>NC_000020.11:25091959-25720162 GCF_000001405.40 Homo sapiens
TGCAGCATGCTTGTCTGATTACTGACTCTTCTTCTAGCTCACTCCCCCTAACACACTAATAACCGGACATGCTCAGATCGGTCAGAGAAATGCTCATGAAAGAGTGGAGGAAGAGAAGGAGAAATCAGAAAGGAGAGGGTACAACAATGAAGAAGACCCATCCATCGCAGACACTGGCCACCACATGCATTAAATCAGCCCTTCCTGGACACAACAAAGGCCACTATCCTAAGTTCAGCTCCCTGTAGAGACAGGAAATGGCAAATGCTGAGACATTTTATTCCTAAACTACCGTTATAGTCAAGTCTTTTGTCTGCCAAAGGGGAAAGGATTCTGCAGTGGTTTATGCTCTTCATCCTCTCACACACTTAGAGGAACTTTGAGTACATACTTCCCATACTGCTGAGCATACATCTTCGGGTCCTGAGGGTTCTTGTCTTTCATTTCAAGTAGGAGGTAAATTTTAGAGTGCCCTGGCCAAGGAGGGAGCCCATTCAGATGGTTGCAAGGAAGTGGGGGGCCTTCGAATTTTATTTTTGGTTTACATAATACTTCAGATGCATGCACCTAACAACAGAGTATCAAAACACAGGAAGCGAAAACTGATAGAACAGCAAGGAAAATATAAGCTATATAAAATTCTTTACTGCATTAATAGTTGGAGACTTCAACGCTCCTTTATCAGTAATTGATAGATCTAGTGGGCATAAAATCAGTAAGGGTATAGTAAGGAACAGCACCATTTATCACTGGATCTAACTGACGTCTATAGAGTACTTCATCCAACAACAGCAGAATACATATTTTTCTCAAGATCACATGGAACATTCATCAAATAGGCCATATTCGAGGCCATAACACATACCTTAACAAATTTAAACGAATAGAAATTATCCAAAATATGTTCTCAGAGCACAGTGGAATTAAACTAGAAGTCAAAAACAGAAATCTACCAGAAGCTGAAAAAAAAATCCCCAAATATATGGAGATTAAGCAATGTACTTCTATTTTACATAAGAATTAAAGAAGAAGTCTCAAGAAAAATTAAAAAGTATTTTTAACTTAATGAAAATAAAAATACAACTTACCAAATGTGTGGAATGCAGTGAAAACAGTGCTTAGAGGAAAATATGTAACATTAAATTCATTTGCTAGAAAAGAAGGAAGGGCCGGGCGCAGTGGCTCATGCCTGTAATCCCAGCACTTTAAGGGCCAAGGCGGGTAGATCACCCGAGGTCAGGAGTTCGAGACCAGTCTGGCCAACATGGGGAAACCCCATCTCTACTAAAAATATAAAAATCAGCTGGGCATGGTGGTGCACGCCTGTAGTCCCAGCTACTTGGGAGGCTGAGGCAGGAGAATAGCTTGAACCTAGGAGGTAGAGGTTGCAGTGAGCCAAGATGGTACCATTGCACTCCAGCCTGGGTGACAGAGTAAGACTCTGTCTCCCAAAAAAAAAAAAAAGAAAAGAAAAGAAGGAAGCTCTTAAATCAATCATCCAATCTTCCAACTTAGGAAATTAGAAAAAAAGAAGGGCAAATTGAATCAAAAGTAGATATAAGAAAATAAATTTTAAAATTAGAGAATAATTCAATAAAATGGAAAGTAAGAAATCATTAGAAAAAATAAATGAAACCAAAAGCTGATTCTTTGAAAAGAACAATAAAATCAGTAAACCTCTATTCTGGCTAAGTGAAAAAGAAAGAGATACAAATTGCTCATACTGTAAATAAAAGAAGGGTCATCACTGCTGATCCCATGAACATTAAAAAGATAATAAGGAAGTATTATAAACAAATATATGTATACAGTTGATAAGCTGGATGAAATGGATCAATTTTCTGAAAGACACAAATTACCAAAACTCACAAAAAGAGAAATAGATATTCTAAGTAGGTCTATATCTACTAAAGAAATTAAATTAATAAGTAATAGCCCTCAAAAAATAAAGCACTAAAGACCAGGTTATTTCACTGGTTGCTTCCACCAAACCATTTAAGGAAAAAATAATACGAATTCTCAAAGTCTCTTCCAAAATATAAAAACAAAGGGAATTCTTCCTAACTCATTCTATGAGGCCAACATTACACTAACACCAAAACTAGATAAAGACATTACAGGAAAGGAAAAATACAAACCAGTATCTCTCATGAACATAGATGCCAAAATCATCATCAAAATATTAGCAAATTAACCCAAAAGTGTATAAAAAGAATTATGCCAGGGACAGTGGCTCACGCTTGTAATCCCAGCAACTCAGGAGGTTAAAGTGGGAGGATTGCTTAAGGCCAGGAATTAGAGACCAGCTGGGCAACATAGAAAGACCCCTGTATCTAAAAATAAAAATAAATTCAATAGCGAGCCATGGTGCTGTATGCCTTTAGTCCCACTACTAGGGAGGCAAAGGCAGGAAGATCCTTTGAGCCTAGGAGTTCATGACTCCTAGCTATGACTAGAGCTATGACTGTGCCACTGTACTCCAGCTTGGGTGACAGATTTAATCCCAGGTATGCAAGCCTGGTTCTACATTTAAAAATCAATCAATGTGGCCAGAAGCAGTGGCTCATGCCTGTAATCCCAACACTTTGGGAGGCCAAGGCAGGCGGATCACTTGAGGTCAGGAGTTCAAGACCAGCCTGGCCAACATGGTAAAACCCCATCTCTACTAAAAAGATACAAAACTTACCTGGGCATGGTGGCAGGTGCCTGTAATCCCAGCTACTCAGGAGGCTGAAGCAGGAAAATTGCTTGAACCTGGAAGTCGGAGGTTGCGGTGAGTCAGGATCACACCACTGCACTCCAGCCTGGGCAACAGAGCGAGACTCTGTCTCAAAAAAAAAAAAAAATCAGCTAATGTAATCTATCACATAGAAATGAAGAAATCATATTGTCATATTTTCAAATGCAGAAAAAATGACAAAATCTAACACCCATTCAAGATAAAGAAAAAAATCCTCTCAGAAAACTAGGAATAGAGGAAGACTTTCTCAACTTGATAAAGAACATCTACAAAAAACCTACAACTCCACAAAACAACCAGAAAACAACAAAATGGCAGGACTAAGTTCTTACTTATCAATAATAACATTGAATGCAAATGGACAAAACTCTCTAATAAAAAGATATAGAGTGGCTCAACGAATTAAAAAACAAGACCTACAAGAAACACATTTAGTCCATAAAGACACACATAGACTGAAAATAAAGAAATGGACAAAGATATTGCATGCCAATGGAAACAAAAAAGAGCAGGAGTGGCTATGCTTATATCAGACAGAATAGATTTCAAGATAAAAACTATAAGAAAAGACAAAGTAGCTCACTGCATAGTAATAAAGGGGTCAGTTCAGCAAGAAGATATAAAAATTGTAAATATATATGCACTTAACTTTGGAGCACCCAGATATATAAAGAAAATATTATTAGAGCTAAAGAAAGAGATAGGCCCCAGTACAATAACAGTTAGAGAATTCAACCCCCCACTTTCAACATTGGATAGGTCTTCCAGACAGAAAATCAGCAAAGAAACATCAGACTTAATCTGCACTACAGAAAAAATTGACATAGGAAGTGGAGATCATTATGTTAAGTGAAAACTGCTCCCATGTTTTCAGGTATCTTTATAGCAATGCCCCACGTCTCTGGTACCAATTTTCTGTATTAGTCCATTATCACACTGCTCTAAAGAACTACCTGAAACTGGGTAATTTATTTTAAAAAGAGGTTTAGTTGACTCGCAGTTCCACAGGCTATGTAGAAGGCATGGCTGGAGAGGCCTCAGAAAACTTACAATCATGATGGAAGAGTGAATGGGAAGCAAGTATGTCTTCACAGGGTGGCAGGAGAAAGAGAGAGAGAGGGTGAAGGGGAAGTGCTATACACTTTAAACAATCAGATATCATGAGAACTCACTCACTATCATGAGAAGAGCCAGGGGAAAATCTTCCCCCATGATCCAATCACCTCCCACCAGGTCCCTTCCTCAACACTGGAGATTACAATTCAACATGAGATTTGGATGGGGATAGAGAACTAAACCATGTCACCCATAAATGTATACATCTACTATGTACCGACAAAAATTAAAAATAAATTTTTTAAAAACCTACAGCTAACATCATACTTAGTGGTGAGGAACTAGATGCTGTCCCCTTAATTTTGGGTAAAAGGTAAGAATGTCCCCTGTCACCACTCCTATTCAATATCATACTGGACGTCCTAGTCAATGCAATAAGAAAAGAAAAGGCATACAAATTGGGAGGGAAGAAATAAAACTTTCTTTGCAGATGAAATGATTGTCTATGTAGAAAATTTCAAAGCATCAAGAAAATAAACTCCTGAAGCTAATACACCATCGTAGCAAGGTGGCAGGATACAAGAGTAATAGGCAAAGTTAAGTGCTGTCTTATATAGCACCAATGAGTAAATGGGATTTCAAATTAAAAATATAACACATTTACATTAGCACAAATAAATGAAATATTTATACCTAAATGAAATGTTTAGGTATAAATCTCAGAAAATGTGTACAGAATCTATATGAGGAAAACTATAAAACTTTGATGAAAGAAATCAAATATCTAAATAAATGGAGAGATATCCATGTTCATGAATATGAAGACTAAATATTGTTAAGATGTCAATTCTTCCTAACTTAATCTATAGATTCAAAACTATCCCAATCAAAATCCCAGCAAGTTGCTTTGTGGATATCAACGAAGTAATTCTAAAGTTTGTGTGGGAAGGTAAAAGACTCATAAAAGCCAACACAGTTGCATTGGCTGAAATAGAACAAGGCCAGAGGACTGACACTACCTAATTTCCAGCCTTGCTATAAAGCTACAGTAATAAAGCCAAAATGGTATTCATGAAAGAAGAGACACATAGGTTAATGGAACAGAACAGAAAGCCTAGGAGTGGACCTACCTAAATATATTCAACTGATCTTAACAAAGACAATTTACTGGAGACAGGATAAGTTTTTCAGCAAATGATGTGGGAATAATTAACACCCACAGTCAAAAAAATAACGTTACACCTTATCCAAAAAATAACTCAAGATGAATCATAGACCTAAATGTAAAATGCAAAACTATAAAACTCCTAGATGATAATTTAGGAAGAAATCTAAATGATCTTGGATTTGGTGATGACTTTTTAGATACAACCCCAAAAGTACAATCCATGGCAAAAATAATTGACGTTAGACTTTATTAAAATTAAAAATATCTGCTCAGTGATACACATTGTTAAGATAATGAAAAGACAAGACACAGACTGGGAAAAAATATTTGCAAATCACAGATCTGTTAAAGGTCTTGTATTCAATATATAGAAAGAACTCTTAAAATTCAACAAGAAAACAAGCGACCCAGTTTTTAAGTGGGCAAAAGATCTGAACAGACACTTATGAAAGAAGATATCCAGATGGCAACAATTATATGAAATGATGCTCAACATCATATGTCATTAAGGAACTTCAGATTAAAATAATGAGATAACACTACACGCTGATCACAATGATGAAAACCCAAAACACTCACAACACCAAATGCTGATGGGAATGTGGAGCAACAGGAACTCTCATTCATTGCAGGGAATGCAAAATGGTGTAGCCAGCTTGGAGGACGTGTGGCTGTTTGTTCCAAAGCTAAACAGAGTCTCACCATGTGGTCCAGCAATCACACGCCTTGCTGTTTACTCAATTGAGTTGATAATTTATGCCCTCACAAGAACCTGCATAGGAATGTTGATAGCAGCTTTTTCCTAGTAGCCAAAAACTGAAAGCAATCAAGATGCTCCCTCAATTGATGAATATATAAACAAATCCAGGCAATGGAATCTCATTCAGTGATAAAAAGAAGTGAGTTATCTAGCCAAGAAAAGACATGGAGCAACCTCATATGCAATGCATGTTGGTAAATAAAAGACACTAAAGTGACACATAAGTGACATACTTATTGTATGATTCCAACTATGGGACATTTTGGAAAAGGCAAAACAATGCAGACAGTAAAAAGATCTGTGGTTGCCAGGAATTTGGAGGGAGGAAGGGAGAGATGAATAGGCAGAATGCAGAGGACTTTTAGGACAATGAAAGTGTTGTATATGATGCTATAATGGTGGATACACAACATTATACATTTGTCTAAACCCATAGAATGTACAACATAGCCAGGCACAGTGGCTCATGCTTATAAACCCAAAGCTTTGGCAGGCCAAGGTGGGAAGATTACCTGACCCAGGAGTTCGAGACCAGCCTGGGCAACATAGTGAGACCTCATCTCTACAAAAAATTTTTAAAAAAATAATATACAACACAAACGATGAACCCTAATGTGAACTGCAGACTTTAGTTAATAATGTACCAATATTGGTTCATTGGTTATAACAAATGTAGCACACCACTGCAAGATGCTAATAATAGGGGAAGCTGTGGAGGAGGAGGGGTGTATTGGCAACTCTCTGTACTTTCTGCTCAATTTTTAAAAATAAAGAAAAAGTCTGGTTGCTAAAGCTGGCAAGGTCCACAAAGCAGTTCTTCTCACCACTCTGGTTTTTACCCTTTATTTGTGGCCACTGAAAATTCCCCTTAAGTGATGAGAGATAAGCTGTGACTTTAAAAGGTCACGTATGACATCCAAGTTCAAGAAGCATGGTATTGCAGCCTAGACTCTGTGCTCCCTGATTCCTCCAGAAAAGCACAAGGATTTAATCCAGATAGATATAAATTTCACCTGGGATCATTTATCAGTCCACCTTCTTCTTTAAGAAATATGCTAGGCCGGGAGCGTTCGCCCACGCCTATAATCCCAGCACTTTGGGAGGCCGAGGCAGGTGGATCAAGAGGTCAGGAGATCAAAACCATCCTGGCTAACACGGTGAAACCCAGTCTCTACTAAAAAATACAAAAAAATTAGCCGGGCGTGGTGGCGGGCGCCTGTAGTCCCAGCTACTCAGGAGGCTGAAGCAGAATGGCGTGAACCCGGGAGGCGGAGCTTGCAGTGAGCAGAGATCGCGCCACTGCACTCCAGCCTGGGAGACAGAGTGAGACTCTGTCTCAAAAAAAAAAAAAAAAAGAAAAAGAAATATGCTAAAGAGCCGCAGATTGGGTCTTCATGAAAACAAAGAAAAAGCCATGAAGTTTCTACAGCATAATTAGCATCATCATTACTCTGGCTGGAGCAATTGCACTCATCATTGGCTTTCGTATTTCAGGGAGACACTCCATCACAGTCACTACTCTCACCTCAGCTGGGAACATTGGGGAGGATGGAATCCTGAGCTGCACTTTTGAACTTGACATCAAACTTTCTGATATCATGATACAATGGCTGAAGGAAGGGGTTATAGGCTTGGTCCATGAGTTCAAAGAAGGCAAAGATGAGCTGTCAGAGCAGGATGAAATGTTCAGAGGCCTGACAGCAGTGCTTGCTGATCAAGTGATAGTTGGCAATGCCTCTCTGCAGCTGAAAAACATACAACTCACAGATGCTGGCACCTACAAATGTTATATCATCACTTCTAAAGGCAAGGGGAATGCTAACCTTGAGTATAAAACTGGAGCCTTCAGCATACCAGAGGTGAAAGTAGACTATAATGCCAACTCAGAGACCTTGCGATGTGAGGCTCCCTTATGGGTCTCTCAGCCCACAGTGGTCTGAAGATCCCTAGTTGACCAGGGAGCCAAATTCTCAGAAGTCTCCAATACCACCTTTGGGCTGAACTCTGAGGATGTGGCCATGAAGGTTGTGTCTGTGCTCTACAATGTTACGATCAACAACACATACTCCTGTATGATTGAAAATGACATTGCCAAAGCAACAGGGGATATCAAAGGACAGAATCTGAGATCAAAAGGCGGAGTCACCTACAGCTGCTGAACTCAAAGTCTTCTCTGTGTGTCTCTTCTTTTTTTGCCATCAGCTGGGCACTTCTGCTTCTTGCCCCTTACCTGATGCTAAAATAATGTGACTCGGCCACAAAAAAGCATGCAAAGTCATCGTTACAACAGGGATCTACAGAACTATTTTGCCACCAGATATGACCTAGTTTTATATTTCTGGGAGGAAGTGAATTCATATCTAGAAGTCTGGAGTGAGCAAACAAGAATAAGAAACAAAAAGAAGCCAAAAGCAGAAGGCTCCAATATGAACAAAAATAATCTATCTTCAAAGACATATTAGAAGTTGGGAAAATAATTCATCTGAACTAGACAAGAGTAATAAGTAAAATGCACGAGGAGACAAGTGCATCCCCAGATCTCAGGGACCTCCCCCTACCTATCAACTGGGGAGTGAGAGGATAGGATAGTGCGTGTTCTTTGTCTCTGAAATTTTAGTTATATGTGCTGTAATGTTGCTCTAAGAAAGCTCCCAGAAAGTCTCTATCCCAATATATACACATCTTATATTCCATGAATTAAGCTGTAGTGTATATTCTAAGATGCTGCTAATTGACTGCCACTTTGCAACTCAGGGACGGCTGCATTTTAGTAATGGGTCAAGTGATTCACTTTTCATGATGCTTCCAAAGGTGCCTCAGTTTCTCTTCCCAACTGAAAAATGCCAAAGATAAGAAAAATGATCATAATTTTAGCATAAACAAACCAGTCTGTGACACCGATTTTATAAGTAAACTGAGCACCATCTTTTCAAACAAATGCGGGTTTATTTCTCAGATGATGTTCATCTGTGAATGCTCCAGGGAAGGACCTTTCACCGTGACTATGTGGCATTATGTCATCACAAGCTCTGAGGCTTCTCCTTTCCATCCTGCGTAGATAGCTATGACCTCAGTTTTCAATAGCATCTAGAGCAGTGGGACTCAACTGGGGAGATTTTCGCCCCCCATCCCCGGGGGAATGTCTGAAGACAATTTTGGTTGCCACAATGAGGGAGTGGAGGAGGAGACGGTGCTACTAGCATCTAGTGGGTAGAGGCCAGGGATGCTGCTCAACCTCCTACCATGTACAGGACGTCTCCCCATTACAATTACCCAGTCCCAAGGGTCAACTGTGTCAGGGCTAAGAAACCCTGATTTAGAGTAGAAAAGGGCCTAGCAAGAGGGGAACAAACAAGTCTGTCTGCTTCCTCACATTAGTCATTGGCAAATAAGCATTCTGTCTCTTTGGCTGCTGCCTCAGCACAGAGAGCCAAAACTCTATCGGACACCAGGATAACATCTCTCAGAGAACAGAGTTGACAAGGCCTGTGGGAAATGCCTGATGGGATTATCTTCAGCTTGTTGCGCTTCTAAGTTCCTTTCCCTTCATTCTACCCTCTAAGCCAAGTTCTGTAAGAGAGCTGCCTGAGTTCTACCTCAAGTTTTCTTACTCTGAATTTAGATCTCCAGACCCTGCCTGGCCACAGTTCAAATTACGGCAACAAACATATACCTTCCATGAAGCACACAGAGACTTTTGAAAGCAGGGACAATGACTGTTTGAATTGAGGCCTTGAGGAATGAAGCTTTGATGGAAAAGAATGCTTTGTTTCCAGCCCCCTTCCCACACTTTTCGTGTCTTAACCACTGCCTTCCTGGCCCTTGGAGCCACCGTGTCTGTGTTACATTTTGTTATAGAAAACTAGCTTTGGAGTTCTGATCGTTCAAGAGAATGATTAAATATATATTTCCTTAAAAAAAGGACACATAGATTTTGTTTAGCATTTCTAGAGAAAGTTTTCAGTTTAACCAGTTCACAAATACTATTAAAAATGGAAATCAAATACTCTCCTTCAGATAAAATTTTCAAGATGCTTCTGGTTGCAAGCATCAAAACCAACTGTGACTGATTTAGGCAAAAGGGGAATTTATTGGCTTGTGGAATGGCCTGTTAGTCAATTTGCATTGCTACAAAGGAATATCTGAGACTGGGCAATTTATAAAGAAATGAAGTATCTTGTTTTGTTTTGTTGTTGTTTTTTGTTTTTGTTTTTGTTTTGTTTTGTTTTTTGAGACATAGTCTCACTCCGTCACCCAGGGTGGAGTGCAGTGGCATGATCTCGGCTCACTGCAACCTCCACCTCCCAGGTTCAAGCAATTCTTCTGCCTCAGCCTCCCAAGTAACTGGGATTACAGGCACCCACCACCCAAACCCAGCTAAATTTTTTTTGTATATTTAGTAGAGACGAGGTTTCACCATGTTGGCCAGCCTGGTCTCAAACTCCTGACCTCAGGTGATCCACCCGCCTCGGCCTCCCAAAGTGCTGGGATTACAGGCATAAGCCACCATGCCTGGCCAAGAAATGAGTTTTACTTGGCTCTTGATTCTTCATTTATACAAGCATGGCACGGGCATCTGCTTGGCTTCTGGTGGGGCCTCAGGAAGCTTTTAGTCATGGCAGAAGGTGAAGCAGGAGCCAGTGTATCACAAAGTAAGATGGGGAGCAAGACAGAGAGGGAGGGGATGCCAGCCTCTTTTAAATAACCAGATCCCATGTGAACTCATAGAGAACTCACTCATCACCAGGAGGAGAGCACCAAGCCATTCATGAGGCATCCCCACCATAACCCAAACACCTCCCACTAGGCTCCACCTCCAACACCAGAGATCCCATTTCAACAGGAGATTTGGAGGGGACAAAACATCCAATCTATGTCAAATGGGACCCCATATGTGATAACTGAGAAGAGATCATAGTGCAGCTGAACCTTCAGAAACAATTGTGGGGAACCCCCCCCTCCTTTGGCTCCATGTCTAGGGGCCACAGGCTCTGCCTCACTGAAGCATGTTCTCTGCTATCCTGCAGAGCAGTGCCCCACATGGGCTCTGTGCCCAGGAAGGACACTGTTGGGGCCACACACTCGCCCCTATGGGCCCTCTGGAGGGAGGGAGCATTTGGAGGAAGAGACAGCCACTGCAGGCACAGAGTGTATTGTGTCCACACTTTCACCTCTTTTCTACCTCCTATGTGTTGTGATGAAACTGTCCTGGAGAGAGAAGGAAAGGTGATGGATTTAGCCAGGGCACTGTGGTCACAGCACATTGCAGGAGTGCAGGAGGCTGTAGAGTCAAAGGCAGAGAGGCTGGTCTGCCCACAAAACGAGAGGCCCTGGCACTGGAGCTCAGGAGCTAGAGGTGCTGACCACTTCTTGACAGAGCAGGAGTTTCGCCATCTTGGACAAGCACTGTCATTTTAAAGTTCACGTTAATCAAAAACCACCTAAATCCAAGGGGCAGCAGCCTAACGGCTAAGGTCAACATGACCATAAACCACAAATAACATCTCTGATGAGAAACATTCCAAACTCCTCTCTGACCAGAGATATGCTAGCCCCAAGATAAGCCCCCTCCGGCCAGGAAGATGTCAGCCCCAAGGTAACAGACATTCCGACCCCATCATAAACTTCTCCCCACACAGAAACATTCTAAGTTTGTAATAAGCCCCATCACCCTAAAACCAATATATACTTAGTCTGTAAGAGAAAGCACTCCTGACCAAAATCACCCAGAAGCCCCTCTCGGATTTTTTTTCTTAAATAAACCTGTGTTTAACTGTTAAGCTGTGTTTCATGTTTCTTTCCTCTTTAACTCTTACACTTCTCTTCTAGCTTTGCTCCGCAGAGAGGCGGGCTGGGATGCCCAGGGTAGTGCAGGGGTAGGACACCTCTATCAGTAGTTCTACCGAGACACCATGAAAGCAGGCCGTGTCCCCAAAGAGAAATGCAGGTGGCCCCAAAAGAAGGAGGAAGGATTGCTGGGCAGGCAGAGATGACAGATGGGGTTTCAGAAGGACAGGGCCACTGCCAGGGCCAGGAATTAGGCAAGAGAAGGAATCTCTCTCCTGGTATAAAACTAGACAATGCTGTGTCCACATCACATGATGAGACCTGTTCAAAAGAACTAATGGGGAAATAGCCTGGAGCTCTCCTAGAGGGACAATGAACCTGAATCAGAGTTAGGAAAGGGCCAGAGCACAACTTTCCCCAACCCCAAGGCATAGCACAGAGCCCAGCCTCCTCCTTCCCCAGTGATGAGGCCAGAGCCCAGCCTCCTCCTTCCCCAGTGGTGGGGCCACAGCCCAGCCTCCTCCTTCCCCAGTGGTGGGGCCACAGCCTAGCCTCCTCCTTCCCCAGTGGTGGGGCCACAGCCTAGCCTCCTCCTGCCCCAGAGACGGGGCCAAAGCTCAGCCTCCTCCTTCCCCAACCGCAGGGCTGGGGAATTGCCCCAGGCCATCCACCTCGGAGTCAGCAAAGTCTAAGCAAATATCTCCTTTGCGTCCAGTGGGTACTGGAGGTTGGCAAGACCCAGAGAGGAGTACCTCTGTCACCTGGGGGACTGAGGAGGGTGGAGGGAATGGGAAAGGGGGGGCTGTTGAGACAGGAGGGCTGCTCAGGGACCCCTCCTCTGTCCTTTCCACCACACACAGCTTTCCTGAGGTCCTTCGACTTCTGGGTGAAGACTTTCATGCTCTCATGGGACATGGGCCAAGGGAGCATTTGGGGAGCACTTGTGTGGGGGTGGGGCTCAGGCACAAATGGGGTTAGAAGGGCATGGGCCTATGGACTGTCCAGGGCCTTGTGGGTCAGGAAGACCACCGGCATGAAGACCCTCCAGTCTCGAGACTAAAAGCCATTCCCTGCAGGGCTCAGCTGGAAACTAAGGAGCCCCATCGCCACTCTCCACGGCCTCCCATTGTAATGGCTGCTGCTTGCTCGGTAACCAGGAGAGCACAGGCAATGTGGGACTCAGCAAGAGGAACCGGGGGCTGGAGAGGACCCATCTCCGATGTTCTGAGCTTCCACTACCACATGACTGGCAGCTGTGCTGCCCCTATAGGCTCCACACCTTGAACCCTTGCCTGCTGCCCTCCTTCCCCTCCACAGCCAGGCTGCCTGCTGCATCTGCAGCCACATAGTGGGTGGCCTCATCCCGGTGGGTGAGACCAGAGCTCAGAGAGGCTCGGTGCTTCCTGCAGTCACAAGGTGAGTGGGGCCTGGCTGTCTCCATCCTGAGGCTGTGTTCTCTCTGTGACACTCAGCTTCTCCCACTCCCCAACTGAGGATTAGTCATCAGTAGGGCCACCTTCAGCTTCTCCTGAGTCCCAATAGCAGGGAGCCCAGAAGTAATGTGGTGTTGTTTAAGCCACTGTAGTCTGGAATGGCTTTTGACATAGCAATACATCACTGAAAGAGTTCACGTTTTAAATAGTTACAAAGAATATTCCCAGCACACTGTCCATATGAAGAGCTTTAAGTGAAATTATTAGAGTGCTCTTTTTAAATAAAAGGCAATTTGATGCCCACCATCATCCACTTTAGAAAATGCATTAACAAACATTTCCTGGAGAAGTTCCAAGATGGCCAAATAGGAACAGCTCCAGTCTATAGCTCCCAGCGTGAGCAACACAGAAGATGAGTGATTTCTTCATTTCCAATTGAGGTACCGGGTTCATCTCACTGGGGCTTGTCAGACAGTGGGTGCAGGACAGTGGGTGCAGCCCAAGGAACGTGAGCCAAAGGAGGGCGAGGCATCACCTCACCCGGGAAGTACAAGGGGTCGGGGAATTCCCTTTCCTAGCCAAAGGAAGCCGTGACAGATGGCACCTGGAAAATTGGGTCACTCCCACCCTAATAGTGTGCTTTTCCAATGGTCTTAGCAAATGGCACACCAGGAGATTATGTCCCGTGCCAGGCTTGGAGGGTCCCATGCCCACGGAGCCTCGCTCATTGCTAGCACAGCAGTCTGAGATTGAACGGCAAGGTGGCAGCAAGGCTAGGGGAGGGGCACCCGCCATTACTGAGGCTTGAGTAGGTAAACAAAGCACCGGGAAGCTTGAACTGGGTGGAGCCCACCACAGCTCAAGGAGGCCTGCCTGCCTCTGTAGACTCCACCTCTGGGGGCAGGACATAGCTGAACAAAAGGCAGCAGAAACTTCTGCAGACTTAAACGTCCCTGTCTGATAGCTTTGAAGAGAGTAGTGTTTCTCCCAGCATGGAGTTTGAGATCTGAGAACGGACAGACTGCCTCCTCAAGTGGGTCCCTGAACCCCTAGTAGCCTAACTGGGAGGTACCTCCCAGTAGGGGCCGACTGACACCTCACACGGCCAGGTGTCCCTCTGAGACGAAGCTTCCAGAGGAACAATCAGGCAGCAACATTTGCTGTTCTGCAATATTCACTGTTCTGCAGCCTCTGCTGGTGATACCCAGGCAAACAGGGTCTGGAGTGGACCTCCAGCAAACTCCAACAGACCTGCAACTGAGGGTCCTGACTGTTAGAAGGAAAACTAACAAACAGAAAGGACATCCACACCAAAACCCCATCGGTACATCACCATCATCAAAGACCAAAGGTAGATAAAACCAAAAAGATGGAGCGAAACCAGAGCAGAAAAGCTGAAAATTCTAAAAATCAGAACACCTCTTCTCCTCCAAAGGAACGCAGCTCCTCGCCAGCAATGGAACAAAGGTGGACAGAGAATGACTTTGACGAGTTGAGAGAAGAAGGCTTCAGACGATCGGTAATAAAAAACTGCTTCGAGCTAAAGGAGGATATTCGAACCCATTGCAAAGAAGCTAAAAACCTTGAAAAAAGATTAGACGAACGGCTAACTAGAATAAACAGCATAGAGAAGACTTTAAATGACCTGATGGATCTGAAAACCATGGCATGAGAACTACGTGATGCATGCACAAGCTTCAGTAGCCAATTCGATCAACTGGAAGAAAGGGTATCAGTGATTGAAGATCAAATGAACGAAATGAAGCAAGAAGAGAAGTTTAGAGAAAACAGAGTAAAAAAGAAATGAACAAAGCCTCCAAGAAATATGGGACTATATGAAAAGACCAAATCTACATTTGATTGGTGTACCTGAAAGTGACGGGGAGAATGGAACCAAGTTGAAAAACACTCTTCAGGATATTATTCAGGAGAACTTCTCCAACTTAGCAAGGCAGGCCAACATTCAAATACAGGAAATAAAGAGAATGCCAC
Source organism: Homo sapiens (assembly GCF_000001405.40). NCBI lineage: Eukaryota > Metazoa > Chordata > Mammalia > Primates > Hominidae > Homo > Homo sapiens. The sequence continues at coordinate 25,106,896 of NC_000020.11, forward strand.
AAAGATACTCCTCGAGAAGAGCACCTCCAAGACACATAATTGTCAGATTCACCAAAGTTGAAATGAAGGAAAAAATGTTAAGGGCAGACAGAGAGAAAGGTCGGGTTACCCACAAAGGGAAGCCCATCAGACTAACAGTGAATCCCTCAGCAGAAACTCTACAAGCCAGAAGAGAGTGGGGGCCAATATTCAACATTCTTAAAGAAAGGAATTTTTCACCCAGAATTTCATATCCAGCCAAACTAAGCTTCATAAGTGAAGGAGAAATAAAATCCTTTACAGACAAGCAAATGCTGAGAGATTTTGTCACCACCAGGCCTGCCTTACAAGGGCTCCTGAAGGAAGCACGAAACATGGAAAGGAACAACCAGTACCAGCCACTGCAAAAACATGCCAAATTGTAAAGACCATTGATGCTAGGAAGAAACTGCATCAACTAATGAGCAAAATTACCAGCTAACATCACAGTCACAGGATCAAATTCACACATAACAATACTGACCTTAAATGTAAATGGGCTAAATGCCCCAATTAAAAGACACAGACTAGCAAATTGGATAAAGAGTTAAGAACAATCAGTGTGCTGTAGTCAGGAGACCCATCTCACATGCAGAGACACACATGGGCTCAAAATAAAGGGATGGAGGAAGATATACCAAGCAAATGGAATACAAAAAAAAAAAGCAGGGGTTGCAATCCTAGTCTCTGATAAAACAGACTTTAAACCAACAAATATCAGAAAAGACAAAGAAGGTCATTACATAGTGGTAAAGGGATCAATTCAATAAGAAGAGCTAACTATCATAAATATATATGCACCCAATACAGGAGCACCCAGATTCATAAAGCAAGTCCTAAGAGACCTACAAAGAGACTTAGACTCCCGCACCATAATAATGGGAGACTTTAACACCCCACTATCAACATTAGACAGATCAATGAGACAGAAAGGTAACAAGGATATCCAGGAATTGAACTCAGCTCTGCACCAAGCAGACCTAACAGACATCTACAGAACTCTCCACCCCAAATCAATGGAATATACATTTTTCTCAGCACCACATTGCACTTATTCCAAAATTAACCATGTAGTTGGAAGTAAAGCACTCCTCAGCAAATGTAAAAGAACAGAAATTATAACAAACTGTCTCTCAGACCACAGTGCAATCAAACTAGAACTCAGGATTAAGAAACTCACTCAAAACCACACAACCACATGGAAACTGAACAACCTGCTCCTGAATGACTACTGGGTAAATAAAGAAATGAAGGCAGAAATGAAGATGTTCTTTGAAACCAATGAGAACAAAGACACAACATACCAGAATCTCTGGGACACATTTAAAGCAGTGTGTAGAGGGAAATTTACAGCACTAAATGCCCACAAGAGAAAGCAGGAAAGATCTAAAATTGACACCCTAACATCACAATTAAAAGAACTAGAGAAGCAAGAGCAAACACATTCAAAAGCTAGCAGAAGGCAAGAAATAACTAAGATCAGAGCAGAACTGAAGGAGACAGAGACACAAAAAAACCCTTAAAAAATCAATGAATCCAGGAGCTGGTTTTTTGAAAAGATCAACAAAACTGATAGACCACTAGCAAGACTAATAAAGAAGAGAAGAGAGCAGAATCAAATAGACACAATAAAAAATGATAATGGAGATATGACCACTGATCCCACAGAAATACAAACTATCATCAGAGAATACTATAAACACCTCTACGCAAATAAACTAGAAAATCTAGGAGAAATGGATAAATTCCTGGACACATACACCCTCCCAAAACTAAACCAGGAAGAAGTTGAATCCCTGAAGAGACCAATAACAGGCTCTGAAATTGAGGCAATAATTAATAGCCTACCAACCAGAAAAAGTCCAGGACCAGACGGATTCACAGCTGAATTCTACCAGAGATACAAAGAGGAGCTGCTACCATTCCTTCTGAAACTATTCCAATCAATAGAAAAAGAGGGAATCCTCCCTAACTCATTTTATGAAGCCAGGATCATCCTGATACCAAAGCCTGGCAGAGACACAACGAAAAAGAGAATTTTACACCAATATCCCTGATGAACACCGAAGCAAAAATCCTCCACAAAATACTGGCAAACCGAATCCAGTAGCACATCAAAGAGCTTATCCACCACGATCAAGTCCATTTCATCCCTGGGATGCAAGGCTGCTTCAACATACACAAATCAATAAAATTAATCCATCATATGAACAGAACCAAAGACAAAAACCATATGATTATCTCAATAGATGCAGAAAAGGCCTTCAAAAAAATTCAAGAGCCCTTCATGCTAAACACTCTCAATAAATTTGGTAGTGATTGGACATATCTCAAAATAATAAGAGCTATTTATGACAAACCCACAGCCAATATCATACTGAATGGGCAAAAACTGGAAGCATTCCCTTTGAAAATGGCACAAGACAGGGATGCTCTCTCTCACCACTCCTATTCAACATAGTGTTGGAAGTTCTGGCCAGGGCAATCAAGAAGGAGAAAGAAATAAAGGATATTCAATTAGGAAAAGAGGAAGTCAAATTGTCCCTGTTCGCAGATGACATGATTGAATATCTAGAAAACCCCATCGCCTCAGCCCAAAATCTCCTTAAGTTGATAAGCAACATCAGCAAAGTCTCAGGATACAAAATCAATGTGCAAAAATCACAAGCATTCTTATACACCAATAAACAGACAAACAGAGAGCCAAATCATGAGCGAACTCCCATTCACAATTGCTACAAAGATAATAAAATACCTAGGAATCCAACTTACAAGGGATGTGAAGGACCTCTTCAAGGAGAACTACAAACCACTGCTCAATGAAATAAAAGAGGACACAAACAAACAGAAAAACATTTCATGCTCATGGATAGGAAGAATCAATATCGTGAAAATGACCATACTGCCCAAGGTAATTTATAGATTCAATGCTATCCCCATCAAGCTACCAATGACTTTCTTCACAGAATTGGAAAAAAGCTACTTTAAAGTTCATATGGAACCAAAGAAGAGCCCGCATTGACAAGACAATCCTAAGCCAAAAGAACAAAGCTGGAGGCATCACGCTACCTGACTTCAAACTATACTACAAGGCTACAGTAACCAAAACAGCATGGTACTGGTACCAAAACAAAGATATAGACCAATGGAACAGAACAGAGCCCTCAGAAATAATACATACATCCACAACCATCTGATCTTTGACAAACCTGACAAAAACAAGAAATGGGGAAAGGATTCTCTATTTAATAAATGGTGCTGGGAAAACTGGCTAGCCATATGTAAAATCCTGAAACTGGATCCCTTCCTTACACCTTATACAAAAATTAATTCAAGATGGATTAAAGACTTAAATGTTAGACCTAAAACTATAAAAACCCTAGAAGAAAACCTAGGCAATACCATTCAGGACATAAGCATGGGCAAGGACTTCATGTCTAAAACACCAAAAGCAATGGCAACAAAAGCCAAAATTGACAAATGAGATCTAATTAAACTAAAGAGCTTCTGCACAGCAAAAGAAACTACCATCAGAGTGAACAGGCAACCTACAGAATGGGAGAAAATTTTTGTAATCTACCCATCTGACAAAGGGCTAATATCCAGAATCTACAAAGAACTTAAACTAATTTACAAGAAAAAATCAAACAACCCCATCAAAAAGTGGGCAAAGGCTATGAACAGACACTTCTCAAAAGAAGACATTTATGCAGCCAACAGACATGAAAAAATGCTCATCATCACTGGCCATCAGAGAAATGCAAATCAAAACCACAATGAGACACCACCTCACACCAGTTAGAATGGCGATCATTAAAAAGTCAGGAAACAACAGGTGCTGGAGAGGATGTGGAGGAATAGGAACACTTTTACACTATTGGAGGGACTGTAAACTTGTTCAACCATTGTGGAAGACAGTGTAGCCATTCCTCAAGGATCTAGAACTAGAAATACCATTTGACCCAGCCATCCCATTACTGGGTATATACCCAAAGGATTATAAATCATGCTGCTATAAAGACACATGCACACATATGTTTATTGCAGCACTGTTCACAATAGCAAAGACTTGGAACCAACCTAAATGTCCATCAATGATAGACTGGATTAAGAAAATGTGGCACTTGAATGGTAATGCCCAGGTTTTCTTCTAGGGTTTTTATGGTTTTAGGTCTAACGTTTAAGTCTTTAATCCATCTTGAATTAATTTTTGTGTAAGGTGTAAGGAAGGGATCCAGTTTCAGCTTTCTACATATGACTGGCCAGTTTTCCCAGCATCATTTATTAAATAGGAAATCCTTTCCCCATTTCTTGTTTTTCTCAGGTTTGTCAAAGATCAGATAGCTGTAGATATGCGGTGTTATTTCTGAGGGCTCTGTTCTGTTACATTGATCTATATCTCTGTTTTGGTACCAGTACCATGCTGTTTTGGTTACTGTAGCCTTGTAGTATAGTTTGAAGTCAGGTAGCGTGATGCCTCCAGCTTTGTTCTTTTGGCTTAGGATTGACTTGGCGATGCGGGCTCTTTTTTGGTTCCATATGAACTTTAAAGTAGTTTTTTCCAATTCTGTGAAGAAACTCACTGGTAGCTTGATGGGGATTGCATTGAATCTATAAGTTACCTTGGGCAGTATGGCCATTTTCATGATATTGATTCTTCCTACCCATGAGCATGGAATGTTCTTCCATTTGTTTGTACCCTCTTTTATTTCATTGAGCAGTGGTTTGTAGTTCTCCTTGAAGAGGTCCTTCATGTCCCTTGTAAGTTGGATTCCTAGGTATTTTATTCTCTTTGAAGCAATTGTGAATGGGAGTTCACTCATGATTTAGCTCTCTGTTTGTCTGTTATTGGTGTATAAGAATGCTTGTGATTTTTGTACATTGATTTTGTATCCTGAGACTTTGCTGAAGTTGCTTATCAGCTGAAGGAGATTTTGGGCTGAGACAATGGGGTTTTCTAGATATACGATCATGTCATCTGCAAACAAGCATGGGCAAGCACTTCATGTCTAAAACACCAAAAGCAATGGCAACAAAAGCCAAAATTGACAAATGGGATCTAATTAAACTAAAGAGCTTCTGCACAGCAAAAGAAACTACCATCAGAGTGAACAGGCAACCTACAAAATAGGAGATAATTTTTGCAACCTACTCATCTGACAAAGGGCTAATATCCAGAATCTACAATGAACTCAAACAAATTTACAAGAAAAAAACGAACAACCCCATCAAAAAGTGGGCGAAGGACATGAACAGACACTTCTCAAAAGAAGACATTTATGCAGCCAAAAAACACATGAAAAAATGCTCACCATCACTGGCCATCAGAGAAATGCAAATCAAAACCACAATGAGATACCATCTCACACCAGTTACAATGGCAATCATTAAAAAGTCAGGAAACAACAGGTGCTGGAGAGGATGTGGAGAAATAGGAACACTTTTACACTGTTGGTGGGACTGTAAACTAGTTCAACCACTGTGGAAGTCAGTGTGGCAATTCCTCAGGGATCTAGAACTAGAAATACCATTTGACCCAGCCATCCCATTACTGGGTATATACCCAAAGGACTATAAATCATGCTGCTATAAAGACACATGCACATGTATGTTTATTGTGGCACTATTCACAATAGCAAAGACTTGGAACCAATCCAAATGTCCAACAATGATAGACTGGATTAAGAAAATGTGGCACATATACACCATGGAATACTATGCAGCCATAAAAAATGATGAGTTCATGTCCTTTGTAGGGACATGGATGAAATTGGAAATCATCATTCTCAGTAAACTATCTCAAGGACAAAAAACCAAACACCGCATGTTCTCACTCATAGGTGGGAATTGAACAATGAGAACACATGGACACAGGAAGGGGAACATCACACTCTGGGGACTGTTGTCGGGGGAGGGGGGAGGGATAGCATTAGGAGATATAGCTAATGCTAAATGACGAGTTAATGGGTGCAGCGCACCAGCATGGCACATGTATACATATGTAACTAACCTGCACATTGTGCACATGTACCCTAAAACTTAAAGTATAATAATAATAATAAAAAAGAAAATGTGGCACTTACGTACCATGGAATACTATGCAGCCATAAAAGAAGGATGAGTTTATGTCCTTTGTGGGGACATGGATGAAGCTGGAAACCATCATTCTGAGCAACCTATCGCAAGGACAGAAAACCAAACACTGCATGTTCTCACTTACAGGTGGGAATTGAACAATGAGAACACTTGGACACAGGATGGGGAACGTCATACACTGGGGCCTGTCGTGGGGTGGGGAGAGGGGGGAGGAATAGCATTAGGAGATATATCTAATGTAAATGACGAGTTAATGGGTGCAGTGCACCAACATGGCATGTGTATATATATGTAACAAACCTGCACGTTGTGCACATGTACCCTAGAACTTAAAGTATAATAATAAAATTAAAAATAATAATAAAATAAAATAAAATAAAGTGATAGCACTGAAAAAAAAAGAAATGTCATATATCTGAAGTTGATACTCATGTGCAAGATAAACCTATATTGTAAGTTTTATAGTAAAGTTTAAAAAATGTGATACTTAGATTATACCTGGTACTACTTAAAGTTACTCCAATAAAAAATGAAATTTAGATTTCGATACTCAATATTGTTTAATGAAAATTTATTCTGAAATACATTACTTTTGGAAAATAAAAAAAAAATTCCTTTTCAATGAGAAATTTAACACTGTTCCTTTCACACCTTGAATTTTTATTTATTCCAGTTGCCCCAAAGAATTTGACCCTAACATATATGTTTTGTGCTAGAAGATCCTTCATTGAACAATGTCATATGTCTCTGTAACAAAAATATATCATTTTAACTAATTTTAAAAAATTTCTGGCCAGGCGCTGTGGCTCACGCCTGTAATCCCAGCACTTTGGAAGGCTGAGGCGGGTGGATCACAAGGTCAAGAGTTAGAGACCAGTCTGGCCAACATGGTGAAATCCCATCTCTACTAAAACACAAAAATTAGCTGGGCGTGGCAGTGGGCGCCTGTAATCCCAGCTACTTGGGAGGCTGAGGCAGGATATTTGCTTGAATCTGGGAGGTAGAGCTTGCAGTGGGCCAATATCATGCCACTGCACTCCAGCCTGGGCGTCAGAGTGAGACTCAGTCTCAAAAAATTAAAAATAAAAATTTCCTGCAATCATATGTTTCTATGTATTTAAAATGTCATCTGGGTTGAATTATAACAATTATTATTATGCACAGTTGAGCAATAATAAATATACTTAAAATTTAAAGAATGATTAAACATAAAAACTCCTATTTTATTGGAGGAATGTATCTTTTTTGAAATAGAACTTTTTTGATTGGTTCATCATGCATAGCTGGATGCTGTTTATTGCTAGCCTGACAGTTTCATCACCCATTTCATCTCTTTTCTCAGTTTTACAAATGGAGCATCAAGATACCTGCTCACATGAAATCCATGGGACTGGAAGCAGTTTCTCTATAGCAACATCACTCAAATATTTGGTTTTTTGTTTTTTGTTTTTTTAGACAGAGTCTTGTTCTGTCACTCAGGCTGGAATGCAGTGGCACGATCACAGCTCACTCCAGCCTCTGCCTCCCAGTTTCAAGCGATTCTGGTGCCTCAGTCTCCCTAGTAGCTGGGACTACAGGTGGACGCCACCATACCCAGCTAATTTTTGTATTTTTTGTAGAGATGGGGTTTTGTCATGTTTCCCAGGCTGGTCTCGTACTCCTGAGCTCAAGCAATCCACCCTCCTCAGGCTCCCAAAGTTCTGGGATTACAGGTGTGAGCCACTGCACCTGGCCCACTCAAATATTTGAACCCCTTCCCAGTTACATGCTGCAAACTCCATTTTTGCTCCATTATCAGTTGACAACCTAATCAGGTCCTTTTTAGATTTGATAAAACAAATAACGAGAAAACACCTGACATGCAAGGTTATTTCTTTTCCAGTGTTTAGAGCCTTATTTTTGAGGAATTATAACCAAAAAGGCTTTACTTAGACCTATCAAGTGACAATAAATTGTACCTATTTTTCTCTCACTTAGCGGCACCTGGTTTATTGCCATATATTAAGATCTGTTAGTGATACTTTGCTTAAGGAACAAAACAATGAAACTAAAATGAGGTAAAATTGGAAAAATGTACATTTCAGAAATGTTTCTGGCAGCTCTGAACAAAAATGAATATAAGTCAATCTATTTCCATTTTGTGTGTCACCTTAAAGTGCCTTAAAATGCATGACAGATGGACAGAAAGACAGATACAGCTATATACACATATACATAGGAATTGACTTTATAGTTATGCTTCTGACAGATTTAGCACAGCCTCTCCTGATGCAAGTGGGAGGAATTAATCCTGCTCAAATGAAGCCGGTTTTCTCAAATTCAGGGACTTGATTCCTAGATTATGCTTTAGGAAGATGTTGATCCCGCCCATGTATACAGTATGTGTTTGGAACTGCAGTGTAATCCAGGCTTACAGCATGAGCGTTAATGATTGCTAAGTGCTTTATTTACAGTACATTCCACAGGGCACTTCCTGAGAGAAACTGGGTAGAAATGGCTCCTGACTTATAACAGGATGCTTGTGCCCAAGTTTTTTGTGTTTTTTGTTTGTTTTTGAAACAGAGTCTCACTCTGTCGCCCAGGCTAGAATGCTGTGGCACAATCTTGGCTCACTGCAACCTCTGCCTCCCCGGTTCAAGCAATTCTCCTGCCTCAGCCTCCCGAGTAACTGGGATTACAGGCGCCCACCACTATGCCCAGCTAATTCCAAGTTCTAAAATTCTTTTTTACATCTTATGTTTTATGAATTTCCTCCAGTACACTTTATGCAAAAGTCAGTAAAAATATTTCTCCTATAAGTCTAAACAAATGTTTAAAAATATGTAAGTTAGGAAGTTATTTCCAACACGCATATTCTTTTCACATGCAGAAGTAATGGTGAGAATTTTTCATATCCTTTGCAGCAGACTCCCGGCCCCGGGGCTGGGCCCTCAGCAAGCTCATTCCTGTGGCTGGGAAGGCTGGGGAGGCAGAGCTGGCTTCCTAGCAGCCTGGGGTTTCCTCGGGTGGTTTTTGTGCAAGTTAAATATGCTAAGAAAGTTTGGTTGTAGGATCAGTGCCTGACCAGATGCCTTTGCCTTTTACTGGCTGGTGCTGCCACACACACACACACACACACACACACACACACACACACACCCCTGATGCTGTGAGACTTGGCAGCTACAGGCTCACTGGGCATCCTTCCCTGGAGAACTGCCCGAGGCTGGCAGAACCACCTGGCTCCAAAATGCCTGGAGGCCCAGCTTCCTCCACTCACCCTCAGCTGACCCGATGGGTCCTCCGCTGTGCCCCTTCCTCAAGGCAGGACTTGCTGTGGACAATTCATCCCTCACATCCTTGCTCGGTTCCTTCCACTCTCCTATCCAGCTTTGCTCACTCCCTTCTCCTCAATAACACACAAGCACCAAATCCCTGCCTTAGGATCTGCTTCCAGGAGACCACCTAAGCCAAGTGGTCATTTGGCTTAGTCAACCTCCAAGACTGGCATTTATATGGCTGTAACACGTAGAACTGTACATTTAAAAGGGTGAACTTTATTGCTTTTCAATTATACCTCAATAAACCTGCCCTTAGAAACAAGATGAACTTCATGGAAAAATAGTTACTGCTATTTTGGAGAAAATATCCAAACATGTTAACCAATGAAAAACCTCAGAAAAGCAAAAAGGGAGGCAGGGAAAAGCTATCCTGCATTTAAAATATTCTCCTGGCCCACCGGCTTGCAGCTGCCACAGGTGGAGGACAAGACAAGGGGTGGGTCTTTCCAGGGTGCCCCAGGTGCTGACTGAGCAGCCAGTATGTGATAAAATCTCCTTCTTGAGAGAAAAGGAGGAAGCACAAGACAGGGAAGGGAAGCGCAGCTCCAGGAAAGGGGTGGGCGGAGGGGCTATGGTCTCTGCTGTGCCATTCAAACGCGTGTCGCAGGGACCTCTGAGGGCTGTGCTCTCATCTGCCTGGCTGCCCTGTGCTCACAGGGCCAGCATGTGATTATTTGGGATCTGGTGTGGGTTTTCTCTTGGTTGTTTTATTTTTCACTTACCAGCTGCGTGTTAATAGAAAGTCCCCTGACTGAAGGATTTGCCCGGGATTTCTGTAATAAAAATAGAAGGATTTGTCACAAACGCTGGAAGGACCCTCTGCAAAAGTGGTATTTTTCACGTGATCATGAGCCCCAGAACATATTGTCATCCCGGGCTGCAAGCCTGGCCTCCTCACTGAGTGGCAGTGACAGATGTCCCCTGTTAATGTCCAGTGATTGAATGTCACTGCAGAGGCCCGTCCTCACCCACACAACCTGTTCCTTTCTTTCTGCAGCCACTGTGTCACGCTTGTCACAAAATCCACATTTTCTGCACATTGTTGGCCTTCTCCAGCAGTGAGCCCTTGTGCCAACCCTGCCCTGCTCCCTCCTCGGCCCATCCCCGAGGACACTGGGGGACAAATAGTACCATCACTGCTAAGTGATAATAAAGGCTGGCAGGAACACATCCTCAGCTTGGGGCGGCTACAAGGAAGGAAAGAAATAAAGAAAAAAGCTCATGAAGTTGCTGGAGTCATAGTCTCCTCCTGGGAATTCAGCCCAAGAATACAATTTATCAGAAATAAAAAGCTCTATTTAGATGGAGATTTATTGAAGCACTTGCTATCATAACAAAACACTGAGAACAACTTGAAAATCCTTTTACAGGTAAATAAATGATGATAAATTCTCTTGATTGGTTACGGCAGGACCCTTAATAATTATGGGGCACTGGTTAAACGTGGCAAATTGAGCAGCAGTTTTTGTTTTCATTGCTTCCCCAAGTACTACCAAAATAAAAGCAAAAGGGAAAAGTATACAAATGCACAGAGACAAAGAAAACGGGAGGGGAGAAAAAGGCAAAGGAAACAGTAGACAAGGAAGGTCAACAAAGATGGAAAGAGCGTGAACAGAAAAGGCCCAAGTTCCTGAGGAGGGGACACCACTAAAATGTGGGTCATCGTGTGCCACAGAAACCCAGAAAGGCTCAGGAATTGGACTCCCCAAGTACCAGGGAAAGCAGGATGAGGCTGGAGCTAAGAGGGAAAGTCTGCAGGGGAAACAAGCAGATGCCTAGAAGACACTGTCAGGGCTCCAGTGGCCCCAGAACCATCCTCCCCCAGCCGTCGGGAAGTGGGAGTGTCTTCTCTGGAGAAATGACTTAGATACATTTCCAAGGTGGAGACATCCAGCAGTGGGGGCAGGACTAAGGCACCAGACAGAAAGGAGTGATTATGACAGAAAAATGTGAGATCACTCAGGCCTAGGTCACTAGCCTGGTGCCTAATGACCTGCAGGAAAACCCACAGGTCAGCAAGTGCCCCCACCACACTCACGTGCACATCCTCACATGCACTCATACAGACTCTCATGCACACATACACTCTCACGCACACACACTCACATGCACACACACTCTCACATGCACACACACACTCTCACATGCACACACAGTCACATGCACACACAGACTCTCACATGCACACACAGACTCTCACATGCACACACACTCACATGCACACACAGTCACATGCACACACAGACTCACATGCGCACACACACTCACATGCACACACACTCTCACATGCACACACACTCTCACATGCATACACACACTCTCACATGCACACACACTCTCACGTGCACACACAGACTCTCATGCACACACACTCTCACATGCACACAGACTCTCATGTGCACACACAGACTCTCACATGCACACACAGTCACATGTGCGCACACACTCTCACATGCACACACTGTCACGTGCACACACAGACACACTCTCACGTGCACAGACTCTCATGCACACAGACTCTCACACACTCACGTGCACACACAGACTCTCACATGCACACACACAGTCACATGCACACACAGACTCCCACGTGCACACACACAGTCACATGCACACACACACAGAACTTCCACTTGCTTTTTGTTTACTCATTCTTAAATATGAAAATGTAGCCGAGGAAAGCCTGTAATGTTGGACACAAAGACTAAAACAAATAAACAAAAAATAGGAGACCCAGTGGAAATAGAGACAAAGCATAGAAGAGAAGAAAGCTTTAAAAAGAACTGCAATTAATATCCTAGAAGAGATGAGAGGGCTTGTCTCTATGAAAATAATAGAAATCAGAACTGATCTTTTTTAAAAAGTAACAGAAAGTAAGAATAACCAAACAACCTCTTGGAAATTAAAAGTGTAATAGCCAAAACAAAAATTCAGTGGCAAGAGTTTAAGATAAAGTTGAAGACATCTCTCAGAAAGTGGTGGGGAGAGGCAAGGAGATGAACAATAAGAGAAAAAAGGTAAGAAAGTTAAAGATCACTTCAGAGATATACCTCTGAGAATCACTCTGAAGTGATTCTGTAAGTCTTGGAGAGATGTCTTCAGGTCTTTCACATATGGCTGATCAGAGTTCTAGAAAGTACAGGAAACATGGAGGGAATTTTCAAACGAAGCACAAAAGAAAATGTCCCACAAGAGGAGAACTCGTCCCTCTATCCAAAGGCCCACCAGACACCCAGAAACACAAATGACTGCAGGCCAACATCAAGGAACATCATCAGGAAATTACAGAACACTGGGAACAAAGAAGAGATCCTAAAAGTTTCCAGAGAAAAACACAGGTCAAATACCATGAGTGAAGACTCTGAAAGGACTTCTCAACACAACAGCAGAAGCCATGGGAGCAGTGCTTCCACATCCTCAGGGGAGATTATTTTCCATCTAGAATTCTATCCCCAGCCAAACAGTCAATCCATTGTGGAGTGATGTGAAATGTGAAAATAGTGATAATTTTAGACCTATAAGGTCTCAAAAACATTATCCAAAATCATCCTCTTGGAGGAAGCTACTAGAAGGAGGATCCACCAAGATGAAGGCCACAAACCAAGAAGGAGGAAGACATGGGACCCAGGAAATAGGGGTCCCACAAGAGGGAAGCTGAGGGAGCTGCTGGGATGCTCAAGGGGATGTCCCAAGATGGTTCCTGCACAGAGCCTAGGCTGGAGAGAAGACTGGAGGGCTGCAAGAGATATGTTTGTAGGAAAAATAGATCAATGAATCACAAGATGATCTGATATACTTGGCAGCATTAAAAAATTATAATAGCAGGTGAGGGAGGAATTGGTATGAGATTTCTGGAATGCAAAGAAAATGAAAAAGAAGGCAATGATTAACTCTAGAGAAAAACAAAACTTTCTACAAGAAATGAAATGTAATTATGACATGGTATATAGTCATAATAGTGTAAATATTATCAGTTTAACAAATATAAAGAGGATGTGAGAAAGAGAAGTAAGGAAAGATAGCAAAGTCCTCATACAGCATAATTCTAAAATGGCTAAATAAAGAAATGGCTATATAAAATATTATTCAGTAATAAGAATACACAGTCTAGAAACAGGTAAGAGGATTAAAAGTGATCGCCTCAAAAGTGGGAAGTAGCGAGATATCTTATCCCAGGATCCCCCCAAACAGACCCTGAGACAAGCATTTGGCACAAGTCATTTGTAAGATGATTCCAGGAAACACGGGTAGATGACAGGGGGCAGGGGTGGAATGGGGAAGGGAGGGAGCTAACAGAAGATGAGTCAATGATCAGGATGTCCCTGTGAGCAACTGGGAACTTCCAGGAGACAGTGTAGGGCATACCTGAGAACTGTCACAACTCACTTTCCTCACTAGCTCAGGGCTGCTCTGTGGGCACCAGCTCCTTGGAACTGTGTGCCTCCTCCATGCAGGGGCCAAGCCCACTCCATGGTTGGATAATACCCCCAAGCAGAGGTCTGCAGGTGCTCAAGGTAGGAAGTCATTGGTGTACATGGAATTGTCCACTGAGACTTCAGATAACCTCTGAAGCAAGAAAATAAAAAGAAAGTAGATAGCAATAGGGTACCAAAGGAGTTGCTACATGGACCAAGGTCCTTTTATACATTATAAACTATCTGCTGTGTTTGAGTATTTAAACTACAATGAAAGCTCTCTAAAATGACCACTAGTCAACCAACAGACACTCTCTCCTCCCATCGTTCAATGCCTATCGCACAATGAATGTTCATGGCTACTGTCAAAAATGATGTCATACTTCCATTCCTACCAATCCAGTAGTATGCCTACTAATTGTCAGTAGAAATTCTTCCCAAACCTGTTTATGACAGTTGTAGTTGTTTGCATTATACAACTTAGTTAATAACATGTAAACCAATTAAATAGGAATAATATGTAAATCAATAAGATAGAAATGCAAAAATAGAGTTTATTTTACATTAGATGTTGAGGAAACATTTGTAAAAGATTAGGAGGGAAATGTAAAAATCTAGAAGAGCTATCTTGATTTCTGCTTCTGGCAGTATAGTAAACTCTCCATTCTCCGTCCTGGTCTGAGTGGGAAAAAAAAATAGTCTCTCCTGAAAATTGAAAATCAGATGTGGTGTTCTTACACTACCCTAACCATGAGGGTATCCTGACCAGACCCAAGAGATTGAAATAACACAATTGCAGTTAAATTAAAGTAAAGAATTTCTAGATTGGTAGCATTCTCTGGCACCCAGCTTTGGAAAACACCAATCTTCTACAGAGAAAAACATTCTCAATCCAATCTCCTAAGAATTTCCACAGATCAAACTAAGCTAAGTGGGAACTCAAAATAAAAATTTATCGGTCAGTGGAGAAAATAAACATAGGATTTAGATTCCTTCCCCACAAGACTTCAAATATTGTAATTATTAAATACAGTATATAAAATTGGTATGAAAAGTTTGAAGTTATAAACCATGAAGTTAAAAAATCAGCAAGACTGAAAGTACTACCAAAATTGAACAATCAAGAAATGTTTTGTTGATTTATTTATTTTTTATAGAGACAGGGTCTCGCTATGTTACCCAGGTGGTCTTGAACTCCTAGACTCAAGCAATCCTCCTGCCTCAGCCTCTCAAGGTGCTGGGACTATGGGCATGAGCCACCATTCCCAGCCCAATCAAGATTTTTTTTAAGTAACAGTCATGGTTTAAAAATAGAACTCTTGGGCAAAACAAAATAATCACTAAAGTAAAAATCTCATTGTCTAGGTCAACGGCAGCTAAAGATGGAAATCATGAGCAAGAAGACAGAGCTGAAGAAGATGCTCAGACTGCAGCACAGGAGAGCAGTGAGGTGGAAAATATAAGAAGGAGATAACAAGGAAGACTGAAGAAGATCTAACTTGTGTCTAATCAGAGCTCCTAATGGAGATAATAGAGCACACAGAGAAAATGTTTGCTCTGATAATGGTAAGCATTTTTCAGAATTAAGGAAAGGCTTGAATCCCACAGATCAAAAAGTGTAATATTTACCCAGCAGGCTTATAAAAAGACAAAGAAAATATCTTAAACAGCAAGTAGAGACAAAACACAATTACCTACAAAGAAACAAGAGCTAGACTTCTCTAGAGCAACAATGAAAGCCTGAAGACAGTGGAGTAATATCTTCAAAAGCTGAGAAAAAATAACTATCAGCTTAGAATTCTATACAACTGCTATAATATTTCAAGAGTGAGAGCTAGTTTGCAGACGATATATATATGTGTGTGTGTATATATACACACACACTCACACACACACATCCTAAAAGTTTTACACAGAATACTACAAGAAATAATAAATGATTTCGGCAGAGTAGCGTGATACAAAATCAGCACACACAAGAAATTAGCTGACGAGCACAGTGGCTCATGCCTGTAATCCCAGCATTTTGGAAGGCCGGGGCAGGTGGAACTTTTGAGCTCAGGAGATCAAGACCTGCATGGGCAACATGGCAAAACCCCACTTCTACCAAAAGAAATACAAAAATTTGCTAGGCCTGGTGGCATGCATCTATAGTCCTAGCTACTTGGGAGGATCACTTGAGCCCAGGAGGTAGAGGCTGCAGTGAGCCATTGCCCTCCAACCTGGGCAACAGTGTGAGACCCGGCCTCGAAAAAAAATTAGCTGCATTTCTGTTAACTAAAAATGAACACTCTGAAAAGGAAATTAAGAAACAAATCCATTTAAAATAACATCTAACGTCAAAAAGAATAAAATACTTGGAATTAACTTTAGGAAGCTAAGAATTTTACACTAAAAACTACAAAGTATTGCTGAAAGAAAGAAGACATTAATAAATAGAAAGACACCCAGTGTTTATGGCTTGAAAGACTTAATATTGTCAGGATTTCCATACTACCCAAAGTGATTGACAAATTAAATGCAATCCCTATCAAAATTCCAATGACATTTATGGCAGAAATTTTAAAAATTCATCCTAAAATTTATAATGGAATCTCAAGGGACCTGGAATAGCCAAGACAATCTTGAAAAAGAATAAAGTTGGAGGCCACATCCCAATTTCAAACTTACTGCAAAGCTACACTAATCAAAACAATGTGAAACTGGTGTAAAGACAGACATAGAAACCAATGTAATAGAATAGAGAATCCAGAAATAATTTCTTGTACACATGGTGGAATGATTTTTGACAAGTGTGCCAAGAACATTCAATGGGGAAAAGACAAACTTTTCAACAAATGGTGTTGAGAAAACTGAATATCCACAAGCAAAAGATATGCAACATTACCTTACACCATACGTAAAAATTAACTTGAAATGGATCAAAGACCTACATATAAGACCTAAAACATAAAACTCTTAGAAGAAGATAAAGAGAAAGCCTTCATGACATCGGACTTAGCAACAATTTATTGGATATGACATCAAAAGCACAGGGAAAAGAAAAATAGGGAGATTGGATTACATCAAACTGTAAAAATTTTATCCCCAAAGGACTCTGTCTAAACAGAGTGAAAAGATAACCCATTGAATGGGAGAAAATATTTCTAAATTACATATCTGATAAGGGGTTAATGTCAAGATTATATTTTTTAAAACTCCTATATCTCAGCAACAACAACAACAAATGCAAACCAGTTCAAAAGTGACAAAGGACTTGAACAGACATTTCTCCAAAGAGATATACAAATGGTCCATAAGCATCTGAAAAGATGCCAAAAATCACTAATCATTAAGGAAATGCAAATCAAAATTACAATGAAATAGCATTTAATACCCATTTTAAAAATGACCCAAAAAACAGAAAATAACAAGGGTCTTGAGGATGTGGAGAAACTGGAACACTTGCATGCTGCTGGTGGGAATGTAAAATGGTGCAGTCACTATGGAAACCAGTGTGATGGCTCCTCAAAAACCTTTTACCATGGTGACTCTGCATTGAGGAAAAAGAGATCTTCAGGCCTTCAGAGACCAACAGACACTGACTCTGAGGTAACACTAATTCCAGGAGACCAAAACATCACTGTGACCCACAACTCAGAGGTCAGGTGATCAATGCAGCCTTAGCTCAGATTCATCCCACAGTGGGCTCAGTGGGTCCACGAACACATCCTGGGGTTATTTCCCAGTCATGGAACAGACCATTGGAATAGACATACTCAGCACCTGGGTAGAATTCCCACATTGGCTCCCTGACCTGTGGAGCAGAGCTACTATGATGAGAAAGGCCAAGTGGAAGCCACTAGGACTGCCTCTGCCTAAAAAAATAGTAAACTAAAAGCAATGCCGCATTCCTGGAGGGATAGCAGAGATTAGTGCCACCATCAAAAGATAGTTGGGGGCTGGGCAAGGTGGTTCACACCTGTAATCCCAGCACTTTGGGAGACTGAAGCAAAAGGATTGCTTGAGGCCAGTTCAAGACCAGCCTAGGCAAAAGAGTGAGACCCCATTTCAACAAAAAATTAAAAAATTAGCCAGGCAGTGTGGCATTTGCCTGTGGTCCCAGCTACTCGGGAGGCTGAAGTGGGCAGATCCCTTGAGCCCAGCAGTTCAAGGCTGCAGTGAGCTATGATGGCACCACTACACTCCAGCCTGGGTGACAAAAAAATGAGACCTTGTCTCTTAAAAAAAAAAAAAAAGTAGGATGGGGTGAAAGATGCAGGGGTGATGATTCCCACCATATCCTACAACCCCATTCAACTCACCTATTTGACATGCGCTAAAAACAAATAAATATTGGAAAATGACAGTGGCTTATCATAAGATTAACCAGGTGGTGACTGCAATTGCAGCTGTTGGACCAGATGTGGTTTCATTGCTTGAGCGAATCAACACATCTCCTGGTACCTGGTATGCAGCCATTGATCTAGCAAATGTTTTTTCTCCCTCTCTGTTAATAAAGCCCACCAGAAGCAGTTTGCTTTTAAGTGGGAAGGCCAGCAGTACACCTGCACTGTCCTGCCTCAGGGTATATCAGTGCTCCAGCCCCCTGCTACACTTTATTTCACAAGTGAACTGAAGGATCTTGATTGCCTTCCCCTGCCAGAAGATGCCACACTGGTCTGTTACATGGATGGCATGCTGATTGGTCCTTAAGAGCAAGAAGGAGCAACTACTCCAGACTTATTTCTAAGACTCTGTCAGAGGGTGGGAAATAAAGCCAACAAAAATTCAGGAGGCTTCTACCTTAGTGAAATTTCTGTGGCCCTAGTGGCCTTTCTAAAGTGAAGGATGCATTGTTTCTTCTGGCCCCTCCTGTAACAAAAAAAAAAAAGCACAATGCTTCGTGGGTCTCTTTGGATTTAGGGGGTAACATATTCCTGACTTGGGCGGCTACTCCAGCCCAGGTACCAAGCAACTAAAAGAGCTGCTAGTTTTGAGTGGGGCCCAGAACAAGACAAGGCTCTGAAACAGGTCCCAGCTGCTGCGCAAGTTGCTCTGCCAGGTGGGCCATGCAACCCAGCAGATCCGATGCTGCTGGAGGTATCAGTGGCAGATGGGGATGCTGTGTGGAGCCTTTGGCAAGCCCCTCTATGTGAATCACAGGGAAGGCCCTTGGGATTTTGGAGTGAAGTCCTGCCATCTTCCTCAGATGACTACTCTCACTTTGAGGAGCAGCTCTTGGCCTGCCACTGGGCCTTAGTACAGGCTGAACACTTAATTAACCATGGGCCACCAAGTCACCATGTGCCCTGAGCTGCCTATCATGAGCTGGGTGTTATCTGACCCAGAAAGCCATAAACTTGGGCATGCACAGCTGCACTCCATCACAAATGGAAGTGGTCTATACAAGATCAGGCCTCAGCAGGCTCTGAAGACATAAGTAAGTTACATGAAGAAGTGGACCAGATGCCCAAGGTTCCCACTCCTGTTATGCTGCCTTCCTTCTTCCAGACACACTAATGGCCTCATGGGGAATTCCCTGCAATCAAATGACAGAGAAAGAGAAAACTCTGGCCTGGTTTACAGACGGCTCTGCATGATAGGCAGGCACCACCTGAAACTGGAGGCTGCAGCACCACAGCCCCTTTCGGGGACATCCCTGAAGGACAGTGGTGAAGGGAAATCCTCCCTGTGGGCAGAACTCCGGACAGTGCAAGTGGTTGTGCACTCTGCTTGGAAGGAGAAATGGCCAGATGTGTGATTATATACATATTCATGGGCTGTAGCTAATGGCTTGACTGATGGTCAGGGACTTGGAAGTAGCCTAATTGGAAAATTAGTGACAAGGAAATTGGGGAAGAGGCATGTGGATAGACCTCTGAATCAGCAGAAAGCATGAAGATAGTTGTATTCCATATGAATGCTCATCAAAGGATGACCTCAGCACAGGAGGAAGTTAATAATCAACTGGATAGGATGACCCTGTCTGTGGATGCCAGTCAGCTTCTTTCCCAGAACCCCCTGCCATCGCCAATGGATTCATGAACAAGGTGGCCATGGTGGCAGGGATGGAGCTTACACATGGGCTCAGCAACATGGACTTCCACTCACCAAGGCCAAGCTGGCTACAGCCACTGCTGAGTGCCCAATCTGCCAGCAGCAGAGACTGACACTGAGCCCCCAGTATGATACCATGCCCTGGGGTGATCAGCCAGCTACCTGTGGCAGGTTGATTACAGTGAACAGCTTCCATCATGGAAGGGGCAGGGCAGTGCTTTGATCTTATTGGAATAGACACTTACTCTGAATGTGGATTTATCTTTCCTAAATGTAATGTTTCTGCCCAAACTATCATCAGTACTATGGAATGCCTCATCCATCACCATGGTAGTCCACACAGCATTGCTTCTGATCAAGGGACTCATTTCACAGCAATGAAGTGTGGCAAGGGTCCATGCTCATGGAATTTACTAGTCTTATCATGTTCCCTACCATCCTGAAGAGCTGACTTGAGAGAATGGTGCAATGGCCTTTTAAAGACTCAGTTACAATACCAGCTAGGTGGCAATACCTTGCAGGGCTAGGACAAGGTTCTCCATGAGGCTGTATATGTTTTGAATCAGCATTCAATATATAGTGCTGTTTCTCCCATAACCAGGATTCCCAGGTCCAGGAATCTAGGGGTAGAAATGGGAGTGGCACCACTCACTATTATCCCCAATAACCCATTAGCAACATTTTTGTTTCCTGTTCCAGCAACTTATGCTCCACTGGCCTAGAAGTCCTAGTTTCAGAGGGAGGACTGCTTCCACCAGGAGACACAGTGATGATTCCATTGAACTGGAAGTTAAGATTGCAACCCTGCCACCTGGGGCTCCTCATGCCTCTAAATCAACAAGCAAAGAAGGGAGTTACTCTGCTGATTGATCCAGACCACCAAGGAGAAATTAGACTGCTACTTCACAATGGAGTCAAGAAAGAGAATGTCTGGAATACATGCAATCCCTTAGGAAATCTCTTAGTGTTACCGTGTTCTGTGATCAAAGTCATTGGAAAACTACAACAACCCAAGCCAGGCAGGACTACTAATGGCCCAGACCCTCAGAAATAAAGGTTTCAGTCACTGCACCAGATAAAGCGTCACCAGCTGAGATACTTGCTGAGGGCAAAGGGAATACAGAATGGGTAGTGAAAGCAGTTAGCTATGAATACCAGCTATAACCACATGACAGTTACAGAAATAAGGGCTGTAATTGTTGTATTTCTCCCTCATTGTATGTTATGAACAGATCTGTGTGTGTGTGTATACGTGTGTGTGAAGCAAATGTCTGTTTTATTACCCTTCTTATCCCCTTATCATGTAAACAAGCTGTATTGATTTTATATCATAGTGTTTAAGTATTGTTAACTTTTTATCTTAGATTGGGCTGCATAACAAATTATAGCTGAGTGACTTAAATAACATTTTATAAACCATCGGCTGAGTGACTTAAGAAACATTTATTCCTCACAGTTCTGGAGGCTAAGTCCAAGATCCAGGCACCAGCAGATCTGGCATCCGGTGAGGGCCTGCTTCCTGGTTTGCAGCTGACCATCTTCACATTGTATCCTCCCTGGCTGAGAGCAGAGAGGAAGTGAGTTCTCTCATGTCTGTTCTTGTAGGGCACTAATCACATTCACAAGGGCTCCACCCTCATGATCTAATCACCTCCTAATTCCATTACATTGGAGGTTAGGACTTCAACCTATAGATTTTGGGGGGACACATTCAGTCCATAACAACTAAGTTACAGAATATCAAGAAATCCTGCCTTGATCTTTCCATGACCAGCCCCGCTCTGAAGTGCTCAGTCAACGTTAGCATACAAAAAGACATCACTTTGGAGATTCCAAGGATTTTAGGAGTTGTATGCCAGGAAATAGGACAAAGACCAAATATATATATATTTCACAATATCACATGTACACTTATAATAAATTTTATGGTATGTGGATTATACCTCAATTAAGCTGTTTTTTCTTTTAAAGGCCAAAACATGTTTGGATGTAACCCAAAACGTCAGGACTTCAGGTGCCTCCTGACCCTGACCACGGCTGGCACCTTTTCTTCCTCCTGCGTCGTGTCCTGCGCTCTGTGTTGAAACTGGGTTCCCATTAATTATTAATTTTTCTCCAGAGAATACTTGTTAAAGAAGAATTAATGCTATTGTTTTAGAGCAAATGCTGCCCAAATACTGTCTTTAGTAGAATTGTAATCAGCTTTACCCACTTTCCATCTAATCTGATTGAATCAGATTTTCTACAAAATCTTTTTTTTATTTTGTTGCTATTAAAAGGTCACCTATTTGATCTGCCTCAAACTCTAAGTTCTTGGGATTCATTTATAATTACAAGTTCACAGATGACCTAACCAGGGATTGAATTACAATACTTTTAATTAAAATAGAAAAAAGGGAGGGGAGAGAGGTGGACATTCGCCATAGTGGAATTTGGGGGAATGCTGGGTGCTGCTTGGCTGAATCTATTTTAGCCTGTCTTCTCTAGCCCCTGGTTAGAAGTCTGTTCACCATAATGCCTTCTGACCCTCTGCACTTACTCCATCATAATTATCCTTTAATACTCTTATAAATGAACTTTTAGCTTATCTTCCATTAATTCTCCAGAATAAGCAAAGCCATCTAAATAAAGTGTTTAACCCTTTCCTGGCCTTCCCTTTCCCAGGGATCTGTGGAAAGTTGCTAGGAAGGGAAATTCATTACCCTCCTGTGTAGAAGTGAACTTGAATCAGTCACCTGTCTCTTCTCCCGACCACAAGTGAGGCTCACAGGTTGCATGTGGAGTGAAGTGGGTACCCCAAGGCCTCTTGGCATCAGGCATGGGAAGAACACAGCTGCCCCAAGGATGAGAAACACCCAGGGCACCGTAGGAGTCCAGGTGCTTGGCGTGGAGCACTCGTGGCCTTTGCGGCATTGTGTGGTCCCCAGGACGCACTGGCCAGGAATGGTGGTCCACAGAGGACTGGGGCCTGCTCTCATCCTCATACTGTGTGGGGAAGCTCCACCTTGGGAGCCAAGCAGCTCAGTGGGGGCAGGACAAGAGCTCCAGGCCAGGCCGATGTGAGGGTCCAATCTCCACCCTGCCACTTCGTGGCTGTGTCCTTGGGCAACTAACTTGGCCCCCTCAGTCAGTTTCCTTGTCTGTAAAATGGAAATGGGCTTAGTGCATATTCCACAGGGGTGCGGTGAGACCTAAAGGAACAAAGGCAGCTAGAGCTCAGTACAAGACCAGTAAAATCCCCTGCATGGTGCTATCGGGCCGAGCCTTGCCTGCCCTACTCACCTGCACGCCCTGGTGGTGCTTCCTGCAAACGCCTGTAAATGGGATTTTTGGCCTGAGAGCCCACAAGCTCACGTGGCAGCTAGGAGTGCCAGAGAGTGAATGCCTGGCCCTCAGGTGCACATCCCTCATCCCTCAGGTGGACGCCCCTCAGAGGGACAACCTTCAGGTGGGACTCCCCTCAGGTGGATTCCCCTCAGATGGATTCTCCTCAGGTGGATGCCCCTCAGGTGGATTCCCCTCAGGTGGATGCCCCTCAGGTGGATTCCCCTCAGGTGGATTCCCCTCAGGTGGATGCCCCTCAGGTGGATTCCCCTCAGGTGGATGCCCCTCAGGTGGATTCCCCTCAGGTGAATGCTCCTCAGGTGTGTGTCCCTCAGGTGGATGCCCCTCAGGTGGACTCCCCTCAGGTGGACTCCCCTCAGGTGGATTCCCCTCAGGTGGATTCCCCTCAGGTGGACTCCCATCAGGTGGACACCCCTCAGGTGGATTCCCCTCAGGTCTGTGCCCCTCAGGTGGATTCCCCTCAGGTGGAGTCCCCTCAGGTGGAGTCCCCTCAGGTGGACACTCATCAGGTGGATTCCCATCAGGTGTCTGTCCCTCAGGTGGACGCCCCTCAGGTGGACACTCATCAGGTGGACACCCCTCAGGTGAGATTCCCCTTAGGTGGATGCCCCTCACGTGGGATTCCCCTTGGGTTTGTGCTCAGTCTCCAGAGTCCCCAGAGCTCCCTGTTGGGATGAGGCCCTGGTCGCCTACCACAGTCACTTGCAGAATGATGCTGGTATTGGTTCCTCCTCCCCTGCCTGCCTCAGTTTCCAGTCCCTTATTAGAGTTTCCTGCAGTCACCAAGAAATGATTAGCTATGTCCGTTTTGTCCCTACCCCATCCCCACTTAGCACCAAAGCTGGGCTGTGGTCAGCTGCCTCCACTCTGTTTTCCAGCTTCATGTTTGGGTTGCAGCTCCCTTCCCGGCCACCAGTCGACCACCTCTGGTCAAACCATACCAACAGGTGAGCTGCCCTGCACATTGGGAAGACTGCAATCATCACCAACCATCTTATTCAGGTGGGCTTTTCCCAAGTAGATGCAGCCACTGTCTAACCAGTGTCTTCACCACCTCTGAACTCCACGGAGCTCCCACACCGTGCTCAACCTTCAGGAGTTTTTTTAATGCCAGTTCATATTCCCTGCCCCCAGGAAGTTGGAGAAACAAAAATGAGTTGCATCTCTGTAGGGTCAGCCAGAATGGACATCATGGTTTGGAGTCCACAGAAGCAAAGCCAAGTCGGGGATTCATGTGCATGTGGTTTATTGGAGGGTGCTCACCAGAAGAGAGGGAAAGGAGGAGGCAGGGACTTTGTATCCCACCCACGCACCTCTCCACCCACCCCTCCTGGCACTCAGAGGCCACAGGCAGTTGGAGAGGTAGAAATTGCAGCTCTGGGCCAGGCAGTTTCTGCTCCCAGAGGGGTCCAGAAGCAGGTGGCAGGAGTGAGGCCTGAGCCCCCACAGCACCTGGGAAGGACACACCCTTACATGAAAAGGGGATAGCAGGGTGTCAGAGCAGGGACCAAAGGCACGTGCCATAATGGCCTAAAGATTCAGAGTGTGTCTTAGTCTGTTCAGACTGCTATAACAAATACCTTAGCCTGGGTAATTTACAGACAATACGAATTTATTGCTCACAGTTCTGGAGACTGGGAAAGCCAAGATCAAAGCACGAGCAGATTCAATGTTGGGTGACAGCCTGTTCCTCATAAATGGTAACTTCTAAGTGTCCTCACATGGTGGAAGGGGCCAGAGGCTCCTTGGAGCCTCCTTTATAAGGGCACTACTCCCACTCATGGGGGAGGGGGGAATCCTTATAACCTAATCACCTCCTAAAGTTCCACCTTCTATACCATCACATTGAGTATTAGGTTCCAACATATGAATTTGGGGGGTGGGGGTGTATCTGAGTCCAAACTCACTCTGCTCACCACACGACAGCCAATAAGTCACGAGCAAGGAGCTGGGGCAAAGAAAATCACTTATTTCAGAAAGTCAGCAAACCAGGAAGATGGTGACTAGTGTCCTAAAGCACCATCCTAAAAGGCATGAATCCCAAGCTTCTTTTTATATTGGGAAAGGGGGAACAAGAAGGGGTTTGAGATCAGGAGATGACTGATGACCACAGACATCTTGGAAGCAATGAGGATCTGAGGAGGTTGTGAAACATCTGTCCTTGGTGAGGTTACAATCCTCCTATAAATCCTTAACACAAAATTGTTACTTGTGTGTGCACCCTATTTATCTCCTTGGGGGTTAGTTTTGTAAAGAAACTATTGTCATCCTTGCTTTAGTAGTTAGCTTGGCCCATGTGCAAGAATGAGCAAAGACAGTTAATTGGTGAGGGTAGAAGGCAGACGGAGTCAGCTATGTTCCATTTCTCTCACTGTTACGGGGGCACCAACACTCAGACCAGAGCACAAGCAAAGGTGTGTCTAGAACTCCAGGGCCAGAGGTCCCAAAGGATCTAGAAGGTGTAGAAGGACCAATACTCAAGGTCAACACATAATCCAGACAAGGAGAGCTTCTGGTTCAGTCATGTTGGTTAACATAAAAACATTGTGTACAAAGTGTTACGTAGAAATAGAAATGCATCACATTTAGTTATACAGCTGATGAAGCCAATCCTACAGAAAAATGTAAAATGTTATGAAAGTCGGGCTGTTCCAGGAAAGCCAGAGCATCGGTGACTACCCGTGCCCATGAGAGGCTTCCCTAAGAAACCGGAGTGTTCACAAGAGGGCAGGCGCCGCTGGAGGGCTGGGGCTCGGGAGGCCTTTAACGCTTTTGCCTGCTGACCTTGGAAGCAGCCCCCACAGCCAAGGCTCTCCGTCCCCACAGCTGACTCTCATCTGGGCCCTCCCTGGCAGGAAACTCTTGTCTCTGTAGGGTCGGCCAGTTTCCCCCATGTTTCTACTACAGGAGAGCAAAGCAGAAAAGTCCCCATCCTTGGTAAGTAGAGTCCCTCTTGGTCTTGGGTCCCGCCCTGGCCATGCACTTTCCTTCCTTCAGTCTGAACTGCCCTTGCCCCACTCAGTCCCCGGGCTTCAAGCTTCCTGCAGCTGAAGCTGCACGATGAGATCCCAACAGTTGGCACTACCTGAGCCTGCCCTGGGCCTGTTTCTCTCTTGACCCTCTGAACATTCTCTTGGGCATATTCATCCATTCCAAAAGGTTCAGCCAGTCTCACCACACCTGCCAGTGACTCCCAAACCCAGACCAGCAGTCTGGTTTCTGTCCTGAGTCCCGACTGGAATCCAGATGCCTGCTCAGCACAGACAGCTCAGCTCAGTGGTCAAGCCCGCCCGCCACCTCTGCTGGGTCACTTCTCCCCACGTACACCAGGAATGCAGTGCCTACCTGAACTTTCCCTGAACCCCACATGCAATTAGTCCCCACATCCCCTCCTAACCAGCTCTTGGGGCCATGCCTCCTCCCAGACCAGGGTTACCACCCATTGCAGGCCCCGTCCTCTCCCTTGGATTCCATGGTGCCTCCTACAGTCTCCCTGCACTTGGTCATTGCCTGCTGGGACCATCTCAAGACCAGCTGACCCCTTTATTCCCCTACTGAAAACCCTCCATGGCTCCCACTTGTCTTTGGATGAAACACATTTCTTAGCTCCTCTCTTTGTTATTTCCCCCATTCCAGCCTCACCTAACCCCACAGAGGCCACAATCTCTGCCCCCTCCAGCCTGCCCTCCTGGAAGCCCCCTCCTCTTTCCTTCCTTCCCAACTCCTGTGCATGGTTCCAGCCTTGGCCAAGAGTCCTCTCCTCCAGGAAGCCCCTGCATCCCCGCTGAGCCAGGCACCTTCCTTTGAGGTCCTTTGCACTCTGAGAGGCCTCCAGCCAGGTGCGTGGGAAACAGGAAGAGCCTCCGTGCATGCCGGTGGAGCGGCTGAGGCCTTGGCGATCGTGGGCATATGCTGCTTGCACGCTGTGTGTTCCATGAGCAAACCATTCAGCCTTTCTGAGCTTCAGTTTCCCTCTCTGTGAAATAGAGATGGTAAATGTGCTTTAAAAAAATAATAATAAGGTTGTTGTTAGTGTAACTGCACAGTGCCTAGCATATAACAAATGCCTGATAAACATCATGAAATGGAGTAAAAGTCATTACAGATACCTAAACCCTCCATCTTAGAAAAGCTGAAAACACAGACCTGAGAAGAAGGAAGTAGTTAGAAAAGTCTATAAATGGGTCTCTGTAACAATGGCTCAGGTAGCCATGTTACTTACTGTGTTTTTCAGGCCGTGCAGATAATGGCTTCAAAAGAAGGAGGCACCTAGAGGGAGAGACCAGAGGGCCAAGTTGATGCCCAAAGAGATAAAAGCAAGAAATGGTCAGCAAGGGAGACAGCATCTGAATTTATGAAATAGCAGTTACCTCACTGGGTCTGGAAAGAGAATGGAAAGCATGTAAAGCACCACCAGATGGAAATGGCGTGGGCTCCAAAAATGTCCCCACTGCACACAACCCCCGAAACCCCTCTCAGGAGCACAGTCAGGTCTGACCTCTGCAGAGCAAGACTGGCTTTTTGTGTGAGTTCAGGCCTCATGCTTCAGGCCTACCCCTCCTAATGGACTGCCACGCACACATTCATGAAGTCTTAGCAGCCCAAATGGGGAGCTTCAGAGAGCCCCCCTCCCAGCTCAGCTTGTGTGCGCCCCCTCCTCATTCTACCACCCAGGTCATCCCCATGGAACACGGGGTGCAAGGAGCCAGCAGACACCCCAGAAGGTCCTGACAAGTGACGACAAAGAGAGAGGAAGTTGGAAGACCCGGATTCCAGTGCCAACCCCGTGGCTCACCATCGGCCGTCCTCCAGTCTCCATTTCAATCATCAAGAAAATGGGAGGGTACAGTAGATAGATTTATGTATTGCGTGTTTCAACTTTATTCTTGGAAAAGAAATACATGCAGATGGTTCAACTTTAAAATTACAAAAGGATATTCGGCAGCGAGTATCCCTCCCACCCCTGCCCCTGCCTGCATCACCCCTCCTGGAGGCAGCCAGCCTGTGCGCACTTCAGAGGTAGTTCATGCATTTACTAACAAGTGCATCCTTTGCTTTGTTTACACAAATGGCAGTTCCCACACACACCTCCCACACTTTGCATCATTTACTCAACACTGCGCCTTGGAGACTGTCCAGTGCACACACACAAGTGCTATCTCGTTTCCTTTTCTTGAGACTGTCGTCCACTCCCTGGAGGCACTGAAATTCTGGGTAGCTTCTCAGGGTCCCTTCCAGCTCTGAGATTCCACGTTGTCCATTCAAATGTGTCTTTCAGCTGCCCACAGTGGGCTGAGGTGGGCACCCCTGCCACAGAGGAGGCTTCGCCTCTCCTCCCCTAGAGGTGCTCTGGAGAGGAACCCCTCCCATAAACCAGGCCACTCCTCACAGCAGACCTGGGACAGTCACTTTCTAGCCAGGTGGCAGACTGGCAGGCAAACTGAACCTGAACATCTTTGTTTCTAGGCTGTGAGGGACAAGGTTTCCATGACTACATGGGAGATTCCCAGCAAATTCACCCCACAAAATACCCAAACACATTTTAGGAAATGCCTGGCCAGAAAGGACAGCCCTCACCTTTCGCCAGAGCTGGTCTGGTCCCTGTGTCAGGATAACATCCCACTAGCCTGGTTTGTCTCTTAGAAAAGGAAAAGAGAATTAGGACAAAAGAGGCCGCATCCTCATCTGGTGCCGGGGTTCCCTTTTCCAGCTACAAAAAAAGCACTGGGGTCAGCCTACAGAACTGCCGAGAGCCCCACGGAAGTCTCAGGCAGACCACACGCTTGCTGGCGACCCTCGTCATCCAGCAGGGATCCAGGAGGAGAGAGGGGGAGCGAGCACCACAAAGTGTAGAGGAGAGAGGTGGGCAAGCAGGCAGAGACAGAGGGAGCAGACCGAGCCAGGGAAGTGGGCGTCTGAGGCCGAGCAGGAAGATGGGGAGCACAGAGACTGTTAAAGACACCAGAGGCCCCAGACCTGAGAAACAATGGCACAGAAAGGGTATCTGGAGCAGAGAAAGACTGATTAGTAAGCCAGTAATTAGCAGTTACCTAATGCTGCATAGCTAAATATCCATGACTTAGTGGTCTCAAACTGCAATCACAGTTTCTGTGGGCCAAGAATTCACTAATAGTCTGGCCGGGTGGTTCTGGCTTGGAGTCTGCTACAGACTGAATGTGGCCCCTGGAAAGCATGTGCTGGAAACATAATCCCCAGTGCAACAGTGCTGGGAGGGGGCTGCTGAGTGGTGATTAGACTGTGAGGGCTGTGCCCTCTTGAATGGATTAATTCTGTTATCATGAGAATGGGTTTGTTATCTCAGTAGTGGATTCATTATAAAAGAACAAGTTTGATCCTCCCTCTCTCTGTCTCTCTCCCTCCCCCTCCCTCCTTTTGCCCTTCCACCATGGGATGATGCAGCAAGAAGGCCCTTGACAGATGCTGGGACCCTAATCTTGGACTTCCCAGCCTCCAGAACCATGAGCCAATAAATTTCTGTTCATTATAAATTGCCCAGTCTATGGAATTCTGTTATAGCAGCACAAAGCAGACTAACAGGGCTGCAGTCAGATGTCAGCCTGGGCTGCATCATTTGAAGGCTCTGCTGTGGCCAGGGGATCCACTGCCAAGGCAGCCCTCACTGGCTGCCGAGCTGGTGCTGGCTGCTGGCAGGAGGCCTTAGCATCTCTCTGTGTGGGCCTCCCCAGGGCTGCTTGGGCGTCCTTTTGGCATGTGGCTGGCTTCCCCCAGCATGAGTCACCCAAGAGAGCAAGGCGGGAGCTGTAGTGCCTTTTCTGACCCATCAACATTCTGCTGGACACAGAGGCCAGCCCTGATTGAATGTGGAAAGGACTGCATGAGAGTGTGGCTCGAGGAGGCCAGAACCATTGGCAGCCACCTGGGAGACTTGGCGATCACAGAGAGAGGGAGACAAGACATTGTATGGAAACTGTGAGTGGCTGTGTCAAGCTCATAATATTCCATAAACATGGGTGGGGAAGATAAGGATGAATGATTAGCAAGGAAAGGAGAAAAAATAAAAAGCAAACCTTGTGCTTCCACTGGACAGTGGTACCTGAAACTTTTTCTTTTCTCACCTTCCTTGTTATTTTAAATGATTTTAAATAATATCAGTAATGCATGCATGTATCTTCACAATAAGAATGTCCAACAAAGCTCTCCTTAACCAAACCACCTTGAATGCCACCCCTCCCCAGAGGTCATCACTGTAATCATGCTGAGTCACATCCCAGGACTTGCCTTCACAGCTTTCCTTGTATATTGCAGTGTTTGTGTGTGTGTGTGTGTAGGAAATG
Source organism: Homo sapiens (assembly GCF_000001405.40). Classification (NCBI taxonomy): domain Eukaryota; kingdom Metazoa; phylum Chordata; class Mammalia; order Primates; family Hominidae; genus Homo; species Homo sapiens. Next base: position 25,137,445 of record NC_000020.11, read on the forward strand.
AATTTCATTTCATGAAAAATGTAATTCCATTTTGTATTTTTTTACATAAATTGTATCATATCATATCATTGCTCTTAGAATTTTTTCCACTTAATTGATACGTCTTGGACATCATTGTGTGCAGATACGTAAGTCGATCTCATTCTTTTTGACCACTGCATGGCATTCCACAGTGTGGCTGCACCATGATCGTAACCATTTCCCTAATGAAAAATATTTAGGTGGTTTGCATTTCTTCTATTACTAGCAGTAAATGTTGTATGTGCATCTTTGTATACTTACTTCTAGACTATTATTTCTGAATATATATGTATCTTCAGTTGTCAATTCTTAATTTTATTATGTTGTAATCAGTAAGTGTGACCTATATCATGATTTCTATTTTTTGGAGTTTGTTGATCATTTCTTTATGGCTTAACACATGACCAATTTCTGTGACTGTGCTGTGTATACTTGAAATAATATACACTCTCTGGTGGGTAAAAAGACCCATTAGCTATTATATGATGTTTTTCTCTGTTATTTAAGAGTTTTGTTTATTTTTATCTTCTTGATCTCTGTCAATTTCAAGAGCTGTGCATTAAAAATCTCACACGATAGTGGATTTTTCAATTTATCTTTGTATTTCCATCAGTTTCAATAAAAGTTGCTAATATTTATTCACCACCTGCTGTGTGTCAGGCCCTGTGATAAGGACTTAGCATATATTATCTCATCTGATCCTTACAACAGCCTATAAGGGAGGCATTATTATTATCCTTGTTTTTCAGATGAAAAACCCAAAACAAAGAGGAACCTGATATCACATACCTAAAAAGTAGCAGAGTTGAGACTTAACCTACTCTTGGCTCTAAGTATGCAGCATGGACCACACATCACAATTGCTTTTCCTGGAGCCCTGCTCTTATTTTATGTAGCCCTGAGAAAGAAAGAAAAAAGCTTTCAATTTCTATGACACGATGTTTTCTTATATATGAGAGTTTTTATACTTATCGAAAAAGTTCTTTTAGACTTTTTTTTGAGACAGGATCTCGCTATGTCGCTCAGGCTGGAATGCAAGTGGTGCAATCACGGCTCACTGCAGCCTCAACCTCCTAGGCTCAAGAAATCCTCCTACCTCAGCCTCCTGAGCAGCTGGCACTACAGGTGCACATCACCATGCCCAGCTAATTTTTTAAATTTTTTTTTGTAGAGAAGAGGTCTCACTACCAGTTTGTCCAAGCTGGTCTCAAACTCCTGGGCTCAAGCAATCCTCCCACCTCAGCCTCCCAAAGTGCTGGGATTACAAGTGTGAGCCAATGAGTCACCACACCTGGCCTTTTAGACTTATTGATAAAACATTTTGTCATAGATTTCTCTTGAGCATATACGAAAAGGACACACATGTGCCTTAAGACTTGCTTCCTCCCAGAACCCAATGCCTTTGTGTCACTTTTGAATTAGAGCCGACTCTGTCCCCTGAAGAGCACTGGGGACACAGGATTTATTTGAACATGCTCCAGTATTGTCTCCGAGGTTTTCTTCCAAGGCATTCACATCCATTCACATTGGCACTGCTGCTTTATTGATGTTACCAAGAAATGTCAACAGAAATTAGGAATCACGGACACATGCTGTTTTGCTCTCGCTCTCAGCTGTGTGTTGAGAACGCAGTCGTAGGACAGCAGGGTGATGCAGGGGAGCTGCTGGCATCGGCAGAGAGAAATGGGAAGACAGCCACATCTTCAACGGAAGGCAAGCTGCCCGATGCATGGAGACCCTGGGGCTGCCTGCACTTACACTAGCTGTTCAGACGCCATGGACACCAAGGGTATTTGAGTGGCTGAAAGGTTGACGAGGATTCCACAGGGTGGCAGCAGAACCAGGACCAGGACCAGGGGAGCACTACCAAGGAAAACCTGGACACAGCCACCTGGGGGCAGGAGCCACACCTACTTCAGTTTATGAGAAACAAGTTCACTCATCCAAACCCAAAGAATGGACTCAGAGACCCGGAGAACTGCAAAAGTGAGACTTTTAACGACAGTCTTGCAAGATAGGGTATCTGATGGACAGGCACACCCAGCACAGTTTCAACAAGCAATTTATCCCCTAGTGCACAGGTCCCTCCCCCAGTTCCTCAAATGCTGAGTACTATGGAGGTCACAGTCTTCCTGGACATCGCCTATGGGTTGGTGGGTAGGGGTTTTAGGCATTTTCTTTACAGTTGTCTTGCTGCATCTTGTTGCAGCCACAATGCATTGCAATCCTAGTTAGCTCAGGGGCTCTTCAAGTATTTCACTTATGACCTAAGTAGCTGGGCAGGCTGATAAGAACAGACAAAGTGAGCTATTTTGCAGGCTAGTAAACTTTCATCTTAGACTAAACTCCTTTGGTTCTGGTAAGGGCAACTAAGGGGGTGAGGGGCAACAAACAGGCATCAGCTCTCCAAGCAGGGGCCTAGTATATCCTGTTTCTTCTGTAGTTTGCTGACCTAAACTGATTCAAGGCACTATGTCTTGGAAATGAACCACCGTACACATTATTTCCTTCAAGTTCATCGTCATGTTCCCAGCACCCAGCACAGTGTGGGAAACAGAAACAAGAGACAGCAATGGATCCCTCAGTGCTCTAATGGCCCCCAGATCGCTGTGTAAACTCCTCCTGCCCGTCTGCCCTGATGTGGAGAGTGCCTCACAGAACTGTGTCGGGACTGGAATTTGGTGAGCAGGTCCATGGCGTCCCCACTCTTTTATGGAAGAAACCGCACCAGGACAACTGTCTTTAGAGCTTCCCAAACCACACTGTTACTCTGCCTTCCGTTTAAAATCTCTTGAAATCCACACTGCAATGGCACAGTCCCTCAATTCTCTCCAAAAAAAAACTGGGGTACTTATCCCCCCGTGATGGCAAGTGAAGAAGAATCCAACGTGTTCATGGGCAAATTATCCAAGCATTCATCAACCCCTAGCTTGGAAATTCTTTGGCTGACTAGTTTCTGCCCCCTAGTCTGTCCACGTTAGGAGAGGACTGGGCGGGGGCTTGGCCAAGGTGAGACAGCTCCAGGAACGCTAGCAGAGACAAATACTTTGTCCTTTTCTGTCCTCTTTCCTGCCAACACCCCATATGGGTATTTTGCTGAGGAATGAGCATGCCTCCACCAACACGGGGATGCCCAGCATCTGTCAGCACATGTTTTCCGAGTGTTCCCAGTCCCACCCTGGTTCCAGAGGGGGTCATACAAAGCACAGAAAACCCTATCTGTCTCAAGACAGTGTAGCAAGCAAGTCAAAACCAGCACCACTCATTAGTTAGTGAGCAATTCGGTGCTAATTGGCAGAAAATAGGTGAAAAAAGGTTCACAATCATATTTTAAAGTAGTTTTATGAAAGTATAATATTCATACAAAGTCATAAATGTACCAGTCATAAATGTACAGCTCATTGAATTTTCACAAAATGTTTACACCCAGATCAAGAAGAGGAAATTACCAGAACCTACCAGCACCATCACCCCCATGCAAGGATCCCACTGTCCTGGCTTCCAGCACCACAGCCTAGCTCTGCCCATATTTAAACATAGTGTAGCTGGAATCACAGAATGTGAATGCCCTTCCTCCTGGCTTCTTCCACCCAATATTACACTGGTGAGCTCACGGGTGCTGGGGCTCACTCATCGCCGTTGCTGTGCAGCATCCATTTATCCATGCTGCCCCATTGGCGGGCGTTTGCCATCTCTCCCATTTGGGACTATTACAAATAGCACTGCCCTGGAGGGCTTGGTGGCCACACATCCCCATGCCTGTTGTGTGACTGCCCAGCCAAGGACTTGCTGGGCACAGGGGGCACCTGTGGTCAGCTCTTGTGGATATCACCAGGCAGGTGCCCAGAGTGGTTGCCTCATGGTTCTATTTAGTGATCCTTTTGACTTCACATTTAAATAAAATTACCTCCCAGGAGGGAAAACATACTACTATAGAGCACCTCATGTATCCTGGCATGAGACACGGCTGTCACCAAAGGACGGCATTGAGTAAAGGAAAGGAAAGCAGCCATGCAGTCACAGGTGCCCTTGAATTTCCCCTGGGAAGCCACTCCAGGGGGCAGGGGGCAGGGGAGACTGAAACTTCAGCTTTCAATAGACACAGCTGTGAAGACGATCCCATGTCCAAGAATCCTGGAGTGCCCCCAGAACATCTCTCATCATTAAGAAGTCAACGACAGGCTTCCATGCGGAGGCTGCCAATAGCCAGGAGGGAAGGCTCTCTGGGCTCACCCTTGCCAGGCTGGGCGTTGGTCTACACCCCACTGTTGTTTAAATTGTTTATCATTCATTCTCTCTCTCTCTCTCTCTCATTTCTCTTTCCCCAACTCTCTCTTCCCATCCCCACAACTTGTGTAATTGTGTAAGTGTATTTATAAAAGTCAAATAAGGTGACTCCATTTTATCATCCTGTTTTTCAAAGCTGATGCAGCTAAGGCTCAGAGAGGCTAAGTAGTTTGCCCAAGTTCACAGAGCATTCACACACACACAACTCCCTGGCCCCACAGGACATGATCTGTCAGCTGTACCATCTCTCTACAAAGCCACCAGGATCATATAATAAAGAATGTAAAGAGACTCTCTTCCTACCAGAAAGTCCCTTATATGTGAGCAAACCCCTAGGACGCCAGAAGGACTCTGTGAGATTTGTGTAGAAATCTCCTGGTATTTCAGTTCTCCCGGTGAGTGGACACGTATTTCTCATCAGGAGGCTTCGATGTCTCTAAATTCATCCCCAGTGTTCTGAAGGGGTAGATTACGCTCAGGAGTGACCAGCCAATTGTTAGAGAAGATTTCAGTCGAGGCTTTGCTTGTGAAGGTGCACTGCTCACAACTTGGCTTCTCCTGTGTGGAACACAAATGTGAAGGACCAAGCGGAGCATTTATGAGCACCAAGGCTGGGGCTTGCTCTCAGGTCAGAGTTCGAATTGTCCACTGTCTGCATCTCAGTTAAGATGCACCCGTCAGTCCTAACATGGAACCCAGAGTAGTCTTTCTCCCCTGAGTAGGTCTTGATCCAGAGATCCAGTTAGGGCCCCCTAGAAACAAGCATGAATGCCCCTGGTCCTTCCTACCTCCCCAGAAGCAGAGAGAGGGCATGCAGCTGGACTGGATTGCCTTAGCTGAGCTGTGGCTCATGGATAGGAGTGCCTGCTGGCTGCCTCAACCAGGAAGGAGGGGCTGCTGTTCCTGAAAATCATGGTCATCTCCTCTGGCAAGTCCACCATCATATTCCAACAGGGTAAGCACAGTGGAACTCGGCAAGGGGAATAACCCAGTATCACAGGCAGCCCCAAAGAAACGGCAGTGGGACGGGTGAGTGTGGTCTCCAGTTTTCTCACTGGAAGCCTACAGGCCTGGGCCACCTGGAAGTAACAGACCTTTTAGTTTACATCACTAAAAACCAATCACACCCTTACATTTCAAAGAACTTGCACTTAAATCAAACTGCCAAAATATAATCAAGTTGCATGACTCTGATTTTAATTTAGGCCTAAATTTCTCCAGTAGTGTAGGGAACACTGAGGTGGCCAGTGCTGGGAGCCATATCACCAAGTGGCATTTGCTTGTGGAGCCAAAGTCCCCCAAAAAGAATTGGGCCTGGAGAACCTTACCGATATGTCATCAGTAACATTAACTGGCCCTTGATCAACCTTTTCCTCTTTGTAATTATTTTTCCTCCAAGACTCCTGTGACATTCTTTCCCATGGTTTTGAAGACAAAGGAAAGTGTGCTGCCAAGCCTTGGGCATAGACAAGCCACACAACATTTACTGCAACTTTAAGAAATTGTTTAATAGGAAAGGAATCTTCCTAAAAGCATTTTCTGATCATCATTAAAGAAGTCAATCCCCTCTTTTAGCTTAGAGATAAATAAAGTCCTGATTACTGGAGCAAAGTACCTTGAGAATTTCCCATTTATTCCCCGATGACATAATCCTCATGCCAATAAATTGACCATGTGATGTACATGCTCCTGTAATGCCGTGTGTTAATGTCAGGGAATAAATTCACAATCTGATTTGATTTTTTCTGGAGTGGGGAGAACCTGAAACAACATAATGCAGACACATAATCAGCAGACACAAAATAAGCTGTTCATCCGATTTCAAACACACTCACAACCAAACCTCACTTCTGAAATCACCATAATTACTTTTTTAAATAATTCATTTTTAATGATTATAAAAGTCTACATTCCTGTGGTGGAAAATATAGGAAATAAGAAAATAACAATCACCGCTAAGCCTATGATCCACAAATAAGCCCTGTCAACATTTTTGGTCTATTGTATTTTAATACTTTTCAAAACATACATAATTTCACAACCCAATATCACATTGTAGGTGCAACTTGAACTGACTTTTTTTTCACTTTGCATGCAACATTGTCAAAGTATGTCAAAATGTGGAAGGACATTTAGTGATAACCTCTGGGTGGCAGAAATATTGTTATTTTCTTATTTTCTTTATGCTTTATTACCTATATTTTCTAATTTTCTACAATGCACATTCATTATTATGAAAAGATTATTTTTAAATTCAGAAAGATTATTTTCCATGGCTGCATACCATTACATCTTATGGATACACCCTGATCTACTTAATCTTTATCAAAATGGTGGACAGCTGCCCTTTCCAAGGTCTTAGGAGGGGCCCTTGGAATGTGTTCATGTGGTCATATGTTTTTGTGAAATTTGCAACAGTAAACTATAAACACAGTTATTTGAGACCATTCTAACTTCCCTCCTGCACATCTTTGCTATCAGGTTGTACTCAGAGGAAGTCGAATTGAGGGCATTTATGGGACTCACCATCATTTCTCATTGTACCTGTTACTGCAGCCACCCTAGCATGGGGACTCTTTCAGGATGCTCCCAATGTCAGCAAATCCATGAGGATTTAAAGGGATTCTAGGAAGATGGCAGCAGTGACACGGGTTTTGAATCTCCTTGAATCCTACACAAAAATAACATGGAAATTAGATAGTAAAACCAAAAACACATGGGCAAATGGCCAAAAACAACAAAACTAGATGATACAGTCCCCACCCTCTAGGCCCTACGTAAAAGCAAGTGGAGGTGACCACCATGGCCACGGCCCTGCGTGATACCAGCGTCTGTGTGGAGGGAGAAGAGAGAAGCAAGGGAAACCTGGAAAAAAGATGACTTGGGAAAGAATTCAGGACAAATGAAAATCATCTCAGAAATGAGGGCTAAACTGGAAGGAACACAAGGGCAAATAACAGGCAGTCAATGCATTGAGAGAAATAGGAGAAATTTGTTTTAGTCATAAAGACATAAAGGAAAAAATAAAAAGAAAAAATAAAAAATGACAAATAGGCAAAAAAGATTCAGCATATAGGTAATAAAGTATCTAGAGAAAAAACCTGAAGTAAAATAGCAGAACAAATACTGAACTCTGCAATGGCAAAAAAAAAAAAAAACTTTCCCATAATTTAGAATTTAGAAAACAAAACAACAACAACAAAAAAAGTTGAAACTACATTCTGAAAGAGCACAGTGAGTACCTGAGAATATCAACCCAAAAGGACCAGCACCAAGACATAGGCTAGGAACATTACTGAACTCTAAAGACAAATAAATAATTCCTTTGCGAATCTGGGTGGAACAAACACGAATGAACATAAAATCAAAGGGAGAGAAAATCTGATTATCATCCACGTGGAGAGCAACACTTACTCCAAAAGGAGATAGAGGAATCGATTCTGCAACCCAAAGAGCTGCTCTCGGTCAGTGCCACAGGGCTACATCTGTGCAGGGGGCACAGGCAGGCCTGGACACCCGTGTATGGCAGAGTGATAAGGCCCAGAAGGGAACATCGCACACAGCCCAGACTGGCATGGAGCCACTAGTTGGACATCTGCAGGGGAGCGTAAGCCGAGAGGGAATCCTCTAGGAGGAGATGGGCCAAGCCACACAAGTGCAGGGAAGAGAGAGGAGGGAGGAGGGAGAGCCACATTGTGTCATGCTGGAGTGAGTAGGTTTGTGGGGACTCAAATGTGCCCTTTTTACCAAAGCACAAGTATTCAGGACAACCATCACCAAGTTCAGCTGCAGTCCTAGCACCCCACTGCTGTCTGTTTTCACAGGAGCACCAGTCCAACAAGAAGTGCATCGAGGCACGTGTACATACAACTGTGACACGCAGTTTGGCTTTGGAAATCTTGAGCACTGCACCATGCCCAGGAAAACCGTAGATGTCCATTCCTGTACCAGAATGACCAAATCATTGCTGTGTCTGCACAGTCCCAGAAATAAAACCACCAACCTAGTTTTCAGCCAACTCAGTTTTTTAGTAAATGTACAGTTGTAAAGTTCAAAGTCATGAAAAACAAGGAAAGACTGAGTGACAAATGAAAGACTAAGGAGAGAGACATGATGACTAAATATGCAGGGCATCCTGGATTCAATTCTGAAATAGAAGAATTACATTCGTGGAAAAACTGGTGAAACCCAACTGAAGTCTGTCATTTAGTAAATGGCATTGCACAACGGTGAATTCTTAGTTTGGATCAATGTCACATAGCTATATAAGTTGCTAACATTTGAGGAAACTAGGTAAAGGGTATTTGGGAACTTTGTACTATGCCTGCAACTCATCTATAAATCTAAAATTATTTCAAAATATGAAGTTTAAAAAATAGTTAACACTTTGCAATAATAGCACAGAAAAAAACAACTAGTTATTTGGCTGAATCTGTTTCCTTTTTACCTTTTCGATGGTACTTAGAACATCACAAGGTACTGTAGGTGGATCCCAAGTGTTCTGCCCCTGTGTTGAGGTCAGAGCCCTCCCTGGAGTTGCCCCCATGATCCCCTTAGCAAGGAACTGCTGGGGATACCCAGGAGCTCTGGCACTGGTCCCTACTGTGGCCATGAACCCCAGCATGGAGAGAAGAAATCAGTGGGTGACACCTTCCTGGACTTTCCCTGTGCCTGTCCAGCCACTGTCCTCGACAGTTTTGCTCTCTGACTACAACTGGATGTGGGGATGTTGTTGATGCACTTGAAGGGTTGGATGCCTCGCCCATCCTTTCTCACCCTGCAGCACAGTGCTGATGCAGCTAAGACCATGGCCCTGCCTTGCATGCCCACAAAGCCACACCCACACTGTTCCAGAAGGTCTCCCTTAGTCTGGCACCAATGCAAACAGCTCAGCACTGTCATCACGGCAGCCCGTCCCCAGAGAGCAGAGCCTGACCCCAGCCAGATGCAGGCTGTCAACCCTGGAGGGACCCCAGGGGGCAGGAGTAAGGCTGGGGAGGCAGAGCTGACAAAGCTGGGGTGGGATATTGAGTCAGCCCCTCTGTGTGCCTTTGGGAGTGTGTCTGAGAATGGTCCCGGGGAGGAAGGGGAGCATTCCCTCATTGGCCCCCATGCATCACTGGTCCAGGCCCCTACGCGCTGGCTCACCACCGGCAATGCACACTCCACGACCAGGGAGCCCCACGCAGGAAGGCAGAGGCCACGCCAGGCCACATTACCCCTGGGCAAAGCTCTCAGAATCCTGCCAGCATGCAAGGAGAAACTGAGAGGATGGGCAGTGGGGGAGGCAGGGTCCAGGGCAGCTGCCCCATCCTCCCAACCGTGCAATTGCGAGTCTCTGAGGCATACTCTGCCCAGGAACCCAACCAAGCCCACATGAGGGCAGGTGGGAGTGCCAAGGGGCTAACACCACCGGGGCAGACTCAGCCGCTTAGTGCTAGTGGATCAAGACCCCAGCTTCCCCACCTGCCAGCCAAGACAATGCTGAGGCGTGATCCGCACAAGGTCCTGGGGGGTCCCCAGCAGGTGTGAGCCCCTGTTGCCCACAGTGGAAACCTGTGTCAATGCACACTCCCGGTCTGGCTTCCCTCCCTCTCACATCCCCTCCCCGCAGCTGCCTCCCAGGACCACATTCACCACTTGCACCCAGTCCTACCCATCGGGACTGCTTTGCAGAGAATCCATTTAAAACTGACCAAGTGGGCGTTGGAACCCTGCACTGTCTGATTCAGGCCCAAAACGTTTAAACACAATGCTAATACCCTCAGTTGTTGGGAATGTTGGGTTACTTGTGGGTTCCATTTGGATACTGGCCCCTGTGACGGCTACAGGACATGGGACGCCACCCATCCACTGATGCCACCTTTCTACCTCCTGCCCCAACAACGCCTCATGGGCACCAGAGACTCCGGGCACATTTCATGCTTCTCCAGATCCAGGGACCACGGAGGAGGGAGACTGTCTTCACCTCTCTGCTCTGCAGCTTTAGATCCTGCATGCTACTCACCGTCCCTGTGGCTCCAGACCCCATCCATGGGTTTATCTCCCCCAAGGAAAAATCATCACGGGGTTCTTCCATTTACACGCACTGGCTGCAGCCACAGCCTGGGGGACCAGGGCTGGACGGCGCCACAGGTAGAAGAGGGCCCGGATTCCCGAGTCACCTCCCAAGTCACCGTGGGAGGCTAATCAGGCCGCGCTGACCTTTGCCTCCAGCAGGGCCTCCGCTTCACTCCCTTCAGGGGTCTGGACATCATCTCTGGGCCTGGGCACACCCTGGGACAGTCAGATGCGGCGGCTTCCATGCGCCTCCCTCCCTCAGGCCTCACCCCCTTCATTCTCTCACTCTAAAACCTCCCGGACAAACCACTAAAAACGATGCGGCTGTCGTGGTGGTGGGTCATTTGGTTTTGGGTCGCGTGACCTCAGTGAGTGTGTCCCCATGGGGAAGCCGAGAGTGCTGACGTCCCCCTGGATGCGGGAGAGTCCACTCCGGGATCGCTGTTCCTGGAAAACCGCGTGCGGGTGCAGCCAAGCCCCTCAGTTGGGGAGGGAAGGCACTGGAGGACGAGGCCCGGAGGTGAGTCCGCAAAGCCAGGCTGCCAGGCTAACCACGCCCAGCTTCCCCCAGCCACCGACCAGGCTGCGGGGACGCTTTCAGAACATCATGCGGGTGCGCCGGCTGGCCCTGGGTGTCTGGGCCGGGGCCCCTCCAAGCCCACCTGGGAGAGCACTCCCGCCTCCCCCCACCCCGGGGCGCCCACCACCCCGGCCTCCGCCGCCGCCCTGCGACAGCGCCCCCAGGGCCCGGCGTCCTGGGCCTCTGACTCTGCCCGGTTTGCTAACCCGGACCCTCGCCGCGTCTTCCGGCTCCAGTATCCTCGGGAACCTCCTCCCTTTCATCACTCGCCTCGACAAGACCTTCTGAGGCCACACATCTCGAGGCAACAGCTCTGTGCCCCGCCTTTGTTTGGCTCTCAAAATTGTGCTGTGCCCTCTCATCTCCAACAGCGTTACGCTGATTTTCGAGCTTTTCCTGGCTCCCCCTGGCTCTTTGCTGTCGTCACTCGGTTCTCCGCCCATCCCCGTGCGCACGTGTTCGCTGTGCTAGCCCCGTGCGAGCTGAGCTGCCGTTAGAGTCGGTAGATTACAGCGAAGCTGCAGTCAGCAGCTCGTCTGCCTGGCCCTGCACACCGTGAGACTCGAGGCAGTGCCCGGGACGGGACCACCTGGGGAAGAGAGGAGGGAAAAGCCAAACCCCGCAGAGGAAGGACGAGAGCTGGCAGCCAGGTCGGCTGCGAAAGGGGAGAGAGGTGGGCAGTCCAGGTCTGGGATGGGCCAGCCTAAGCTCGAATCGCTGTGTCAGTGGGTTGGTCACTTAGCCCTTTTAAGCCTCAGTTTCCTCATCTCTAAAATGTGGATAATGACAGAACCCTCACAGGGCATCCAGAGATGGAGGCTGTGCGATGAGCCGAGCCCAGGCCTGTGGAGTTTTCTGTGCTCAGTGCTGTTGCTGTTGTCATCATTAGCCACCGTTTTTCAAATCTCGGAAGCCTCTTAGAAAACCAGCTGTTCTTGATGGCCACTTGTGAAAGGAGAAGCAGATTTCTTAATCAGAATGATTCAAAGAACTTTCTCCCAGCAACAGTTGTTAAATCAAGGCCTTGGAATTTTCTCTGAAAGAGAATTCTGCTGGGTGCTGTGCCTCACACCTGTAATCCCAGCACTTTGGGAAGCCGAGGTGGGAGGATTACTTGAGGCCAGGAATTCAAGACCTGCCTGGGCAACATAGTGAGACCCGTATCTACAAAAAATAAAAATAAATTAGCTGAGTAAGGGAGAGCACACCTGTAGCCCCAGCTACTCAGGAGGCTAAGGCGAGAGGATTGCTTAAGCCTAGGAGGTCAAGGCTGCAGTGCGCTATGATTGCACCACCGCACTGCAGCTCGGCAACAGAGTGAGACCCCGTCTCTAAAGAAAATAGTAAGTACAAATAAATAAAAGAGGATTCAGTATCATCAGGCTTGAGTGGTTCCTGAGAGAGAAAAGACCTAGATCATTCCTTAAGTTCCCCCTGGAGCCCCAATATCTTGATTCTGTGACTCTTCACATCTCCCTAATTAAATTGTCTGGTTTAATCCTCTCCTTGAGCCCTCTCCTCGGCCTCTGTCCTCCCCAGCCTTGCATCCATTCCATGCCCACCTTCCATGCTGGGGATGACTTACAAACTGCAGGCTTGCAGATTCACAATCACTCAACAATATGCTGCACAGACAGACTGCCCTCCTCCATGGACACCCTCCTTTGTGCGAAGGCCAACTGCTTATGGGCAGTTGGAATGTCTTCTAAGCAGACAAAAGGCCTGCTCAAGTGTGCAACTATTTGGGGGCAGGGGCCACTCCCTCCGCGGGTGGTTAAGGGCTGTGCTGCTTGGAGCCAGCTGCTGAGTCCTGGAGAAGAATAGAGCAGGCATGTGGACGCGACAAAAGCTGCCTGGCCCTGTGCCCCAGGCCAGCCCAGGACGCAGCACATCCTCAACATATGGGTCCCTGGGGGGGTCCCCTCATTTAACAATCATGATTTCCCTCTTCAGGAGACAACAAGGTTTGGAAACCTTAAATGGGCTGTGTGACTAAATTAAGTTCCCAAGGCAGCCAGAACCAAGACGCTAATTGCCTTGGCTTATGGTTCTTACCCTCCACGAGACAGATTGGCTCATTTTTCAGGCTACTAATTATTAATTTGAAGCCATGAATAGAAAGAGATGGGAAGGACCTGTCACCTCCTGCTTGGTGAATGCTAAAGCTTTGTCATTTGCAGGCACAGGAGAGTGCCGACGGGCCTTTGAGTGAGCCAGGCAACAAGTCAGGGGTCCCATATGTACAAACTGCATCTTGGCATTGCTTCTGCTCTGTGCAACGTGGTGGGAGCCCACTTACAATCAACTGCCAACATCAGAGCTCATGGGACACAAGGGCCATGTTATCTGAGGCCTCAAAAAATTCAGACTTCGGAGAGATCTCCAAAGTTTGTATAAAAGTCTCTGCTGGTATAAAACAGTGCAATTCTGAGTTACACTGTCAGAATTTTAAAATGTTAAAGTCCTTTATACAACTTTAAACTTGTGTCTTAGCTGGGTGCGGTGGCTCACACCTGTAATCCCAGCACTTTGGGAGGCCGAGGTGGGTGCATCACCTGAGGTCAGGAGTTCAAGACCAGCCTGGCCAACATGGTGAAATCCCTGCCTCTACTAAAAATACAAAAATTAGCCAGGCGTGGTGGCAGACATCTGTAATCCCAGCTACTCAGGAGGCTGAGGCAGGAGAATTGCTTGAACCCAGGAGGTGGAGGTTGCAATGAGCCGAGATCGCGCCACTGCACTCTAGCTTGGGTGACAGAGTGAGACTGTCTCAAAAAAAAAAAAAAAAAAAAAAAAAAACTTGTGTCCCATGAATAAACCACACCTTTGACACTATTAATATTTTTAATAAACTCAACAATTATCTTGGGAATGGTACAACTTCTTTGCACTGTATTTTGGTATATTAAAGGCATTCATTACTCATTAAATGCAAACAACTAGACCAGACATGGTGGCTCACGCCTGTAATCCCAGTACTTTGGGAGGCTGAGGCGGGTGGATCACCTGAAGTCAGGAGTTCGAGATGGGCCTAGCCAACATGGTGAAACCCCATCTCTACTAAAAATATAAAAAATTATCTGGGCCTGGTGGTGCATGCCTGAGTCAGGAGAATCGCTTGAACCCAGGAGGCAGAGGCTTCAGTAAGCAGAGATCATGCCTTTACATTCCAGCCTGCACAAAAAGAGCAAAAACCCCATCTCAAAAAATAAATAAAATAAATGCAAACTACTAAAATTTACCATAACTTTTGGTAACTCATTTTCTCCCCAGCTTTCTTTTATTTAAAATTTCAAATATATACAATTGATAGTATTTACAATGAATCCCCATAGATCTACCACAAACATTCTACAATTAATGCTATCAATTGTAAATCAAAGAACATGACTGAGGCCAGCCTCAATCTTTTTAGGAAGTTTATTTGCCAAGGTTAAGGACATGCCCAGGAAAGACCACAGATCCATAGGAAAAATTGTGGTCCATACCTTTCCTGAAGAGGGTCTGGGGATCTCAATATTTAAAAGGAAAAGAGTGGGTATTGGAGAAAGAGGAGGAAATTTTTTAAAGGTGTGGGTAGGTAAGAGGCAAATGGTTGTATTCTTCTGAGCCTTTGATCAGCCTTACATGTGAGAGGGGGACAGAGAAACAGGAGAAACAGGCACTTATGCATTCATGTAGCTCAGTGATTCTACACTTTTACATGAAATAAAATAGACATAGGGCAGAGGAAGCAATCAGATATGCATTTGTATCGGTGAGCAGCAAAATGAACTTGAGTTCTGTCCTTTGTACCACACCTGTGAAGATAAGCCATCAATTTACATTGCCAGGGGGAAATTCAACAGAACTGTTTTAGGGTAAAGATCTTGGGGAACACAAGGAATTTCCTAGTGGGCAAATTGTAAGGGAGGCATGTCGCTTTGTTTTATCTTCATTGCTGTCTTATTTAGGAACGAAACGGGAGGCAGGTTTGCATGATCCAGATTCCAGCTTCACTCTTCTCTTTGGCATTGTGAATTTGGGATCTCAAGATTCATTTTCCTTTCACACAGTCTATCACATTTGTGGTGCATTTCACATGAAGTTGCTGGCATCGGGGTGCTTTGCCTCCAAACACCTCAGCGTGCATACCATTACCAGCCACGTTTATGGGGATTTGGGGGTAAAACGTATATAGAATGTCACATCCACTCAAAAGCTCACCTTCTGTGAGTTTGGAAATGCATACCCCTGTCAAGATGCACAGGATTCATGCCCTCAGAAGCCCAGAGGCCCTTCCCAGTCAATCCTGTCCCACCCCCAACTCACCCCCAGTCCAGCCCCACAGGAAACCACAGTTCATTTTTTTCACCATAGTTATAACTCATTTTTGCTATAATATTTATATCCTAATATACCTGGAACCTCAATAAGTAAAAGTGGTCCAGGGCCCTGTCATCTTCCATGAGGTTCAGAGAGCCTCCTTACTATTCTTTTTATTTTTTTTTTTTTATTTTTGAGATGGAGTCTCACTCTGTCGCCCAGGCTGGGGTGCAGTAGCACGATCTCGGCTCACTGTAGGCTCCACCCACTGGGTTCACACCATTCTCCTGCCTCAGCCTCCCGAATAGCTGGGACTACAGGTGCCCGCCACCGCGCCTGGCTAATTTTTTGTATTTTTAGTAGAGACAGGATTTCACCGTGTTAGCCAAGATGGTCTCGATCTCCTGACCTCATGATCCACCCGCCTCGGCCTCCCAAAGTGCTGGGATTACAGGTGTGAGCCACTGCACCCGGCCCTTTTTTATTTTTTAAATCACCAAATCATCAGTGTGCCCCTCCAGGTATAAGAAGGTGAAGGGCAAATTACAAAACACAAGCTGGCTTTAAGCCCATGAGTCTGCAAGATGTGTTTTTCTTTTCTGCAAACAGGGAATATTAAACCTGGCTGCTTTGCCTGTTCTCATGGGACACTTTAAAATAAGCAAAGGCTGCACTGTACACTTTGTTGGAGAACACAGAGCTCTTTGAATCTTTTGAATTGGAAAGACAACCTGAAAAAAAAAAAACAGAATTAGAGATTGATGTAAAAATCCCATTTTTTAGGCAAAAATCAACAATGGATGCGAAAATTAATGGGTGGAAGGTTGAGTAAGAAGATATTTACATAGTCTCAAAGTATCTCCAATGAGATACTTAGCAATTTCAAAAGGAAATATAGTAACATGGCAGTGGAGAGGCCTGGCAGACGCCTTCTAAACCAGGGATGAATTCCAGCATCATCAGTGATCGGACAAACTCAAACCCACGCCTTCTCACAGGATGCGCAGAACAGGTACATCACTGCGGTGATATTCTTGATGAAACCATGTCATCTGAATCTATCAGATGAACCCCAAATTAAGTGCCATTTAATAAAATAATTTACTCTCAAAAACAGTCAAGGTCGTGGGAAAAAAAGACTGAGGAATTGTTTCAGATTAAAGGACATGAGACGTGACGGCTGATTGCTAGACATGATCAAAGACTTTCTTTTGCTATAAAGGACATTAAAGGGAACAACAGCAAAATCTAATGGAGATACATAAATTATAAAGAGTATTATATCAAGGTGTGTTAATTTCCTAATTTTAATAACTGTACTGTTGTTGTGAAGAGAAGATACTTGTCATTTTTGTAACAGCTTTGCTGAGATATAATTTATATACCATAAAATTCATCCTATTAACAATTTATTCCATGGTTTTAGCATATTCATAGTTATGCAATTATCACTTAGATTGTTTTAGAATATTTTCTTTCCTTCAAAAAGAAAACCATTAGCAGCCATTTAGCCACTGTTCCTTCCTTCCTTCCTCCTTCCAGCCTCTGGCAACCACGAATCTACTTTTTATCTCTGTGGATTTGCCTATTTGAACAGTCCATGTAAATGGAAACATCCAATATGTGGCCTTTGTGTCTGACTTCCCTCACTTAGCAGAATGTCTTCAAGGTTCATCTGGGTTGCGGCATGTCAGAACATCACTCTTGTTGTGGCTGAGTAGTATTCCACTGTGTGGGTCTACCGCCTTGTGTTTATCCATTTATCAGTGGATGGACATTCAGGTTGTGAATAGTGCTTCTATGAACGTTTGTGAATAAGTATTTATAAGTATTTGTTAGAATATCTGTCTTCAATCATGTAGGGCATATATATCCAGAAGTTTAACTGCTATATGGTATTTTTATTTTTAACTTTTTTTTTTTTTCTGAGTTAGGGTCTTACTCTGTCACCCAGGCTAGGGTGCAGTGGCATTATCTCAGCTTACTGCAAACTTGATCTCCTGGGCTCAAGCAATCCTCCCATCTCAGCCTCCCAAGTAGCTGGGACTATGGGCATCCACCATCACGCACTGCTGATTTTCGTATTTTTTTTAGAGATGGGGTCTCACTGTGTATCCCAGGCTGGTCTTGAACTCCTGGCCTCAAGCAATCCAACTGCCTTGGCCTCCCAAAGTGTGATTACAATAACGAGCCACTGTACCAGGCCTATTTTTAACTTTTTGAGGAATTCTCAAACTGTTTTCCAGAACAACTGCTCCATTTTACATTCCCACCAGCAATGCATGAGAGTTCTAATTTCTTTCTTTTTTTTTTTTTTTTTTTTTTGAGACAGAGTCTCACTGTCACCCAGGCTGGAGTGCAGTGGCATGATCTCGGCTCACTGCAACCTCTGTTTCCCAGGTTCAAGTGATTCTCCTGCCTCAGCCTCCCGAGTAACTGGAATTACGGGCCTGTACCACCACGCCTGGCTAGTTTTTTTGTATTTTCAATAGAGATAGAGTTTCGCTATGTTGGCCAGGGTGGTCTCGAACACCTGACTTCAAGTGATCTGCCCACATTGGCCTCCCAAAGTGCCAGGATCACAGGCTTGAGCCACTGCACCCAGCTGAGAGTTCTAATTTCTTCACATCCTCACCAACACTTGTTTTCCTCTCCTTTTTTTAAATCATAGACAACCTAATGAAAGTGAAGTGGTATCTCATAGTTCTGATTTTCATTTCCATGATGTCTAATGATGTTGAGCATCTTTTCATATCCTTGTTGGACCTTTGTATGTTTTCTTTGGAGAAAAGTCTATTCAAGGCCTTTCACCATTTTTAATTGGGTTAAGTTCTGAGAGTTATTTCTATGTTCTGGAAAGTAAGCCCTTCTTACATATATAATTTGCAAATATTTTCTCTCATCCTGCAGATTTTCTTTTCGCTTCTTGAAAGTGTTCTTTGATGCACAAAAGTTTTTAATTTTGATGGGTTGCAGTTTATCTAGCTTTTCTTTTGTCATCTATGTCATAGCTAAGATTATATTGCCAAATTCAAAGTTATGAAGATTTATCCCTACATTTTTCTCTTAAAAGTTTTACAGTCTTAGCTCTTGTGTTTAGGTCTTTGATCCACTTTGAGTTAATCTTTGTATACAGTATGCAGCATAGTCATTCTTTTACATGTGGATATACAGTTGCCCCAGAATTATTTGTCGAAGAGACTTTTGTCCAATTAATAAACTTGGCACCCTTGTTGAAAATTAATTGATCATAGATGTATTGGTTTATTTCTGGACTCTCAGTTCCATTTCACTGGTCCATCCTTATGCCACAACCATGATTCTTTGATTACTGTAGCTTTGTAGTCAAGCTTTGAAATTGGAAAGTGTGTGTCTTCAAACTTTATTTTTTTTTCAACATCGTTTTGGCTGTTTGGGGTCTCATAATTCCAGATGAATTTTAGAATCAGCTTTTTCATTTCTGCAAAAAAGACCATTGGTATTTTGAAAGACATTGCCATGCATCTGTAGGTCACTTTCAGGAGCACTGCCATTCTAACAACTCTACGTCTCCCAATCCACAAACACAAAGTGGCTTCCCATTTGGATCTTTATAAGTTTCTTTCTGTAATGTTTTATAATTTTCAGTGCACAAATCTTGCACCTCTTGGTTTAAATTTATTCCTATGTATTTTATTATTTTTTATGCTATTATAAATAGAATTGTTTTCTTTTTTGACTTTTTTTTTTTTTTTTTTTTTTTGAGACGGAGTCTCGCTCTGTCGCCCAGGCTGGAGTGCAGTGGCGCGATCTCGGCTCACTGCAAGCTCCGCCTCCCGGGTTCACGCCATTCTCCTGCCTCAGCCTCCCGAGTAGCTGGGACTACAGGCGCCCGCTACCACGCCCGGCTAATTTTTTGTATTTTTAGTAGAGACGGGGTCTCGATCTCCTGACCTCGTGATCCGCCCGCCTCGGCCTCCCAAAGTGCTGGGATTACAGGCGTGAGCCACCGCGCCCGGCCCTTTTTTGACTTTTTAAATAGAGTCAGGATCTTGCTCTGTTGCTCAGGCTGGAGTACAATGGTGATCCTATCTCTCTGTAGTCTCAAACTCCTGGGCTCAAGTGATCCTCCTACCTCAGCCTGCTGAGTAACTGGGACTACAAGCAACGCCACCACAACTGGCAATTTTTTTTAAAGAGACTGGGTCTTGCTCTGTTGCCTAGGCTGGTTTTGTACTCCTGGCCTCAAGCAATCCTCCCACCTCAGTCTCCAGAAGTGCTGGGATTACAGGCATGAGCCACCACACCCGGACAGGATTGTTTTCTTAATTTCTTTCTCAGATTGTTCATTGCTAGTATATAGAAGTGCAGCTGATTTAATGTATTGACCTTGTACCCTGCAAATTTGCTGAACTTGTTTATTAGTGCTTATGGATTTTTTATGAATTCTTTAAATTTTTTATATGTAAAATTAAGTCATGTGCAATAGAGATAATTTTACTTCTTGCTTTCCAATTTAGATGCCTTTTTTTCTTGTCTAATTTCTTTGGCTAGAACTTCTAGTGCAATATTGAATGGAAATGGCAAAAGTGGGTATCCATTCCTTATTTCTGAGTTTATAAGGAATGATGTCAGTCTTTCACCTTTGATGGTGGGATGTTAGTTGTGGGATTTGCACAAATGTTCTTTTTTTTGTTTTATACTTTAAGTTTTAGGGTACATGTGCACAACCTGCAGGTTAGTTACATATGTATACATGTGCCATGTTGGTGTGCTGCACCCCTTAACTCATCATTGAACATTAGGTATATCTCCTAATGCTATCCTTCCCCCCTCCCCCCGCCCCACAACAGGCCCCGGTGTGTGATATTCCCCTTCCTGTGTCCATGTGTTCTCATTATTCAATTCCCACCAAATGTTCTTTATGATATTGAAGAAGTTTCCTCCTACTACTAGTTTGTCAATTACTTTTATCATAAAAAGGTGTTCAATTTTGTTAAATGCTTTTTCTGCATTGATGGAGGTGATCGTGTTTCTTTCCTTCATTCTATTAACGTAGTATATAAAACAGATTGATTTTCATATACTGAACCACCCTTGCATTCCTGGAATAAGTCCCACTTGGTTATGATGTGTACTCCTCTAAAGGTGTTGAATTAGATTTGCTAGTTTTTTGTATTTATACTGCTATGGACTGAATTGTGTTCCCCAAAAATTTATAGATTAAATTCCTAACGCCTAATGTGGCTGATTTAGAGATAGGGTCTTTAGAAGGTAATTAAGATTATTAAGTTCATAAGGCCTAATTCAACAGGATTGGTGGCCTTATAAGAAGAGGAAGAGAGAAATATCTCTCCCTCTCTCTTTTGTCACATGCACTCAGAGCTAAGGCCATCTGAGGACCGCAGTGACAAGGTGGCCATCTGCAAATCAGGAAAGAGCCCCCTCCAGACAACCTCACTGGGCCTTCATCTGGGACTTCCAGCCTCCAGTACTGTGAGAAATAAATGTCTGTTGTTTAAACCACCCAATCTATAGCATTTTGTTATGGCAACCCAACCTGACTAATATGTGTACTCACAAGGGATATGATCTATATTTTTCTTTTCTTGTGATGTCTGTATCTGGCTTTGGTATCAGGGTAATGCTGGCCTCAGAGAATTAGTTAGAAAGCTTTCCCTCCTCTTCTACTTTTTGGAAGAGTTTGAGAAGGATTGTTGTTAATTCTTGTGTGAGCACTACTTTGTAATCCTTAATGACACACATGCAGATATTCATATAATAAATCTTAAGATATCTACGTGATGACAAAGTATTGAAATACATACATAAACTACCAGGTAAGATTAACAGTCTGAATATAGGGGTTCAGCATTTTATTCTTCCTTAGACAATATCTTCTGTTTGGGAAAATAATTTTAGTGTTAAATTTGCAATAACATATTGTTTTTTAATGCATATGCCCAACAGTGATTTTTATATAGACAGTTTTCAATATTTCATTGTTTCTCCGCATACCCCAACTCATTAAGTCGTTCCCAGTCTTCCTCCTGGGCATGCATATATGTCAACACCAGTTCATTTTCCCATCCAGGGTACACACTGAGCCTTGTGTTTCAGGAACCTTTGACCTGAGCATAACATACCAAGGGCAAAATCTTTGTAACAGGTGACACAAATAAATATCTAAAACTTAAATTCACAGAGAACCACCACAGTTTCAGGTTGGATGTCAAGAAAACTGCCATTAATTTCCTCACCAAGAAGATGTCCTAGAGAAATCAATAAAGCTCTTAATACTAAAAGAAAAAAAATTAAATAATTTCTGCAGTTTTCAAATGCTATGTTTTCAGAAGATACTTTCACAACTCAGCCTCCTGACATAGCTGGGACTCCAGGTGCACACCACCACACTCAGTTGATATTTCTTACTTTCTTTTTTAGTGATGGGGTCTTGCAATGCCCAGGCTGGTCTGAAACTACTCCTGGGATCTAGTAATCCTCCCACCTCGGCCTCCCAAAATGTTGGGATTACAGGTGTGAGCCACCACCCAGCCAGAAGATACTTTTCCTACAAACTTGTGTTCATAGCTTATATGTCTGATATACAACTAAAGTGAAACAGCAATGAACGGAGTAAACACATATTTGATCTGAGGTATAATTCCATGGACCTTCCATGGATCATCAATTTTCAAAAATTTAGAATGCATGGAATCGTACTCAACACTACACTGTGCTGAAAGACTACAATGGCACATTAGGGCCTTGCAGCCATCTCAGGTTGTCATTGTGAACATTGGTCATAGTTTAATAAAACTGGGGAAAAGCTGAAGTCAGCTTAAAAGAATTCTGAAGAATAAGATTTACTATTATTACCTTGGGAAGACTTGAGCTACCTTAGAAACAAGAAACAAAACCTAATAACATTTAAAGTTACAGCAGAAAAAATCCAGTCAACCTGAAATTTTTTTTAATGACAACTTTTCAGTTAGAATTTTTGTTTTGAGAAAAATAAGCTTAGTATAGAAATAAGATAAGAAAAAGACATAAGAGATAAGAAATAAGATAAGAAAAATAAGTTTAGTATAGAAATAAGATAGCCAATTCCTTTTCCATAAAATCAGTAAGTGATAGTAAATCTGTCCATTATGTTAAAGACCACCAAAAATGGAATTGCTGCCATGCATTTGAAATAGGAAATTGTTACGGACATTTTAATGTGCAAAAGGTTTTGTCCTGCAGTAGCCCCTGAGGCATTAATATTTTGTTTTGCAGGAAGTTGACTCTCTATTAGGATATACCTATTTTTAAAGATTAGTAACTAATCATAATTTCCTTAATAAGGGAGGAAGTACCAAATTTCAAGACAGCCGTTAAGATAATTCATTCAGATTTTTCACAAAGAATTTTCTAGCTGTTTCCACACAGTCTATGGAAAACTCACCCTTTAGGGATAAAACACTTGAGAACAATTGAAGTGTACAGTATAATCCTGAAATAACCCAGTGATTATTTTACAAAAAAATCTCTATGTCAACAAGAAAAATAACCTTTGGGATAATAGTAAAATAAAGGAACAAAATGAACATAAGTGACTCCAAAGCTGAATTTACCTGAACTTCTTCAGAAACTTCATTTTATGTCATCCAGGTCTGAGTTAATTAAAGGGACCTGTGAAAACAATAGCATGTGTGTTGTTTTTGTGAAAAGAAAAAAACAGTTTCCTTTATTTGAGGTCTAAAGTATTTTTCTCTTCCTCCATTCTTCCTCTTTAATGGGTAGTAAATTCTTACGATATGTCAGTAAGTTACAATTCATAAGCTCTTCACGGGTGGGTATGTCTTGTGTATTCTAGCCCATTAAGGAATAAATTTCCACAGCAGGCTTGTTTTTCCCTTAAGATAATTAATTAGCTAACCAGTTTAGGAAGAAAGAAGTTGCAGAAGGGAGGACAAAGCACCGGTGATCTCACTTCTCAGTTTCAATAATTTGAAATTATGACTCATCAGAGAAAATGACTGATACTCTGCTTATCAGAACACTGCTAACTTTCTATTGATGAATGTAAGTCATAGCCACCAAGGAAAAAATGAAGAGCCACCTGGCAGAGACAAATATATTGTGGCCAGAAGAAAGAGACTATTCTGAGACACACATAGCTCTTTGACTTCTTTGATCCCTAGGGAATACTTCAAAATTTGCAGAAATGAAAAGCAGCAGACGTCTTCTGGAGGAGAATCAATCTGATTTTCAAATTTAATGGCCAAAAAGATGGCATTCGTACTTGGCCTCACATCTAAATTAGTTAGAACTTCAAAAATGCTAACTTTCCTAGTTCCAAGAAGCAAGCATTCATTTTCCTCTTTGACTGTCTCATACTGGTTAAAATTCAGTGTTTCTAGAGACTTCAATCATCAGTTCTGCTAAACAAGGTAACGTTATCATTGTATCCAGGGCTGAACACTCCAAGTTCTCTAGTAAAACAGGACTGCTCTCATTGCCATTCAGAGAGATGACTTCTTTCTTAGCAGTGGATGTCAGCTTACTCCAGGTAATGTCAGTATTTTTAAAAGCATGTAGAAGAAAGATGCCAAGGATAATAGTGAAGAATCCATTCAGGGTCTCGATGATATCTCCAGTTTTCATGCCATACCACTCTTGGAGTAAGATGGCAGAGCAAGTCACTACCATGGATGTGAAGAACGCAAAATAAATGGGAGTCACAGGAGATGTATTCACGGTGTCTGGTGCCTTGAGATAGTTAATCTGTGTAGTCACCAAAAACACAAGTATAGCCAGCAAAACAATGACCAGGGGATGCTTCTAAACTGGCTTCCATTCTAGTAATTCCTTAATGGCAATACCCAGGCCTTTGGCAGGAGAAATTGAAAATGCTGCAGCCAAAGAACAGATTGAAATATAGACCAATATATTGGTCTGTCCTTTCTTGGGAGCCACAATCAAAATCAGCACCAAGATCACAATTATGATCACAGCAAAGGAAATAAATCCTGGGTCTCTCAATTTCATTTCCATTTCATGCAAAGAAGTGACTTCCTCTTCTTCTGGGGCATGGATAACCATCACAGTTGACCCCAATATGCAGCCTGTTTTCCCATAAATGTTCAAGTGCTCGTTTAAAAAATAGGAAGATAATATTGCACTTATGAGAACACTCAGAGGGCCGGGGGGGTGAGGGTGACCAAGATGGCAGGTGCAAAAGCATAAGCAGCAAAATGTGCAGCCTCTCCTGCTCCCATGGCCAGCACTCCTGTCCCCCAGAGCCATCCTTCAGGTCAGAATGTCCACCTTGTCCAGCTCCAGTGATGCTTTTGTTGGCCAGTTGCAAAAGACCCTTCTTTTTCAATATGAAGCTGGAGCCATATCCTTCTCGGCAGGGCTCTCTGTGCCACAGCCTCACATGTGCCCCCATGTCCCCAGACGGGGCTCCAGGATGCAGACGCTCTTTCCTCAGCCACCTGGGCCTCTCCTCCCCATGGACCTGCCAGATTGTTGTTAATTCTTTTTTTAAAGAAAACCACTCTATTGAGGTAAAATGAACATACAAAAAGCTGTATATATTTAATGTATACATTTCGATAAGTTTGGGGATACGTATGTACCTGTGAAATCATCACCACCATCAAGGCCATAAACACATCCATCACCTCCCAAAGTTTTCTCCCACCCCTTTATTATTATTATTATTATTATTATTATTATTATTATTATTATTGAGACAGTCTTGCTCTGTCACACACGCTGGAGTGCAGTGGCACGATCATGGCTCACTGCAACCTCTGCCTCCCAGGCTCAAGTGATCCTCCCACAGCAGCCTCCTGAGCAGCTGGGATCACAGGCACAGGCCACTATGCCCAGCTAATTTTTGTATTTTTAGTAGAGACACGGTTTCACCATGTTGGCCAGGATGGTCTCAAACTCCTGACCTCAAGTGATCCACCTACCTTGGCCTCCCAAAGTGCTGGGATTACAGCTGTGAACCACTGCACCCAGCCCCTTTATTATTTGTATTTGGATTTTGTTTTCATCACTGTTTTGATAATAACACTTACCATAAGATCAACTTGCCTTAGTAAATTTTAGGTATACAATGCAGTATTGTTACCTATAGGCATCATGCCACACAAATCTCCAGAGCTCATTCATCCTGGATAACTGAAGCTTCGTACCTTCTGATCATCATCTCCTCATTTCCCCCTCCCCACAGCCCATGAAAACCACCATTCTACTCTCTGCTTTTGAGTTTGATTATTTTAGAGTCCACATTGCTATGGTTTGAATGATGGCATCCCCTCCAAAATTTATGTTGAAGCCATCCCCAGTGCAGTAGTATTAAGAGGTATGGTCTTTGGGATGTGATTAAGTCATGAGGGCTCTACTTTTATGGATGGGATTAGCACCCTTATTAAAAGGCTCAAGGTCAAAAGGAGTGCTCTTTCACCCTTCTATCTTCCTCCATGTGAGGACACATGCATCCCTCTGGAGGAAGCAGCAACAAGACACCATCTTGGAAGCAGGGAGCAGCCTTCATCAGACACCAATGCTAGTGTCTTGATCTTGGACTTCCCAGCCTCCAGAAACATAAGAAATAAATTTTTGTTGCTTATAAGTTACCCAGTCCCAGATATTTTGTTATAGCAGCACAAATGGACTAAGATACATCCATAAATGAGATCCTGCCGCATTTGTCTTTCTGTGCCTGGCTTACTTTGCTTAACATAATGTCCTCTGGGTCAATCTATGTTGTCACAAATGGCAGGATTTCCTTCTTTTTAAGGACTAAATAATATTCCTTTGCATGTGTATACTATAATTTCTTTTTATTAAGTGAAATCAAGTCTATTAAGGAAGTAAAGGAATATAAGAATGGCTACTCCATAGGCAGAGCAGCCCTGAGGCTGCTGGTTGGCTGTTTTTATGGTTATTTCCTGATTATAGGCTAAACAAGGGATGGATTATTCATGAGTTTTTGAGGAAAGGGGTGGGCAATTACCAGAACTGAGGGTTCCTCCCGTTTTTAGACCATATAGGGAAACTTCCTGACATTGTCATGGCATTTATAAACTGTTGTGGTGTTGGTGGGATGTCTCTTAGCATGCTAACACATTATAATTAGTGTATAATGAGCCAGAGGTCACTTTCATTGCCCTCTTGGTTTTGGTAGGTTTTGGCCAGCTTCTTTACTGCACTCTTTTATCAGCAAAGTTTTTGTAACCTGTATCTTGTGCCAACCCCCTATCTCATCCTGTGACTTAGAATGCCCCACCTCCTGGGAATGCAGCTCCATGGGTCTCAGCCTTATTTTACCCAACCCCTATTCAAGATTGAGTTGCTCTGGTTCAAACACCTCTGGCATATTTCCCCCCTCCCTTTTACAAGGGAACCTTTAATCCTAAAGGCTGTAAGCAGATGAAGATCTATCTTCTTTAACTTCTTCAGGCTGAATAGGGGCAATGATATTCCTGCCTAACTATTAGGGCATCTCATACCCAGGGTAGAGAGGAGCTGAGTCAGAAAGCATCGGTATGGTGAAAAACAGTTCAAAAACAACTGATAAGACTAGAATCTGATAACAAGTGTACCACAGTTTTTGAAACATAATTTTTCTCTCCCCTGTCTCACATTTTTACTAAAGACAAATCATGGTAGAATGAATTTGTTTGCAAAAATAAGCTTTAGTCTTATACTTGGCCAGATTATTTGTAAAGTGCAGCAAGAATAATTTTCACATAGGCTTTTTTAATTGGCTTTGATGGAACATTGTTCCATAAAATGAATCTCAGATAAGACTTTTTACGAAGCCAAGCGCAGCCTTGAGTTTGTACCCTCAAATACCTATAAGTTGGGAAATTCCTTTTCTCTTGTGGTCACAAGGTAATTTGGGGCTCCTGGGCCTGTTAGAAAGTGACATACTTGGCCAGGCATGGTGGCTCATGCCTGTAATCCCAGCACTTTGGGACGCCAAGGAAGGCACATCATGAGGTCAGGAGTTTGAGACCAGCCTGGCCAATATGGTGAAACCCTATCTCTACTAAAAATACAAAAATTAGTTGGGCATGGTGGTGTGCACCTGTAGTCCCAGCTACTTGGGAGGCTGAAAGAGCAGAATCGCTTGAACCTGGGAGGCAGAGGTTGCAGTGAGCTGATATTGCACCACTGCACTCCAGGCTGGGTGACAGAGTGAGACTCCATCTCAAAAAAAAAAATAGTGACATTCTTTACTTACCACAGGTTGGAAACCCTGTACAGGGACTATGCAGACAATGTATGAGGCCAATTTTCCAAGGGGCTTTTATTGGCTCTATAAGTCAATTTTGATTCTTAAAAGGAAAACATGCCATTCCAGTCAAAGCCTTGGTAAATTAAGTAGTTTCTCCAATTGCATCCTGTTACAAAAGAAAACAGATTATTATTGCACTTATGCAAATAACTATATTGCCACAAGTTAAGAATACTCAGAAATAGTTTTCAAATTCTGGAGAAGTCAGGTAGAGAGAAACAAATATGCTCCAAATTTTGTTCACAGGAGTATACCTTTCTCAATTGTTAAAAGCTGTATATAGCTCAAAAGAAAAGTTTCTTTGACTCTGGAAAACAAAACAAAGGATCCTCAGCATTTCAAGTAAAAATTTTCAAAAAGATTACTTCAGTTTTCTATTAGATCAGTCCATGCAGTTACCTCTTGTTCTGTTTGATATTCATGAACATTTCAGCTCTCCAGGAGAGTTCTAAAAGTTTTTTTCCCCTATTTTAATGTCACAGTCTCCAAAGTTATCAGAAACCTGCATACAGGAACATCTGTCAAAGTCCTATAGCTGATTATAAACCACATTTTAAAGAGGATCAAAACAAGACAATTGTCTGTGAGTGACAAAAAAATCTTAGGACAGTCACTATTAAAGCCAAAATTGACTAAGAAATTTGGTTACTTCTTGCTGGCTGTCAAGATGGCTGAATAGGAATAGCTCCAGTCTGTAGCTCCCAGTGAGATCAATGCAGGAAGTGGGTGATTTCTGCATTTCCAACTGAGGTACCCAGCTCATCTCATTGGGACTGGTTAGACAGTTGGGCGCAGCCCACAGAAGGCAAGCCAAAGCACGATGGGGCATCGCCTCACCTGGGAAGCGCAAGGGGTCAGGGAACTCCCTCCCCTAGCCAAGGGAAGCTGTGAGAGACTATGATGTGAGGAATGGTGCATTCTGGCCCAGATACTATGCTTTTCCCACAGTATTGGCAATGCGCAGACCAGGAGATTCCCTTCGGTGCCTATACCACCAGGGCCCTGGGTTTCAAGCACGAAACTGAGCAGCTGTTTGGGCAGACACTAAACTAGCTGCAGGATTTTTTTTTCATACCCCAGTGGCACCTGGAATGCCAGTGAGACAGAAATGTTCACTACCCTGGAAAGGGGCTGAAGCCAGGGAGCCAAGTGGTCTAGCTCCACGGATCCCACCCCCATGGAGCCCAGCAAGCTAAGATCCACTGGCTTGAAATTCTCACTGCCAGCATAGCAGTCTGAAGTCCACCTGGGATGCTCGAGCTTGGTAGGGGGAGGGGTGTCTGCCATTACTGAGGCCTGAGCAGGTGGTTTTCCCCTCACAGTGTAAACAAAGCCACCAGGAAGTAAACAAAGCCACTGAATTTGGCAGAGCCCACCAGAGCTCAGCAAAGCCACTGTAGCCAGACTGCCTCTCTAGATTCCTCCTCTCTGGGCAGGGCATCTCTGAAAGAAAGGCAGTAGCCCCAGTCAGGGGCTTATAGATAAAACTTCCATCTCCCTGGGACAGAGCACCTGGGAGAAGGGGTGGCTATGGGCTCAGCTTCAGCAGAGAAACCTTCCTGCCTGCCAGCTCTGAAAAGAGCAGCAGATCTCCCAGCACAGTGCTCAAGCTCTGCTAAGGGGCAGACTGCCTCCTAAAGTGGGTCCCTGACCCCCATGCCTCCTGACTGGGAGACACCTCCCAGCAGGGATTGACAGACACCTCATACAAGAGAGCTCCAGCTGGCATCTGGAGGGTGCCCCTCTGGGATGAAGCTTCCAGAAGAAGGAACAGCCAACAATCTTTCCTGTTCTGCAGCCTCCACTAGTGATACCCAGACAGGGTCTGGAGTGGACCTCCAGCAAACTCCAGCAGACCTGCAGCAAAGGGGCCTGACTGTTAGAAGGAAAACTAACAGAATGGAATAGCATCAACATCGACAAAAAGAATGCCCACACAAAAACCCCATCCAAAGGTCACCAACATCAAAGAACAAAGGTAGATAAAGCCATGAAGGTGAGGAAAAACCAGTACAAAAAGGCTGAAAATTCCAAAAACCAGAATGCCTCTTCACCTCCAAAGGATCACAACTCCTCACCAGCAAGGGAACAAAACTGGATGGAGAATGAGTTTGACAGAAGTAGGCTTCAGAAGGTGGGTAATAACAAACTCCTCTGAGCTAAAGGAATGTGTTCTAACCCAATGCAAAGAAGCTAAGAACCTTGAAAAAAGGTTAAAGGAATTGCTAACTAGAATAACCAGTTTGGAGAAGAACATAAATGACCTGATGGAGCTGAAAAACTCATGAAAAACTTCGTGAAGCATATACAAGTATCAATAGCTGAACTGATCAAGTGGAAGAAAGGATGTCAGACATTGAAGATCAACTTAATGAAATAAAGTGTGAAAATGAGATTAGAGAAAAAGAATGAAAAGGAACAAACAAAGACTCCAAGAAATATGGGACTATGTGGAAAGACCAAACTTACGTTTGATTGGTGTGCCTCATAGTGACAGGAAGAATGGAACCAAGTTGGAAAACACTCTTCAGGATACTATCCAGGAGAACTTCCCCAGCCTAGCAAGACAGGCCAACATTCAAATTCAGGAAATACAGAGAACACCACAAAGATACTCCTCGAGAAGAGCAACCCCAAGACATATAATCAGATTCACCAAGGTTGAAATGAAGGAAAAAATGTTAAGGGCATTCAGAAAGGTCGAGTTACCCACAAAGGGAAGCCCATCAGACTAACAGCAGAACTCTCTGCAGAAATCTTACAAACCAGAAGAAAGTGGGGCCAATATTCAACATTCTTAAAGAAAAGAATTTTCAATCCAGAATTGCATATCCAGCCAAACTAAGCTTCACAAGTGAAGGATAAATAAAATCCTTTACAGACAAGAAAATGCTGAAAGATTTTGCCACCACCAGGCCTGCCTTACAAGAGCTCCTGAAGGAAGCACTAAATATGGAAAGGAAAAACCGGTACCAGCCACTGCAAAAACATATCAAATTGTAAAGACCATTGACACTATGAAGAAACTGCATCAACTAATGGGCAAAATAACCAGCTAGCATCATAATGACGGGATCAAATTCACACATAGCAATATTAACCTTAAATGTAAATGGGCTAAATGCCCCAGTTAAAAGACACAGACTGGCAAATTGGATAAAGAGTCCAGACCCATCGGTGTGCTGTATTCAGGAGACCCATCACACATGCAAAGATACACATAGGCTCAAAATAAAGGGATGGAGGACTATTTACCAAGCAAGTGGAAAGCAAAAAAAAAAAAAAAAAAAAAGCAGGGGTTGCAATCCTAGTCTATGATAAAACAGTCTTTAAACCAACAACGATCAAAAAGGACAAAAAGGGCATTACATAATGGTAAAGGAATCAATTTAACAGGAAGAGCTAACTATCCTAAACATACAAGCACCCAATACAGGAGCACTCAAATTCATAAAGCAAGTTGTTAAAGACCTACAAAGAGACTTAGACTCCCACACATTAATAGTCGGAGACCTTAACACCCCACTGTCAATATTAGACAGACCAACGAGACAGAAAATTAACAAGGATATTCAGGACTTGAACTCAGCTCTGGACCAAGCAGACCTAATAGACATCTACAGAATTCTCCACCCCAAATCAAGAGAATATACATTCTTCTCAGCACTGCATCAAACTTATTCTAAAATCGACCACATAATTGGAAGTAAAACACTCCTCAGCCAATGCAAAAGAATGGGAATCATAACAAACAGTCTCTCAGATCACAGTGCAATCAAATTAGAACTGAGGATTCAGAAACTCACTCAAAACCATACAACTACATGGAAACTGAACAACCTGCTCCTGAATGACTACTTGGTAAATAATGAAATTAAGGCAGGGATAAATAAGTTCTTTGAAACCAATGAGAACGAAGACACAACATACCAGAATCTTTGGCACAGCTAAAGCGGTGTTTACAGGGAAATCTATAGCATTAAATGCCCACAGGAGAAAGCAGGAAAGGTCTAAAATCAACACCCTAACATCACAATTAAAAGAACTAGAGAGGCAAGAGCAAATAAATTCAAAAGCTAGCAGAAGACAAGAAATAACTAAGATCAGAGCAGCACTGAAGGAGACAGAGACACAAAAAACCCTCCAAAAAATCCATGAATCCAGAAGCTGGTTTTTTGAAAAGATTAACAAAATAGATAGACCACTAGCAAGACTAATAAAAAAAGAAAAGAGAGAAGAATCAAATAGACACAATAAAAAATAATAAAGGGGATATCACCACTGATCCCACAGAAATACAAACTACCATCAGAGAATACTATAAACACCTATGCAAATAAACTAGAAAATCTAGAAGAAATGGATAAATTCCTGGAGACATACACCCTCCCAAGAGTAAACCAGGAAGAAGTCAAATCCCTGAATAGACCAATAACAAGTTCTGAAATTGAGGCAGTAATTAATATCCTACCAACGAAAAAAAGTCCAGGACCAGACGGATTCCCAGCCAAATTCTACCAGAGGTACAAAGAGGAGCTGGTATACCATTCCTTCTGAAACTATTCCAAATAATAGAAAAAGAGGAACTCCTCCCTAACTCATTTTATGAGGCCAGCATCAGCCTGATACCAAAACCTGGCAGAGACCCAAAAAAGGAAAATTTCAGGCCAATATCCCTGATGAACATCAATGCAAAAATCCTCAATAAAACACTGGCAAACCAAATCCAGCAGCACACCAAAAAGCTTATCCACCATGATGAAGTCAGCTTCATCCCTGGGATGCAAGGCTGGTTTGACATATGCAAATGAATAAATGTAATCCATCACATAAACAGAACCAATGACAAAAACCACTTGATTATCTCAATAGATGCAGAAAGGGCCTTCAATCAAATTCAACACCCATTCATGCTAAAAACTCTCAATAAACTAGGTATTGATGGAATATATCTCAAAATAATAAGAGCTATTTATGACAATAAATATGACAGCCAATATCATACTGAATAGGCAAAACCTGGAAGCATTCCCTTTGAAAACCAGCACAAGACAAGGAT
This sequence comes from Homo sapiens, assembly GCF_000001405.40. Classification (NCBI taxonomy): domain Eukaryota; kingdom Metazoa; phylum Chordata; class Mammalia; order Primates; family Hominidae; genus Homo; species Homo sapiens. The sequence continues at coordinate 25,170,040 of NC_000020.11, forward strand.
GCCCTCTCTCACCACTCTTATTCAACATAGTATTGGAAGTTCTGGCCAGGGCAATCAGGCAAGAGAAAAAAATAAAGTGTATTCAAATAGGAAGAGAGGAAGTCAAATTGTCTCTTTGCAGATGACATGATTGTATATTTAGAAAACCCCATCATCGCCAGGCACGGTGGCTCACACCTGTAATCCCAGCACTTTGGGAGGCCAAGGTGGGCAGATCACCTGAGGTCGGCAGTTTGAGACCAGCCTGACCAACATGGAGAAACCTCATCTCTACTAAAAATAAAAAATTAACCGGGCGTGGTGGCACAAGCCTGTAATCCCAGCTACTCAGGAGGCTGAGGCAGGAGAATTGCTTGAGTCCGGGAGGGAGAGGTTGCAGTGAGCCAAGATCACACCATTGCACTCCAGCCTGGGCAACAAGAGTGAGACTCCATCTCCAAAAAAACAAAAAGGAAGAAAGAAAGAAAAGAAAACCCCATCTTCTCAGCCCAAAATCTCCTTAAGCTGATAAGCAACTTCAGCAAAGTCTCAGGATACAAAATCAATGTGCAAAAATCACAAGCATTCCTATACAACAATAACAGACAAACAGACAGCCAAATTATGAGTGAACTCCCATTCATAATTGCTACAAAGAGAATAAAGTACTTAGGAATACAACTTACAAGGGATGTGAAGGACCTCTTCAAGGAGAACTGCAAACCCCTGCTCAAGGAAATAAGAGAGGACACAAACGAATGGAAGAACATTCCACGCTCATGGATAGGAAGAAACAATATCATGAAAATGGCCATACTGTCTGTCCAAAGTAATTTATAGACTCAATGATATCCCCATCAAACTACCACTGACTTTCTTCACAGAATTAGAAAAAACTACTTTAAATTTCATATGGAACCAAAAAAGAGCCCTTATAGCCAAGAAAATCCTAAGCAAAAAGAGCAAAGCTGGAGGCATCACGCTACCTGACTTCAAACTGTACTACAAGGCTACAGTAACCAAAACAGCATGGTACTGGTACCAAAACAGAGATATAAACCAATGGAACAGAACAGAGGCCTCAGAAATAATGCCACACATCTACAATCATCTGATCTTTGACAAACCTGACAAAAACAAGCAATGGGGAAAGGATTCCCTATTTAATAAATGGTGTTGGGAAAACTGGCTAGCCATATGCAGAAAACTGAAACTGGACCCCTTCCTTATACCATATACAAAAATTAACTCAAGGTAAATTAAAGACTTGAACATAAAACCTAAAACCATAAAAACCATAAAAGAAAACCTAGGTGATACCATTCAGGGCACAGGCATGGGCAAAGACTTCATGACACAAAAAGCATAGCAACAAAAGCCAAAATTGATAAATGGCATCTAATTAAACTAAAGAGCTTCTGCACAGCAAAAGAAACTATCATCAGAATGAACAGGCAACCTACAGAATGGGAGAAAATTTTTGCAATCTATCCATCTGGCAAAGGGCTAATATCCAGAATCTAAAGGAACTTAAATAAATTGACAAGAAAAAAACAAACAACCTCATCAAAAAGTGGGAAAAGGATATGAACAGACACTTCTCAAAAGAAGACATTTATGCAGCCAACAAACATGAAAAAAAGCTCATCATCACTGGTCATTACAGAAATGCAAATCAAAACCACAATGAGATACCATCTGACTCCAGTTAGAATGGTGATCATTAAAAAGTTAGGAAACAACAGATGCTGGAGAGGATGTAGAGAAATAGGAATGTTTTTACACTGTTGGTGGGAATGTATATTAGCTCAACCATTGTGGAAGACAGTGTGGCAATTCCTCAAGGATCTAGAACCAGAAATATCATTTGACCCAGCAATCCCATCACTTGGTATGCACCCAAAAAATTATAAATCATTCTACTATAAAGATACGTGCCCATGTATGTTTATTGCAGCACTATTCATGATAACAAAGACTTGGAACCAACCCAAATGCCCATCAAAGATAGACTGGATAAAGAAAATGTGGCACATATACACCATGTAATACTATGCAGTTATAAAAAAGGATGAGTTCATGTCCTTTGCAAGGACAGGAATTAAGCTGGAAACCATCATTCTCAGCAAACTAACACAGGAACAGAAAACCAAACACCGCATGTTCTCACTCATAAGTGGGAGTTGAACAATGAGAACCCATGGACCCAGAGAGGGGAACATCACACACTGGGGCCTGTCAGGAGGTGGGGGGCTAGAGGAGGGATAGCATTAGGAGAAATACCCAATGTAGATGACAGGTTGATGGGTGCAGCAAACCACCATGCCACATGTATACCTAAGTAACAAACCTGCACATTCTGCACATGTACCCCAGAACTTAAAGTATAATAAATTTTTTTAAAAGGAATTTGGTTACTTCTATGGCATACAACAATTTTACATAACAATTATAACTATTAATAACATACACTAAGTCATATCAGAATTATAGGAGTTTCCCATAATTTTGGAACACATACCAATAATATATTTATACAAATATAGCCCAAAGAAAGCCAAACAGCACTTCATATTTGAGAATAGTTTTTGTATGACTTTTATACCAAATAAGTCAAATTTCACCTTTAGATTAGTGTACTCTTATGTTAAATCCAATTCTTAATAAAACCTTATAGATAAATCTACCTAATTTTAATATTTGACGATAAAGTAAGATTCTCATAAACCTTTTATAATCCATTACAAATTTTTGTGAAAGAACAGATAAGTGCTCTAAGAAAAACCTGTTGTGTTCAATTTATGGAAAAACTAAATAATAACCCTTTTACTTTGGCCAATATGTTCATACAGAGAATTTTTTACAAGATTAATTTTTCACAAGCTTTCCACAACTTGTTCAAACTTTCAGCTTTATACTACCTAACTTAAAACAATCCTTTAGCCATCTAAACTAGGCCCAAGAAAACCCACAGTCCATTGCCTTCTTATAATCTCTTACCAAAAACACATTTCACTTTGCATGTAAAACTGTTTCTTTAGTAACCTACTAAAAGTCATTACAATTTTTATTTGTCTGACAAAATATTTGATTAAAGCACTTATTATTTTTAAGCCAATTAATCAGAGCTCTTTCATATATAAACATCACACACAGCACATATAAATACACAGACAGACAGAAGATCCAGTAGTTGTAGGGTTTTTCATTTTCCAGTTTCTTATTTAGATTACTGGTTTCAGGGTGGAGCCCTTGGAGGAACAGGGCCAGGAAAGCATGCAGTTTCTACAGCCTAATAATTAGGCACAACTGGAAGGCAAAAAAATCCCCAAAATTAAAGGTCCTATTTTTCATATTGGATCCTAGATCCCCAAAAGAGAAACACTACAGAACAACGTGCAAAGATTTTACCATGCATTTCATTGCAAAGCAATCCAAAGACAATCAGCACATTCTATGATTAGCCCATCCCCCTGTGAGTCTTATCTCTCACTGTGGGGGTGGGGAGATTTTCATACCTTCTAGGTAGCCAAGAGCATGCTCCTCTGATCCAAACGTACAAAGAGCTGAGTATCTCCCCATAACTGCAATTAGCCACCCCTAAAAGTATATTTCCTACCTAGTCATTACACACCAAAGCTCTCTCACAATGTGAAGTAATATCTGGTACCCCCAGAAGTCAAAAATGTTGGCTAACACAATGCAAAACAGAACAGAGCTTTAGATTTTGAGAGAGATCTATCCACTTTCAGTTCCTGGGGTTTCATGAGGAAAACAGAGGTTTTTCCCAAAACAGGGTCTGTGGCACCTCCTATTTTTCTCAAGGAGTTCCAGGCTGTTAGAGCTTTAATATGTGGTTTTAATTAAGCTGACTTTTAACCACAGTGCTCTCTTTAGAAATCCTTTTAAACCTCTTATTACCCAACATTAGTCATGCCAAATCACCAGTATTTCTGGCTTTTGAACTTTACCAAACATAACCTCCCAGGTGCTCAGAGAAAGGAAAATTCAAGATGGTTCATGGAGGGGAGGAGAATCAACAAATGGTAAAGGTCATGTAGATATCAAACAAGGAGTGACTCATTCCCTAAGCCAGGAATTGAACCCTGAACCCAGGCTGCCATTGGAAACACACAAAGCCTTAGCCACAAAGATTCAGCATTGGGCAGTTTCCACTGCTATTCCCAGAAGGGGCCTAGAGTAGCCAGTTTTGAGCTTGCAATGACTTTTAACTGCTTAGGATAATTTTTAGAGCCAACTATGACATGAATTCCAAAATTCCTGTTCTCTGGATGGTGGAGAGCAAGAGAAAATACTGCCACGTGGTTACAAGGTCAAGCTCCCAAGGACATGAAACAAGATGAGAGGGAAACTTCATCCAGTATTTTTTTTTTCAGAGACCTGCATCAAGGTTTGTAACTGACCAGTTTGCTGGGCTGGCTTGTACAGCAGTCTTATGGGGTCCTAAGCCTGTGTTCAATCCTAAGTTACTCCTCTTTATGACAGGACAATACAGAAAGACAAATTTATAGCACAAAGTACACCAGATTTGCCACTCCACTTAGCACCCAATATCAAACTGGCAAGGCTCAAACTTGCCCCCAGATGGGCCCTGTCAGGTTTAATCCACTGCACTCCAGTGGTGCTCATATGTGTAGGAAAAGAGCCATGGATCTCTTGGCCACACTTGTCTGTAATAGAGCTTCTGCAACATGGAGCTGGGGAGAGATGTGAGATGCCATCTACTATGGTGAATCCATAGCCCAAAGTCAGGAGCTCAGGTAGGGAGGGAGTCCATCTCGTTGACCACATCCACCTGGAGTCAAACTTCAAGGAGGGAAAGGAAGGAGATCATGGATCAGTGCCACATACCCCACCATTCTTACCAATATTTAGTAATAGTCTTGAATAAATGCTTTTCCATTTGCAGTATGCCCTTAGGAGAATTTCCAGAGATTTTATGTGGCTGTTTCTTTTCAATAATTTTCACCAATGATGGTTGTTTTGCTTGGGAGAGGGTCTACAGAGCCCTTCATGCCACCATTCCAGAAGTGCACCTCCAGGGGGCAATGAGTTGGGGCTGGTATAGCACTGTTTTGGCAATGGCTGACTAGTACAACAAGCCTACTTCCTTCTCCTAAACTACCATCTAGCATTCACTGTTTACTCTTTGCTACTCATGGGGTAGATATTGTTTTTAATCCCCATTTTGCACATGATAAAAGTAAAGCTCAGAGAAATTGAGCTTCATCTCACCATCAAAGAGCTGCTAAAGCACAGTGGTAGAACATGAAGCAGAGCACATTTAAGTACATATCCTACTGAAAGAGCCGTGTTATTCACATGTTAGTGTGTGTGTGTGTGTGTGTGTGTGTACATGCTGATATTTATTACATATGAGGAGAGTCACCTTCTTCCTGAATTTGAAGTATTTTTTAAAACATATTATTTGGGGTCATAATGGAGTATGAGTAAATAGTTAAGATATATTGGCCGGGCATGGCAGCTCACACCTATAATCACTTTGGGAGACTGAGGCAGGAGGATTGCTTGAGTCCAGGAGTTCAAGAGCAGCCTGGGCAACATAGCAAGACCCCTATCTACAAAAAATGAAAAAAATTAGCCAGGCATAGTGGCATGTGCCTGTGGTCCTATCTATTAATACTTGGGAGGCTGAGGTGAGAGGATTCCTTGAGCCCAGGAGTTCAAGGTTGCAGTGAGCTGTGATTCCACCACTATACTCCAGCCTGGGTGACAGAGAAAACCCTATCTCAAAACAAACAAAACAAACAAACAAAAAGATCTATCAATTATAATAATAACTTTTCTGCATTTAATTCATAAACAAGAGGCTTCCAAACTTACCTAATAAAATGCACTTATGTCAGGGTCTCTCCCTCTTGACAGATTTGGAGGGAAAATGGGGGCTGCGGGATGTTCTCCTGTCTGAGCCTCCTCTTCATGATGGGAATGCAGTGCTCAGCAAAGCACATCCTGGCCGATGGGAGAAGGGAGGGAGTAGGATAGAATAGCTCTGAGCTCCCTTTCTGCTCCAAAACTTTAAGATTCCATGAGCTAGGATGTCAGTGACTCTTTGCCCTACGGCCTTCGGACCCTAGTTTTCCAGCACCAACTTCAATCAGCTCCAACCACCAGCATCTCATCTCTGTGCCAGAACCTGCAAATGCAGCAGGTCAGACATGCAGAGGGATTCACACTCAACAATGACTGACAGGACCCCGTGTATAAATACCCCAGCTCCCTCCTGCCTCAGGCTCCACATCCAAACCAAGGCAGTGTGAATCCAGAAGTGTTTATGTGAAGCAGAGGAAATGTGACTGAGCAGAAAGCAGGAGCAGAGTTGTGTGAAGCCAGGAAGAGGAGGGCACAGCCAAGGGCAGCCCCTGTCTGGGCAAACTGTGGGGTCAGCAGTGCAGGAAGAGCAGGGGACTCCAGTCGGAGGCTCAAGGGTCAGCTCTTATTACATGACATTCCGAAATACAGATCATCCCTTTTTGTTCATGATCTAAGGTGTGGCAAAGCTCAAAATTGGGGGCACATCATGACCTTTCAAAAGTTACAAGGAACTTTGACACAAAATGGGACCTCGGAGCTGTAGTAACCTCAAGCCAACCCAGCCCTGGCTCTCCAGAGGGAGAGGGCCAGGCCCAGGTCAGCACCAGCCACATCTCACACCCATCCTCAGCAGAAGTCACCCCTGTGGGAATGCCAGGGTCCAGGGTACACCATGCCCAAGCAGACATGACAGAGGAACTCCAGGCTTAGCAGCTCCGCATTGACATTTCTGCCTACCCACTGTTAACCCTCTTTCAAAGCCAACCTCCTCCAGGCCCAGCCACAGCACTCTCCCTCCTATGCGGTCACTAGGAGTACTTGCCTGGAACCAGGCCCACTGGGTTAGGATCCTGGCTTGTGAGTATGACTTTCAGCAAGTCTTTTTTTTTTTTTTTTTTTTTTTTTGAGACGGTCTCACTTTGTCACCCAGGCTAAAGTATAGTTGTGCGATCTCGGCTCACTGCAGCCTCGACTTCCAAGGCTTAAGCAATCCTCCCACCTCAGCCTCCCAAGTAGCAGGGACCTCAGCCTCCCACGTAGCACCACCACACCTAGCTAATTTTTTATATTTTTGGTAGAGAAAGGGTTTCACCGTGTTGTCCAGACTAGTATCAAACTCCTGAGCTCAGGCGATCTGCTTGCCTCGGCCTCCCAAAGTGCTGGAATTACAGGCATGAGACACCGTGTCCAGCCCTGGCAAGTCTTTTGTGCCTCAGTCTTCTCATCTGTAAAATGAAGATAATAATAATTATCTCAGGAATTGATTTAAATAGTGCAGTTACCAAAGTCAAGAAACCTGGCAGACACTGTCTTAACTAAGTGATCAAAGTTAACATCACCAACAAGGAGACATATTGACATCACAGGCCTCCTGACAAGATGCATTACTTCTGTGGCATTACCACCGAAAATGTATAATCTGAATTTAATCATGAATAAACATCAAACAGACTCAAACTGAGAGGAATTCTACAAAGTAACTGGCTCGTACTCTTCAAAAATGGCAAGGCCGTGACATATACAGAAAACCCGAGGAACTCTTCCACGTTGTAGACAACTAAATGCAGCGTGGGATCCAGAAGGCAGTCCTGGGGCAGAAAGGATGGGGGAAAAGGAAAGAAATTTTTGGTTCTGTTTTGTTTTTGCTCTGAAAGACAGGACTGGTACAGTCAGTGAAACTTTGGATGCATCGATTGGATGGCTGTGTTGTGTCAGTGCTAAATTTCTGGTTTTGATGAGGGGACTGTGGCTGTGTAGGGGAGTGTAGGAGCCTAGGAAGAAGACGGACTCTCCAGAGGGAGAGGGCCAGGCCCAGTTAATAACTGTAGTTATTAAACTCTGGAGCAATTGCTGTCTGCCCCACACAGTCTATGATTATAGATAGTCTTGTTGCTTAACTGCTCAGCAGACAGATGCTTGATTCCTGGGGCCATTGCATATTTGTAACACCTAGGAGGTCTAAAATATTGGCAGGCAAGTTTGTTTATCCAACACTGAATGAGATCTGGATTTGCCAGTCACTGTGCCAAGCACAGGGAAGCAAAGGGACCTGAGGCCCAGACCCAGGCCTTTGTAGAATGTGCCCATTCCAGCAGGAGTGGCTGGAGGGCTCCCCACAGATAAGGACAGGATGGGGTGCTCTGTGCCAACTGGTGAAATGAGAACAACCGCAGGAATGCAGAGGAGGAAAAGGAATGTGTGTGGAAAAAAGACAAATGACACGGAGAAGTAGTAAGAGCAGAAAGACCCTGTTTAACGTGACCTTCAATGCATTTTCTTTGAGATGAGTGTGGGCTTGCCTGAAAAGGTGAGAAGACAAGATATGTTCAAGGCATTCAGCCATGATGGCACCATTACACTCCAACCTGGGCAACAGAGCAAGACCCGATCTCTGAGGGAAAAGAAAAAAAAAGAAAAAAGAAAAAAAAAAAATATATATATATATAATAATGACTTTTCTGTATTTAATTCATAAGTGAGAGGCTTCCAAACTTACCTTAAAAATGCACTATGTCAAGGCACAGTCTCTCACTTTTGACAGAACTTGTGAGGAAAATGCGAGCTGCAAAATGTTTTCCTGTCTGAGCCTCCTCTTCACGATGGGAATGCAGTGCTCAGGGAAACACATCCCAGCTCCATGAGAGAAGGGAGGGAGTAGACTAGTATGCTCTGAGCTCCCTTTCTGCTCCAAAACTCTAAGATTCCATGAGTTAGGGTGTCAGTGACCCTCCCCCAGTGGCCCTCAGACCCTAGCTTTCCAGCACCAACTCCAGTCAGCTCCAACTGCCTGTATCTCATCTCTGGGCCCGAAGGCTCTTTCAAGAACTTGAGTGTGCAGCAGGTCAGATATGCAGAGGGAATAGCACTCAACAATAACTGACAGGACCCAGTGTATAAACACTCCAGCACCCTCCTGCCTCAGGCTCAAAGCATTATGACTTATGACTCAAGGCATTGAGTCATCATTTGTAATAGAAAAACTTGGAAATATATGGCAAGATATGTAATAGCCACACAACACCTCTCTCTTCCTTTGGAGTGCAGTGGTGCAATCACAGCTCATTGCAGCTTCTCCAGCCTCAGCCTCTCCAGTAGCTAGAGGTCTTGCTATGTTGCCCAGCCGGTCTTGAAATCCTAGGCTCATGTGAACCTCCTCCTTGACCTCCCAAACTTCTGGGATTACAGGCGTGAGCCATGGTGCCAGGCCAAAAAAAAAATGTGTAGACAGCCCCAGCCTCCTCCTTGTGATACTATACTGCCGCCTAATGTCCTCTCAACAAATGACACCAAATACATTCTCCACGTGGATTCAGAAATTGTATAAACAAGGTTGAAGTTGAAACATTTTATTGTGATAGGAAAACATTTTGGAAACCAGTCTGCACATATGCACGTATGCTTGTGCATTTATGAAGTATATCTGGAGAACACAAATAAGCTGTTAACAGCAGATGCCTCCAGGAAAGGGAACTGGCAGGCTGAGAAATCTACCAAAATCATGGTGATGACGATGGTGATGACGTTATTTTGTATCTTTTAAATTTTGAGGCATACAATGTCCTGCTAATTGAAAAAAATTTTTAACTTAAAAAAACATTTATTAAATGTTGACGCTATGATGACTAAGGGGCCATCTTTTCTTCATTCATTGATTAGTGTTCTTAACAAATACTTACTGAATGCTTCCTGTGAGGGGGGCACTGTTTGGAGGAAAAACAGTGAGGAAGACACGCTCCCACCCTCCTGGAGCAGAGATGCTCAGAGGACTGCCCGGGACACCGCATGGTGAAGGTGGCCGAGCCCACGGCCTGGGTCTTAGGCTGGCCGGCCACGTGGAGCGGCACCCACCCAGCCCTGCTGCCGTGAGTCAGTGCCGTGGGGAGCAATCGCATGCATGGGCTTCAGACCTGCATTGGGCCTCTTTATTTGGGCACTTCAGCCTTATCCTAATTAATATGACACTTCACAAGCAGCATATAAGGGACATTTTATTCACCCAGCAGGTGCAGCACACACATTCTTCTCCAGTACCATGGAAAACTTGCAAAAAGTTACAAAGAGGGATACAAAGCTCATGTCAACAACCTCCACAGAGTGGATATCAGAGATGACACTCCCTGGCCCACAGCTCAATCAAGTGAGAATTCACTGATTAAAAGGTAAATTTAGAAATTAATTCAAAAATTTAAAAATGTTTCTTTTTTAATCTTTTTTTAAAGTTTATTAGCAATCTAAAAAAATACTGGTTATTTTTTTGACTTAAAGAAACCACTAACTTGCTAATCTCTAGGACATACAAGTTCCATTTATGGTCATGAACTTCATAGTAGGCCAAATGTAGGATTTAAAATCCAAGAAACAAAAAAAAAATTATAGAATTTTAACCTCACAATTATTTGAATGTCATTTTGGAAAAGTGCTACCTGAGACGCAGACACTGAGGACATACCTGTATGTACATGTTGGTCCTGACCTCCACCTCCCTTTGTACTCACACTAAGAAGTACCCCAGTTACTAGAGTAAACAGAATAGAAGGAAAGAAGCTGTGAATAATTACTTATGAGAAAGGGGACACGACCATGGCACAGGTGCTTCCTAACTCGTACTGTGACATACTCTCTCTTCAAAAACTGTCCTTAAATGTTTGAGGTGATGTATATCCTAGTTACCCTGATCTGATCATTACACATTGTACATATGTATCAAAATATCACATGTACCTCAAAAATACATAAAACTATGATATAGCAAGTTTTTTTAATACGTTAAGTTCTAGGGTACATGTGCACAACGTGCAGGTTTGTTACATAGGTATACATGTGTCATGTTGGTTTGCTGCACCCATTAACTTGTCATTTATATTAGGTATTTCTCCTAATGCTATCCCTCTCCCTGCCCCCTTCCCCACAACAGGTCCCAGTGTGTGATGTTCCCCACCCTGTATCCAAGTGTTCTCATTGTTCACTTCCCACCTATGAGTGAGAACATGCGGTGTTTGGTTTTCTGTGCTTGCAATAGTTTGCTCAGAATGATGGTTTCCAGCTTCATCCATGTGCCTGCAAAGGACATGAACTCATCATTTTTTATGGCTGCGTAGTATTCCATGGTGTACATGTGCCACATTTTCTTAATCCAGTCTATCATTGATGGACATTTGGGTTAGATCCAAGTCTTTGCTATTGTGAATAGTGCCTCAATAAACATAAGTGTGCATGTGTCTTTATAGTAGCATGATTTATAATCCTTTGGGTATATACCCAGTAATGGGATCGCTGAGTCAAATGGTATTTCTAGTTCTAGATCCTTGAGGAATTGCCACACTGTCTTCCACAATGGTTGAACTAGCTTACACTCCTACCAACAGTGTAAGTGTTCCTAGTTCTCCACATCCTCTCCAGCATCTGTTGTTTCCTGACTTTTTAATGATCGCCATTCTAACAGGTGTGAGATGTTATCTCATTGTGGTTTTGATTTGCATTTCTCTGATGACCAGTGATGATGAGCATTTTTTCATGTGTCTGTTGGTTGCATAAATGTCTTCTTTTGAGAAGTGTCTGTTCATATCCTTTGCCCACTTTTTGATAAGTTTGTTTTTATTCTTGTAAATTTGTTTAAGTTATTTGTAGATTCTGGATATTAGCCATATGTCAGATGGGTAGATTACAAAAATTTTCTCCCATTTTGTAGGTTGCCTGTTCACTCTGATAATAGTTTCTTTTGCTGTGCAGAAGCTCTTTAGTTTAATTAGATCCCATTTGTCAATTTTGGCTTTTGTTGTCATTGCTTTTGGTGTTTTAGTCATGAAGTCCTTGCCCATGCCTATGTCCTGAATGGTATTGCCTAGGTTTTCTTCTAGGGTTTTTATGGTTTTAGGTCTAACATTTAAGTCTTTAATCCATCTTGAATTAATTTTTTGTATAAGGTGTAAGGAAGGGACCCAGTTTCAGCTTTCTACATATGGCTAGCCAGTTTTCCCAGCACCATTTATTAAATAGAGAATCTTTTCCCCATTTCTTGTTTTTGTCAGGTTTGTCAAAGATCATATGGCTGTAGATGTGTGGTGTTATTTCTGAGGCCTCTGTTCTGTTCCATTGATCTATATCTCTGTTTTGGTACCAGTACCATGCTGTTTTGGTTACTGTAGCCCTGTAGTATAGTTTGAAGTCAGGTAGTGTGATGCCTCCAGCTTTGTTCTTTTTGCTTAGTATTCTCTTGGCTATGCAGGCTCTTTTTTGGTTCCATATGAACTTTAGTTTTTTCCAATTCTGTGAAGAAAGTCATTGGTAGCTTGATGGGGATGGCATTGAATCTATAAATTACCTTGGGCAGTATAGCCATTTTCATTATATTGATTATTTCTATCCATGAGCATGGAAAGTTCTTCCATTTGTCCTCTTTTATTTCTTTGAGCAGTGGTTTGTAGTTCTCCTTGAAGAGGTCCTTCATATCCCTTATAAGTTGGATTCCTAGGTTTTTTATTCTCTTTGTAGTAACTGTCAATGGGACTTCACTCATGATTTGGCTCTCTGTTTGTCTGTTTATTGGTGTATAGGAATGCTTGTGATTTTTGCACATTGATTTTGTATCCTGAGACTTTGCTGAAGTTGCTTATGAGCTTAAGGAGATTTTGGGCTGAGACAATGGGGTTTTCTAAATATACCATCATGTCATCTGCAAACAGGGACAATTTGACTTCCTCTTTTCCTCACTGAATACCCTTTATTTCTTTCTCTTGCCTGATTGCCCTGGCCAGAACTTCCAACACTATGTTGAATAGGAGTGGTGAGAGAGGGCATCCCTGTCTTGTGCCAGTTTTCAAAGGGAATGCTTCCAGTTTTTGCCCACTCAGTATGATATTGGCTGTGGGTTTGTCAAAAATAGCTCTTATTATTTTGAGATACGCTCCATCAATACCTAGTTTACTGAGAGTTTTTGGCATGAAGCACTGTTGAATTTTGTTGAAGGCCTTTTCTGCACCTATTGAGATAATCACGTGGTTTTTGTCATTGGTTCTATTTATGTGATGGATTATGTTTATTGATTTGCATATGTTGAACCAGCCTTGCATTCCAGGTATGAAGCTGACTTTATCATGGAGGATAAGCTTTTTGATGTGCTGCTGGATTTGGTTTGCCAGTATTTTATTGATGATTTTCACATCTACATTCATCAGGGATATTGGTCTAAAATTCTCTGTTTTTTGTTGTGTCTCTGCCAGGCTTTGGTATCAGGATGATGCTGGCCTCATAAAATGAGTTACGGAGGATTCCCTCTTTTTCTATTGATTGGAATAGTTTCAAAAGGAAGGGTAGCAGCTCCTCTTTGTCCCTCTGTTAGAATTCAGCCTTGAATCCATCTGTTCCTGGACTTTTTTTGGTTGGTAGGCTATTAATTAGTGCCTCAATTTCACAGCCTGTTATTGGTCTACTCAGAGATTCAACTTCTTCCTGGTTTAGTCTTGGGATGGTGTATGTATCCAGGAATTTATCCATTTCTTCTAGATTTTCTAGTTTATTTGCATAGAGGTGTTTATAGTATTCTCTGATGATAGTTTGTATTTCTGTGGGATCAGTAGTAATATCCCCTTTATCACTTTTTATTGCGTCTATTTGATTCTTCTCTCTTTTCTTCTTTGTTAATCTTGCTAGTGATCTATCAGTTTTGTTGATCTTTTCAAAAAACCCGCTCCTGGATTCATTGATTTTTTGAAGGGTTTTTTGTGTCTCTATCTCCTTCAGTTCTGCTCTGATCTTAGTTATTTCTTGCTTTCTGCTAGCTTTTGAATTTGTTTGCTCTTGCTTCTCTAGTTCTTTTAATTGTGATGTTAAGGTGTTGATTTTAGTTCTTTCCTGCTTTCTCTTGTGGGCATTTAGTGCTATAAATTTCCCTCTACACATTGCTTTAAATGTGTCCTGGAGATTCTGGTATGTTGTGTCTTTGTTCTCATTGGTTTCAAAGAACATCTTTATTTCTGCCTTCATTTCTTTATTTACCCAGTAGTCACTCAGGAGCAGGTTGTTCAGTTTCCATGTAGTTGTGCGGTTTTGAGTAAGTTTCTTAATCCTGAGTTCTAATTTGATTGCACTGTGGTCTGATAGACAGTTTGTTCTGATTTCTTTTCTTTTACATTTGCTGAGGAGTGCTTTACTTCCAACTGTGTGGTCAATTTTGGAATAAGTGCTATGTGGTGTTGAGAAGAATGTATATTCTGTTGATTTGGGGTGGAGAGTTCTGTAGATGTCTATTAGGTCTGCTTGGTGCAGAGCTGAGTTCAAGTCCTGGATATCCTTGTTAACCTTCTGTCTTGTTAATCTGTCTAATATTGACAGTGGGTGTTAAAGTCTCCCATTATTATTGTGTGGGAGTCCAAGTCTCTTTGTAGGTCTCTAAGGACTTGCTGTATGAATCTGGGTGCTCCTGTATTGTTGCATATATATTTAGGATAGTTAGCTCTTCTTGTTGCATTGATCTCTTTACCATTACGTAATGGCCTTCCTTGTCTCTTTTGATCTTTTGTTGGTTTAAAGTCTGTTTCATCAGAGACTAGGATTACAACCCCTGCTTTTTTTTTTTGCTTTCAATTTGCTTGGTAGATCTCCCTCCATCCCTTTATTTTGAGCCTATGTGTGTCTCTGCACATGAGATGGGTCTCCTGAATACAGCACACTAATGGGTCTTGACTCTTTATCCAATTTGCCAGTCTGTGTCTTTTAATTCGCGCATTTAGCCCATTTACTTTTAAGGTTAATATTATTATATGTGAATTTGATCCTGTCATTATGATGTTAACTGGTTATTTTGCCCGTTAGTTGATATAGTTTCTTCCTAGCATCGATGGTCTTTACAATTTGGCATGATTTTGCAGTGGCTGGTACTGGTTGTTCCTTTCCATGTTTAGTGCTTCTTTCAGGAGCTCTTGTAAGGTAGGCCTGGTGGTGACAAAATCTCTCAGCATTTGCTTGTCTGTAAAGGATTTTATTTCTCCTTCACTTATGAAACTTAGTTTGGCTGGATATGTGATTCTGGGTTGAAAATTCTTTTCTTTAAGAATGTTAAATATCGGCCCCCACTCTCTTCTGGCTTGTAGAGTTTCTGCTGAGAGATCTCCTGTTAATCTGATGGGCTTCCCTTTGTGGGTAACCCGACCTTTCTCTCTGGCTGGCCTTAACATTTTTTCCTTCATTTCAACCTTGGTGAATCTGATGATTATGTGTCTTGAGGCTGCTCTTCTCAAGGAGTATCTTTGTGGTGTTCTCTGTATTTCCTGAATTTGAATGTTGACCTGCCTTGCTAGGTTGGGGAAGTTCTCCTGGATAATATCCTGAAGAGTGTTTTCCAACTTGGTTCCATTCTCCCCATCACTTTCAGGTATACCAATCAAATGTAGATTTGGTCTTTTCACGTAGTCTTGTATTTCTTGGAGGCTTTGTTCATTTCTTTTTACTCTTTTTTCTCTAAACTTCTCTTCACCCTTTATTTCATTAATTTGATCATCAATCACTGATACCCTTTGTTCCACTTGATCGAATTGGCTATTGAAACTTGTGCATGCAACACATAGTTCTCATGCCATGGTTTTCAGCTCCATCACGTCATTTAAGGTCTTCTCTACACTGCTTATTCTAGTTAGCCCTTCGTCTAATCTTTTTTCAAGGTGTTTAGCTTCCTTGTAATGGTTTCAAACATCCTCCTCCTTTAGCTCAGAGAAGTTTGTTATTACCAACCTTCTGAAGCCTTCAGCTCATCAAAATCATTCTCCATCCAGCTTTGTTCCATTGCTGGTGAGGAGCTGCGATCCTTTGAAGGAGAAGAGGTGCTCTGGTTTTTAGAATTTTCAGCTTTTCTGCTCTGGTTTCTCCCCACCTTTGTGGTTTTATCTCTCTTTGGTCTTTGATGTTAGTGACCTACAGATGGGGTTTTGGTGTGGATGTCCTTTCTGTTGATGTTGATGCTATTCCTTTCTGTTTGTTAGTTTTCCTTCTAACAGGTCCCTCAGCTGCAGGTCGGTTGGAGTTTGCTGAAGGTCCATGCCAGACCCTGTTTGCCTGGGTATCACCAGCGGAGGCTGCAAAACAGCAAATATTGCAGAACAGTAAATATTGCTGCCTGATCCTTCCTCTGGAAGCTTCATCCCAGAGGGGCACCCACCTGTATGAGATGTCAGTTGGCCCCTACTGGGAGATGTCTCCCAGTCAGGCTACACGGGGGTGAGAGACCCACTTGAGGAGTCAGTCTGTTCATTCTCAGAGCTCAAACACCATGCTGGGAGAACCACTGCTCTCTTCAGAGCTGTCAGACAGGGATGTTTAAGTCTGCAGAAGTTTCTGCTGCCTTTTGTTCTGCTATGCCCTGCCCCCAGCAGTAGAGACTACAAAGGCAGCAGGCCTTGCTGAGCTGCAGTGGGCTCTGCCCAGTTCAAGCTTCCCCAGCCGCTTTGTTTACCTACTCAAGCTGCAGCAATGGCAGACGCCCCTTCCCCTGCTAGGCTGCTGCCTCACAGGTTGATCTCAGACTGCTGCACTAGCAGTGAGCAAGACTCCATAGGCGTGGGATCCACCGAGCCATGTGCGGGATATAATCTCCTGGTGTGCCATTTGCTAAGACCTTTGGAAAAGCACAGTATTTGGGGGAGAGTGTCCCGTTTTTCCAGGTACAGTCTGTCACGGCTTCCTTTGGCTAGGAAAGGGAAATCCCCCAACCCCTTGTTGTTCCCAGGTGAGGCAATGCCCCACCCTGCTTTGGCTCGCCCTCTGTGGGCTGCACCCACTGTCCAACCAGTCCCAATGAGAAGAACCAGGTACCTCAGTTGGAAATGCAGAAATCACCCATCTTCTGCGTGGATCATGCTGGGAGCTGCAGACTGGAGCTATTCTTATCTGGCCATCTTGGAATGGAGAGAGCAAAAATATTTCTAAATAACACATGGACAGAGAAACACTGTAATAGTGGACTTTAGAAAATGTTCCAAACTGACAATTACAAAAATACAATACAGCCAAATGTGTGGGACAGAGCTACAAGGGTGCTTATAGGAAATGCAAAGCTCTAACTGCATTTCTTATAAGATAGGCTGAAAGTTGACTTCGAGTAAGACAGCAGCACATAGCTCCCACTGGGCAGCCTGGCTTGGGGCTCCCTAGTAGGGATGGTTTTTGAGGGGGACCTTGTCATAGTTCTGGGGTCATGTGGAGGACACTCTGGTGTTACTGTTTCCAGTGCACCAAGGGTGAGTGTCTTCTGGTTACCTAGCTACCTTGGCCCAAGCATTCTGGAGCCTGGGAGACTGGGAGCCAGGAGATAGGTGGGAGGAGGGGCAGGCCCCAGGTAATAGGAGAGCAGGGCTAAGGAACAAAGATAGCCAGCCTGAGGCAGCTCCCTCAGCCTCTGTGCTGAGAAATCTCGTACTCCACTTCTCCGCCCTGAGAAAGCTTGCTGTCTGGAATCCTGTCGCCTGCAGATGCTCAGCCATGCAGGCCACTCCACACAGAGAAGCAGCCTGGAGCTCTCAC
Source organism: Homo sapiens (assembly GCF_000001405.40). Classification (NCBI taxonomy): domain Eukaryota; kingdom Metazoa; phylum Chordata; class Mammalia; order Primates; family Hominidae; genus Homo; species Homo sapiens. The sequence continues at coordinate 25,187,605 of NC_000020.11, forward strand.
CTTGGCTCACAGCCTCAGATAAGGGGCTTCCAGATACAACATGGTGCATTTGTCTTGAGCTCGGGCCCCCAAGTCAGCCTCTCAGCCCAGTGTGATGTGTCACCCTGTGACCCACAGCCCTGCTTTCAGCCTGTCAGAAACGGCTTCATTTTAAACTTCACCTGAACTCCTCCCTTCTCCGCAATCCTGTCTATCCCATGCTGAAGGCAGGAGGCCTCTGATGTGGCTTCCTCGCTGCAGTTACTAACCCTCACTTTGTCGTGGACAGCTGTGCCCTGGCGCCATTCACTGAAGGGGCTTTATCAGTCTTCAGAAACACCCTTCCTGAGCGTGAGGTGCTGGGCTGTAAAATATACATACATTCTTTAAAAAGGCAAATGCTTGATGATACAGTGCTATTTGGACTTCATTTTTTTGAACCTTTGCAATGCCCTTTCTCAACAAAACAAAACAAAATTTGACTTGGATTCTTAGATAATGGAATTGGCTGCAGGAAGCATTTGTTTTATCACCCCTTGAATGTTAACAATAACCCTGAGAGAGCTATCTGTACTGAGCATGAAGGAAATAATATATACAGTGGTCCATTTCCAAGACAAAGTGCCTTGAATTGGTTTAGGTCAGCAAACTACAGAAGAAACAGGATACACTAGGCCCCTGCTTGGATAGCCAATGCCTGCTTGTCGCCTCCCCACCCTCCACCCTACCCCACTGCCTTAGTTGCCCTCACCCAAACCAAAGGAGTTTAGTCTAAGATGAAAGTTTACTAGCTTGCAAAATAGCTCACTTTGTCTGTTCTTATCAGCCTGCCCAGATACTTAGGTCATAAGTCAAGTACTTGAAGAGCCCTTGAGCTAACTAGGATTGCAATGTATTATGGCTGCAACAAAATGCAGCAGAACAATCCTAAAGAAAATGCCTAAAACCCCTACCCAACAACCAATAGGCAATGTCCAGGAAGACTGTGACCCCATAGTACTCAGCCTATGAGGAACCAAGGGAGGGACCTGCACACTAGGGGATAAATTGCTTTTGAAACTGTACTGGGTGTGCCTGCCCATCAGACACCCGATCTTGCAAGATTGTCATTAAAGTCTCGCTTCCACTGTTCTCTGGGTCTCTGAGCCCAAACTTTGGGTTTGGACCAGTGAGTTTGTTTCTCACAGCATGACCTACTCTCCACCATGATGTGCAGCATTGCAGTGAGCAGAGAACAGCCTCCCTTCCCACTCACCCACCTGCCTCTTGGTTAGACATAAGTTCTCTTGTAACTTCTTTTGCTTCATTTATTTTAAATAAGAATAATAAAGTTTTAGTCTTTAATTTAAAAAAAGAAGATAGGCTAAAAATTAATATGTGTTCAGCTTAAACTAGAAAATTTTAAAAAACAACACACTCTAAGTACAAAGAAAGAAATAATAAAGATGAAATAAATTTAAAAATATTAAACAAAGATACAGAGGAGTTCCACAAAGCCAAAAGTTAGCTCTTGGGGAAGAGAAGTAATAAAACTTAGGCATTTCTGGAGATGCTGACCAAGAAAAAAAGGAAAATTTACAAATTAATTATTATGAGTGAAATGGAGGCTATCGCTGCAAATGCTAAGAAGATGTGAATAATGTTATACCAGTAACACTGAAAACTTAGGTGAAATGTGATGATTCCTTTAGAAAGATGCCAAAACTGCCTGCGAAAGAAGTAGAAAGCTTGATTAGAAATAGAATCAGCAGTTTAAAATATTTCACACAGAAAACAGAAATATTCCATCAAATATTCAAGAAATAGAAACTTCAAAACTTAAACCCATTTAGAAGATTTAAAGGCAGAAAATCTCCAACTCATTCTGTAAGGCTAATTTAATCTTGATAGTTTCTAAACAAGTACTATATTAGAAAGAACATTAGAAGCCAATCTTTTTGTGAATGTAGGAGCAAAGAACCTAAACACAATGTTAGCAAGTCAAATCCAGCAATGTATTTTAAAAGTATGCTTATTTGGGAATGCGGGAATGATTCAACGTTAGAACTTATCATATTAACAAATTAGTGGGCCGGCGCGGTGGCTCACGCCTGTAATCCCAGCACTTTGGAAGGTTGAGGCAGGTGGATTGCCTGAGGTCAGGAGTTCGAGACCAGTCTGGCCAACATGGTGAAACCCCGTCTCTACTAAAAATACAAAAGAATTAGCTGGGCATGCCAGCGTGTGCCTGTAATCCCAGCTACTTGGGAGGCTGAGGCAGGGGAATTGCTTGAACCAGGGAGGTGGAGGTTGCAGTGAGCCAAGATCATGCCACTGCACTCCAGCCTGGGTGACAGAGCGAAACTCCATCTCAAACAAAAAAGAAAATTAGTGGAGAAAAATAATAATATCATGTATAGATGAAGGAAATGCACAAAATAAAACTGAACATTCATTAATGATTTTTTAAAACTCTTAAACTAGAAATAGAAGAACATTTTCTTAATCTGGTAGACGACAACCTATACAATGTAAAATGCTAAAGGCCCTCATGGAGAGAAGACAGTCCATTAACAGCTACTCTAAATGGGACAATCTGTTCACACCAGTCTCCCCCTACCAGGACAGTCGACCAATTGCCAAGAACAGTATTACCTGTTTTACAGCTGCACTTCATGTGGTCCCAACAAGACTATCACTACAGTGCAAGATGACATCTGTTGGATCATCCATCGGGAAGCTAAAAGAGACCACACAATGGCCCATGTGGCAGGCAGGAATCATAAATGCCAAGTTCTCTTGGGGAAGAGTAGGGTTTCCCTCACATTTTTTCTTGTTTGTAGTAGATTTTGGAAAATGGAAGGCTAGCCATGAGCAGGGAAGATCTGACTTTTTTGGTGAGTTACAGGAAAAATATTTGGTAGAGAAAGCAGTGATTTGTGGTTATAGATTTCAGGGAACCAAAGGAAGAAATCAGAGCAGTGGCTAAGATGTTTTGTTTGATATTATTAACAAATGACCTATGAGTGATGGTATCTTAGGTTGAATTCTTCCAAAACAAATTCTAAAGAATGATTTGAGTGCAAGTAGTTTATTTAGGAGGTGACACCAGGAAAAACCAGTAGAGGAGTGGGGCAGTGAGACAGGGAAGGGAGGAAAGCCAGTGTGGGTTACCGCTCTGGACCACTGTGTTCAATGCCAAGTAGACATGCCGGAGAGTTGTCCTGAGTGGAAAGGGAGCCAGGGTCTTTGCACCTGACATGGGCTGAAACTGCTCTCAGAAGCATTACCTCCTGGCACTTCCTCTGCCAAAAGAAGGCCCTGCTGTGGAGAGTCACGGGAGCACACAGTGGGACAGACACAGGCAGGAGGCCTGGCAGCCTCTGCTACAGAGACACTGCACAGTCCATGTTCTGTTCCTTCACTGAGCAGACAGCTTTGCAGCTGTCCTCCTGGACTTTTGTGAGTAGGTGGACACATGTGAGCAAGCCACACACAATAGAGGGCTTCCTCCACTATTACTCAAGTTAGGTAAATTGAGGCAGCTTGGTAACTCACCAACCTCTTCTAAAACATTCTCACCCCCAAAAAGCAGGGCCAGGCACTCCCCCCTGCTGTCAGAACACTTGCATACATGTTCTGCTGGAGCCCATGTCTCAGTTATCTGCTCCTGCATTCCTAGGGCGGGTGCCAATTGGCTTCCTTCACCTTCTGCCTGCAGGGCTGAGCTGCTTCTGGCTGACAAGTGAAAACATTAGAAGCACCCTCATCAATCCATCCATTTCTTCAAGAAATATTTTATATGTTGACTTCATTTGAGTTTACCCAAAGGCAGTTTGAGTCAAGAGCTTAGATGCAGGTAGTTGACCTGGGAGGTGATTCCCAGAAGCAGGAGAGAGAGAGAGAGAGAGAACCGAGAAAGATCGGAGGACCAACCCAAGGGGGCATTACTGAGCTGATCACCACTAAGGGTCACTGAGGCTCACTTCTACTGAGGACTCAGAATTGGTCCTCTGGGGACAGAAGGCTGAGGTATATATCCCCAGTTAATTAAGGGTTGCTGTGAAGGAGGTTCACTGTGCATTGGTTACCAACATGTCTGTGTCCAGTGAGAGAGAACGCATTCATACTCAATAAGTTATATGAAGCAAATTTATTACTTACAGACAGGCAGCAAGGGACAAGAGGAGCATTCATTGCAAGCTGGTTGCCTGAGGCTCAGGAAATCTGCTCAGGGCAAATGGAGTCTCAACTGGGCATGCCCCACTTGCACCACAGACGAGGAATGCCAGAGAGCAGCCTGCCCTGGGTTTAACATCCCAGGGTAATGTGATTTGCTGGGCAGTGTTGAAGGACATCCTATTTTCAGCAGGAGACTGGAACTGACCTTGGGCTGTTCAGCCAGTTCTCCCTTATCTCAAGATGCTGCAATCCTAGCACATTCTGCAGTTATTCCTGAGAACTACATGGTAAAAAGGGGACTGGGTCTGTCCAAGGCCACCCAAACTGCCCTGCAGTTGCCCCGGGGATGTTAAATTTCCCTGAATTCCAGGCTGCGCCTGCTCCCAAGGCTTCCGGAGAAAGTCGTAAGATAAGCCCTAAAGAGGACAGCAACGAGATGCTTGAGGTGGCAGCATTCAGGGGAACTCTCCACAACAATCAGAGAGCTGACGGCAGAGGCAGGCAAGGGACATTAGCACCAATAATGTATGCTACAGGCACCTACCATGTTCTAGACAGAGTGCCAGACATGCAGCAGTGAGCAGGACAGACCAACTTATTTGTTCTCATGGAGCTTCATTTCAGTAGTGGAACAAAGAATTTACCAATAAACAAGTCAGCAAACAAGTAATGACGGGTGTTGTGTCTTTGCAAAAATTATGACAATAAGAAAAATATGACATAGGAAAATTACAACAGTGAAAGAAAGCTGGCCTAACCGACTCCATCTTCTAACCTCCAATCTGCCTTTGCACATTCCTGGGCATAGGCCAAACAAATCTGTGGAGAAACTTAGTTTATAATTTCACTTTAAACCAAATATAACAGCCCCCCCCTGAAACAAACCTCCTTCTTGCTTGGGGACCAGACCACCTTTGTGAAACTAACAAATTAGCCACAAGATTAAAATTTATGGGCCGGGCGCGATGGCTCACACCTGTAATCCCAGCACTTTGGGAGGCCAGGGTGGGCAGATCACCTGAGGTCAGTAGTTCAAGACCAGCCTGGCCAACATGGTGAAACCCTGTCTCTACTAAAAATATAAAAATTAGCCGGGCGTGGTGGCAGGTGCCTGTAATCCCAGCTACTCAGGAGGCTGAGGCAGGATAATTGCTTGAACCCGGGAGGCAGAGGTTGCAGCGAGCCGAGATCACACCATTGCACTCCAGCCTGGGGGACAAGAGCAAGACTTCATCTCAAAAAAAAAAAAAAAAAAAAATTATGGCTTAGGAGTCATGCAGCCCGAAGCCACAAGATTCCTAACCTCCATAATTGCTCCAATAGATAATATTACTATTATATAACATAAGATTGGTGTTCAAGGTATTTTTCAGACCCCACATTGTGATGGACTAGCCACCCAGACTGGTAAACTGGCTATCTCGTCTTGTGACCCCAACCCAGGAACTAACCCAGAGCAAGACGAAAGCTTCATCTCTTCAGGATTTCATCCCTAACCCAACCAATCAGCACTCACCATTCCCTAGCCCCCTGACTGCTAAACTATCTTTTAAAAACCCTAGCCTCCAGACTGGCACAATCCCAGCACTTTGGGAGGCCAAGGAGGGCAAATCACTTGAGAGCAGGAGTTCGAGACCAGCCTGGCCAACACGGTGAAACCCCGTCTCTACTAAAAATACAAATAATTAGCTGGGCATGGTGGTGTGCGCTTGTAATCCCAGCTACTTGTAAGGCTGAGGCATGAGAATCGCTTGAACAGGAGGTGGAGGTTGCAGTAAGCCTAGACTGCACCACTGCACTCCAGCCTGGACAACAAAGCAAGACACTGTCTCAAAAACAAACCCCCCCCAAAAAATTCCTTAGACTCCGAATTTGAGGAGAGGCTGATTTGAGGAGTAATAAGCCTCTGCTCTCCTGGTTAGCCAGCTCTATGTGTATCGAACTCTTTATTGCAATTCCCATCTTGAAAAATTGGCTCTATCTGGGCGACAGGCAAGAAGAAGCTGTTGGGTGGTTACAGTGTGATGAGTGCTATGAAGGAAATAACATAAAAGGTGACAGAGAATAACTAGAGGAGGCCATTCTAGATAAAATGGTCTGAGGAGGTGACATTTGAGCTGAGTATTAAACATTGAGAAACAATCTACGAAGGGAAGATGTGGTGCAAGACCTTTCCAAGCAGTGTATAATACACACAAAAGCCCATGCCAGCAAAAAGATTTTACTTTCACAAATTCTAGAAACTCTAAGAGTAAAAAGTGGTGAAAAGAAAGGAAGTGATAACACATGTTGCCAAGTGCAGCAGGCAGAAACAGGGCCATCACCACTTCACGACAGGATCTCAAAATACTAGGAAGTGTAAATTAAAACCATGAGATATAGTTTTGTCATTATTGGATTGGGAAAGATCCAAAAGTTTGGAAAGACCCCACTGGTGAAGATGTGTGGAAACCCACAGTCTTACACATTATTTGCCAGAGTGTAAATTAGTACAGTGTCTAAGGGGGGCAATTTAGCCACGTTTGGCTAATATATTATTTTAAAGGACATATCCCACCATAGCCAATTCCACCTCTAAGAATATTTCTGACAGATATACCCACATGCATGCACAAAGACAATCCACGGGATCCAGTCACATTATTCCTAACCCAAAGCAACTGGGAAACACTTCAAGGTCCATCAGTGAAGGCCCGCATAGGCTAACCTCTGTAATAACCAAATCTCAGTGGCAGTGTCCAACCAGGTGCTTGTGGGCGACCTTCCAACAGGCACCGCATTGCCCGGCTGCCAGGCCGGGCCTGTGTACTGTCCCCGCATCCCATACAGCTAGCACTTATTCACCCTCAAAAGCGTCCCATCCTGAAAATAAACTCTTGCCCACTTGGTGCTTCAGGAACCTGGGCTTCTTCCACTAATAGCTCTCCCAGATGCCCCAGTGCGCAGGTGGGGCCGTCCTCTAGGACCAGGCCTGGCTGGGGCGCACCCACACCTCCTTGGCCAGACGCCATGGGCCGGGAAGGGGCTCTGGCCCTTGCGGGAATGAGGGCGCCTAGCATAGGTGTGCAAGTGGGCAGCCCCCACCGTGGGGTCCTTAAGTAAGCTGGAGCCTGTGAGCCAGGACAGTCAGGAGTTGCAACCTTGGTGATTTCTAGGAAGACAGAAAATGGGGTCAAGGGCCGGGTGTGGTGGCTTATGCCTATAGACCCAGCACTTTGGGAGGCCGAGGCAGGCGGATCACCTTAGGTCAGGAGTTCGAGACCAGCCTGACCAACAGGGCGAAACCTCGTCACTACTAAAGGTACAAAAATTAGCCAGGCGTGGTGGCGCACACCTGTAATCCCAGCTACTCAGGAAGCTGAGGCAACAGAATCGCTTGAACCCGGGAGGCAGAGGTTGCAGTGAGCTGAGACCACATCACTGCACTCCAGCCTGGGTGAGAACCTGTTAAAAAAAAAAATAAGAAAATGGGGTCAAGAAACGGTGGGAGGAGGGCAGATTTCATGAACCTGCCTGCTATGATGTGGCTGCATTTCCATCATGCATTGTCCTAAAAAAAGAAAAAGAAAAAAATAAAATGTAGACGTGGAGGGATGGGGGAAATTGCACAGGCCGGTCCAGGCTGTGAGGCTGCCCCCTACCAGGGACGACGAGGGCCAGCTCCGCCGCGCCGTAAGGAAACTGGCCAAGGGAACCCCTTGAATCTGGCGAGGGCCCGCCATGAGACGCTCGGGGAACCAGACTGCCGAGCCCCCCTCTCTGGGCCGACGCCAGCCCGGCTGTGGACTGGAGAAAACCGCAAGGCCACCTGCAGAAAGAAAAGAAGGCCATCGCGCCTACGCAGCTGAGCACCCATACTCCGCCCGCGCCTGCGCAACTGGGTCCCCCGACCCCCACCTCCTCTCCCGCCTGCGCATGCGCGGCTGGGTGCGCCCCCCCGCCCAGCCTGTGACGCCACGTGCATGGGGCGGAGCCCAGGCCCTAGGGAATCGTGGGGTCGTATCCCGCGGGTGGAGGCCGGGGTGGCGCCGGCCGGGGCGGGGGAGCCCAAAAGACCGGCTGCCGCCTGCTCCCCGGAAAAGGGCACTCGTCTCCGTGGGTGTGGCGGAGCGCGCGGTGCATGGTAAGCGGCGGGCCGGGGCGCTGGCGGGGGCGGCCGGGGATCACCGACTGTAGGCGGGCCTCCCCCACGCGGGCGCGCTGCGCTCCGGAGGACGGCCTCGGGGTCACTCGCACCCCGGGTCCCACCTCCTGCTGCCTTCCTGTCCAGGCTCCATTAGGGCTCCCTGGATGTCTGGGCTCCGCTGACCGGTGGGGGGCAAGTCCAGTGTTTTGGGCCACAGGGCGGGCCAAATAGCAGGGGCCTGTAGCCCCAGGGGGCCCCAGCCCTGCTGCGTTCATTCATTCAGCCCGCTTTTGCGGACCCGCCCCCAGTCTGCGTCAGGGACAGACCCCTCCGCCCTGGATGAGCCCGGCGGGGAAGCTTCGCGTAGCAGTTTCTGGGAAACAGGTAGGATCAGGCCGCTCGGACAGGACTGAGGGTGTAAGGACGATTCACCCTGGCATTGGGGTGGTGTCCCGAGGAGCTCATAGGTGGTCAGGGCGGTTCTGCCCGAGCTGACCTGTGAGCCGCGAATGCCCTGGACCGAGGGAGGGAGAGCCCCCTAGGTGGACAGACTAGACTCCTTCAGTGGAAAACATTCAACAGCCAGGAGAGCGTGGAAGAGGAAGGAGAGATGGGAGGGCCCAGGGGAGCGTGGAAGGGAGGGTGTTTTTATTATAAGTGCACCTGTAAGTGCAAAGTGCAAAGGAAGCAGCCGCCGGGAAGTGCCTGGGCAGCTCTGGGTGTCCCTCCAGGCACCTGTATTCCAGCCTTACCTGCGCGAAGCCACACATCCCACGTCACACAGGATACGGGGAAGTCAGCCATAGCCTGCAGGCGGGGAATCTGAAACCTCGCGCAGGAGTTCCTTGGGAGAGGTGGATTACAAGGACTCTTCCTCCCACCCGCTGTGCAAGAGCCATGGGCGGCCGGTAGTCATTTTTGAAGGACCTGGCAAGCACTGTACAAATCTCAAAATTGCTTTTTGTCCCCCTCCCCTTGCCTTGGAGAGAGTGGCTGGCTAGTGTGTGTGTCGTCTGCCTCCTGAAGGTTCGGGTAAAGGACCAGGGAGGTGGGCAGCCCTTTGTGTCAGGAGATCTGGAAGCGCCTCCCCTCCCACCGCCTCCTGTGTAAAGGAAACAGCAGGTGGTGTTGACGGGCGGTTCACGCACCGGTTTTTGCCAAGGAGAGAAAAACCTACTGAAACCCACCAGGAGGATGAGTGGAAGTTTCTAATGTGCTTCATTTTTTGATACAGCGTGCATGGCAGGCATTTGCATTCATGACCCTTCCGTGTACTTGAACTGAAAACCTGAAGAAACTGGCCAACAGATTAGGCAGCCATCAATCCACATCAGATGGCCCCTGTATTTCCAAGAGGTGACCTGCCATCCCCATCTAGAAAGCCAACCAGGGGACAGGGTAGCTCCTACCACCAACAACACTGCTCTACCCTCAGATTCTCTTCTCTGACTCCTGCCTCCACCTGCTGGAGGGTGGCCTCAGCAGGAGCCACACCTCTCTGTTTGCCTGTGTGCACCCTACTTCCTACCCCTGCCTTCCCTCAGTCCCCACCCGCTACCTTCCTTACAGCCTCATCCCACCCTGTCTCTCCTTTAAAGAACAGACTGAGATGGCATTGTTTTCCTCAAAGAGTCTGTCAGGGAGAACCTGATCAACACATTCACGCTGTGGTGTTAGTGGTTCCCACAGAAACCCCATTTCCTCTCCGGCAGGTGTCTCAGCCATGGGCAAACACCTTAACCTAGTGGAATGAAATTGCTGTTTAGATCTGGGACACAGGTACATGGAGATGACCTGTTCCTTGGGGAGAGGGGATGGTGAACATGATTATAAGAACTCTTCTTCCCACCCTTGTGCAAGAGCAAGGCTGTTCCTGGTTCTGTGCTCTCTCAGTACTGTGTTCTAGTTGGACTCTTGCTTTTGTCTTCCTGAACTTGGTGTGTAACTTCAGTAATTATGTCTATGTAAGGTATGTCTATGTATGTGAGTGTTTTTTGGATCTCTAAAGTCGTGATAAAGCACGTTCAATTTGGGGACTGAAGCCAGGGACTCTTGTGTGCTCCACCACACACTGACTGCAATCTCAGACAGTTCCGTTTACACACATTCCCAGGGCCTTGGTGCTGTCTTAGGGAAACCCAGGGCTGTGAGGCAGGCTTTGTGGGGTGCTGGACACAGGGCATGGCACATAAAGGGTTTTTTTAAATGGGTAGACAGTAAATAAGGAGCAACTTTGCCTCTAGATTTAATATACCACCTGTGAATCTGATCATGTAGAATATGGTTCTTAGACTAACATAGGACATGATAAGATTTGATTATGGGCCAGGTGCGGTGTCTCACACCTGTAATTTCAGCACTTTGGGAGGCCGAGGTGGGCAGATCATTTGAGGTCAGGAGTTCGAGACCAGCCTGGCCAACATGGTGAAATACCGTCTGTACTAAAAATACAAAAATTAGCTGGGCGTGGTGGTGCATGCCTGTAATCTCAGGTACTTGGGAGGCTGAGGCAGGAGAATTGCTTAACCTGGGAGGCAGAGGTTGCAGTAAGCTGAGATTGTGCTACTTCACTCCAGCCTAGGTGATAGGTGAGAGAGTGAGACTCTGTCTCAAAAAAAAAAAAGTCTTGATTACATAAAGAGGATTTTATTAAACGTATTCACAGTTGTAGGGTGTTACTATTGCTTTTTGTCCTCATTATTCATCCCTGGAGTGTTTCAGAACTTTCTCTAGAAATATTGTAATTTAATTAAACATTTGATGATTACTTAGAAACCTGAAACTTTGGGTTATAGTCTGCTAAGGAAGGGAGGGCTGTTGTGGTATGGGAGGTGCTACTTTGGAACGGACATTCCTAGTGCCACGTCTCTTCTCCCAGTCTCAGCTGACGTTGCCTTAATGTGCATCATTCCCAGCCCCAAGCCTGTCACCTCTCATAGGGTCCGTCCTATTTCTGGACCAGCCCCAAACCTGTCACCTCTCATAGGGCCTGTCCTGTTTCCCACTGATGTCCCGCTGGCATATCAAACTCAGCATGTCAAAAACCTGATCACTGCTGCCTCCTGCCAAATGGCCCCTTCCCAGATGACCTGTTTCAGTTCATGGCCATCACCCAGTCCTGTGGCATCTATGATGCCTGCATCTTCCTCCTACTGCCCGTTTTCCCCCTCAGTACACTGCTGAGCCATCAGCAGACCCCCTTCAACAGGTGCTGGCTGAGCAGCTGCTGGGATCTGGTTTTGTGTTGGGTGCTGGAGGTTCTGGGATGGGGGCTGGTCCCTACTCCTGGAGTAGGCGTCATCTAACCAGAGCCAGAGGGGCCTAGAAGAACTGCACATGTCATGTGCTGTGGAAATGGCAGAGCAGCCAGCAGCACAAGGGAGGAGCTCCGCCAGCACATTTCAGCAGGAAGAACCTTAGTCAGGCATGATCTGTCTCCTTCGTTGAGAGAGTAGGGCGTGAGTGTGATCAGAATTGTAAAACGTTTTGTATTTGACACAGTGGGTGGGCCCTGCCCTCTTTATCCCCATCCCTCACCCCACAGAGTGCCTTAAGTCCGATACCCACAGAACTTATTTCTGTTACCTGCCTGGCCTAGCCATTGAAGGATTTTAGAAGTTGCCATAAAATACACATAACACAAAAATTAGCAACATAATCCTTTTTAAATGTACAGTTCTGTGGCATTAAGTACATTCACAACCACCATCACCATCCGTCTCCAGAACTTTTTCATGTTCCCTGACTGAAACTCTTTACCCAATAAGTCCTCCTCACCCACTGCCCTCAGCACCTGCCCTTCTACTCTCTGTCTGTGTGATTTGACAGCTCTGTAACTCATGTAAGTGGAATCCTACAATATTTGTCTTTTTGTGACTGGCTTATTTCACTTAGTGAAATGCCTTTAAGGCTCATCCATGTTGTAGCACATGTCAGAATTTACTTCCTTTTTAAAACTGAATAATATTTCATTCAAAATTCAGTTCAGCTCTAAATTGAATTTTGTGTATCCATCTGTCGATGGATGTTTGGATTATTTCTCTCCTGTCTGTTGTGAATAATGCTTCAGTGAATGTGAGTGTGTAGATATCTCTTTAAGATCCTGATTTCAACTCTTTTAGAAGTGGGATTGCTGAACCATATGGTAGTTCCAGCTTTGATTTTCGGAGGAAGCTCCATGCTGTTTTCCAAGGCAGCTGCACCATCTGACTTTCCCACCAGCAGCGCACAAGGGTTCCAGTTTCTCCACATCCTCACTAATACTTGTTATTTTCTGTTTGTTTGATAGTGGCTGTCCTAATATATGATGTGATAGCTCATTGCAATTTTGCATTTTGCTAACGATTCATGATGTTGAGCCTCTTTTTGTATGCTTTTTATCTGTTATTTTTTAAACAGATTGCTATTTTTGTGGTTGACTTTTAAGAGTTCTTTATATATTCTAATTATTAACCCCTTTCAGAGCAGATGTACTATTTACCTGTTTTCTCCTGTTCTGTAGGTTGTGTTTTCATTTTGTTGATTGTTTCTTTTGCTGGGTAGAAGCCATTTAGTTAATGTAATTCCATTTGTTTATTTTTGCTTTTATTGCCTGTGCTTTTGGTGTCGTATCTAAGAAATCATTGCCAAATTCTTTATTATTTATCTTGGTGGATTTTGTGTTCAAGAATTTGTCCATTTCATCTAGGTTATCCAGTTTGTAGGCATACAGTTGTTCGTAGTACTCTCTTATAATCATTTTTATTCTGTAAAATAGGTAGTAATGTCCCCTCTTTCATTCCAGATTACAGCTATTTGAGTCTTCTTTCTTTATTCCTTAGTCAGTCTAGCTAAAGGTTTGACAGTTTTGTTGATTTTTGAAGAATCAAATTTTAGTTTCATTTATTTTCTCTATTTTTCTATTCTCTATCCTCCTGTAATCTTTATTATTTTCCTCCTCCTTTTTTACTTTTTTCCTCCTCCTTTTTTCCTCCTCCTTTTTCTAGCTTTATGTTTAGTTTGTTCTTTTACTAGTTACTTAAGGTGTACAGTTAGGTTGTTTGAGCCCTTTCTTCTTTTCTAAAGCAAGTGTTTACAGCTGTACATTTCCCTATTGGCACTGTTTTTGCTGCATCCCATAAGTTTTGGAAGGTTGTGTTTTTGTTTTCACTTATCTCAAGGTATTTTCTAATTTTCATTATGACTTCTTCTTTGACTCTTCAGTTGTTTAAGATTGGGCTGTGCTGAATTTCCACATAATTGTGAATTATCCAGTTTTCCTTCTGCTGTTGATTTCTGGTGTCACCCCATTGTGACTGGAAAAGATGCTTTGTATGGTTTGGATTGTTTAAAATGCATTAAGGCCTGTTTTGTAGCCCACCGTCTGGCGTTGCATGCAGGGCGCTCCGTTACACTCTTGCTCTGTAGTGTCGTTTGAGTCCTCTGTTTCTATATTGATCTTCTGTCTAATTTTTCTGTCCATTATTCAAAGTGGGACATTTCAGTCTCCTAGTATAATAATATTACTATTATTGATAGTTGTCTATTTCTCTTCAATTTTATCAGTGTCTGGTTCATATATTTAGGGGTTTTGATGTTTACTGTGTATATGTTTATAATTGTTTTATATTCCTGGTGAATTGACTATTTTATCATGATATAATGTACTTCTTTGTCTCTTGTGACAGTTTTTGACTTAAAGTCTCTTTTGTCTGATATTGGTACAGCAACCCCTGCTCTCCTTTGGTCACTCTTTGAATTGACTCTTTTCCATTCTTTTACTTTCAGCCCATATGTGTTCTTAGATCAAAAGTGAGCTTCTTGTAGATAGAATATACAGCTGACCTTTGAACAACATGGGTTAGGGATACCAACCCCTCACCTGCAGTTGAAAATCCAAGTGTAACTTCAGTCTAGAATGCAGTGGTGTAATCATGGCTTACTGCAGCCTTGAACTCCAAGGCTCAAGTGATCCTCCCACCTCAGCCTCCCCAAGGAGCTTGGGACTACAGGCGCACACCACCATGTCCAGCTAATTTTTTTATTTTTTGTAGAGACAGTGTCTCCCTATGCTGCCCAGGCTGGTCTCAAACTCCTGGGCTCAAGATATCCTCTCGCCTCCGCCTCCCAAACTAGTAGCCTACTGTTGAAGAAGCCTTACTGATAACATAAATAGTTGATTAACACATAGTTTGTATGTTATATTACTATAAGGTAAGCTAATGAACAGAAAATGTTATTATAATAAGAAATCATAAGAAAGAGAAAATGTATTTGCTATTTATTAAGTGGAAGTGGATTATCATAAAGGTCTTCATCTTCATTGTCTTCATGTTGAGTAAGCTAAGGAGGAGGTGAAAGAGGAAAGGTTGATCTTGCTGTCTCAGAGGTGGCAGGAGTGGAAGAAAATCTGGATATAAGTAGACCTGTGCAGTTCAAACCCATGTTGTTTGAGGGTCAGCTGTAGTCAGGTCTTGTTTTTTAATCTATTCTGTCAATCTGTGTCTCTTGATTAAGGAGTTAATCCATTTATATTTAAAGTAATTACTCATAGGGAAGGACTTGTTTTTGATGTTTTGTTATTTATATATATTTTATAGCTTTTTTTGTCCTTCATTACTACCTTATTTTGTATTTAGTTGATTATTTGTAGTTTCCGTTTTTGATTCCCTTCTCAGTTCCTTTTGTGTATATGCTACAGACATTTCCATTGTGGTTACAACCATAGGGATTACATACATAACAGCCTGAAGTTATAGCAATCTATTTTAAATTGATATCAACTTAATTTCAGTCAGACACAGTAACCTCTCCTTTACAATTCCATCTACCCCCACTTTGTTATTGATGTCACAGATTACATCTATATATATTGGGTATGTACCCATTAACATAAACCTGTAATTATTTTTATGCATATATCTTTTAAATCCTGAAGAAAATATTAAGTAGTGTTGCAGACCAATTGTACACTAATACTAGTTTCTATATTTGTCCCTCCATTTGCCTTTGCTGGAAATGTTTGTATTTTCTTACAGCTTTTAGCTGCTGTCTAGTGCCCTTTTGTTTTAACTTTCAGGACTCCCTTTAGTAGTCTGGTAGGGCAGATCTAGTGGCAATGAACACGCACATCTTTTATTAATCTGGAAGTGTCTTAATTTCTCCCTCATTTGTGAAGGACAGTTTTGCTGAATGTAGAATTCTCTGTTGACAGATTTTTTTGTTTGTTTGTTTTAGCAGTTTGGGGGTATCTTCCCACTGCCTCTGGCCTCTGAGGTTTCTGCTAAGACATTGGCTAACAGTGTTATTGAGGATTCTTTGTACATCATGAGCCATTCTTTTGCTGCTTTCAATATTCTGCCTTTGTCTTTACACAGTTTGATTATATTGTGTCTTCATGTTGGTCTCTTTGGGTTTATCTTACGTGGGGTTTACTGAGCTTCTTGGATGTTTATATTCATGTCTTTAGTCAAATTTGGGAGGTTTTTAGCTATTCTTTCTTCACATAATTTCTCTGCCCCATTCTCTCTTCTCTTTCTTAGATTTCCATAATGTGCATGGTGCACGTGAGGGAGGCCCCTAAGTCCCTGAGGCTCTGCTCACTTTCCTCATTCTTTTTGTTCCTCTGACTTGATATTTTCAAATGTGCTATGTTGAAGTTTGCTGATTCTTCTACCGACTCAAATCCCTCTGGTCAGAGTTTTCAGTTCAGTTTTGTATTTCTCAGCTCCACAATTTCTGTTTGATTCCTTTTTATAATTTCTCATTTTGTTGTCATATGTTATTTTCTTGATTTCTTTTCATTCTTTATCTGTTTTCCTTCAGCTCTTTTAGCATATTTAAGACAGTCATTTTTAGTCTTGGTCAAGTACATCCAGTGCCTGCATTTCTTCAGGGATGGGTTCTGCCACTTCATTTTCTTCCTCTGAATGAGCTGTGTTTTCCTGTTTCTTTGTATGCCGTGTGATTTTTTTGCTGAACATTGGGCATTTGAAAAACAGCTCCTTGTCCCAGTCTTTGAAGACTAACTCTGTATTGGGAATGGCCCCCACCAAATAGCAGGATCTGCCTAAGTGTGGGGATCAGCTCTGGATGAAGGCCAAAGTTTCCTCTGGTTTCTTCTGAGGATGCATCTTCCCTGGGCCTGTGTATGTGTTTTTTTCAATTTCCCCATATTCGTGGCTGTTTCAAAATCTCTTACTTTCATTATGAATACTTTCAAGCTTCCCTTTGGAATATACCAAGAAATGCATTTGGAGTAACCTTTGTTTTTCTATCATTGTAAATTTAGATTCTGGAATTGGGGTTTGGTGGTGTGATGTGTTGCTCACATGTGGCCAGAACTCCTGCTCCTAAAAGGACTTTGAGATCAAGGAACACATATTTAATCTCCCCTTTATGCCTTGGTTTTAGTTCCTCTTTCCAAGTTGAATAACCAATTTTTCATTGCTGTTTGGTTTAAGTTGGTGCTTTGAAGCTTAATCTCAGTACCCTTAACTCTGAATTATCGAATTTTGATAAAAATGTGTGCCCTTATTTTTTGGTAAGAGAAAGCAGGTCTTAATGTCTGCCGGAACACAATTTATTTGCCTTGTTGGCTCCATTAAACTTTTACAAAGCTTTATATATATATATATATATCTTACTTTCTCAAAGTCTCCCCCAGTCCCTCCTTGGGCCTCAGATGTTCTACTGTATTTCTCACCTGTCATTCTTGCCCCAGGTATGCGTGGGGCTATAGTCATCCTACAGCTTTGCCTAGCAGTGCCCATAACCATTTCCCTGACTTCCTATCTGGGCTCTGAGCTCAGAGTCAGGTGAAACAGAGATCTGTTCCTCAGGCAGCCCAAGACAGATTAGGATGTTGCAGAAAGGTCCGCTCTGCTCCCTCCAGTTCAAGGGAAGGAATTGGGAACCGGGCTGCCGCATTCATCAGGTGGTGCCATGCTGGGGAGGCCTGGGGCAGGGGTGAGTGAAACACCTCAGAGTTCCTGACATCCTGAATGTGGCTGCTTCTGGGCTGGGCATTCTCTTGGTTGCTGTAGATCGTTGCCTGTTTTGCAGAGCTCCTATGCAATATTTTAACCAGTCTCTAGTTGTTTTTAGTGTTTCTCTGTGGGGGAACAAGGGCCTTTGAGCTTCCTCTTTTGCCGTCTTGCTGTGTCCTCTCCCTGTTTATGGATTTTCTACAGGACTCTGTTGTGTGTCTGGTGACGTTATAGAAGGTGCGGGGGTAGAGGAGCAGCCTCTTCCATTCTAGAGAAGGGCTTGGATGCCATGCTGGGCAGCAGCAGCACAAGACAAGCTGAGTCCCTGCCCTGGGGGCTCATGGCCTAGTGGGGAGACACAGACCTACAGGAATCAGGTCTATGAATACTGGTTTCATCACTGCTGGTGGTGGGTAAAGGGAGCTCAGAGAGTGCGTGATGGGGCATGTGCAGGTTGGGGGCATCCGGGAAGGGGGTGGCAGTGACATTTCAGTGGAGGTTTCAGAATGAAGACACGGTGCCAGTGTGGTGGGACAAGTATTCTGGGAATGCGTATCAGTCTGTGCCAGGGGCCTGAGGCAGGGAGAGGCTGAGTTCTAGGGGCAGAAGAAGGCACTGTTCTCAGAGCACTGTGGGCAAGGACGAAAGAGGAGTGCGATGAAGCCACAGGGGCCAGCAGGGACAGGGGCCGGCAGGGACAGGCCCAGGCAGAGGCTGCAACATGATCCTGAGAGCTGTGGGAAGCCCCCGAGTGTGGTGGGACCCAGGCCCAGAATAGGGCTGGGGAGGGGCTGCACGTTGGCACCTGCCAGGAGAGGCTTTTTGCAGCCCTGCCCGTGGCAGATGCTCAGGGAAGGGTGGTTTTTCCTGTCTCCTGCTCCAGTGTGGGTGGCCAGGCCACTGGTGAGGCCTCTCCCCTCGGCACGGGGCACTGTGGCAGTGCTTGTCTTACCTCTCTGGGCCTGAGGATATCCAGCTGTGGCCACAGGCGGGACCTCAGGAAGGAGGGGCCAGGAATGGCCTGCTCCCCGTGCTTTGCCCCGCGGGCCCTGTCCTTCCGTTCTGCTGTGCCCAAACAGCCTCAGGTAGCGCAGGTCGCTGCGGGCTTGCTCCTTTGACTGCTACTGCCCCCTCCTCAGCAGTGCAGCCATGCTGTCCTTGGTTCCACAGAGATGTCACCTCCTGCTGCCCTTCTGTAAAGCCCGCATGTGGCACGTGCTTTCCCTGCAGCCTGTTCTGAGCACATTGAATCCCCACAGTCACGAGGGGCTCTCCAATGAGCAGCCCCACCTTGCAGATGAAACTGGCCCCCTTGAGGGGCATGTTGCCCACTGTCACACGTAGCTGCGGGCAGAGCCGGTGCCACTTCCAGCCCGGCATCCTCCTGATCCCTGCTCCCCTAGGAGTGGCCACTCACCAGGACCGACTGAGAGAGTGAGGGAGGGACAGGCTGATGGACGTTCCCCAAGGTTGGGGGCCCTAGAGTCGGCCCACACTTCTTGTCCTTTGAAGCCTCAGGTTCCCACATGCTGCCTCGCACTGGAGCAGCCAATGAAACTTGAACAAATGCTTTCATTTTGGGTATATCGAACCAAAAACAATGGCACCCAGTGAATTTATTTTGCTACTCTAGTAGAATTTTTGTAGGCTTTGGAAGTACACAGACATTATTTTCTCCTTGGCAGGAATGGGCTATGTGAATGAAAAAAGGTATCCGTTATGAAACTTCCAGAAAAACGAGCTACATTTTTCAGGTTTGTCTGGGGCTCTCAGTAGTTGCCCAAGGGACGGAGTTTAAACCTTTCGAAAAGTAAATTGCCTGAATAGAAGTATAACTGAGGATTGAAAGACTGAATCAGATACGCGCTTCTGTTCCCATGAACAGTTTGGGAACACCATTTACATGTGGCTTCTTTTACATAAATCGCCATGTGTCCCAAGCTGGTGGGACCCTCCCTTAGAGGAGCCAGCCACTGTGGTCTGTGCACCAGGTCAGCAGCTGCAATGTGTGCGACCTTGAGCAGGCTGTCCTGCCTTTATAAACCTCAGTTCCTCTTCTGTAGGATGGGGATCACACCTTCTGGAATAATTATGAGGCTCAAATGAAGCTTCTGATTCCTGGGGGGAACACGGAGCAGTTTCAGGTTGAACATTTTGTCCCTGGGCCTGGGGACGTCTGACTCTCCTTGGATCCTAGCACCCTAACGTGCTTTTCCTGCCTCTCCCCCCTTCCCACCAGCAGCCGCAGCACGGTCCTTGGCAAACAAGGATGAGAAAAATATCCAACCACGGGAGCCTGCGGGTGGCGAAGGTGGCATACCCCCTGGGGCTGTGTGTGGGCGTGTTCATCTATGTTGCCTACATCAAGTGGCACCGGGCCACCGCCACCCAGGCCTTCTTCAGCATCACCAGGGCAGCCCCGGGGGCCCGGTGGGGTCAGCAGGCCCACAGCCCCCTGGGGACAGCTGCAGACGGGCACGAGGTCTTCTACGGGATCATGTTTGATGCAGGAAGCACTGGCACCCGAGTACACGTCTTCCAGTTCACCCGGCCCCCCAGAGGTACCCGCCTCTCATGGCAGGGCTCTCGGGATCTCCTCCCCTGTGCTACAGTGTTGGCCGGGTCCCCTGCCACAGACTCACCTGGGAGCTTGTCTAAATGCAGTTTCCCAGAGATGCTGACGCTGGTATGGGCTGGGGTCCAAGCATCTGAATTTCCCGGGAGTCCCAGATCACTCTTACACTAGTGAGTGGTGACCATGCTGAAGGGCAGCTGAGACCTTGAGGTGTTTGGTGGCCTGTCCCCTCCCCACATTCACCAGCAGGTCAGGTGGCTAGGACCATGATTTAGGCCAGTGGTTGTGTTTGGGGCTTTGTGGGGAGTTCAGGCAGGAAGTATCCCCAGATTCAGTCCCATGGGAGCCAGAAAATCAGGAAAGTCAGATAAATAATAAAGGCTCCTGGGCTTGACCGGGAGCTGCCAGGTGGGCCAAGATGGCCAGGGGCAACAGCCGAGAGGGGTCTCAGCTGGATAAGGGAGCTGGAGCCTGGGCTTCGTTGGCTATGCTTCTAGGGTGGGCCTCAGGCCGGGGTGGGCGGCTTCTCTTGAGGGGTCCCCCTCGCCACCCGGTTCCTCTGCTCTCCAACCACCCTCTTCCCTTGGTTCCCTGATGCCCCTCTCGTGCCCGTGACCCTGAGGTTCGCCCTCCATGTCTCTCTAGCTGTAGCCAGTGAGAGTTTGCAGCCCCTGTCAGGCAGGTCCCCTGGGTGTCCCATGCTCTTCTTGGCTGACCTGGAACCTGTGGGGTAGACACCATCCTGGCATTGCACGGTTCTGCTGGTGCTGGACATTTCTAGCTGCTGTCTCCAAAGCTGAGTGGTGTATTTTATTTACTTTTGACTCCATCTGCGTTATTTTTTAACTTATTACAGTAGTGAAATATTTAGATGCCATATCTGCTTATCTCTAAAAGTGGCTTCGAAGCCTGTAATCCCAGCTATGTGGGAGGCTAAGGCAGGAGAATCGCTTGAACCTGGTAGGCGGAGTTTGCAGTGAGCCAAGATCACACCATTGCACTGCAGCCTGGGCAACAAGAGTGAAACTTGATCTCAAAAAATTTTTTTTTAAGTGGAACTTTTTAAAAATTAATAATTAAAAAGTAAAGCTTCTTCAAAGCTAAGTGTGCAACAGACATCAGCCTGCGATGCTTTTGGAGCCATGTCCCAGGGTTTTCTCTTTGGAGAGAAAAGACTTTGCAAAAAGTTTTGTCCCTGATTTTTTCTGGTCCAGTCTTCGCGTCTGAATTTAGTATGCCTCCTTATTGTAAGCACAAGTTCATACCACTCCTAATAATTTAAAACACTCCATTTTTTAAAATGAAGAAAATACCCTAATCTTGAGAACCCTTTAATAAATTCATTTCAGAATCAAGGAAATGGTGTTCCTATTTTCAGTTTGGAGTCACTTATCCTATTCCGCTGTTTATTGAATTGGCAAGAATTAACTATGTTAAAATTTAACACTGATGCAGTTGTTTTGTGTGTAAATTATCTTCAGTAAAGTTGGATTTTTATTTTTTATTTTATTTTTATTTTTTTTGAGACGGAGTCTCGCTCTGCTGCCCAGGCTGGAGTACAGTGGTGCGATCTTGGCTCACTGCAACCTCCGCCTCCTGGGTTCAAGCGATTCTCCTGCCTCAGCCTCCTGAGTAGCTGGGACTACAGATGCCCATCACCACACCTGGCTACTTTTTTTTTCTTTTTTATTTATTTTTATTTAATTTTTTTTTTTTGAGATGGAGTCTCGCTCTGTCGCCCAGGCTGGAGTGCAGTGGTGCAATCTCCGCTCACTGCAAGCTCCGCCCCCCGGGTTCATGCCATTCTCCTGCCTCAGCCTCCCGAGTAGCTGGGACTACAGGCGCCCGCCACCACGCCCAGCTAGTTTTTTTGTATTTTTAGTAGAGATGGGGTTTCACCATATTCGCCAGGATGGTCTCGAACTCCTGACCTCGTGATCTGCTCACCTTGGCCTCCCAAAGTGCTGGGATTACAGGCGTGAGCCACCGTGCCTGGCCGTAAAGTTGGATTCTTAAAAGGTAAAATGCAGGGCACATAGCTTGCACCTGTAGTCCCAGCTACTCAGGAGGCTGAGATGGGAGGATTGCTTGAGCCCAAAAGTTCAAGACCAGCCTGGGCAACATAGCAAGAGCCCTTCTCTTTAAAAAAAAATAATTATAATAAATATAATCTTTAAAAAATAATTATAATAAATAATAATTTTAAAAAAATAATTAATTAAGAAGTAATGTTCTGGCCAAGACATTAGGTATTATACTCATCTTGTTCTGATGAACAAAGAGTCAGAATTTAGACAAGGAATAGCTGAAGGGCCCCTGCCACTTGGGGATTGGTCTGTGTTAGTGTCTGTCTTTAAAAAGTGTGGCTAGTCATGATTGTATGTGTTCTCCTGTGTGTATTCATAGTTGTACCCTTTTCAACATGTTTTCCCCTTAGAAACTCCCACGTTAACCCACGAAACCTTCAAAGCACTGAAGCCAGGTCTTTCTGCCTATGCTGATGATGTTGAAAAGGTAAGGATCCTCTCCCGTGTCTCCCTGTTCAACTGCAGAATGTGTTCAAGCCAGTTCTTTTCCTTTGAATGTGGTAGGCTGTCTTCACAAAGGAAGGGGGCTTTGACAGTGCTGCCTGGGCATTTCATGCCATTTGGGATGGTCAGAAGAGAGAAGGTGTGCAGCGCGCGAGCCCAGAGGAGAACGCGCCCCCACCCGGCCCCATCCTCTGACTCCACCGTGCCAGCGCTCACTTCTCCAACGTGGGGGTCCCGAGGTCTTGGTACAGGTCAGAAGCACAAATCCTGCAAACTTACAAAAATCATTATTTGATAGTTTGCTTATTCAAATTTTTACGCTAATTTAGTCTTGTGAATTTTGCATAATACATTTTTAATTTTTTGTTGTGGTTTCTGATCGAAGATAGCAAACATTGACTGAAAAAAAAAAATTAGTGTTGGCCAGGCATGGTGGCTCACACTTGCAATCCCAGCACTTTGGGAGGCTGGGGCAAGAGGATCTCTTGAGCCCAGGAGTTGAAGACCAGCCTGGGCAACAGAGTGAGAACCCTATTTCTACAAAATTTAAAAATTAGCTAGGCATGGTGGTACACACCTGTCATCCCAGCTACTTGGGAGACTGAGGTGGGAGGATCACTTGGGCCTGGGAGGTCAAGGCTACAGTGAGCCATGATTGTGCCACAGGTGACAGAGTGAGACCTTATATTTAAAGAAAAAAGTTAAAAACGTATTACAGGCCAGGCACAGTGGCTCACGCCTGTAATCCCAGCACTTTGGGAGGCTGACGCGGGTGGATCACCTGAGGTCAGGAGTTCGAGACCAAGCTGGTCAACATGGTGAAACCTTGTCTCTACTAAAAATACAAAAATTAGCCAGGCATGGTGGCGCACGCCTGAAATTCCAGCTACTCAGGAGGCTGAGGCAGGAGAATCACTTGAACATGGGAAGCAGAGGTTGCAGTAAGCTGAGATTGCGCCACTGTACTCCAGCCTGGGGGACAGAGTGAGACTCTGACCCCATCCAAAAGAAATGTATTATGCAAAATCCACAAAACCAAATAAATCGAAATTTAATTAAAATTGTCAAATAATGATTTATGTAAGTTTGTAGCATTGCTACTTCTATCTAAAGTCCTTAAAGCTTACAGCTGCACTAATACAGGATGCCTGGTTTTCTACCAAGGCACTCACAAAATGGGCTATGGAGAGAGTTGTAACTTCCATTTGGTTCAAGCATTTCTTAAGTCATGAGCTAGTACATTGCTCTTGTCCACAAACGTGTCATGGTCTCAGACAATGTAGTTCAAGCCTTGCTTTCCTGTAGCTTAGTTAAAAAAGAAATTGAAATTAGTGATTCTAGAGTGACCTTACAGTTAAACCTGATTAAATTAGATAAATTTAGAATAAGCTCCTAGGATTTTTAAGGCCTTACTTGTTTGAGTAGGTGACACACATTCAAGTGGGACAAATGTCCACGCTCCCCAGGGTAGTAGCACAGATGTCCCTCCTACTCCAGGCTGCCTCGGAGGCCCACGTCCTGGCTCTCTTAGCATCCTTTGAGGCTGGTTGATGTGTATGTAAACAGAGTCATCTGTATTCTTCTCCCCATTTTTACTTCACACCCACGGTGGTGTCCACACCGAGGCCTTTGGCTTTGCTGCTGAGCAGGATAATTAGAGAGCGTTTATGTCGGCATGTGCAGAGCCTCCTTAGTTTTTTTGGCTGAATGTTATTGCATGGATGCTGCACACTTACCTCATGGAACCAGTCCTCTTCTGAAGGACATTTAGATAATGTCCAATCTTTCTCTCTTGACAGTAGAAAAAGGCTGCACCTGACACATACTTCATTACCCACACATGCAAGGGGCATCGCTCAGATGAAGTCTCTATTTTTTTTCCCCGAGATGAGGTCTCTCTCTATCACCCAGGCTGGAGTGCAGTGGCACAATCACAGCTCACTGCAACCTCTGCCTCCCAGGCTCAAATGATCCTGCCACCTCAGCCTCCCAAGTAACCGGGACCATAGATGCACACCGCAATGCCCAGCTAATGTTTAAATGTTTTGTAGAGATGGACATCTTGCTGTGTTGCCCAGGGTGGTCTTGACCTCCTGGGCTCAAGTAATCCTGCCACCTCGGCCTCCCAAGATGAATTACTGGAGTGGAATTTCTGGATAGGAGGAACGTGTTTTTCCCTTGGACAGATGCAACCCACGTGTCCCCACAGAATCACACCTGTCTACAACAACCAGCCACATTCCCAGACCTTCACTTTCATGCACACACTGACATAGGACCTTATCCAGCCTTGGGTTCTGGA
The DNA here is from genome assembly GCF_000001405.40 of Homo sapiens. Classification (NCBI taxonomy): domain Eukaryota; kingdom Metazoa; phylum Chordata; class Mammalia; order Primates; family Hominidae; genus Homo; species Homo sapiens. Next base: position 25,212,245 of record NC_000020.11, read on the forward strand.
TCCAGCACTCTGGCAGGTGAAGTGGCTCCTCGTTGTAGTTATCATGGGGTTTAGTGCCAGGAGGGACCCCAGAATTGCCTAGTGCCACACCTTTGCAATGTCCAGCGGAGCTGAGGCGCACCTGAGATCGCCCGTGAGGATTGGCACAGGTCTGGATGTGGGCTTGGGTCACCAGGCTGCAGTAGAACAGCAGGCTTATTCTCCTGACCTGTCCTCCCCCTGCCATGTTTCACCTGGTCCCTGTGTTCCCACACACCTGCCAGTACCACTTGCATCACTGTTTCCTGCAGATTTTGAAAATCAGAAAAAAAATATTTATAGAAGCAAAGGCCAGGGATGGTGGCTGACACCTCTAATCATAGCACTTTGGGAGGCTGAGGCAGGAAATGGCTTGAGGCCAGGAGTTCAAGACCAACATGGGTAACACAGAGACACAGCGTCTCTATAAGAAGTTTTTTTTTGTTTTGATTTGTTTTTTTGGGATGGAGTCTCACTCTGTCACCCAGGCTGGAGTGCAGTGGTGCCATCTCGGCTCACTGCAAGCTCCACCTCCTGGGTTCATGCCATTCTCCTGCCTCAGCCTCCCGAGTAGCTGGGACTATAGGCTCCCACCACCACGCCCGGCTAATTTTTTGTATTTTTAGTAGAAACGTGGTTTCACCCTGTTAGCCAAGATGGTCTTGATCTCCTGACCTTGTGATCCGCCTGCCTTGGCCTCCCAAAGTGCTGAGATTACAGGCGTAAGCCACCGTGCCCGGCCAGAAGTTTTTAAAAATTAGTCGGGCATGGTGGCTCACGCCCTTGTCCCAGCTACTTGGGAGGCTGAGGAAGGAGGATCACTTGAGCCCAGGAATTCAAGGCTGCAAATGAGCTGTGATCAAGCCACTTCACTCTAGCCTGGGCAACACAGTGAGACTCTGTCTCCAGAAACCAAAAAAACCCAAAAGGGTGGAAGCAGCACGTGTGACCCTGTATGCTGCACTTGACAGACCCTGCTTTGCTCTTACCACGTTCACAGAGCGCTCAGGGAATCCGGGAACTACTGGATGTTGCTAAACAGGACATTCCGTTCGACTTCTGGAAGGCCACCCCTCTGGTCCTCAAGGCCACAGCTGGCTTACGCCTGTTACCTGGAGAAAAGGCCCAGAAGTTACTGCAGAAGGTGAGCCTGGCCATTCCCCAGTGCCATTAGCCAGCCCTCAGGGGCAACTGATGACTGAAAACAACTGCTGTCTCACCAGTGCCGCACCATCAGGCAGGACACAGATGCTTCTGAAGAAAAGTTTGCAGCATCACTTTTAGGTGGAGGGATGGTGGGCAGATGATGCTTTGTTCCTTGTGACATTTAAGGTTATTCATGTTTTCTGGAGTGAATCTGTGTTTTATAATAAGGAAAGCAACTTGATTTTAGAAGTGTACTGTGGGCCGGGCATGGTGGCTCATGCCTGTACTCCCAGTAATCTGGGAGGCCAAGGCGGGCGAATCATTTGAGCCCAGGAGTTCAAGGCCAGCCTGGCCAACATAGCAAGACCCCATCTCTACCAAAAACACAAAAATTAGCTGGGCATTGTGGCGCATGCCTGTCATCCCAGTTACTTAGGAAGCTGAGGCGGGAGGATCGATTGAGCCCAGGAGGTCAAAGCTGCACTGAACTGTGATTATGCCACTGAACTCTAGCCTGGGCAGCAGAACAAGACCTTGTCTCAAAAAAATAAATAAAAGCGCATGGTGCCTTCAAGGGACTTGATCCTGGTCAGAAGTTTGTGTGTGCTGAGCCCCGGTGCTGCAGCTGAAGCCCGTTTGTTCCCCATGGCAGCTGCTCATCCTGCTCCTGGTCCGATGCTCAGACGTGACTGTCGAAGGGACCCTGTGGCCTCTCCCAGTCCCAGCACGTCAGGGCCAATGTGTCTCCAGCTGCCCAGCATTCCGCAGTGGGTCCTCCTCACCCTCCGTGCTGCCTCCACTCATTTACCTGCAGGAGGAGGGCACAGGGCACGCCTGTCAGGGTCCCTCACAGGGTTGGATTGTGCACGCGTGCAGGTGGGGTGTGCAGAGGTGCTGAAGCTTCTGTGGGTAGATCTTGCTGAAAGGTGGGCAAGGAAATACCCCCCGAGGCCAGGGCCCTGGTGAAGGTGGCCGTCTGCCTTAGAGGGCTTCCGGCTCCTTTATCTCACATCCCAAAGCAGGGCAGTGTTTGGAGCCCAGCAGGCCCAGTGTGCCCCAGCTTCCCCCAGTCTATGCAGCCCCCAGAGCCCTTCTAAGCCCCAGCGGGCTTAGGACAGGGTCTCCAGGGCAGCATGGGCCTCAACGAGCCCGGGCGGTGGATTAACTTGCAATGGATTAGAGAGGCCTGAACACACTCACAGAACATGGCAGGTGCCCCTGGGGTTTCGTTACTGCCTGCCAATAGCATGATGCAAAACCCTTAACCATAAATTCTAAAGGATGAAGAAAGCCGGTCTGAGTGCAGTGGTATTTACAACTAATTGATCACAACCAGTTACAGATTTTTTCGTTCTTCTCCACCCACACTGCTTCACTTGACTAGCTAGCTAGCTAAATAAATAAATATATTCATTCATTCATTCTAAAGGATGAAGTAACATCTCTCTTTACATTTAGGTGAAAAAAGTATTTAAAGCATCGCCTTTCCTTGTAGGGGATGACTGTGTTTCCATCATGAACGGAACAGATGAAGGTAAATGGCTGGAAGCACCTCTGTACAGTGGGGCTGTGCAGTGAGGTGGGTGGGAGCAATCCTGCTGCTTCTAACCATCCGCCACCCCTCCCCGCCCCATGTGGGAGCCTCCTCCCCCGTCCGATGCTCAAGTAAAGAATCATGGCTGTTACAGCCCCGTTCTGATTCACAATTGACATGTCACAAAAGGATCTTTTTGGGGTCAGTGTCAGAGACAGATTATCATCTTGACCAACCCCAAACCTGGCATGAATGAAGCTTCTAAAAACATTGTGTTTTTAGTTTTAAGAACATTTGGAGAGAATCTCCAGTTGCCACCACATTTAGAATGTTGTTGCGTTGTTAATTCTAAGAGACATTTAAGGTTCCTCACTAGCTCCTGATAGGTCTTCAGTATGACCTTGAGAGTGAGTGTGTATGGAGGAGGAAGGGGAGCACTGGGTTCTTTTTCTGCTTCTTCCAAAAAGAGGAGGCCAGTAATAACCAGAGGAGAGACGCAGCATTTGGTGAAGTACTTTAGGATTCAGCATGCTGTGTCTCAGGACAGTCGGCCATAGCTGCTGGATTCATTTATGAGAAATGCTCCTCTCTGCCGATGATCTGAAGGCTGGGTGTAGTGCGGAAGTGATCCCTTTATGCTCCCCAGATCTGCAAATAGTCATTTAACGGTCCTGTGTGTTATGCTTTCAGCATCTCAAGTGATTAAAATAATGCCTGTGACACTCTCTTGCAGGCGTTTCGGCGTGGATCACCATCAACTTCCTGACAGGTGTGTGCACACTGCATCACAGAGGCTAGCCGATCACAGACACCTGCGGAGGGCTCGACTGGGCCTTTCGAGAGCAGGAGCCTCATTTCTGCTCTTTAAGATAACCCCTCAGGGTTTGGCAGTGTTGCTGACTGACCATAGGGTGTTGGGGATGGGTGGGGTCACCCACCTGTCTCACAGGTGTAGATGCTAGGAGTGGGGTGCTTCTCTGCAGGTCTGGGGCATTTTTCTCCCAGCACAGCCCCTGCCCTGTCCCCTGCAGAACATCCACCAGGACCCCCATCCTCTCATTTCTAAGAGAAGTAACGAATCAAACCAGTCATATCTTCCAATATTGAATGTGATGTGAATGCTATTCACCTTCTAATTGGATTCCTCTGCTGTAGGTGGAACAGGGAACAGAAACATCTGTTTTTAGAAACAAGTGACAAGGAGTCATTTTTCTTAGTGCATGTGGATTTTTTGTCCCTTTGCTGGAATTATGGGAAAGAGCAGTGTTTCTGATGTACAGACAAAAAAGGAAAGAAGTTTCCTGTCAGGTTTGCCCATTTGCCACTTTGGGGGATAGAAATGTTAGGAGATGGGTTGGGAGCCTCCGCCTGAGATGCTCTGGGGAGTGGAGATGGGCTGATCAGAGCAGGGCCCAGCTCTTCCTGGGAGCTAAGCCAGCGGCCTCCCTCCCAGCTGATACGGCAGTTTCAGTATCTCCCCTGAAGGTTCATGCTGTCCCATCAGGATCCAAATTAAACCACAGCTGGTGGAGCCATTACTCTTGTCCCTTAGATATATAGTGTACCCTTAAATGGAGATTTGTCAATAGCTGAGCTACTTCTCTGTCTTTTCTTTCCCCTGAGGGCCTGGCTTTCACCCTGGCTTTTCTGCTGTTCTCGCGATCTTACTAATGCCCCTGTGCTGTTTTTGCTTGCTGTGCTCCAGGCAGCTTGAAAACTCCAGGAGGGAGCAGCGTGGGCATGCTGGACTTGGGCGGAGGATCCACTCAGATCGCCTTCCTGCCACGCGTGGAGGTAACAAGCCCTGCCGACCACAGCGCTCTTTCCACCCCGAGGCCACACCGCCATGGGGGTGCAGGGTGGGGCCTGCTGAGGTGCTGCGGGGTGGGGTGGGGGGTGGGGTTGGCCAGGTCTCTGGACCCCTGCGGTCATTTCCTCTTCTGAGAGCTGGACTCACTCACAGATGATGCTTCTGGCTTGGAGTTTTAATTCCACCAGGAAAAAAGCCAAAAACAGAAATTTGGTCTTTAGAGGGGTGATAAATTAGGGAATAACTGGAAACGTTTGGGCCAGAGGATATGAAGTGCTGCCTCTCTCCCCTTCAGGGTTCCGAAAGGAACAAGAGCAGAAAGATTTTGTCCAGTTCATAGGTTGGGAGGAAGCTTCCAGCCTTTTCAAGATAAATATCCTAAAGGAGATGAAAACACTTCCCATTGAGGCACCTGCTGCTTTAAAAACAGTTCCCTCCTCACCCACTCATCCTCCTGTTATGGGTAGTTTTCCATGGAAGGGTGGGCTCATAGGTACTGATATGATCGTCGTCATGTCTGGGCCGTGTTTGTCAGCATGGGAGAGGTTGCCTGTGGGAACGAAGCACCGTTCTTCACTGGGATATTGGCTCCTTATTGCCTGCTCCTGTCTCGCAGCCAGCGACCTAGTGAACAGCTCATTTAATTGGCTGCACCTGACCATCCCCTTTCTTTCAAATGAATTCAGTGGGTGGAGGAGAATTTTCTAGAAAGACCAGCAGGAAACATAGTTACCCTCGTTCTTCTCCAGGGCACCCTGCAGGCCTCCCCACCCGGCTACCTGACGGCACTGCGGATGTTTAACAGGACCTACAAGCTCTATTCCTACAGGTCTGCTTTCGGGAACAGGCGTGGGGAGGCGCCATGGGGTGGGTATGCAGCTCCCAGGGCCTCGCATGGCCCTCTTGAGGTCATGGATGGCAGATCTGGGAATCCCTGTGCTGGGAATCCACCCAGACCTCTCTCTCCTCCTCCTCCTTCTCCCGCCTCCTCTGCCCTCCTCCTTCATCCTTTAATGTGTCTACAGTATACGCACATTCACCCAGACCTCTCTCTCCTCCTCCTCCTCCCACCTCCTCTGGTCCTTCTCCTTCATCCTTTATCTATAGTATACGCACATTAACCCAGACCTCTCTCTCCTCCTCCTCCTCCCGCCTCCTCTGTCCTCCTCCTTCATCCTTTAATGTGTCTACAGTATACACACATTAACCCAGACCTCTCTCTCCTCCTCCTCCTCCCACCTCCTCTGTCCTCCTCCTTCATCCTTTAATGTGTCTACAGTATACGCACATTCACCCAGACCTCTCTCTCCTCCTCCTCCTCCCGCCTCCTCTGTCCTTCTCCTTCATCCTTTAATGTGTCTACAGTATACGCACATTCCTCCTTGTGCACATTCCTCCATGTGTGCTTATTCTGCTCTACTTTGGAGAAGGTTTGAGAAGTGGGAGGGACCATGGGCCACACAGGAGTGTTCCGGGCCACCTATTGCCACGTGCAGTCTTCAGTCGATTCTTGTTATAAAGCAGGAGCATCCCAGACTGGTGTCGAGTCGGTCCCACTCACCACAGTGTCTGCAGCTCCTGGATGAGCTCCTGCCATATGATAGGCCCTCGTGTGTTGAATTAATTAGCTAAGTTTCCTCAACTCTACAGAAACAGGCTTTTAGAAGGAGCAGAGAAGCTCACTAACTGCCTTGCTGCAAGCTCCCCCTTCCCCACTCGGGCTGGGTCTCAGAGGTGAGCCTGCCATGACCTGTACCTGCCATGGCAGCTGCCCTCACTGAGGTGTCATTCCCACAGCTACCTCGGGCTCGGGCTGATGTCGGCACGCCTGGCGATCCTGGGCGGCGTGGAGGGGCAGCCTGGTGAGTGGACATGTTGCCCCGGGCCCACTTTCACAGCCTCTGCCCTCCATTCTCAGTGGGAACGAGGAGCCCCTCGGGAGGGCACCAGCTTGGCCCTGCAGGAGAGGTCCCTCTGCCCCTCCCACCCCACTGCTGTCCCGCTGCATGCTGGGCACCCAGCCAGGCCAGGGCATGCGAGTGGAGGGGTGTGCTGCAGATCTTGTTGGTGGCACCCTGATGGGGCAGGAACCCAGGGTGGTGTTGTACCTGTCCACCTTCCAAGGTATTTCTTTCTTTATTTTGAGACAGTGTCTCACTTGCTCTGTCACCCAGGCTGGAGTGCACTAGCATGATCCCAGCTCACTGCAGCCTCTGCCTGCCGGGTTCCAGCAATTTTCATACCTCCGCCTCCCCAGTAGCTGGGACTACAGATGTGTACCACCACGCCCAGCTAATTTTTGTGTTTTTAGTAGAGACGGGGTTTCACCATGTTGGCCAGTATGGTCTCGAAATCCTACCTTCAAATGATTGCCTGCCTTGGCCTTCCAAAGTGCTGGGATTACAGGCATGAGCCATGACACCCAGCCCCAAGTTATTTTTTAAAAGATGCTGATGAAATCCCTTCTGAAGCACTGAGCTGAAACTGAGGGAACCAGGGAACTGCACACTCATCCCCTACATTGGGAGCTGGCTTTAGGGATGTGAAGACAGAACCTTGTACAGACAGCACAGGAGGGCTGTGGGGGGTGCTGGGTTCTTGCCGTCAGGGAAAGGTTTTCTCTCTCGCTCATGATTCCAGCCTTGCAAGAACATCCCTCCTCCCTTGCTCTGCGAAGGGTCATGAAATGTGGGCTTGGCCCTTCCTGAGACATGGAGTTGACCTGGGGACACAGCCTGCATCAGGGCCAGGGCCTCTGCTCCTTATAATGGGCATCACAGCGGGCATGGACTCTTAGGAGATCTCAGGATTGCCATGGTCTGCTTCAGGGGCTGGGGCACGGCCCTGAGGCTGGTGGTGCCTCTCTTCCCTGATGGAACTGGCCAGGCCACAGAGGCCTTCCCAAGGCCTTAGTGTCTGATGTGTGTATGAGGCGCTCACCAGCACCTACGTGTGCTCCAGCCAAATGCCCTTACCTCAGCCCCCAGCGCCCCATTGGCCCAGCACCCCTGCCCACTTCTTCCGAGGGCCTGGTATCTGACAGGGTAGGATGTTCAACTGGAATTTTCATTCTCCTGTGCATGCCCTACTTCAGTTCTTTCTTTCAAATCCTGGTGTTTATCTTCATAATGGTATTCCTTTTGTTGCAAACAAAAACCATGTCTATGTCTCAGAAACAGCTGCAGCCCTTATTCTGGGGCCAAAAAACACCTATTATTTAGCCAATGAGAAAAGGCAGGTACCTCTTTGCCCTTTGTGGTTCCCAGGGAGTCGTGGCTCAGACCCTGAGTCCTCTCACACCCAGCAGAGCAGCAAGAAGGTCTCATGGTCTCCTCGTCAGGCTGTACAAAGTGCCTGTTTTAGACATTTGGGGGCTGTGAGGACCCAGGAGAATGAGTCTCTGTTTTGTTACCGGTTATTGCGTAACAGACCCCCCAAGTAGAGTGAAAGAACAGCAAACAGCAGTCGCGGCTGGAATCTCACAGCAGACCACACAGGCTCATCTGGGCAGCACCTCCGCTGGGGTCCTGGGGATCTGTGCAGCTGCATGTGGCTGTGGCAGCTGTCTAGACCCTCCCGCTGGGGTCCTGGGGTTCTGTGCAGGTGCATGTGGCTGTGGCAGCTGTCTAGACGCCCCCTGCTGGGGTTCTGGGGGTCTGTGCAGGTGCATATGGCTGGGGCAGCTGTCTAGACTCCCTGCTGGGGTCCTGGGGGTCTGTGCACATGCCTGTGGCTGTGGCAGCTGTCTAAATCCCCCGCTGGGGTCCTGAGGGTCTGTGCACGTGCCTGTCGCTGGGCGGCTGTCTAGACCTGGGCGCTCTTCCACATGGCCTCGCCCCAGCAGAGCAGCCTGGGACACTTTTGTGGTGGCTTCAAAAAAGGAAGGCTACCCTGATGCCACCATTTCCTGCCCATTCCATCAAGGAAAGCAGGTCCAGGCCAGAGTCCAGGGATGGGACCAGCACCTTTCGGTGGGACAGCAGCCTGCCATCCTCGAAAGGTGATACTGGGGCCAGCCCTGGGACCAATACGCTTCCTTTGCTGGTTTTGAGCCCCCAGCTTGTGTGTATTGGAGCAGCAGATTCCATTCAAGGCATGGTGGCACCTGGTGGCACTTGTTCTGGCCCTGCCACCAACCTACCAGCTACTCACAGCCTCAGTCACCTATAAAACTGGGTAATGATGGCTCCCCTCCTAAAAGGACTGTCGTCACACTTCACTGAACAGCCCTTGGCCCAGTGCCTGGCACCCGGCGTGCCCAGGGCCGTGAGCTGGGCATGGTCCTGGTAGCGGTGTGCTTCCTGGCCAACGAGGCTTTGCTGCCACTTCCCAGGGAGGTGTTGCCTTCCCAGTGGACCTGGAAGCCACTCAGCTTCCCCCATCCTGTGTCAAGCCAGGGCCTCCGCGACTCCTAGCTCAGCCCTAGTCCATGGCGGTGATATACCTTCCTTTCTCTTTCCTTTTTAATCTCTGTTTCAGCTAAGGATGGAAAGGAGTTGGTCAGCCCTTGCTTGTCTCCCAGTTTCAAAGGAGAGTGGGAACACGCAGAAGTCACGTACAGGGTTTCAGGGCAGAAAGCAGGTACGGGGAGGGTTGCTGCCTGTTGGTTTCTGCGGGTGAGAGTGGTGGCCTCCTCTCCCCCTTGCCTTTCCCACATCCCATGGGACGTTCCACGGGAGGCTCCTGACCTCTCTTTGAAGAGCCTGTACCTGCCCTGGAAGTGAAGGTGGTTTGGCTGCAGGGGCCTGTGTCTGTGCTGAGAGCCAGCTCCTTCCCTCTGCCTCTGTTCAACATTCCCCTGACTGTCACCAGAAGCTTCCTCCTGAGGGCTGATTTCCTAACAGGCCTGCAGGGAGGAAGGACTGGACCAGCTTGGGGCTGAGATGCAGGGCTGGGACTGGGAGCCCAGGCACTCTGTGCTGTGCTGGGCGGGAATAGAGGGAGGGTCTGCTTCCACCCATCCTGCTCGAGGCTATGGAGCCCGCTGGCCCTGGGCAGGCTCTAGTGCTCTGCACCCTTGCAGTTTCTTCTGAGAGAAATGTTCAAACGCCATTCCCAGACTGGGCACTCGGCATGAGGGGTGCATGCCTTCGCGAACCGTTCAGGTCCTTCCAAGTCAATCACCCACTGGTGCGTGTACCGGGGGGCCGCATCAGGCACAGCAGGACTGCACAGCTGTGTCCCACAGGAGGAGCCAGACAGTGAAGCTCATCGGGAAAGCCTTCCAAGAGAAATAACACGGGGCGGGGATCTGAGAGGGCGATCGCAGCTGTAACTAGGACAGCCAAGGACGGCCTCGTGGGGTAACATGGGATCTAAGACAGGAGGAGGTTTCAAGAAACTGCGCAGATCTGAAGCAGCAGCACCCCAGGCCGCACAAGCAGCACACACCGGGGCCCTCTGTCAGCTGCTGTGTTTAATGAACGAGGAGGAGGTGGTGTGGCTTGGTGGGGGACACCAGGAGGAAATGAGATCGAAGGGTTGGAGCATGGGTCTGTGGACCGTGGGAACCCTGGAAGCACTCGGAAGGATGGGGCCTGGTGGAGGAGGACTGGGAAAGCCGGGAAGCTGGGTCAAGGTGTGGGGTGTAGAGGCGCCCTCAGATGTCCACACGGTCCATTGGCCTCCGGGGTCCTCTGTTCCTGTTCTCCCTCAAGCCATGGGAGCTTGGCAAGTGAGCTGGGCCTCCACTTCCTTATCTATGACATAGGGAGGGTGCAGGCCCCCTGAGGAGGTGGGACTCCGGGCTGGCGGAGGGGGAATGTAGGGCAGATGGTCCCAACAGGCCAGAGGCCACTGGTGTCAGGCATCAGCAGCTTCCTCCTCAGAGTCCAGGTCTGCCGCTGCCTTCGTGCCCACGGTCTTCACTCCCTGCGCCGGGACCAACAATGCCCTGGCTCCTGAGGGCTGCTTTTGACCTGTGCGGGGAGCAGCCCCAACTTGGGGTGGGGTCTTACAGGCTTCTGGACCTGCCTTTTCCTGACAATTCAGGTCAGAGTCTCAAGTCCCCTGGGAGGGGCCCCAAGCAGCTGTGAGGCCTGGGTGCTCGGAGCCCACTGACCGCTAGCCTTGTGCTTGTCCCCAGCGGCAAGCCTGCACGAGCTGTGTGCTGCCAGAGTGTCAGAGGTCCTTCAAAACAGAGTGCACAGGACGGAGGAAGTGAAGCATGTGGACTTCTATGCTTTCTCCTACTATTACGACCTTGCAGCTGGTGTGGGCCTCATAGGTAAGGGGGCCCGGATGGGCTGAGCAGGAAGGTCGGGGCGGCAGGGGGCGGGGGTGGAGGGCGTGTGCTCCCCGAGGCAGAGGGCTGGTGGCAGGCAAGCAACCCTGTTGTCACATCCCTGCAGGAGGCCAGAAGCAGATTTGAGAAGGCGTCTCATCCTGAGTAGGAAAAGATCAGTTCTTTGAGCCCTTCAGTAAAACCTCGTGGCTGGTGACTTGCTGTTGATTCCAGTTCCTGCTGGAAGGCAGGTCCTGCCTTGCACTGGCCCACGTTGTCTCAGACTCAGCCACTCTGCCCTACCCTGCAGCCCTGGCTACAGGAGGCCTCCTGTGACCTGCAGGTGGCTGCCCTGTACCCATGGGAGGGATCAGCTCACTGAATGTGGAGTCTCTCTGACTCACCCTGCACAGCCCAGGAAGCCAGATTAGGGCGGAAAAAGGTATTCAGAGTTTGCTGAGGCTAGTGGTGGTCAGGCTGTGTGGGAACTCTGGAGGGGGTTGCAGAGTCACTATCATGGTGAGATCATCAGAATGTATGGCCTGTGGTACGGATAAGAACACTACTGTTTTAAATAAGCTGACACGGTGCCGGCTCTCTGGGCCCTGCAGCCTCCGGCGGGTCTCTGTGCTGACAAAGCTACCACTGACTGGGCCTGGGTGGAAGGTGGGTGGTCAAGGTGGAAGGCCACCAATAAACCACCCCTCAGTGTATTTTTCAAGAACTTTTTTTTTTTTTTTTTTACATTTAGGAAACTGATACCAGAATACTGTTGCTGAGCTCAGTTCTATGGCTTCAGGAAACATTTCAATTTCTCTACTTTTATTTTTCTTAACTTAAAATTTTACTCAATTTGGGGTCCTGGGTTCCTGGTGAGCTTTCTCGGGGGACACTGCAGGGTTGGGTTGTGGGGTGACCCTCTCAGCCCCCAAACCCACCCCACACCACATCACCCAGAAGCCGTCCTCAGAGCACGTGAGTGCCGCCTACAGCTGGAGGGCCTGCCTCAGAAGCCAGTCAGTGCCTTGGGGCTCTTGGGCTGGCGTTCCCCGTGCCAGCCTCACGTCTCAGTGGCATCGCCAACCTCACAGTGCTCCTGCAGACTGGGTGTTGTGTCTCCCACAGATGCGGAGAAGGGAGGCAGCCTGGTGGTGGGGGACTTCGAGATCGCAGCCAAGTACGGTGAGTGATGCTGCAGGGGCCATCTCAGCAGGGGCAGGCGCCCCGTGATGCTCGTGACGCAGGCGCTGGCCCTGACTCTCCTGGGTGTAGCCCCTCCTAAACAATGGCCACAGGCAGGGGCCTCGGCCCCAGCTGAGAAAGGACCACCGTCCTTGTCCCACCCTCATGGGGTCGTGAGGAACTGGGTCCCTCGATTCCACTTCCTCAGATGCCATTTTACTGCTACTAGGGTAACCCCAAGAGTGATTTCCCCTGGGATGTCCCAGTAAGTTCATGATTGTCACACAACCCTTAAGAAGCCAAGGCCCTACAGAATGGAGCCTGGGATGTGGGGTGGAGGGCTGTCCCCGGGGTCGCAGGTGACCAGCCCAGCAGACCCTGTGCCACACACTATGCCTCTCCACTGTCTCCTTCACGCCTGGCCCAGCAGCCAAGCCTTGGTGAACATGTCCTGCTCTTGGTTGCCCTTCCCAATGTGTGGGTCCAAAGAGCTCAAATTTGTACATCTTTCCAGAAAAAGTACTACCCTTCCCCTCCCCCAAAAGTGGCTTTTTTAAAGCTTTTGTGTCATTTTCCCATTTGTGCCCATGGACACTGGGTATCCACAACTACAGCAGGAAAAGGCTTTGAGCAGAATCCCAGGACAGCTCTTGGTGGATTTGTCCTTCCTCAAGAGCAGGAGTGGATTGTTCTGAGCTGGCTTTGGTGTTTTCTTTCCCCAGAAAGCTTAGGTTTTATGCAGCTTGACACCTGGGAGAGGTGTCCAGGGTCTTAGATGTAGAAATGTGGCTTGGGAGACATTGGCCCATGACCCTAACACCAGGCGTGCAAATCCCCTTGGAGCCCAGACCCAGTGGCAGCCGGGGTTGCCGCCCACCTGCCTGTGCTGTGCACTGGGTGCCTTCTGCGCTCAGCTGCGGCCTTGTCTGTGAATCCGGAGTGCGGAGCCAGCGGGTGCCTGTAGTGGGTGGAATTGGGGTCTGCACTTGCCCCTCCGCCCCCAGGTGGGAGTCACCTGGAGCGTGAAGGGACGTGTCTCATCCCCAGTGTGTCGGACCCTGGAGACACAGCCGCAGAGCAGCCCCTTCTCATGCATGGACCTCACCTACGTCAGCCTGCTACTCCAGGAGTTCGGCTTTCCCAGGAGCAAAGTGCTGAAGGTAAGGGTGCCCTCAGGTCACGCCCCAGCCCCTTTATGGAGTGAGGGGCCTAGAACCACTTCTCCAGTTGCTGGGGTCATGTCCCCCAGCCCATCCCTGGCTTCCAAGGAGCCACAGCCTCCTGATGCACAAGGCTTTCCTGTCTGTGTGATGGTCCCCTCTCCCTCTCTGTCTTTTCAAGCTCACTCGGAAAATTGACAATGTTGAGACCAGCTGGGCTCTGGGGGCCATTTTTCATTACATCGACTCCCTGAACAGACAGAAGAGTCCAGCCTCATAGTGGCCGAGCCATCCCTGTCCCCGTCAGCAGTGTCTGTGTGTCTGCATAAACCCTCCTGTCCTGGACGTGACTTCATCCTGAGGAGCCACAGCACAGGCCGTGCTGGCACTTTCTGCACACTGGCTCTGGGACTTGCAGAAGGCCTGGTGCTGCCCTGGCATCAGCCTCTTCCAGTCACATCTGGCCAGAGGGCTGTCTGGACCTGGGCCCTGCTCAATGCCACCTGTCTGCCTGGGCTCCAAGTGGGCAGGACCAGGACAGAACCACAGGCACACACTGAGGGGGCAGTGTGGCTCCCTGCCTGTCCCATCCCCATGCCCCGTCCGCGGGGCTGTGGCTGCTGCTGTGCATGTCCCTGCGATGGGAGTCTTGTCTCCCAGCCTGTCAGTTTCCTCCCCAGGGCAGAGCTCCCCTTCCTGCAAGAGTCTGGGAGGCGGTGCAGGCTGTCCTGGCTGCTCTGGGGAAGCCGAGGGACAGCCATAACACCCCCGGGACAGTAGGTCTGGGCGGCACCACTGGGAACTCTGGACTTGAGTGTGTTTGCCTCTTCCTTGGGTATGAATGTGTGAGTTCACCCAGAGGCCTGCTCTCCTCACACATTGTGTGGTTTGGGGTTAATGATGGAGGGAGACACCTCCTCATAGACGGCAGGTGCCCACCTTTCAGGGAGTCTCCCAGCATGGGCGGATGCCGGGCATGAGCTGCTGTAAACTATTTGTGGCTGTGCTGCTTGAGTGACGTCTCTGTCGTGTGGGTGCCAAGTGCTTGTGTAGAAACTGTGTTCTGAGCCCCCTTTTCTGGACACCAACTGTGTCCTGTGAATGTATCGCTACTGTGAGCTGTTCCCGCCTAGCCAGGGCCATGTCTTAGGTGCAGCTGTGCCACGGGTCAGCTGAGCCACAGTCCCAGAACCAAGCTCTCGGTGTCTCGGGCCACCATCCGCCCACCTCGGGCTGACCCCACCTCCTCCATGGACAGTGTGAGCCCCGGGCCGTGCATCCTGCTCAGTGTGGCGTCAGTGTCGGGGCTGAGCCCCTTGAGCTGCTTCAGTGAATGTACAGTGCCCGGCACGAGCTGAACCTCATGTGTTCCACTCCCAATAAAAGGTTGACAGGGGCTTCTCCTTCTCTGGGATTCCTCTCGTTGAGCGACAGTAGCATTTGCCCACCTGGCACCTGAGATCCCTGTTTACTAAACCTTAGAAAAGCTGCCAAAGGGGGTGGCGTATTTCCAGTCCTGTCGACATCCCTCTCGAGGACACAGCAGTGGAGGGCCCCTGGGGGCTGGGGCTGGTGAAGGGTCTGGCTGGTGGCCCCGGCCCTCCCAGCGTCTGTTGAGCACAGCTCCTCCTGTGCCAGGCCAGCAGCCCACAGCACGGCCAGGTGAGGCCTGGGCACATAACCTCGAGTGAGCTGCAAGTCCCCATGTCATTCTGTTCAGCAAGGATCTGGTTTTGGTCTGGAAGCGTCCCAAAGGTGTCGCATGCCAGGGAAACTGCAGACCAGCCCACATCCCGAGTGCTTGTGCCTGAAGCCCCCCCCAACCAACTGTCACAGGAGGACAGGATCTGGCCCTAGGGCCTCCCAGGGCTGCAGCGAATGCTGATGGAGCCACGTGGTGGAGGCCTGCACAGAGCAGGAAAGGACAAAAGACAAAAAGAGGAACAGTTTCCTCCCTCCCGCCTGGGCTGGGTCCCCACCAGCGCCTTTACTTCCATAATATCCACCAGCTTAAATATTTAAAGAACTCCGGAGGCTGAGAATCAGACGCATGAAGGTAAAGCCAAAATCAATTTGGTCCATTTAAAGAAGGTCGGTGACCTCATGCCTGAAAAAGGCAAACAACTGGAAGTTTTCCAAAAGTGCACCAAATAAGTCATGGAATATTTCTGGGCCCGGCAAAGTATGCAAGTCATTTCTCTCTGAGTGTCTTTTGTGATAATGAAGTAGGCTCTCATTTGTCAAAAATAGCTACACGTGCACATCGTAAAAGAAGCAAACTAGGGTTGCTTGAAAATTCTGTTCCCTCAGGATGTGTGCATTGACAAGCTCAGACAGGTCTCACACGCCCCACATGCCACCCCAGCCCGCGTACCCCACATCACTTAGCACCCATTGCTGCCCACTGAGCTGCCTCAGTCCTGCAGTCCCCGTGTTTGGATGGCAGGATCCCAGGGCAGTGAGTTTCAGGGCATAAGCAGACGTTGCCACGTTGCCTTCAATCCTACTGGACAAGCATCGGTGCTGGCCTCCCCCATGTCCTAACAGCTACAGCCAGTTTAATCTTTGCCATTCTGGCAGATTTAAAAAAATGATAACTGGTAGTTTTAATATGCATGGATCTAATTCATCGGGTATATCTAAGTTGTATTTCCGTGAAACATCTGTTCATATCCCTTGCCGATTTTCTATAAGATTGTCATCATTTTTTTGTTAATTGTAGATCTTTATTTATTAAGGAAATTATCCCATTATGATAGAACGTGTCCAAAAATTTATCTTTTTGTGACTTCTAGGTTTCATGTCATAATTAGGAAGGCTTCTCCACAGAGATAGTTTTAAAAGTTAACCAAAAGGTATTTTTATATTTTAGTTTCTTAACTTTTGTTAAGAAACTAAACGTGCCTGGCCTTGTTTTTTAATTAATTAATTACTTTATTTATTTATTTTTGAGATAGAATCTCCCTTTGTCACCCAGGCTGGAGTGCAGTGGTGCAATCTGGGCTCACTGCAGCCTCCACCTCCCAGGTTCAAGCAGTTGTCCTGCATCATCCTCCTGAGTAGCTGGGATTACAGGCACCCGCTACTGTGCCCGGCTGATTTTTGTATCTTTAGTAGAGATGGGGTTTTGCCATCTTGGCCAGGCTGGTTTTGAACTCCTGACCAGGTGATCTGCCCATCTGGGCCTCCCAAAGTGCTAGGATTACAGGTATGAGCCACCATGCCCTACCTTAACATTTTTAAATACGTTCAGGCACAACAAATCATTGTTGCAGGGTGAATTTTATTTTTAGAACCATTTCAGAGTCATCAGAAGGCAAATGTGGCCAGGCATGGTGGCTCACGCCTGTAATCCCAACACTTTGGAGACCGAGGCAAGTGGATCACTTGAGGTCAGGAGTACGAGACCACCCTGGCCAACATGGCGAAACCCCGTCTCTAATAAACATACCAAAAAAAGAAAGAAAAAAAAAGCCGGGCATAGTGGTAGGCTTCTATAATCCCAGCTACTAGGGAGGCTGAGGTACGAGAGTTGCTTGAACCCAGGAGGCAGAGGTTGCAGTGAGCCGAGATCGCGCCACTGCACTCCAGCCTGGGCAACAGTGAGACTCCATCTCATTAAAAAAAAAAAAGGTAAATGTGATATTCAGACTAGGGTAATACCATTTTTGGATAAAATCAAGGATGATGGCCGGGTGTGGTGGCTCATGCCTGTAATCCCAGCACTTTGGGAGGCTGAGGCGGGTGGATCACGAGGTCAGGAGTTCGAGACCAGCCCTACCAACATGGTGAAACCTCGTCTCTACTAAAAATACAAAAAATTAGCTGGGCCTGGTGGTGCATGCCTGTAGTCCCAGCTACTCCAGAGGCTGAGGCAGGAGAATCACTTGAACCCGGGAGGTGAAGGTTGCAGTGAGCAGAGATCGCACCACTGCACTCCAGCCTGGGTGACAGAGCAAGACTGAGACTCCATCTCAAAAAATCAAGGATGATGAGAGAAATGAGGCAGTTCCAGGAAGGAGCTCTCAGGAGTGTGCAGGTCGCAGCCATCAGTGGCAGAGTCCCCAGGCAAGGTCTTTGAGGAGCCACACTTGGCGTGCAGTCTCTGTTAGAGGTGTTTAATACGACCTGTGTGGAGGCCATGAGATGTGGGGCATGTTTGAAACAACTGGGGCTGTTCATCCTGCAACAAGGAGCTTTTGGCTGGACAGCAATATAACAGGTGTCTTCACTATTACTGAAGGATTGTCAGACGCTGGCTTTTGCCGGGTGGCTCCAGAGGCGGTGGAAGTTATGGGGACACCGCTGTCAGGTTTCTCACTCAAGCATTGCTCACTCGCGCGATGAACGATGTCCAGGGCTGAGGCGGGCTTGTCCTTGGCATGTGCCCCTTCACCTGCGGGCATCGGGGTGCTTGAGAAAGGAGCCTGCGTGATCAGGTTCTTCCAGTGTCTTCACACTCATCAGATTCTTGGATTCGGCTTGAAAATGATTTTGAAAATCATGGTCAGGTAAGCATACTTACCTCTTTCTTCCTTAATTGTAAATGAATAACGGTAGTCGTGTTTATGGAGTGCTTGCTGTGTGTCAGGCATGATGCGGACTGGACTGTGCGTTGTGTGGTCAGAGATTGAATCCTCAGCCTCAAAGTAGGTACCGTGCATCTCCGCCCTGCCGCCGAGAGAGAAGCAGGCCTGCAGGAGCTTGGGGACTTACCTGGACCCACTCAGATGCGGTTCTGCAGGCTTCCTACACCCAAACAGTGGGCTGCCTTACCTCCCAAAGTGGCAAGTGTTTCCAGAGGAATGTTTACTGATCACATCAGGCCGTGTGCTCATTATCAAAGGCAGGTCTCTCCACTGAAGAATCAGCCATCTCCATAACAGTGTGCTTGTAATGCTTACAAAAATAGTTACACAGTTGAGAGAAATAATAATTCCCTCTAGGCCTCACTGCTGCTTTATCATTTTGACAGCCTCTGATTATTTTCCTGTTATTGATTCAGTGGATAAAGGTTTCCGTTTAAGAGCTTAAGTGCAGCCTTGTGAATCTTAGTACCTGCCACATGATTTACATAGTTCAGAAGCAGACATCCCCCTATAAGGCCTCCTGTTTCAAGAAGCCTCTCTAGAGGTCAGAAGAGCCCACAGCCAAGTTTTATGGCACAGCACAGGGTGGTAGGATGGCTCTAAATACGGCTTCCGAGAGGGTCGAGTGCTCAGCTGGCACAGAGCTGTAGTTCCTGCAGACCTACCAGGGAGGACAGCCAGGGATCGCATGGTTTTGTAAATTAAAATGCCCAAGCTCAGAGGCCTGCAAGGACTTACCTTAAAGCAACAGGCAGGCCAGGTGCGGTGGCTCACAACTATAATCCCAGCACTTTGGAAGGCTGAGGTTGGCAGATCACAAGGTCAGGAGTTCGAGACCAGCCTGGCCAATATGGTGAAACCCCATCTCTACTAAAAATACAAATATTAGCCAGGCATGGTGGCAGGCGCCTGTAGTCCCAGCTACCTGGGAGGCTGAGGCAGGAGAATGGCTTGAACCCAGGAGGCGGAGGTTGCAGTGAGCCGAGATCAAGCCACTGCACTCCAGCCTGGGCGACAGAGCGAGACTGCGTCTCAAATAAATAAGGCAACAAGGAGAGTCTGGATGCAGTGGCTCATGCTTGTAATCCCAGCACTTTAGGAGGCCAAGGCAGGCAGATCACAAGGTCAGGAGTTCAAGACCAACCTGGCCAACATAGTGAAACCATGTCTCCATTAAAAATATAAAAATTAGCCAGGCATGATGGCCCATGCCTGTAATCCCAGCTACTTGAGAGGCTGAGGCACAAGAATCACTTGAACCTGGGAGGCGGAGGTTGCAGTAAGCCAAGATTGTGCTGCTGCACTCCAACCTAGGGGGCAAAGCAAGACTCTCAAAAAAACAAAAAAACAGGGAGAGTTTTCCTGTTGATAGTCACCTGGGCTGTTTCCTGTTTGGAGCTTTATGAATAAGGCTTCTGTGAACATTCTTGTGCAAGTCTTTTTATAGGCATAGGTTTTTATTTCATTTGGATGAATATCTAAAGGCAGAATGGCTGGGTCATATGGCATGTGAATGTTTAACTTTATAAGAACCTACTGGGCTCGGCGCGGTGGCTCGCGCCTGTAATCCCAGCACTTTGGGAGGCCGAGGCAGGCAGATCACGAGTGTCAGGCCTCTGAGCCCAAGCCAAGCCATCGCATCCCCTGTGACTTGCACGTATACATCCAGATGGCCTGAAGTAACTGAAGATCCACAAAAGAAGTAAAAATAGCCTTAACTGATGACATTCCACCATTGTGATTTGTTTCTGCCCCACCCTCACTGATCAATGTACTTTGTAATCTCCACCACCCTTAAGAAGATTCTTTATAATTTCCCCCACCCTTAAGAAGGTTCTTTGTAATTCTCCCAACCCTTGAGAATGTACTTTGTGAGATCCACCCCAGCCCGCAAAACATTGCTCTTAACTTCACCGCCTATCCCAAAACCTATAAGAACTAATGATAATCCACCACCCTTTGCTGACTCTCTTTTCGGGCTCAGCCCGCCTGCACCCAGGTGAAATAAACAGCCATGTTGCTCACACAAAGCCTGTTTGGTGATCTCTTCACAGGGACGCGCATGAAAACGAGGTAAAGAGATCAAGACCATCCTGGCCAACATGGTGAAACCCTGTCTCTACTAAAAATACAAAAATTGGCTGGGTGTGGTGACGTGTGCCTGTAGCCCCAGCTACTCAGGAGGCTGAGGCAGGATAATCGCTTGAACCCGGGAGGCGGAGGTTGCAGTGAGCCAAGATTGTGCCACTGCACTCCATCCTGGCAACAGAGTGAGACTCCATCTCAAAAAAAAAAAAAAAAACCTACCAAACCATTTTCCAACACGCCTGTAACATTTTACACTCCCATTAGCAGTGTGTGAGAGTTCCTGTATAATATAAACTAGGGTTTTCAGCTTTCTATAAATTAAGAGATTTCAGAGGACTTTTTTTACTGACTCTCCAGACATTGGCATAGTATTCAGCCTTAAAAAGAACTGAATTTCTAGCCAGGTGCCATGGCTCACACCTGTAATCCCAGCACTTTGGGAGGCTGAGGTGGGTGGATCACAAGGTCAGGAGTTCAAGACCAGCCTGGCCAACATGGTGAAACCACGTCTCTACTAAAAATACAAAAATAAAATTAGCTGGGTATGGTGGTGAGCACCTGTAATCCTAGCTACTCGGGAAACTGAGTCAGCAGAATCACTTGAACCCGGGATGCAGATGTTGCAGTGAGCTGAGATTGCGCCATTGCACTCCAGCCTAGACAACAGGGCGAGACTCCGTCATAAAAAAAAAAAAAAAAAAAAAATTAGCTGGGCGTGGTGGCACACGCCTGTAGTCCCAGCTACTTGGGAGGCTGAGGCAGGAGAATCGCTTGAACCCAGTAGGCGGAGGTAGTGGTGAGCCGAGATTGCGCCACCACACTCCAGCCTGGGCGACAGAGCGAGACTCAGAAAAAAAGAATTGAATTTCTGACCCATGCTGCAACATGGTGAACCTTGGAAACATTATGCTAAGGTGAAAAAAGCTAGACACAAAGGACTCTGTAGTCTATGATTCCATTTATGTGAAATGGCCCGTCCACAGAGACAGATTGGTGGTTGCCAGGAGCTGGGGTTGGGAGAAGGAAGAGTAACTGACTGACTGGTGCGCAGGGCTTTTGAAAAAGTTTAACACTTAGATTATGGTGCTGCTCACACAACTCCATAAATATACTGTAAACCATGGACTTGTGCACTTAAACAGGCAGCTTTCTGGTATAAAAATTACATCTCAGTAAAGCAGTTTGAAAAATGAAGACTCGAACTCTAGAAGGCAACAGTCTGAAAACAATAGGTTTCCTCCAGAAAGTTCCGCTGAGGTAAAGCTCATTCTAGTCTGAGAGCAGATGACCTTCTCTTGTCTTTTCAAACCTTAGACTTCAGTGTTGTCCTTGCCTCACCTTAGACCCTGAGAGGAGCATCAGACCTGCTCGTTCGCTGGTGAACCCAAGTCCAGCAGGTGCTGCCCTGGTGCGGGGGTCCCTCAGCCACCTGTTGAGTGACGGGAGGTTGCCTCTAAAAAGGAGAGGAATTGAAATCCTCACACTGGGGATATTGGTCCTCCTCCACACCCCCACCCCGGCATTTCCTAGTGCAGCCAGCGATCCTCCTGTTTTCTCAGTGGGTGTGCCTGGCCTGGACTCCACCCAAGCCAAACAGCCGAGGTGAAATGGTTGGGCAGAGCAAACAGGCTTTTGCCAGGAGCCTTGCTTTACTTCCCCTTGGACAAATCACACTGGGCTTAAAGCCTCCACTGGAATTCCTCCTGCTGCTGTGAGGCCCAGAGTGGCCACATCCCCTGCCTGATGGGGTCTTGAGTCACTAGCTCTCTCTGGGTTTTACCTTGACCTAGTGAATGTTTTTCTAAGAATATTTTATTATTGAGGTATCATTTTCATATAATAGTGAAGGGGTGGGTTGCCCCTCCACACCTGTGGGTGTTTCTCATTAGGTGGAACAAGAGACTTGGAAAAGAAAGAGACACAGAGACAAAGTAGAGAGAAAGAAAAAAGGGGGCCCAGGGGACCAGCGTTCAGCATACGGAAGATCCCACCAGCCTCTGAGTTCCCTTAGTATTTATTGATCATTCTTGGGTGTTTCTCGGAGAGGGGGATGTGGCAGGGTCATAGGATAATAGTGGAGAGAAGGTCAGCAGGTAAACACGTGAACAATGGTCTCTGCATCATGAACAAGGTAAAGAATTAAGTGCTGTGCTTTAGATATACATACACATAAACATCTCAATGCCTTAAAAAGCAGTATTGCTGCCCTCATGTCCCACCTCCAGCCCTAAGGCGGTTTTCCCCTATCTCAGTAGATGGACTATACAATCGGGTTTTACACCAAGACATTCCATTGCCCAGGGACGAGCAGGAGACAGATGCCTTCCTCTTGTCTCAACTGCAAAGAGGCGTTCTTTCCTCTTTTACTAATCCTCCTCAGCACAGACCCTTTATGGGTGTCGGGCTGGGGGATGGTCAGGTCTTTCCCTTCCCATGAGGCCATATCTCAGGCTATCACATGGGGAGAAACCTTGGACAATACCTGGCTTTCCTAGGCAGAGGTCCCTGCGGCCTTCCCCAGTGTTTTGTGTCCCTGGATACTTGAGATTAGGGAGTGGTGATGACTCTTAAGGAGCATGCTGCCTTCAAGCATCTGTTTAACAAAGCACATCTTGCACAGCCCTTAATCCATTTAACCCTGAGTTGACACAGCACATGTTTCAAGGAGCACAGAGTTGGGGGTAAGGTTACAGATTAACAGAATCTCAAGGCAGAAGAATTTTTCTTAGTACAGAACAAAATGGAGTCTCCTATGTCTACTTCTTTCTACACAGACACAGTAACAATCTGATCTCTCTTTTCCTCACATAATAGGACACACAGATCTTAGGTGTACAGTTCAAATCATTTTGGCAAATGCATGCACCCATGTGGCTCACACCCCCATCAAAATAGAGAACATTGCTATTACCCCAGAAAACTCTGAGAGTACCCTGCCCCTGGACTCTAGCAGCCCCTATCTGATGTCCGTCATGACGTATTACTGTCACCCGTTCTGGAACATTATGTAAATGGCATCATCCAGTGTCTGCTCTTGTGTGTCTGGTCTTCAGCTAAGCATGATGTTTGTGAGATTCATGCAGGTGGATGCATGCAGCTCATTCCTTTTCATTGTTGAATAGTAATCAATTATTTCAACATACCACACTTTGTTTCTTCATTTGCCTGTTGATATTCCCCTGGGCCGTTTCCTCTTTGGAGCTTTAATGAATAAGTCTTCTGTGTCCATTCTTGTGCAAGGCTTTTATAGGCATATATTTTTATTTCTTTTGGATGAATATCTAAAGGCAGAATGGCTGGGTCATATGTCATGTGAATGTTTAACTTTATAAGAACCTACCAACCAGTTATAACCGGTTATAAGAACCTACTAATGGCCGGGCGCGGTGCCTCACGCCTGTAATCCCAGCACTTTGGGAGGCTGAGGTGGGCGGATCACGAGGTCAGCATATCGAGACCATCCTGGCTAACACAGTGAAACCACGTCTCTACTAAAAATACAAAAAAATTAGCTGGGCGTGGTGGCGGGCGCCTGTAGTCCGAGCTGCTCGGGAGGCTGAGGCAGGAGAATGGTGTGAACCTGGTAAGCAGAGCTTGCAGTGAGCTGAGATGGTGCCACTGCACTCCAGCCTGGGCGACAGAGCGAAACTCCGTCTCCAAAAAAAAAAAACCTACCAACATGGCTGTAACATTTTACTCTCCCATTAGCAGTGTGTGAGGATTCCAGTTGCTCCACATCCATGCTAGCACTTGGTACTGTCCGTAATTTTAATATTAACTGTTCTGGGGGGAGTACTGCTGTCCTATTATGCTGTTGTCATTTTTTGAACAGATAGGGTCTCACTAAGTTGCCCAGGCTGGACTCAAACTCCTGAGCTCAAGTGATTCTCCCACCTCAGCTTCGGAGTAGCTGGAACTACAGGTGCATGCCACCACACCTGGCTCCATGGAGTTTTAATGTGCATCACCCTGAGTGAGGCAGTGAATTTTAAAGGAGCCTCCAAGAATCCTCCTGCCCAGGCCAGCCTGCCTCCCCTCCCAAGCACCCTGTTGCCTGGCATGCTGCATAGAGAACCAACGGGACTCCTTCCTGAGGACTCACCTGTGAGCCTGGACGTGCAAGGCAGCGCTACGGATACAGGTTCCTCGCCCAGAGGTCCACACTCCAGGGTAGTGAACGGCCAACTCTTTCTGTAAAGAGCAGCCGGTAAATATTTCAGGCTTTGCAGGCCATGCAGTCTCTGTTTTGGCTGCTCACCTCTGCTGCCGAAGAGTGACAGAAACTTAGACAACTGTAAATGAATGAGAGAAGCTGTGTCCCAACTTGATTTATGGACACTGAAATTCAAATTTCATATCATTTTAACACCATGATTACTTGGATTTTTTTTTCAATCATTTAAAAATGTAAAAGGTATTCCTAGCTTGAGAGCCGTACAAAAACAGGCAGGGGATCAGATCCAGAGGCTCCTGTGCTCAGTGCCCCGTTTTAGGCAGGAAGAGCAGCCAGCTCGGGGCACTTCTGCACTAGGCAGGCTCTCAGGAGCGGCTTCGCAGAGAACCAGGGCCGGCCACACGGAGCTCCAGCATCCTGCCTGCTCCAGGAGGCAGCTTCCTCAGGATGAGTCCAGGTAGGGACCCACACCACTCCCAAGGGAAACACCGAAGGGCCAGAGGAGGGAGACAGCCAGGCTGGGAAGGGCTTGAGAGTGCCCGATTGGTGTCCACAGCTCCTCCCTGCCCAGCAGGCAGCTCCCAAGCTCCCTGATTACGGGCTTCCTCTGTCTCCCTCCGGCCTCCCTGACATCAGTACTGCTCCCTGCTCGCCTGGTCCCTTTGGAATCCACACATCAGGATGCCCACTGGTTTTGGCCCAGTGTTTGCCTTCACCCTGGTTACCTCCTCAAGTCTGTCTTTGCTCTGCCCATGCCCAGCCTGAGGACCTGCCAGGAAGGGGTCTGGGTTGGGGGTGTAGGATTCTTGTCTTTTTTGTGAGGTAGTGGTTTGCAGGAAGGGTGCCGGGCTCAGACCTCCATCTGGGGAGTGGAGTCTGCAGCCTGTGGAGGCTCTGAGGAGGGCCCAGGAGGCAGGAGGACCTGTGTGGAGTCTACTGCAGGGCCCCCAGCAACAGGACCCCAAGAGCAGTAGCCACAGGTTGGAAGAGGGATGTGCATCCCCACAAGGAACAAAACACAATGGCTGGGCGCGGTGGCTCATGCCTGTAATCCCTGCACTTTGGGAGGCTGAGGTGGGTGGATCACCTGAGGTCAGGAGTTTGAGACCAGCCTGGCCAACATGATGAAACCCCGTCTCTACTAAAAATACAAAAAATTAGCCAGGTGCAGTGGTGGGTGCCTGCAATTCCAGCTACTCAGGAAGCTGAGGCAGGAGAACCGCTTGAACCTGGGAGGTGGAGGTCGCAATGAGCCTAGATCATGCCAAAAAAAAAAAAAATGCAAGGCAAGTCCTGAGCCGGTGGCCCCCGGCCTCCTCCTGGGAAGACTGGCTGCTGGGCAGATTCCTTGTAGCTTGTGGAGAAGGCCTGGGTGTCGCTGGTACCACTGGCCTTAACGAAGGACCTAGAGCCCTGTTGGGTGTGGGGAGGGCCAGGAGGCATTAGATAAGGTAGGGAGGAAGATGGTGGACGGCCCATGACCGTGGGATGTGGGACCCCGCAGGCCCATGGCCCAGGTCCAGGGAGGTCTGTCACACCCACAGATGCTGCCCACAGGTGGTGGTTGCCAAGTGTGCCCATAGTACACTGTCACACTTGCATACACCAGACTGCAATGAAGAGCTTCTCCAGACCCCACTCCTCACAGCCCCTCCAGTTGCATGCAGCGGGAGGTTCAGCCACTGTCCTTCCTAACAGGGTAGAGGTCTGACGCCTGAGGGCTTTGGGGAACAGGATGTGCTCTTTTGGGCTGGTCCCTCACACAGCATTACTCATCCATGTGGGAGAGCGAAGTCGTAGGTGACTCATCCTTGTGTTGGTGTGAATATGCCACAGTGTATTTATCCATTCCAGTGATGACAGACGTTTGCATCATTTCCAGTTTGGGACTGTTCTGAATAGGGCTGTTCTGAACGTTCTTGTACTTGCCTTGGGGTGAGCATAAGTATTCATTTCTGTTGGGTGTTTTCTTTGGAGTAGAATTGCTGGGTCATAGGGAGGCATTTGTTCAGTGAACACTGCCAGTTTTTCAAAGGGATTGTACTAACCTATAAGGAGTTGTGTTGATGTGGAAACTGAAGGCGCTGAGAAGCACATTAGGGTTAGTGGGTGACATCAGGGACACCCCCAAACTGATATTGAGGGGGTCCAACTTGAGGTGTTCAGGACCATTTCACAGGTGTCCCAAAGGACAGGGGCTCCAGCTGACACTGTCAGTCCTGACAAGAAAGGACTGAAATAGAATCTCCGGCATTTGCTGTAGGATTTGGATTTGAGGGGCTGTGAAAGGGGAGAATATTGGAAATGCCAGGCTGGGAGTCTGGAGATGGAGAGCAGCATGCTTTGATGCAACTGTGGGCCGTAGTGACACAGGCTGAGGAAGGAGTCAGAGCCCAGGCAGTCTGGCATGCTGGGCAAGTCCCACCGGTTCAGAGAAGGGGCAAGGGTTTGAATGCCTTCCCCTCCAGAACTCGTGTTGAATTTCGATTGCTGGTGTAATGGTATTGGGAGGTGGCGCCTTTAAGAGGCGATTAAGCCATGAGAGCTGCACCCTTATGGTGGGTTTAATGCCTTACTGAGAGGGCTTTGGGAGTGGGTTCTCTCTTGGCTTTTCACCTTCTGCCATGTAAGCATGCAGCCTTCCTCCCCTCCGGAGGACGCACCGTGCAAAAGACACCATGGAAGAAGCAAAGAGCCTCACCAGGCCCCAAACCTGCCGGCATCTTGACTGCACACTGAGAAGGACACTCCATCCTTAGACTTTTCAGCCTCCAGAACCGTGAGGTTGTAGTAGTCCATTTTTGCATTGCTCTAAATACTTGAGACTGGGTAATTTATAAAGAAAAGAGGTTTAATTGGCTCATAGTTCTGCAGGCTGTATAGCAAGCGTAGTACCGATATCTGCTCAGCCTCTGGGGAGGCCTCAGGAATCTTACAATCATGGTGGAAGGCGAAGGGGAAGGCAGGCAGATCACATGGCCAGAGCAGAAGCAAGGGGTGGGGCGCACACTTTTAAACAACCAGATTTCGTGAAAACTCACTATCTTAAGAACAGCATCAAGGAGATGGTGCTAAACCATTCATGAGAAATCCACCCCATCATCGAGTCACTTCTCACCAGGCCCTACCTCCAAAACAACTCAACATAATCACAATTCACCACGAGGTTTAGGTGGGAACACAGACCCAAACCGTATCAGAGGTCTTTGTGTTTTGTGCGGATGTGAAGCTCAGTGCCTGGCTGGCAGTAGGTGCAGTGCAGATGGAGCCAGTGTGTGATGAATGAAGGAAGGGTCCTTTGCTGGTGGGGTCCGGGTCTCACCAACCTGGTGTCCCCTCGGGGCCTAACGGGTGGGAAGTGGCCAGATGGAGGACTCCTCCTGGGTTGTCTGAGAACACTGGGCCGGCGCACTTCGGTGGCCCAGAGGCAGTTCCTAGGTACACTTGCTTTCCAGCGCCATTTCCACAGGTGCTGTGCTCATCCTTCTCACTTTAATTCAGGCTAGCTGGAGAGAGCCAGGCTTTCTCAGTGTGAACTTAACCTGTCCTCTGGAGAGGCCGGACATTTTAACAGCCAGGCCTGTGGGTGCACTGGAACCTTCCACTCAGTGCTATGCTGGCAGGTTTGTGTTGGCCAGATGGGTGGGAGGACCCCTGAGCGTCTAAGTGACGATTTCATCCCGGGCCTGATACAGACTGAGCAGGAAGTGGTGGGGTGCAGACATGCATATCGGTGGCTCAGCCTGGCCTTCTGAGCCCTGCCTCTTGGATGAAACCACCCACCTGGTCACTCTGGGGCAGCGAGGAGTGCAGCCCAGTGCTCAGCTCCACAGTGACCACTACAGCTCCCAGGGTGGGCCCGTTTAACATATACCCTCTCCCCCAAAGTCAGGACATGTTTCTGACTTGTAAGACAGAAGGGTGGTGGCCCTAGGCTGTGACCAGCTTGCTATCTCTTTAGCATGCTAACCTGTCCCTTACTAACTCCTGTCAGGGGAGGGCTGGGGCAGGGTACCAGGCCCACTCTCGTCCCAGCTCTGGGACTCATCTCGCAGTCATTCAGTAGCGGTGGTTAGGCCTAGCTCACAGATGCCTTGAGGCCCCCCCAAGAGTCCCTGTGCCCCCATCCACATACTGGGGAAGTCCTGCTAGAACCGGGCCACTGGGTTAGAAAGGCAGCCCACCCTATGGCAGAGATTCCCACATTGCACAGTAAAAATATGCCCTAGAGATGGCCGAGCGCAGTGGCTCGTGCCTGTAATCCTAGCACTTTGGGAGGCCAAGGTGGGTGGATCACCTGAGGTTGGGAGTTCAAGACCAGCCTGACCAACATGGTGAAACTCCATCTCTACTAAAAATACAAAAATTAGGTGGGTGCCTGTAATCCCAGCTGCTCAGGAGGCTGAGGCACGAGAATCGCTTGAACCTGGGAGGTGGAGGTTGCAGTGAGCCGAGATCCTGCCATTGCACTCCAGCCTGGGCAACAAGAGCAAAACTCCGTCTCAAAAAAAAAAAAAAAAAAAAGTGCTCTGGAGGTGCTCACTAAGCAGGTGGAATTCTGGGTTTGGGGCTTTGGGAATGTGCTAGTCACAAGCCCTGTGGAGAGTTTTTATTTGCAAGTTTGGGAAACTGCCTCAAGTATTATCTGCACTTCTATAAACTGTGTCCTAGAAGCCTGTACTATGTTATTATGTAATGTAATATACTACATATGTTAGTGTATAATATACTGCGTTATGTTATAGCAGAGTAAGTGATGTTTGTCCTTCTTGGTGCACTGAATCAGACTCATAGTGTGGGTTTGTCCCCTGGGTGGCAATGCTAAGTTGTGTCACTTCATGAGGCTGGAGTCTGCCATAACTCTCCATTGCAAATCCCTTTTCCCTTTTATAGCTAATAAAGATAATGTGTAGGGTGAGGCTTTGAGATGGAATGAATCCCCTGTTCCCCTGTGGCCGTTGTCCAGTAGTTCTCAGAATCTCCTCCTGCATTGATTTGGCATCCTGTAGAGAGGAGCGGCTTCCTTCTTCCCTATCTCCATTTCATTTCTTCTCAGTATCACTCTGGTCTCATAGATTGTGGGGAAAAGAAAGAGAGATCAGATTGTTACTGTGTCTGTGTAGAAAGAAGTAGACATAGGAGACTCCATTTTGTTCTGTACTAAGAAAAATTCTTCTGCCTTGAGATGCTGTTAATCTATAACCTTACCCCCAACCCTATGCTCTCTGAAACATGTGCTGTGTCAACTCAGGGTTAAATGGATTAAGGGCTGTGTAAGATGTGCTTTGTTAAACAGATGCTTGAAGGCAGCATGCTCATTAAGAGTCATCACCACTCCCTAATCTCAAGTACCCAGGGACACAAACACTGCGGAAGGCCGCCGCAGGGACGTCCACCTAGGAAAGTCAGGTATTGTCCAAAGTTTCTCCCCATGTGATAGTCTGAAATATGGCCTCGTGGGAAGGGAAAGACCTGACCGTCCCCCAGCCCGACGCCCATAAAGGGTCTGTGCTGAGGAGGATTAGTAAAAGAGGAAGGAATGCTTCTTTGCAGTTGAGACAAGAGGAAGGCATCTGTCTCCTGCCCCTCCCTGGGCAATGGAATGTCTCGGTATAAAACCCGATTGTATGTTCCATCTACTGAGATGGGGTAAACTGCCTTAGGGCTGGAGGTGGGACATGCGGGCAACAATACTGCTCTGTAAGACATTGAGATGTTTATGTGTATGCATATCTAAAGCACAGCACTTAATTCTTTACCTTGTCTATGATGCAGAGACCTTTGTTCATGTGTTTATCTGCTGACCTTCTCTCCACTATTATCCTGTGACCCTGCCACATCCCCCTCTCCGAGAAACACCCAATAATGATCAATAAATACTAAGGGAACTCAGAGGCTGGCAGGATCCTCCATATGCTGAACGCTGGTCCCCTGGGCCCCCTTATTTCTTTCTCTATACTTTGTCTCTGTGTCTTTTTCTTTTCCAAGTCTCTCGTTCCACCTAACGAGAAATACCCACAGGTGTGGAGGGGCAACCCAGCCCTTCAATAGATTCTTTTTCCTTTAATGTCAGTGTGTTAAAATCATTAATGTCACTAAGAATATCTGTTGACACACCCCAGTGGAGGGAGGGCATCAGTTCCACAGTGTCATTCCAGCTGGTGGGCTCTTTATTCCCTCGAGCTTTATAATTACCAGCCTCTCAAAAATAATGCATTTGTTATTTATCTCTGTTTCCTGAAAGCCTGGGTCTGTGTTCATTTGCAAACACGAAATTGACCAGCACAGATCTGCCAGTGGCGTTGCTGGGATCCCAGAGAGATTTTCCCTCCGCACCTGCGGTCTCAAGGGCCGGCGGTGCTTCTGAGTCACTCATTTCACCAGCGATCAATGAGACACTCTTCAGGTCCTCAAGAAGCTTAAGCCTAGCCGACCAAAAATGTCTGTTTTCCACACCCCGCTTCTAAGTCCCACAGCATCTTCTTCCATTCACAAGACATCTTTCATCTCTTTTTCTGAGGCAGATGACAGGGGACTTGCTACAGACAGAATCTTAAATACCTATTTAAAGAACTTCAGGCTGGGCACAGTGGCTCATGCCTGTAATCCCAACACTTTAGGGAGACCGAGTTGGGTGGATGGCTTGAGCCTATGAGTTCAAGACCAGCCTAGGCAACATAGAGAAAGCTCATCTCTATAATAAATACAAAAATTAGCTGGGCGTGGTGGCATGCACCTGTAGTTCCAACTACTTGGGAGGCTGGGGTGGGAGGATAACCTGAGCCTGGGAGATCGAGGCTGCAGTGAGCCGTGATCACACCATGGCATTCCAGCCTGGGCAACACCATGAAACCCTGTCTCAAAAACAAAAAGATAAAAGAACTTTAAAGGTAATGTATTATCTCCAGCAACACAGAATAGCTCCCTACAACAGTAACGAAACCAGAACCAGCATCCATCCCTTCTTAGTGATTTTTTAAAAATTACCTCCCAAAAGGAGAAGACAGAGACGTAGAGGACAGTCTAAAACAGGGATTCCCTGATGCTGAGGTTAGCAGATGCTCTGGCCTGATCACTGCTCTGATCCAGGCTGCCAGAACAATCCTTTCTCTTAGAAGGGCAAAACTGCTTTTCAGCTTTATATAAAATAAAAGCATAGCCCAATTTCTTTCCATTTTGCCTGTTCTGAAGCCTGGCAGTTTTGTTGCTAAAATGGAAGATGAAGCTGAATCCAACTCTTGGTTATTTACAGAAGGAAAAAAATCTTTTCCCCAGCCCATGTTAGGGTCTCCAGCTAGGGGGCCTCTAATTACACCAGCCAAAGACAATTCAATCAGGCAAGAAAAAAACAAGTTTATTGGCATGTGCATTGCACTTACATGTGGCAGTACCTGGCAATGAATAACCCAAAGTGTGGTCAGGACTTGGGTTCATCTATCATCTTAGGCTGACATAAAGGAAAAGGCCTGGAGCTTCTGGGCAGGGGAGGCATGTAGTGGGAAGGTGTCTTGGTCTATTTGTGCTGCTGTAACAGAATGCCACAGACTGTGTAATTTATAAAGAAAAGTGGCTTATCTGGCTCATGGTTCTGAAGACTGGGAAGTCCAAGAGCATGGCATTGGCATCTGGTGAGGGCCTTTATGCTACATTGTCCCATGGAAGGAGGGTGGAAGTACAAGAGAGGGTGAAAGAGACAGAACAAGAGAGGGTCAAACTCATTTTTATAACAACCCACTCCCACAATGGCATTAATCTATCCTTGAGGGTGGAGGCCTCATGGCCTAATCACCTCTGAACAGTCCTACCTCTTATACAATGGCAATTAAATTTCAACATGAGTTTTGGAGGGTATATTCAAACCTCAGCAGAAGGTGCCCAGGAAAAGTATGGTAAACAAGGGTTGTTTAGGAAGGTTTGTTATGCAGACTTAAGTCAGTACTTTCTTCCACTGATAAGAGTTGTTACAAGATATCCTCTTCCTTGCATGGAAGAGGGAGACGTGGAAATTTCCTTTATAATAAATGTGAATTTTTTTTACAAAATGAAAATGGTTTTTAGAGCCTTTCCTGTGGTCTGCTGGTTCTTAATGGCCTTTAATTCAAAATAATCCACATGCGAAGAGGCATATTTTGGGGTGGTGTATCCCAATGCCCCTCAGATGCCTCTTTTGTGAACTGTCCAAGTGGATGCCCACCTCAGGACCTTTGCATTTGCTATTCCCCCAGATTCATTCATGCCTTTTTTTTTTTTTAGATGGAGTCTTGCCCTGTCGCCCAGACTGCAATCTCGGCTCACTGCAACCTCCACCTCCGGGTTCAAGCGATTCTCATACCTCAGACTCCCAAGTGCTGGGATTACAGGCATGCGCCACCACGCCCAGCTAACTTTTGTATTTTTGGTAGAGACGGGGTTTCATCATGTTGGCCAGGCCGGTCTTGAACTCGTGACTTCAAGTGATCCACCCACCCTGGCCTCCCAAAGTGCTGAGATTACAGGTGTGAGCCACTGCACCTGGTCCATTCTTTCATTTTTTTTTTTTAGTCTCAGCTGAGATATCACCTCCTGTAACTAACAGCTCAACCTGCTTTTCTTTACAACACTTAAAACTATCTAAAAATTATTTATTTGAAAATGATGGCCAGGTGCGGTGGCTTACGCCTGTAATCCCAGCACTTTGGGGGGCTGAGGCGGGCGGATCACCTGAGGTCAGGAGTTAAAGACCAGCCCAGAAACATGGTGAAATCCTGTCTCCACTAAAAATACAAAAATTAGCTGGGCATGGTAGTGAGTGCCTATAATCCCAGCTACATGGGAGGCTGAGGCAGGAGAATTGCTTGAACCCAGGAGGCGGAGGTTGCAGTGAGCGGAGATTGCACCACTGCACTCCAGCCTGGGTGACAGAGCAAGACTCCATCTCAAAAACATTAATAATAAATAAATAAATAAATTACCTGAAAATGGCTGAGATAATTAATACTGGGACTCATTTAGCCACTTCAGCAATATTAGCGGCCAGAGGAGGTGAGGAGACATGATGGTGAGAGGGCTCCTTCCTGCGTCAACCATGCGCATTATGAAGAGTCACATCATGAAGATTCAGTATTGGACTAAGTGCTGCAGGAGAGGGGAAGGACCATGGCAGCTCCCAGGAAGAGGAAATGACATCTGGGTAAGATAACTGTTAAAGAAAAAAAATAATCAATAGCATTTGTTAAAGCATGGTACCAGACTTTATTCACAACCATCATGATAGGTACAGGGACCACTGCAACGGGATCTTGCAGCAGGGGAGAGAGATTGGGCTCAACTCCGAAAACAGCATGGGCAAGTGGGCATTTATAGCCAAGGACTGGGGGAGGGGTCAGTGGATGGACAGTTACTAAGAGGACACTTCAGGGGTCCAGGTGATTGTGTCTAAACCACCTCATAGGATTCCTGTTGAAGGCAGGCCAGGGTGATTGGACAGCATGGGGGATGGTGGAGCATGGGGAGCCTGATCAGATGTCACCAAGGGGGATCAGACATCAGGGGCAGGGAATCCTGCTAAATTGACAAAGCAGGGATTGCTAAAACAGATGTCACAGGGAAGTGTATGATGGCCCTACAAGGCTCAGAAGCCTGACTAGAGTTTGGTCAAAGAATTTTTGTCAGGATCATGGAAAATTTAATAAAGTGTAGCTATGAAAGAAAGGACTTAAAATTTATTTAACCAGAGTAACAAAGAATTAAAAGTCAATCCAGTAAGAGAATATATAGGCCTTAAATCAGCATCCATTAGTGAAGTCTGTGGCCTCTAGTTTTTCTTACTAAAACTTACTCCACTTACAAAAGAAATATTGTGGAAAAAACAGGAAATACAAAATGTATGGAGAAAATAAGATAACCCCCCTGATAATTCTTCCATTCAGAAATAACCAGTGTTTAGGTTTGGATATACACCTGTGTTTCTAACACAGTAGTCCCTAGCCACATGTGGTTATTTAATTTAAATTTAAATTGACTAAATGAAAGTAATATTCAAATCATTACTGTCATTTCTGCATTACATCCTTATTTTTGTGTTTCATTTATCAGTATTGTGTCATCAATCACACCTTCCTAGCTAGCTATTAAAACAGTCATTCCTTTTAGCAGCACAATGGTTTATGATATTAACTTTGAGCACAGATACATTTTTCTGGGCTTGTGCAGTGGAGCAGGGCTTGGCTGGGGTGAACCTTGGCTGTTTCCCTTATTAGCTGTGTGGGCTTAGGGAAGAGTTAACTTCTCTGTGGCTCACCTTCTCCATTGTCAAGCGGGGGTAATAGCAGGCTATTTGCAGGGATCAGGAGTTAATACGTGTACACTGCAAGTAATGATCAATAAGTGTCAGCGCCTCCATTCTTTGCCAGGTGTGCACCACAGCTGGGGGATTAAACTTTACCACACCACAGCAGATAACATATTTGCATAACTTGCTTTTTGTCTTCTTAAGCTTTCCTTGAACTCAATTCCCCAGAGTGGTAGAAGTGGTCATAGGGCACTATCATTTTTATGACTTCTGAATTGCCAGATCACCCTCAGAGAGATTGCATCAGTGTTCGGAGCTTGCAGCCAAGCTCGACCCCACAGCCCTGCCATCTGTGCCCGAAGTTCGATCTTGTTGGCTCCAGAATCCCTAGGACATAGTGCAGGAGTGAATCCCGAGCTGGAGCTGGGTGGGCTGTGGGGTCATTCCAGATTGATTAACCTCCGACCTCTGAAGTCTGCAGCTGGAAGGGGCTCCAGGTAAGAAGATAACTTTGAAGCATCACACCAGGAAACCTACTGCACCTGGACTTTCATGACATTTCCTGCGGGCAATTTTTACCTCCACGAAATTCAGTAACCTTTGCAGCCCCTTCAGCCCAAGACCACCAGGAGCAAACCTGTGGTCCACAAAATCGGGTGTACTGACCCACTGCAATGAGGGAGCGCCTCCCAAGAACGAAGGGAAAGGCAGAGTTTGAAGGGGTTGAGGGAAGGCAGAGTTTAGGTGACCTTTACATGAAGCAGGGTTCCCACAGGCTGAGGCCAGCAGGACTGTGTTCCGCGGGGCCAAGTGTGGGAAGCTGTGTGCAGACGCCCCCTATCTGGAGCTGCAGCCTGGATTGGGATGACAGAGGCTAAGTCTCGGTTAGTGGCTGAGCTCCCCGGCCAGACGGGCATGTTTCCTTCTCCCTGCTGTAATCTCAAAGCGGACAGCGTCTGCCAGGTGGTTTCGGGAACAGGGTTTCTCCGAGGGCTAGGGGGCTGCGGTCCCTCCGAGGCGGGGTCGTGGTGGCATTTGGCTGTGGCTGCCTCGCGCCCTCGGGAACGGGCGTCTCCAGCTCGCTGGCAGCTGGTTTTCTCCACGTCTGTCATCGGCCTGGAGTGGCAAGCAAATAGCTGGTATTTTCAGAGCCGCCCTGCCCCGGACAGAGAAGACCGGGCCCAGCAGGCGTTGGTGGATGCCTTTCAAGCTGTAATCAGTTTCCCCGAACGTGTACCAGGTCTCGGCCACAGCCCGAGCCCAGCGCGCTCCCGCGGGGCACCTGGTGACCCGGTGCAGGGCGGGAGGGCCGGTCCCAGGAACCCGAGGGCCGGAGGGCAGGGCCCCCTTCCCGCACCGTCCCCGGGCTGGCAGGAGCGGCCACGACGGCACGCTCCGAGGCCCCGGGTCCCTTGCCCCCTCCAGTCGCTCCCACTTTCTGCCGGGCTTGCCCAACGAGGGGGCAAACACCACGCTCAGGTGGCGTGGACAGGTCGCTGCCGCCTCGGACTACACCAGAGATCTCAGCTATGAGCCTGGACGCCCGCCCCGCCCTCCCGAGGCCCCGCCCCGCCCCCCGAGGCCCCGCCCCGGCGCGGCGCGCAGGCGCGGTCCATCCCGCCCGCAGAGCCGCAGTGCCGGGCGCCAGAGCAGCGGCGCCAGAGCAGCTGCACCATCCCGGCGTTCGCGTGTGCCGCCGCTTTCCTCCTCCATCTCTTTTCCTCCGCCTCCGCCGGCGCGATGGCGAAGCCGCTGACGGACAGCGAGAAGCGGAAGCAGATCAGCGTGCGCGGCCTGGCGGGGCTAGGCGACGTGGCCGAGGTGCGGAAGAGCTTCAACCGGCACTTGCACTTCACGCTGGTCAAGGACCGCAATGTGGCCACGCCCCGCGACTACTTCTTCGCGCTGGCGCACACGGTGCGCGACCACCTCGTGGGCCGCTGGATCCGCACGCAGCAGCACTACTACGAGCGCGACCCCAAGGTGAGGCGCTGCCCCGCCCTGTGCGCCCGTGCCCGCTGAGAGGGCGCCGGTCCCGGAGCCGCGCCAGCGGGGGTCTCTGCGGGGCGGCCCGTCGGGCGTTACCTGCGCCCCTAGCCGGCCGGCGGCCAGGCACAGCCGACTGGGGAGTCGCCTGGAAGCCGCAGTCGGCGGGGCCCGGGCGTCCCCTGCGCAGGGCCGCGGCCACGGGTCCGCCCCACTGGGAGCCCGCGCCTGGCGGGGTCCGCCGTCCCCCGCAGATGATGCTGAGCCCGGGAGCCTGGCGGACGTTCCCGGTCTCTTTCTGGCCGTGCGCTTCCGCGCTGGCTGCAGAGCCGGTGCTCCCCGCCCCTGCCTCCAGCCACTCTTTGTTTTCCTGCAGCAGCCTGTGGGAGAAAATGGGACTGGAACCAGGCCTGGGCAGCCTTGTGGGTTGGAATGGGGTGAGCTCGGTAATCTGCAGGGAATTGTGAGACTTTTTTTTGTGTACGCTGCTTAGAAGAAAATCACTGAAGATGCCTGCTTCACGCAGGGAGGGGTACGAAGCTCAGAGATGGAGATGGAGCCCTCGAAGAAGGCTCTGTCTTAGAGGTTCCCACACCTCCCTTGGAGAAATTTGCTTGGGTTGAAGTTGACAGAGATCATCTTACTAATTGTTACTTTTTATATCTTGCAAAAATTTGTTTGAGTAGTGAAACAAAGTCACTGATTGTCCCCGTTACTCTTAACCATGTTTACTATGGGCCTGTGTTCTTGCTGTGTTTTTGGTATTCCTAAATATACATACACATTTTTAAAAAGTATAATGCACATACAGTTTTTTAGATTTTCTGTTTCATTCGTAAACATTTGTAACTTTTTCACTGATAAACAGCTTTGCAGGTCAATGGATAGGATGGTAGTTTTCAGTTTGATAGGTACATGGTAGTCTTGCAC
The DNA here is from genome assembly GCF_000001405.40 of Homo sapiens. Classification (NCBI taxonomy): domain Eukaryota; kingdom Metazoa; phylum Chordata; class Mammalia; order Primates; family Hominidae; genus Homo; species Homo sapiens. The sequence continues at coordinate 25,249,355 of NC_000020.11, forward strand.
AGCCCCCTGTTGCCAGTTTTTTGTTGTTGTCGTTTGCTTTTAAACTCTTGACCATGGAGAATTGTCTTTCTACTACACTAACGTAGAGGGAGAACTGGTGAGGAAAAGACACACTTCCAGACCTGAAGCCACTTGGCAAAGATTTTACTTGCAGTGTACATCTAGGCAGTGAGCACTTGCTTTATGGATGGTATTTTAGAATATTTTTGTAGGGCATTAAGATATGTTTAATACGGTAATTGCTAAGAGATTGACTGCTTTTCCAAACTTATTCTGGGACATTCTTTTTTCTAAAATGGAGATGGTAAAAGGGACAGATTTGTTAGAATACCAACTGGGGCTCTTCATATTTGGTATGCAAAACATAGAAGTGGCAACGAATGGCCAAAACAGGTTATAACAAGGGCTTGGGATGACTTTGCCAGGAAAAGCAGCCAAGAAGCAGTGGCTCCCCCAGAATTCCCTGCTGTTGGGAGAGTTCTGATGCACAGCACCATTTTTTTTTTTTTTTTAATTCTGAGTCTTGCCCTGTAGCGTGAAGCTAGAGTGCAGTGGCGCGATCTCGGCTCAGTGCAACCTCCGCCTCCCGGGTTCAAGCAATTCTCCTGCCTTAGCCTCCCAAGTAGCTGGGATTACAGGCGCCTACCACCACGCCCGGCTAATTTTTTGTATCTTTAGTAGAGACGGGGTTTCACCATGTTGGCCAGGCTGGTCTCAAACTCCTGACCTCGTGATCCGCCCGCCTCGGCCTCCCAAAGTGCAGGAGTTACAGGCGTGAGCCAACGCACCCGACCCGCAACATCATTTTTATTGTCTAAGTGGCGGATGGCAAGGACATAGCTCTGCCTTCACATTCAAGGGCATTTCCTTGGAGCTGGACCAGGACTCAGCTCTACACCTTAGGGTGCCCATTGGAGTATTTATGTATAATCACATCCTGGAGAGGCCAGCGATGGGCTCAGGGATTACGGAAATGACCTTCATGAACAAGATAGTCCCTGCAACAAAACAGGTTTTTTGATCCTCCGTGAGATCTCTTTTGATTGTCTACGTGTGGTGGCTCTGGGTGGAAACCTTTCTCTTAAACCGCACAGTCTGTAAGTCGTAAAGTTGTAAACTTTTAGATCTCACAGTGTGTAAATAAGCTGTGTGCCTATTCTGAATAGGAAGGACATGGAAAATTGGGATTTAACTGCTTCTTTCGCTAATTCATGATGAAAATAAGCTTGCAATCCTTTCTTTGGAAAAGTTACATGCTTGCTGGTGATGGACCAGCAACCAGTCCCACCAGAGCCAATGAGAGGAGGTGTGCTCCCAAGAAAATAACTGCTGTGCCTCCCCCTCAGCCAGAAATGACCTCAGACATTCACCGGCACACTGCAGACTGTGGTAATGTGACACTCTAGAGCTCCTAAATAGAACGCTTTTATTGTTATTTTTGTCTTTTTTTAAATTATGCAAGTCCTGAAGGAAAAATTATTACTGGAGGAAAAATTAGAAAATATAGATAAGCCAGAAGGAAAAAAATTAACTGTAATCCTGTAACCCACTTCTATCGCCCACTTTGTGCTGTAAATATTTTGTGTTCTACATTGTTTTTTCCGTATTGGCAGAAACTTGTTTTTAATACATAAAATAACATTATACTGAACCTATTGTTTCATAACTCTTAGCACTTTATTTGTGGTACATAGCGAAAGAGTAGAAGTTGGGGTGTTCAGAGGAAGATTTGTCAAGCTTTGCCATGCTTGGCAAATCAGCACGTCAAAACATCTGGCTAACATGGAGAGCTTTGTGCTTGGCAAGAGGTGGCGGTTGGTCATGAAGACATTTAATGGATTCTCTGAAGTGGTGGCAAGGTGGCAAGGAGAGTCCAACCTGAAGCTGCAGAGCCTGGGATTGCGCTGCATGGAGAAGAAAGGGTGTGCGTGATTCCACGCTCCTTTTCATCCTGGCCTTTCCATTCGGTCTGTGCAACTGTGGGCTTGGGCGGATTTCTTTGCCATTATTGGCCTCAGTTTTCTCATCTTTAAAATGAGGGGAATCAAGCTGGTGATGTTTCCGAAGTCTGTTGCCATTCTGAAATGTTAGAGTTAAAATGTTTCTATTTCATATTGAATTGACATTCCATCTCTATCCAGAGAGAATTTGAGGATGCTTATGCTAGATACAGCACAAAAGGTTCACATTAGAAGGCCTCAGAGTGAGGGTTGGGGTGGGACAGTGAGGGTCAGGACACAAAACACAGACCAGGATCCTGGCAGTGAAAGCAGCCCATGCCCAGTTATGAGAGTCACGGGATCCCTTCTATAACATCCTGAAAGGACAGTTGCACGGTTTATTCTGTGGGCCTTTGTGAAGCTGTGTTGTCGATGTGCTGAGCCACTGACCTGCAGCACCCCTGCAGTGGATGTAACAATCAGTTTTTGAGACTCTTCCCATAAGCTCCTGGCATGACTACAACACAGATTAAGGAAAAGCAGCTCTACCTTGGGGCCCACACTGCTGTCCTAAATATTCCTAATGAGATAAACACAATGAAATACGATTAATCTTTTGGTTTGGCTGGACCCAGGAGTTAAAGAAGATGATCTAGAGAAGTGTTTTGCAGACCCTTCTGCTCTGTGATCCCCACTTCTGGGATTTGTTTTAATTAGTCAGTTGTGGTACCAGCCTCCGGAATCCTAACACTCCCAATTTTTCTGATGTATTTCCACTTTTATGTGTGAAGTTGAGCTTGCATCTCCTGGGCAGGCTTCCCTGACAGCAGATCGCTCAAAGTCATTTTCTCTGACCAGTAGCTGATGGTGGGTGCTGTTTTGTGTTGCTGACAGCTAGCCACTTGGAAGGTAGGCCTCAGCTGTCATTTTAGCAGATGGAGAAGCCTACAGTGTGTGCCTTCATTTTCTGCAGAAGACAGCCTGGCCTCTGCCCTTGCAGGCTGTGGTGGCTGGTTTTATGTGTCAACTTGGCTGTTGTGCCTAGATAGTAACGTGGATGTCCCTCTGGGGGGGTCGGGGGGTGGTGTTTCCCACACTGACTGAGCATCTTACAATTCAGTTCCGTTCTGATGCTGTCTACCTAGATGTAGCCTCGGATCCCACAGGCTAAAGGCTCAGTCCCACAAGACTTCTCCACCCCAGATGTCAGTTGCACATCAGGACCTCCCTTCTGACCTCTGACCGACAGCCTCCTCAGGTTTGATGATTTGCCAGAATGGCTCATGAAACTCAGGGAAACACTTCACTTGCGTTTACCAATTACTTACAAGGAATACAACCCAGGAACAGCCAGATAGAAGATATGCAGAGGGCAGGTCTGAGGGAGGGTGCAGGGGCTTCCATTCCCTCTGCAGGTGCCACTGTCCCAGCACCTCCAGGATTCACTGAACTGGAAGGAAGCTCTTCCATCCCCTTCAGTTGGGGATTTTATGGAGGCCGCAGTTACCTAGTGTGATTATTGGCCATTGGTGATGAGCTCAGCCTTTAGCCCCTCTCCCTTCACTGGAGGTTGGGGCTGGCGGGAGGGGTGGGCCTGAAACTTCCAACCCTCTAATTAGAGCTGGTTCCCCTGGCAGCCAGCCTCTGCCCTGAGGGGCTTGCCAAAAGTCACCTTTTGGTGACCACATCAGGCGTGGTTGAAAGGGACTTGTTATGAATAACAAAAGACACTTCTTTCATTTTTATTGCTCTTATCACTTAGGAAATTACAAGGGTGTTAGGAGCACAGGCCAGGAAGAACAAATAAGTATATCTCATTACATCACAGTTTCACAGCCTCCCATGGGGGAAGGCCTTGCAGAACAAACCCTGCCACCAGCTACCTTGCACCAGAGCTGCAGCTTGCCTGGGTCTCCAGCCTGCTGGCCCACCCCACTCTGTAGGTTGTGGCCTTGCACTTCAGAATCACTTGAGCCAATTTCTTAAATCTGTCTCTCTCTACACATACCTTACTGTTCTGTGTCTCTGGAGAACCCTGACTAATCCACAGGGGCCGTGGTGGCTTTATAAAATATGGCCGGGCGTGGTGACTCACACCTGTAATCCCAGCACTTTGGGAGGCTGAGGCAGGTGGATCACCTGAGGTCAAAAGTTCGAGACCAGCCTGACCAATATGGTGAAACCTGGTCTCTATTAAAAATACAAAAATTAGCCGGGCGTGGTGGTGGACATCTGCAGTCCCAGCTATTCGGGAGGCTGAGACAGGAGAATTGCTTGAACCAGGGAGCCAAGACTGCGCCATTGCACTCCAGCCTGGGCAACTCTGCCTAAATAAAATAAAATAAAATAAAATAAAATAAAATAAGGTAACCGACCTCACCTCCACATCTCAGCCATATTTCCTTTTAAACTTTATGTGATTTCAGACCCTTAAAAAGTTGCAAGAATAATACAGAGATTTCTTGTAATTCCTGTTGACGCTTCATCCGGATTCCCCAGATGTTAAACATTGCAACACACTTGTTAGGTCATTTTGTCGCTGTAAGTTCATTTTTCTCCGAATCATTTGAAAGTAAGAACCAGCCTGACCAACAAGGTGAAACCCCTTCTTTACTAAAAATACAAAAATTAGCCAGGCATGGTGGTGGGCGCCTGTAGTCCCAGGTACTTGGGGGACTGAGGCAGGAGGATTGCTTGAACCTGGGAGGAGCAGGTTGCAGTGAGCTGAGATCACGCCACTGCATTCCAGCCTGGGCAACGGAGCGAGACTCTGTCTCAAAAAAAAAAAAAAAAACTGAGTCATAGCCTTGTTGCCCCTTCACCCCCAAAAACGGCAGTGAGTACTCCGGAAAAACAGGGAAGCTCTCCTACACACCCACAGTAGAGCAGTTAAACTCTGGACATTTTAATCAACACAGTGCTGTTGTCTGCAAATCTTTTCAGTGTCACCAGCTGTCCTGCTTAATAAATACAAATAAAATGCAATAATACAATTGTAAAAAATACAAATAAATAATTGGGAGAACTTTAGAAGTCTTTTCAGATTATATCTTTTATTATTATTATTATTAAACGGATCAAAGCTTTAAGCCATTTGGAAATTCAAAGCATCCTAAGACATGCAGCAAATAACCGCAGGAGATAGGAGCTGGCTTTTTCTCACCCATGCAGAATGGCATTCTTAGGATACGGTGAAGGGAAGAGAAGTGAACACAGATTTAGAAAGGTAATTGGACAGTAAGAGAAGTTCGGTTAACAGTGTCTTCAACAGTACCTTGAGTAGGAATGACATGTAATTTTAGGTATAGGTAAGTGGCATTTCTCGGCCTACAAACAGTTAAAATGAAAGATTAAAGTAGTGTTTAAAAACGATGACTGGTAGCTCACTAGGTATAAATATAGTTTGACACGGTCCAGATCACTTAGTGTAAGTTGATTAGGCTCTGTCAGTGATAAGGAGAAGGCTCCCATCGCTTTCTGGCTCTGGATTAGTACTGAATAGACTTTTTGTGGAGCTTAATTGCATAGAAGGCGGGAGACAGTGACTTGTGGCAATGTGTGTCATGGAGTGTAGAAGGAATTTGTTTACTACAGAACCAAGTGATCTCTTAAGATCCCCATAAGTTCTAAAGTTCTATAATTCTTTTACATTTGACATTTTCAAAATTGAGCAAACAGACCTGTGTTTGAGTCGTAGGTACTGGAGTGAGAAGGAAATCCACGATCCACGTTGAGAAGCCTGCCCACTGTTCATGGGAAGCCAAGTTTCCCTGGCAGTTAATTCATTAAGAAAGTACCGTGTGACATCACAGGCTGGGAGCTTGAGAGATGTGCTAGCTAATCCTCACATCCTTACAGCAGATACAGTAGTGGATTATCAGATTGCTCTGTGAGCAACTCCCCAGAAGCCCCCTCAGACACAGTGGAGTGGACACTGTGACACTGTCAAGGAAACCAAAGACCAACCTCAGCGTCTGGCAGGTGGGAGGCCCCTCAACATCTCTCCTCCCACAGGACCTCGGTTCCCCTGGATGGTATCTGAGACTGCTCAGCTCACCAGCAGGAGCCAGCAGGTCCAGCCCAGGGAGGTGGCCCCTTTGTGTCTGGAGGGGCTGGGAGCCCCCGCTCCAAGGCCTGGCTGGTGGAACGTGGTGCCCACTGGCCTCTGGCTGGCTCAGTGGCCTGTGTTCCTGTGTCTTATCAGGGCCAGCTCTGTCCATAGTGCCTGGGTGGCAGGGAGGGACACTCTGCCCTGTGAGTCACTCTGTGCCCATGTAGGAACCAGTAGAGGGCGGCTGGTCTGAGGCATGCTGGCACCGACAGAATCGAATACACAAAAGGAGAGTTGCTGTGCTTTCCTGGGGACAGGAGGGGACCGGTTTCAGACCAGATCTGCCTGTAGAATGAGGCTCTTCATCTTGGTGAAAGCAGCCGCCCAACTCTTTTTTTTTTTTTTGAGGTGGAGTTTTGCTCTTGTTGCCCAGGCTGGAGTGCAGTGGCGCGATCTCTACTCACTGCAACCTCCGCCTCCCGGGTTCAGGCGATTCTCCTGCCTCAGCCTTCCGAATAGGTGGGATTACAGGTGTGCACCACCACGCCCAGCTAGTTTTGTATTTTTAGTAGAGACGGGGTTTCATCATGTTGGCCAGGCTGGTCTTGAGCTCCTGACCTCAAGTGATATACCTGCCTCAGCCTCCCAAAGTGCTGGGATTATAGGCATGAGCCATCACACCTGGCTCCAGCTCTTTCTTTTGTTTCCCTGAATGTTGGGAAAGTTCTTTCTTTTTCCACCAGAGTATTAAGACACTAACGTTAAATGAAGACTCTAGTTAAAAATCCCTTCAGAAAAGGGAGAAAAAATTGGTGGTCTCCACAGGCCCAATTCTGTGAATCTCTGTCTGTAAAGAACAAAATGAGGCTCTGCCAGTTGGTGTTACACTCTCTTTTCAGAGTCTGTTAACTCCTAAGGTGTCTTTAGGTGATTGGTATTTGGTGTACTGTTCGTGTTGATCATATTTTCATCTATTTTTGAGCTTTATGTTTTTCTATTATTTGCCTGGTTGTGTAGGCTTTGCATGTGATAAACTCTGTTAAAAAAAAAAAAGTGGAGGGCCTGGCTTGAACCCAGGAGGTGGAGGTTGCAGTGAGCCAAGATTGCACCATTGCATTCCAGCCTGGGCAACAGAGCGAAACTCTGTCTCAAAAAAAAAAAAACAAAAACAAAAACAAAAAACAGGCTGGCTTTAGGCTACTTAACACTTGTTATGTCATATTGCAAGAAGGGACCATGGTAGAAAGATCAATGGCCCAGTTCAATCCCAGGCGGCAGGGCCTCCTTAGAGCAGAGCTGCTGAGCAGGGAGGTTAAGGGATCGTGTTGGCATTTTCAGGCTGAAGCAGGTGAGTCCAGTTCTCCAACCAGCGCTCCCTGAGCAGGGAAGCCCTGTTCATGGTTGCACAAGAGGAGCCAGAGGGGAGTGAGTGGAAAGAGGCTGTCCTGCAGCAGCAGGATTTGGGGTCATGGAAGAGCTAGGTCCCTAGGCTGTTGCTTGGACAAAGCCTATGCCTTTACATGGTTTTTTTCAGAACTGCCACTTGGCAACTTTCTAGGCTTTGCATTTCTCCTTGAAAAGTCTGGTATGGTGAGGGGAACCAGCCTTGCCTGAGTCCTAGCCTAGCCCTGTGCGAGCCCACAGGTGAATGTGGTCCTCTCAGAGGCTGAGTGACTTGCCCAGGTCACCCAGCTAGCCAGGGCAGGGAGCTGGGATGAGACCCCAGCCTGTACCATTCAAGTCTGCATTTTCTTGGCCAGCTCCTCCAGCAAGCCTCTTTTCAGTTTCATGGTTTTCACTCTGAACCATATTAAGGTAAAAGCAAAATAGACACATCTCAGCAAATGATGAAAGTTCTTAAATTGAAACAAGTTGCAGAAAAACCTCAAAGCAGCAAAACACATTGCAGTCCCCAAGGACAGAGCCTGTGGCCCGGCAGGCCCTGGGCAGTGCCTTGGGGGCTGTGCTTCAGCAGGAGGCTGCAGAACCCTCGATGTCTGCATGCAACCTGGACAATTGGAGACGCACAGGCTTCGAGTCTAGGCCCAGCACTTCCCGTGTCAGTCCTGTCCCTTACAAACAGAGATAATCAAGCTCTTGGGACATAACTGGTAAACTTTTTCCCCACAGTAGAAAAGTTCTAAGTAGAAGTTAGGAACTTTTGCAGAGAGAGCAAACTACAACCTAAAAATCCACATTTTAGCCAGGTGTGGTGGCATGCACCTGTAGTGCCAGCTGCTTGGGAGGCTGAGACGCGAGGATCACTTGAGGCCAGGAGTTTGCAGCCAGCCTGGGCAACATAGTGAGACCGTCATCTCTTAAAAAAAAATATACATTTTTAGTTAAAGGCAAAGTAAAAACATTCTGGTCATGTTCCTGGCCTGTCAGCTTTTTATAAAACCTCTTGTTAATACTTGACCCACAGTATTTTCTCAGATAGCCAGGGTCTAGTTGGGCTCAGTATGATTTCGCACTGGTTAATAAACCCTGCCTGGACAGTGCCTGTGGCTTCCTCTGCCAGAGGGGGGAGGCAGGTGCTATGGAAACCCCATAGAATATTAAGTTCGTTCAAATGTAGTGTAAATAAAATCCAGCATGATGAAAGTCCACAAGAGGCCTGACTGTGAGTGACAGCAGCAGTAGTTGTACTTATAGCGGCTATGAGGACTCATTAATTATGCTGCTGTAATTCCTGTGACGTAAAGGACTTTGGAATTTATACAGTAATGTAGAAGCCTATATTCAAATGATCAAAAAAGTAAAAACAGGCCATTGAAGACAGAGCTATCATTTGTGTGTGTGTGTTCTTTCAATTTGTAGATTTAGGTATTTATAGAGTATTCTTAAGTTATGTATTAAAAACTTTATGGACCTCACCGACGACCCATGTAGAATTCCAGGGAATCACTACATGGTGCCGGTCAGCGTGGTCAGCTATCTCCACTGTCAAGTTGCTGCCGTTTCCTTTCTGTGCTCCTCAGCAGGGTGTCGCTACATCCACCCCACCCTCAAGGTGGCAGACAGGGAAGTAAGCTCCTCCTCCTGGAGTGAAGAATATCAGAAAGTGTTTGGCCCCTGGTTAAAACCACCAAAGCAATTAGTAAATATTTCAGGGGAGATGTTGGCTGTGCACATATCCTGTTAGTCCTTGGAGTTGTGCCCACTGATCTTAGCATTCAGCCCTGGCCGCTGCAGGCCCGTGGATGGCCATGAGAAGTACTCGGTAGAGAAAGTAGGGCACCTAGAACCCCGCTCAGGGCCCAGGAGGCACTGCATGGGTGGCCGTCCTTGATACAGCACCTCACTGGCATAGAGCTGGCTCATGTGGCAACCCCAAGCCAGCCAGCCAGCAGGCATCAGCCAAGAGACTTCTGCTGGGGAACATGGATGCATCCATTCAGCCGTCTGTGCTGCGTTCATTGGTGCTTCACGTGGGTGCTAGAAGTTGTGCTCAGGGCTTTCCATTGAGTACTTGAAGACATGGCCTGTGTTACATCTGTGTTAGAGATGTGAAGTAACTTGCCCAAGGGCACATGGCTGGTAAGAGGCTGAGCTAAGTGCAGACCTGGGTCTGTCCAGTTCTGGGTGCCTTGGCCCCAACCACCAACCTGCCCTGCCTCCCCACACATCATGGAAAGTTAGTGTGTGTTCATCCAGGGACTGGAGGGTCAGGGAAGAGAAGGCCGTGTTGAGGAGGGGTCTCCTGGGTGGGCTGCTTTTGGGGGCTGCGGTCAGCAGGCTGCCTGACAGAGCAAGCCCAGTTTTTGTGCATGGGGTTGACATAAATGAAATCCCGAGTGGGGGCTTGGCTTCATGGGTCGTGTCATCTCTGTAACCTTCCTAAAGTGTAGAATGGAATGAGAAATCTTATTCTTTCTTCTGCTTCCTCAGCGCATTTATTATCTTTCCCTGGAATTCTACATGGGTCGCACGCTGCAGAACACGATGGTGAACCTGGGCCTTCAGAATGCCTGCGATGAAGCCATCTATCAGGTACAGAGCCTCATGGCCGGGCTTCTGGGTGGCCCCTCGTGGTGCTTTGAGGTCTGAATCCATTTTCCCACAGAGGTGAGCCCTGATGTTAAGACTAGCAGCTATCTGGGAATCGGGAGATTTACGGCCTGTTCTCCCCTCCTGGAAGGAATGGGTTGGCGGGGCTGCTCTCTGTTTTTGAGAGTAGAAAGTAAGAATCGAACGGACCGCAAGCGTGGGGTTGAATTGGGATGCGAAGGTGTGGAGGTTCTAGAGGCCATCCCACACCCCACCCCACCTCCGGGGCGGATTTAGAGCACTGCACCAGTGGTTGGTATTATTCCATTTTGACTTCATCAAACTGCTAACCCATGTCTGGTTTCCCTCCCTCCACCCCTGAGATGACCTCCGGAGCTCACCCTAGTTGTCTAGTTGTAAAAGCACTATTTCTCCCCTAAAAACAAAACCTGCCTTTTCTTGAGAGTTCTTCATTAGCACTTGTTCACTTTGAACTTAATCCTTTCACAGTTCCTTTGTGGTTTTAGAGCAGAGCAGCCATTGGCTTTTTGGTCTGTCTTCGCTTCCCTTCCCAGCTGAGTCTCTAGAGTATAACCTTTTACCTGCGCATAGATGGGTGCCTTCATGGTGGGGCCCCTCCACCTCAGCGCCCTGCCACCGCCTTTGCTTTGCTTGGGTTTGGATGTGTGTGGGAGGAGTGGGGGTGTTTTGTTGGGGGCAAATGTCTTGCATGGCTGGGAGGCGGCTCAACATTGCCTGGGGCTCCGTCTCCCCCTGCAGGACCTCATAGCAGTGTCTGTGCTCAACAAAATGCAACAAAAACTTCACTCCGCATGTTCGAAATTAGCTAATGGTGCTAAAGGTTACCCTGGCAGGTGACTTGTCATTTACGTCTGTTTACTGAGTGTTAACATTAGGGCATGTCTGTAAGAAGTACAGAACATGTAATATCTTAGTCTTGTCTTTGGATTTTACCATTATAGAATGCATTTTCTTTTTTGAAACACTTTCTGCAGTTCTTACATATAGTAAAAATTTTAGGGAATAGTTTGCCTCATAAACATGCAATATGTTTCTAATTTTTATTCACAGAAAATGAATGTTAATTATAAAAATTTAGAAATTGCGGGCAAGCATGTATCCTTTTAAACTTTGTATACTTGATGGGAGGTTCCAAGATGGCTGAATAGGAACAGCTCCAGTCTACAGCTCTCAGCGTGAGTGATGCAGAAGATGGGTGATTTCTGCATTTCCAACTGAGGTACTGGGTTCATCTCACTGGGGCTTGTCGGACTGTGGGTGTAGCCCACCGAGCGTGAGAGCATGAGCTAAAGCAGGGCGAGGCATTGCCTCACCCGGGAAGCACAAGGGATCAGGGAATTCCCTTTCCTAGCCAAGGGAAGCTGTGACCAATGGCACCTGGAGAATCAGATCACTCCCACCCTAATATTCCACTTTTCCAACGGTCTTAGCAAACGGCACACGAGGAAATTATATCCCGCACCAGGCTCAGAGGGTCCCACGCCCACGGAGCCTCACTCATTGCTAGCACAACAGTATGAGATTGAACTGCAAGGCGGCAGTGAGGCTTGGGGAGGGGCGTCCGCCATTGCTGAGGCTTGAGTAGGTAAACAGAGCAGCCGGGAAGCTTGAACTGGGTGGAGCCCACCACAGCTCAAGTAGGCCTGCCTGCCTCTGTAGACTCCACCTCTGGGGGCAGGGCATAGCTGAACAAAAGGCAGCAGAAACTTCTGCAGACAAATGTCTCTGTGTGACATCTTTGAAGAGAGTAGTGTTTCTCCCAGTACAGAGTTTGAGATCTGAGAATGGACAGACTGCTTCCACAAGTGGGTCCCTGACCCCCGAGTAGCCTACCTAACTGGGAGGCACCTCCCAGTAGGGGCCGACTGACACCTCACACAGCCGGGTGCCCCTCTGAGACGAAGCTTCCAGAGGAACGATCAGGCAGCAACGTTTGCTGTTCTGCAGTATTCACTGTTCTGCAGCCTCTGCTGGTGATACCCAGGCAAACAGGGTCTGGAGTGGACCTCCAGCAAACTCCAGCAGACCTGCAGCTGAAGGTCCTGACTGTTAGAAGGAAAACTAACAAACAGAAAGGACATCCACACCAAAACCCCGTCTGTACGTCACCATCATCAAAGACCAAAGGTAGATAAAACCACAAAGATGGGGAGAAACCAGAGCAGAAAAGCTGAAAATTCTAAAAATCAGAGTGCCTCTTCTCCTCCAAAGGAACGCAGCTCCTCGCCAGCAATAGAACAAAGCTGGACGGAGGATGACTTTGATGAGTTGAGAGGAGAAGGCTTCAGACGATCAAACTTCTCCGAGCTAAAGGAGGATGATCGAACCCATCACAAAGAAGCTAAAAACCTTGAAAAAAGATTAGACGAATGGCTAACTAGAATAACCAGTGCAGAGAAGTCCTTAAATGACCTGACGGAGCTGAAAACCATGGCACGAGAACTACATGATGCATGCACAAGCTTCAGTAGCCAATTCGATCAACTGGAAAAAAGGGTATCAGTGATTGAAGATCAAATGAATGACATGAAGTGAGAAGAGAAGTTCAGAGAAAACAGAGTAAAAAGAAATGAACAAAGCCTCCAAGAAATATGGGACTATGTGAAGAGACCAATCTACGGCTGATTGATGTATCTGAAAGTGATGGGGAGAATGGCACCAAGTTGGAAAACACTCTTCAGGATATTATCCAGGAGAACTTCCCCAACCTAGCAAGGCAGGCCAACACTCAAATACAGGAAATACAGAAAACGCCACAAAGATACTCCTCGAGAAGAGCAACTCCAAGGCTCATAATTGTCAGATTCACCAAAGTTGAAATGAAGGAGAAAATGTTAAGGGCAACCAGAGAGAAAGGTTGGATTACCCGCAAAGGGAAGCCCATCAGATTAACAGCGGATCTCTTCGCAGAAACTGCAAGCCAGAAGAGAGTGGGGGCCAATGTTCAGCATTCTTAAAGAAAAGAATTTTCAACCCAGAATTTCATATCCAGCCAAACTAAGCTTCATAAGTGAAGGAGAAATAAAATCCTTTACAGACCAGCAAATGCTGAGAGATTTTGTCACCACCAGGCCTGCTCTAAAAGAGCTCCTGAAGGAAGCACTAAACATGGAAAGGAACAGCCGGTACCAGCCACTGCAAAAACATGCCAAATTGTAAAGACCATCAAAGCTAGGAAGAAACTGTATCAGCTACCGGGCAGAATAACCAGCTAACATCATAATGACAGGATCAAATTCACATATAACAATATTAACCTTAAATGTAAATGGGCAAAATGCTCCATTTTGACTTGACTGGATAAAGAGTCAAGACCCATCAGTGTGCTGTATTCAGGAGACCCATCTCACATGCGGAGACACACATAGGCTCAAAATAAAGGGATGGAGGAAGATCTACCAAGCAAATGGAAAACAAAAAAAAGCAGGGGTTGCAATCCTAGTCTCTGATAAAACAGACTTTAAACCAACAAAGATCAAAAGAGACAAAGAAGGCCATTACTTAATGGTAAAGGGATCAATTCAACAAGAAGAGCTAACTATTCTAAATACATATGCACCCAATACAGGAGCACCCAGATTCATAAAGCAAGTCCTTAGAGACCTACAAAGAGACTTAGACTCCCACACAATAATAATGGGAGACTTTAACACCCCACTGTCAACATTAGACAGATCAACGAGACAGAAAGTTAACAAGGATACCCAGGAATTGAACTCAGCTCTGCACCAAGCGGACCTAATAGATATCTACAGAACTCTCCACCCCAAATCAACAAAATATACATTCTTCTCAGCACCACATCGCACTTATTCCAAAATTGACCACATAGTTGGAAGTAAAGCACTCCTCAGCAAATGTAAAAGAACAGAAATTATAACAAACTGTCTCTCAGACCACAGTGCAATCAAACTAGAACTCAGGATTAAGACACTCACTCAAAACCACACAACTACATGGAAACTGAACAACCTGCTCCTGAATAATCACAAAAGAACTAGAGAAGCAAGAGCAAACATTCAAAAGCTAGCAGAAGGCAAGAAATAGTAACTAAGAGCAGAACTGAAGGAGATAGAGACACAAAAAACTCTTAAAAAAATCGAAGACTCCAGGAGCTGGTTTTTTGAAAAGATCAACAAAATTGATAGACCGGTAGCAAGACTAATAAAGAGGAAAAGAGAGAAGAATCAAATAGATGCAATAAAATATGATAAAGGGGATGTCACCACTGATGCCACAGAAATACAAACTACCATCAGAGAATACTATAAACACCTCTATGCAAATAAACTAGAAAATCTAGAGGAAATGGATAAATTCCTGGACACATACACCCTCCCAAGACTAAACCAGGAAGAAGTTGAATTCCTGAATAGACCAATAACAGGCTTTGAAATTGAGGCAATAATTAATAGCCTAGCAACCAAAAAAAGTCCAGGACCAGAGGGATTCACAGCTGAATTCTACCAGAGGTACAAGGAGGAGCTGCTACCATTCCTTCTGAAACTATTCCAATCAATAGAAAAAGAGAGAATCCTCCCTAACTCATTTTATGAGTCCAGCATCATCCTGATACCAAAGCCTGGCAGAGACAACCAAAAAAGAGAATTTTAGACCAATATCCCTGATGAACATTGATGCAAAAATCATAGTAAAATACTGGCAAACCAAATCCAGCAGCACATCAAAAAGCTTATCCACCATGATCAAGTGGGGTTCATCCCTGGGATGCAAGGCTGGTTCAACATATGCAAATCAACAAACGTAATCCATCATATAAACAGAATCAAAGACAAACCATATGATTATCTCAATTGATGCAGAAAAGGCCTTCAACAAAATTCAACAGCACTTCATGCCAAAAACTCTCAATAAACTAGGTATTGATGGAACATATCTCAAAATAATAAGAGCTATTTATGACATACCCACAGCCAATATCATAGTGAATGGGCAAAAACTGCAAGCATCCCCTTTGAAAACTGGCAGAAGACGGATGCCCTCTCTCACTACTCCTATTCAACATAGTGTTGGAAGTTCGGGCCAGGGCATTCAGGCAGGAGAAAGAAATAAAGGGTATTCAGTGAGGAAAAGAGGAAGTCAAATTGTCCCTGTTTGCTGATGACATATTTGTATATTTAGAAAACCCCATCATCTCAGCCCCAAATCTCCTTAAGCTGATAAGCAACTTCAGCAAAGTCTCAGGATACAAAATCAATGTGCAAAAATCACAAGCATTCCTATACACCAATAAACAGACAAACAGAGGGCCAAATCATGAGTGAACTCCCATTCACAATTGCTTCAAAGAGAATAAAATACCTAGGAATCCAACTTACAAGGGATGTGAAGGACCTCTTCAAGGAGAACTACAAACCACTGTTCAGGGAAATAAAGGACGACACAAACAAATGGAAGAACATTCCATGCTCATGGATAGGAAGAATCAATATCTTGAAAATGGTCCTACTGCCCAAGGTAATTTATAGATTCAACGCCATCCCCATCAAGCTACCAATGACTTTCTTCACAGAACTGGAAAAAACTACTTTAAAGTTCATATGGAACCAAAAAAGAGCCCGCATCGCCAAGACAATCCTAAGCCAAAAGAAGAAAGCTGGAGGCATCATGCTACCTGACTTCAAACTATACTACAAGGCTACAGTAACCAAAACAGCATGGTACTGGTACCAAAACAGAGATATAGACCAATGGAACAGAGTAGAGCCCTCAGAAATAATACCACACATCTACAACCATCTGATCTTTGACAAACCTGACAAAAGCAAGCAATGGGGAAAGGAGTCCCTATTTAATAAATGGTGCTGGGAAAACTGGCTAGCCATATGTAGAAAGCTGAGATACCTAGAAATGGAATTGCTGGATCATATGGCAGTTCCATTCTTAATTTTTTTTTTGGAACCACCAAAATGTTTGCCACAGCAGTAGCACCATTTTACATTCCTACCAAAAGGACACAAGAGTTCCAGTTTCTCTACATCCTCACCAATGCTTCTTCTCTGTTTTTTGACAGTAGTCATTCTAAATGGGTGTAAAATGGTATGTTATAGTTTTTATTTGCATGTTCCTGATAACTAATGATGCTGAGCATCTTTTCACGTGCTTGTGGGCCATTTGTATATCTTGTTTGAAGAAAAGCCTATTCAATTCATTTACTCATTTTAAATCAGGTTGTTTGTTTTCTTGTTGTTGAATTTTTTTTTTTTTTTTTTTTGAAATGGAGTCTTGCTCTGTCGCCCAGGCTGGAGGGCAGTGGCGTGATCTCGGCTCACTGCAGGCTTCACCTCCCGGGTTCACACCATTCTCTTACCTCAGTCTCCCGAGTAGCTGGGACTGCAGGCACCTGCCACCACGCCCGGCTAATTTTTTTGTATTTTTAGTAGAGACAGGGTTTCACCATGTTAGCCAGGATGGTCTTGATCTCCTGACCTTGTGATCCACCCGCCTTGGCCTTCCAAAGTGCTGGGATTACAGGCGTGAGCCACCATGCCCGGCCGATTTTTGTTGTTGAATTTTAAGAATTCTCTATTTGTCCTAGATATTAATAGCGTATCAGATATGTGATTTGTGGATATTTTCTCCCATTCTATGGCTTGTCTTTTTACTGTGTTGATAGTATATATTACTCTATATATAAAGATGAGGTTTCACCATGTTGGTCAGGCTGTTCTCAAACTCCTGACCTCAAGTTATCTGCCTGCCTTGGCCTCCCAAAGTGCTGGGATTTCAGGCGTGTGCCACTGCGCCTGGCTGATAGTATCTTTTGATTCACAAAAGTTTTTAATTTTATTAAGTCTAGTTTGTCTATTTTTCCTTTTGTTGCCTGTAAGTTTGGTGTCATATAGATCAATTGATTTTTTTTTTTTTAAAGGAAATAGGTACCAAAACAATTCAGTGGAGAACGATGTCTTTTCAACAAATGGTATTGGGATATTTGGATATCTACATGCAAATAAATGAAATCGAACCCCTACCTCACATTACATACAAAAATTAGCTCAAAATGGCTCAAAGACCTAAATATAAGAGCTAAAAGAATACAACTTTTAGAAAAATATATAGGGATCAATCTTCATGACCTTGGATTAGAATGATTTCTTAGATATGACACCAAAAACCCAAGCAACGAAAGAAAAAATAGATACATTGGACTTCATCAAAATTAAAAACTTTTGTGCATTAAATAAAGACAACCTACAAAATGAGAGAAAATATTTATAAATCCTAAATCTGATAAGAGTCTAGTATCCAGAATATATGTAAAGAACTCTGACAACCACAAAAAGACAACCCAATTGAAAAATGGACAAAAAGACTTGGATGTTTCTCCAAAGATGATATCCACATAGCACAAAAAGATGCTAAATGTGATTAGCTATGAGGGAAATGCAAATCAAAACCACAATGAGACGCCGCTGTATTCCCACAAGAATGGCTATAATCATAAACACAGAGAACAAGTGTTGGTGAGGATATAGAGCAGTTGGTGTGACTGTCAAATCTTGCAGTCACTTTGGAAAATAGTCTGCTAGTTACTAAAAAAGTTAAGCATAGAATTCTCATGTAGCCTAGCAATTCCATTCCACGGTACAGGTCTCAGAGAAATGAAAACATATGTCTACATGAAAAGCTGTATATGAATTTCACAGCAGCATTATTCATAACAGCCAAAAGTGGAAACATCCAAATGTTTATCAATTGATAGGGTAGGTAAACAAAATGTGGGCTAGCCATACAATGGAATAGTACACAGCAGTACAAAGACGGGAAGGGCTGACACATGGCACAACATGGATGAAGCTTGAAAACATGCTTATTGGAAGAAGCCATGAAATATCCAAAATAGGTAGATCCATAGAGATGGAGAGTAGATCAGTGATTGACAGAGGTGGGGGAAATAGGTTATGACTGCTGATGGGCACGGGGCTGCTTTTTGGTATGATGGTTTGGAATTAGTGGTGATGGTTGCACAACTCTGTGAACATACACTTCTAAAAGGCGAATTTTACGGTTAATGAATTATATCTCAATAAAGAGATAAAGGTTATTGGGTGTACTGCAGTGCTCTTTTTCTGTCTTCAGTTCAGAAGCCCACTGCAGCAGAGTTTTGGACTTTGTCAGCTACTTTTTGTGTCATTGTTGTTGTTGTTGAGACAGGGTCTTGCTCTGTCACCCAGGCTGGAGTGCAATGATACGATCACGGCTCACTGTAGCCTCAACCTCCCGGGCTCAAGCCATCCTTCCGCCTCAGCCTCCCGAGTAGCTGGGACTGTAGGCGTGCACCACCGTACCCAGCTAATTTATTTTTTATTTTTAGTAGAGACATCTCATTATGTTGCCCAGGCTGGTCTTGAACTTCTAAGCTCAAACGATCCTCCCACCTTGGCCTCCTAAAGTGTTGGGATGACAGGCTTGAGCCACCGCACCCAGCCTTTTTATGTCTTTCTCGAATGCTCACAAAATCAAGGTGACATTTGCCCTCCTAGGTAGGAAGAGTGTGCTGTAGGCACTCAATTTAAAAACAGGAAGGAACTAAACATCTTTGATTATGTTGACTCGTAGCCTATCTTTAGAAAAATATGTAGAGATTTTTTAAAAATTTAATGGATTTTTGAATTTAATAGATTTTTTATGAACAAGAGGTTTTATGGTTGGTTAAGTTTAGACCATAAACTTAGAAGTTTTCTGGTCGGTTATGTTGTAGTTAAACTTATTTCTTAACTTTGAGCCAGTAATGCATTATTGAGTAAATCCTAGCACCCGCCCCCCCCCCATATCCAAAATATTGTTGGTGGAATGTACCCTTTGAAATTGCTTTACGAATTAAGTTCAAGTCACAGTAATTTGAAATTTTACCCTGAATCAAATTACTGTATGTGTCAATATCATTCAGTTGACTTAGTGTATACTAAATCATTTGTAACTTTGCTGTTGTTATTTAAAACACTACCACTCTTCTCAATGGATATTTTTTTGGTTTCAAAAATGTCCTTTTTTTTTTTAATTAAACTTTGTTGTTTATGTTCATAAACATGTATTGGGTTTATTATTTTTAAATGAATTCATATGTATACTTTAAAAAGGTCTGCATTTTAATTTGTAATTTGATAAATATCAATATATGTAATTCAAATCAACAAAAGCTCTTTGGATCCTTCTGAGACCAAAAAGTTTAAAGTCTACCAGTCCAGGTAATGTGAGCAATTTGTCAAGTTCGTGCACTAAAGCCAGATTAATGGAATATTTATCCATATGCCATAATGAGAGTACTGAGTTTGGCTTCTGGAATGGCTTTAAGTGTCAATCGTGATTTTATTGCTTTTTCTCTAATTTTTAGCATAACGTATCTGTTTCACAACATTGTTTGAATACAATTGGAATCACCACAGGAAAAGTGCTTTTAGGTTTTAGTTTAAAAATATGTCACGTAAATATCGCCCATGTGAAATTAGAGAATGACAGAACCATTAGTTTCATTTTTAGGATACATGTTATAATTTGTTCACTGTTAATAGGTTAACTACCTGGCAATAAATGTTTTTGAAATATTTGGAAACTTTCATTTCCATGCATTGATTTAACATCAAATTTTAACATTGAATTTTCAAGTCTAACAGAACCCAGACTCTAACTTTTAGCATAAGCTCACAAGACTTACACATCTTTCAGCCTGTCATTCAAGGGAAAATATTGAGTAACATTAAAATGCTGCCTGTGTTTTTGTTTGCAGTTGGGGTTAGACTTGGAGGAACTCGAGGAGATAGAAGAAGATGCTGGCCTTGGGAATGGAGGCCTGGGGAGGCTGGCAGGTAAGTTGCCCCATCCAGGAGGAGCTCTCTCGGACCCGTTGGCTTGGTTGGAGGCCACGTGGTGAGGCCAGGGTCAGGTAAATTGGCCTCAGGGTAAATTGGCTTTGAGTGGATGGGCCAGTGTGTTCTTCAGATTGAAATCTTGCCACTAGTGGGGGGAAAGGGGGAAAATGTATGTTTTCTTTCACACAAGGGACGTGTCATCATTATCACGAAGACCAATCTTGCCAGCATGGAGTAAGCTGGTGCTGGGAGGGGCTCCCGATATGCTGACCACTTTCCAGGGCACAAGAGCCAGTGATTGGCAGACAGCCCAAAGGATGGAAAGATGATTTCTGAACGTGGCCCTGCTTGCAGCAGGCAGTTTCAACTCTGATACAGTCAGCAGATTGCCTTGAAATAACAGGGCTTTGAGGGTCTTCAGCCCTCTCCACCTCCCGGCCTTTGTGACATGTGATGGGTCACCACTGTCTTCCTGTGAGGTCCCTTTTCATCAAATGCAAAACTGGGCTTCCTACGCTCAAGGGAAGCTCCAGCCTCTTTTGTCCCCATCTCCTGACAGCCCCAGGGGTGGCCATTCACCGCACATCTCATCTCCAAGCTGGAGACTGTGGACTGCTCCCTCCCCGGCCCCGAGACCTGCTTCCTTTTGGGGTGTTCCAGGTCCTTGGGCTTTCCCAGTCACCTTGCCTGCCCCTTGCCTTCTCCCTCCATCCTTCTCCATGGCCAGATATGAGTAGAGCCTTTGCCTTCTGCCCACAGGGTCCTGTACCCACAGACCCAGGCAGCACTGAGCCCGCCATGGCTTGATGTGCTTCCCTGCTGCAGGCGAGTCCCCAGAACAAGAGTCCGCGAGGCTCCATCATCCCTCTCCCTCAGCAGAGGGCCTGACAGGCATCTGTGTGTTCCCTGGATTGGGCATTTTATTTTAGTTACTAGTGTTCCAGGTGGGTGTTTTTTTGATTTTTTTAATCCTGAAGTTTTTTTTGTTTTGTTTTGTTTTTTTTTTTTTTGAGATGGAGTCTCACTCCGTCGGCCAGGCTGGAGTGCAGTGGGTGATCTCGGCTCACTGCAAGCTCCGCCTCCCGGTTTCACGCCATTCTCCTGCCTCAGCCTCCCCAAGTAGCTGGGACTACAGGTGCCCGCCACCATGCCTGGCTAATTTTTTGTATTTTTAGTAGAGACGGGGTTTCACCGTATTAGCCAGGATGGTCTCAATCTCCTGACCTCGTGATCTGCCCGCCTCAGCCTCCTAAAGTGTTGGGATTACAGGCATGAGCCACCACGCCCAGCCAATCCTGAAGTTTTAATAAGGTTGCATCTCACTGTGCCCAGGCTGGAGTGCACTGGCACAATCTTGGCTCACTGCAGCCTCAACCTCTTGGGCTCAAGCAATCCCCCAACCCCAGCCTCCCGAGTAGCTGGGACCACAGGCATGCGTCACTATGCACAGCTAATTGTATTTTTTATAGAGACAGGGTCTCACTATGTTGCCCAGGCTGGTCTCAAACTCCTGGACTCAAGCGATCCTCCCACCTCGGCTTCCCAAAGTGCTGGGATCACAGGTGTGAGCCACCACTCCTGGCCTCTAAATCTTTATTCAAAACATTGTTTTGTTTTGTTTTTCTTTCAAGACGTTTTGATTGGAACAAGGGCTGGATTTAATGACACGTGCTATAGCGCCTTGGGGCCCCTGGTACTGCGGTGTTTGCACAGGTGGACATTGATTTGTATGCAGCCAGCTGCCACTGCTGTGCCGGCTTCACTCAGGAGTAGGGTGAGGCTTGATGTGTTGATGTGTCCCTGCTGTCAGAACAGCCTGGGTTTCAGTGGAACGTGCAAGGGATTGGCGAGGCCTCAGCCTCAACTGGGATGTCTGAGAGTGGGGCAGTGGGGGGCTTCGTGCTTGGAGAGGTTCCAGGCCTGGCCGAGTTCTCTAGGATTCTTCATCCCCCCCCATCCTCCCACGCCCTTCGAGTAGCCACCACGTTGATGTCTTCTGCCTGTGGCCCCAGGCTCTCATGGAGAGGCTGAGGGCTCCAGTTTTCCTCTCAGTGAAGCCTGAAGTCAGTGTGATCCCCTCTGAATTTCTGCCTTGCGCCCTGTGGGCTGCCTCCGCATGGGACCTTGGTGCCGTGCCTTTGATTCTGACTGATTTGTGATTGATTTTTTCAGCGTGTTTCCTTGACTCAATGGCTACCTTGGGCCTGGCAGCATACGGCTATGGAATCCGCTATGAATTTGGGATTTTTAACCAGAAGATTGTCAATGGCTGGCAGGTGGGTGAGATTTCATTTCTTCACTGGTTTCCAGCTCTCGTTCACACAATAAAATGGCAGCACTTGCAGTTTGTCTTTTTATACTTCCCACGCCCCCGCCAGGGGACTGCAGGCCGGCCAGGGCAATGTGGAGCAGGTCAGGGTAGCATCCTTGCTCCGGCTTCTTGGTCCACATGGCCTGGGAGAGCCTGGGCCCTGTGTGAGCTTTTTGCCAGCTGCCTCTGCCTGGTGACAGGGAAGTTGGGGCGTGCAGGACACAGAATCCTGGGTGAGCCTTACAGCAGCTCCCAGACAGGGCCAGTAGCAGCCGGGCAGTGAGGGTCACTCTGGTGACCCTCTGCACCAAAATGCAGAGTGCAGGGTGGTACTTTCGGGGTCAGCCTCAGTGGGATGTTGGCCCTAAGTAGTTAGAAGAGCAGTTGTAGCTTTTGCTCCCACCTTCTCCCTTCACTCCCTGACCCCAGTGAGGGGACAGTGTCCTTGGGGTTAGAGGCTGGACTCTGCATAGTACAGTGGCCCTTGGAAGGAGTGAGCCTCGATCTTGAAGCCTCACACTACAGCTAAGTGAGATGGTTGAGACCATGGCCGGGAGGAGGGCGTGGTCTTAAAATGCAACCTCCTCCTCCCTGGCGAGCAGCTCCCTTCCCATGTGCCTCAGAATGAAAGTCACCACTATTCCATTCGGTTAGAAAATGGTTTATTTAATATCATTTGGGGCCTAAAAGTCACAAATAAAGCTGGTCTGGGATTAGAATCAAAAGATTTGTAGCATCAGAATGTACAACCCCAATGAATGTGTGCATGACGGGTAGTAGAGATATCCTTGGGGTGGGAGTGGCAAGGGGGGTTGGGCCTCAACGGCAGGTGCAGCCTCCAGGGCTCGTCCATGGCGTCTGTAAGACTCATGTATCTCACCATGGAGAAATTAACCCAAAACATAAACGCAAGGAGCTGCTGTCCATGACACGCACAGCGATGCGTTTAGTGGGAATGTGGACTCATATCTGCAGCTTGCTTTAAATGCACCCCAAAATCAATGGATTGGTGGACGGAGAAACAACAGACCATTTACAGCACCTAGGTGTGGGTGCATAATGTTTCTGCATGTTTGAAAACGCTCATAATAAAATGTTGGTAAAGAAAAGAAATGGCTAAAAGTAACCTAAAACGGACTCGGATCCATTGCTTGATTTGTGGAGATGCCCTCTGCAACCTTAGAAAGGCGCCTTTCTCCACTGCCTCCGGACAGCTCTGCCCCAGCCCTCCGCGTGCCTGAGCTCCAGGGCAGTCCAGTCCATGCACATGTTGATGCTCTGATTCATTCTGGCCCCCAGCAGTCCCCATGTCACGTGTGGGTTTATAAGGCAGAAGCTCAGAGGCTCCCCTTCGCCTAGCTGGTGTTAGGGTTTCCAGCAGGAAGGTATTGGTGGTGGTTTTTGTTTTACCAGGGAGACATTTTTCCTTCTGGTGGTCCTCGTTCCTGTAACTCTTGCAACTTTGTGTGATAGTTTAGGATGATCAGTAAGTGAAGCTCACCCCTCCTCCCATCCCCTTTTCATGGGAACTGTTCAGATTCAGTGGGTTTTTAGTTGGCTTTAGCCATGGAAGAAGTAAATACAGGCAGGGTTGGCCAGCAGCATGTGGCCAGAGGGGCCGCAGGCCAGCCTGCTTGGCACCCTGGCCAAGGGGGCAGGGAGGCCCTGCAAGGGAGACTCAGGCTGCCTTTGTATGTGGGAAGCTGTTGCTTCTGCCGACGACTCCTGGACTAACTCTGCAGATGGCCAGGCCCTGGTGTTGGGGAATCTCACAGCGGACAAGGAGACGCCACCAGAAGGGTCTTGCTGGGAGTACCATGGGGAGGTGCCTGCTGTGCGGAGGGGCCTGCTGTGCGGAGGGGCCTCCGGAAGAGCACAGCCCAGACAGTCTTGCTCGTGACTCTTGGCGTCTGTGTAGGAACCATGAAGAGGAAATCCCTCAGTGTAGCATACTAGGGCTGCCTGTTCATTCTGAAGAGAAGAGACTTGATCTCATTTCAGTTTTAGTAATTGAGACTTCAGAATCCGCCCTTGCTGCTGTACCAGATGGAGTTACTCTGTCACGTGGTGGTAAAGCAGCCCCCTAGTGCTTCTGTGCAAGGGTGGCTCGAATCTGCAGGGCCGCTTTTAGTGTGGGGGTTGGTTTCATGTAGTTACTCGTCTCTAGTGCCACTGGGCACAGATTCTGGGAATAAGCTTCTTCTTGGAAGCCCTCCCGGAACAGCTTGTCTTCCTGGGTGCATCCAGGGCGTCCTCACTGCCAGCTGCCAACTTGGCCCCAGCACTTGCGGATTTGCAGTGTCACTTTCTTTCTTTTTTAATTTTAATTTAATAATTTTTTTTTAGAGATAGGTCCTGCCCTGTCGCCCAGGCTGGAGTGCAGTGGTACAGTCATAGCTCACTGCAGCTTCGACCTTGTGGGCTGAAGCGATCCTCCCACCCTGGCTTCCCAGAGTGCTGGGACTGTAGGCGTGAGCCTCCGCCTGGCCAGTGTGTCCCCGTCAAAGCAATGTCTTCTAGTGATTCTTCTATAACAGCTTTATTGAAATAGAGAGTCGATTTCAGTATATTCAGAGTTGGATAACCGTCCCCACTGTCTATCTTGAGAACATTTTCATCCCTCCAGAAAGAAGCCCTGCACCAATTTGCAGTCACACCCAGCCCCTGACAGCCTCTCACCCGCTTTCTGTCTCTGTGCAGGTGCTTGTTCTGAACATTTTCCTGTAAATAGCCTCGTGTGATGCGTGGTATTTTTGTCTGTCCTCTTTCACTGAGTGTAGGTTTTTCAAGCTCCATCCAGATCGGAGCATGTGTCAGTCAGTGGTTCTTAGTGTCTTTCTTTTTGGGCACGTGTTTCTAAATTTTGAGTTTGTTACTTTAGTGTCCACTGTGTTCATTTTACCCACGTGGGCTTCGCCAGAAGTGGGAATCCCGACCTGGTAAGTGGCTGTAGGTAAATTTCAGTGCCAGGCACTGTGTGATCTCGACCGCACGGTCTGCTGGGTCCAGGACAGGGCGGTGGCCTGGGACATCTGCGCTGAGGGTGCCCTCACAGCTGGCTTCTTTCCAGGTAGAGGAGGCCGATGACTGGCTGCGCTACGGCAACCCCTGGGAGAAAGCGCGGCCTGAGTATATGCTTCCCGTGCACTTCTACGGACGCGTGGAGCACACCCCCGACGGCGTGAAGTGGCTGGACACACAGGTACCTGGGCTGAAATGTCTGCGGGCAAGGCTGGAGCCAGGTGAGGGGGCTGCTGCGGCTCATTTGTAGACAGCTCAGCTTCTTTTGGCTTGGGGGGCTTGCTGCCTCCCTGGAGGACTTAAGGTAAAAGCCGGGGGAGGTTTATTCTCCTCACTCCCCAGTCTCTTACACTTTGATGGGAGCTTCCCAAACAGTGGAAGCGCTGAGCACAGCAGCGAGACTCCATGGGGGAAGCCCCGCTGGGCAGGAGCTGTGTGTTGGGGCTAAGAATGCAGCTGGGCGTCCACTCACAGCCAGATGCTCACGAGAACCCCGCTGCTTAAGGGCAGGCAGGAGGGTGTTCTGATGGGATGGGGGCACGGACCCCCAGGGTGGGCGAAAACAGCTCCCACTATCTCTGTGGAGCACACGACAAGCTCGCTTGGCCTCCTGGCGCCATACGTGGCCCATGGCTCTCAAAGCGTCAACTGTCAGAGCCCCTGGAGTGTGTGCGAGGCCTGGGTGACATCCGGGGATGGGGCCAGGCCCTCCTGCCCAGCAGGGTGCTGATGGGGAATCAGGGCAAGAGCCTAGAGTGCTCGGCAGCGACGGGTGCCAGGCACGCAGAGGCCACGTGAGGGAGCACCCAGTCCAGGCTCCGGGCAGCTGTAAGCCGGGATGACTGGGGCAGGGCAGGGGCTGGCAGGAGAGGCTGCAGGAGAACGTGGGGGCATCGGTGAGACTCAGCCACCTGTGATGGAGAAGGACGGGCAATAACAGGAGAGCCTGGAGGCTGGGTGGTCACTGGTGTGCAGAGGGAGTTGTCTTGACTTTGTAGGACACAGTTTTAAATCAAATACATGGGCTTCGAGTGGCTGGGGCCATGCCATGGAGGCTGAAAATGCCCTGAAAAGTTGTATTTAACTTGCAAGAGCAGGGTAGGGGACCGGCGCTGTAGATGTGTTTGTGGATGAGCATGTCAGTGTGAGTGGGGATGCTGGAGAACCGGGACATTCCAGGCAGGCTGTGAAGATGGGCTTAGCCCCGAGGCCTGGCCAGGATGGAAGGGGCTAGAATGCCTTGGCGGGGACTTGTCGCTCACTTGGGTGTCGCCTTGTGGGGCAGGGGCAAGGGTTGACAGGAGAGAGGAAGGGAAAGGGATACTGGGGTTTTAGTCTTGGTGGCCCCGGTGCGCCGCCTGTGTGGCTGTCAGAGCTGACTGGCAGTGCCACAGGCACGTGTGTGCCGGGATGAACCCAAGCATCCCTGAGTGCGCCTGCCGGGGAGCTGGGACCACAGGTGAGCCTCAGCTTTGTGAGCCCCCTCCTGCCCTTGGTGGTAGCGGAGCTGATGTCTCTGGATGCAGGGGAACCTGGGGGCTTGTCAAGGAGAGAGGGAGCCAGGCTGGGGTGGAGGGAGCGCAGCTGGGCTTGTGCTGGGGGGCTGGGAACATGGAGGGTAGCAGGCAAGGCAGCTGCAGGAGCAACCTTCCCGCAGGTGGAGCTGAGAGAGGTGATCTGCGGGGCAAGCATCTGCGTGTTGGAGTTGCTAGAGCAGAGTTGACTGAGGAGGGGAGGCGCGGAGGGCAGAGGGTAAGGAGGGAGGTGGGGGTTGGTGCTGCAGCACCTCAGGGAGTCGGGATGGGGATGATTCTTCAGTCAAAGCCATTCCTGAGGAAGGTCAAGTGAGAAGATAGGTCTGGTCTGGGGAGGGTGGTGGGACGGGTGGTCCTCTCAGGATGACAATGTGGGCACCACAGGGGAGGGCGTGGACGGAGACTGTGGTGCCGAGCATGGGCTGGGTGGATGTGTTTGGGCAGAAGGGGGAGACGGTGGGGGGCCAGCAGGGCGCCAGGTGCCCAGGAGGAGGCTGGGCCGGGGAGAGGCACAGGGGCCGGCGGGGGCCCTTGCCACTCCGTCCTGAGCAACCCGTTTTGTGGCCAGGTGGTGCTGGCCATGCCCTACGACACCCCAGTGCCCGGCTACAAGAACAACACCGTCAACACCATGCGGCTGTGGTCCGCCAAGGCTCCCAACGACTTCAAGCTGCAGGACTGTACGTTCCGTGGTTCTTGGCACCCTTGTGTCCATGTGGGTGGCTGGTCCCAGACACCCTCGCCCACAGCCTTTACCGCGCCCTGTGGCTCACTGTCCTGGAGGCCGCGCGGCCCTCCTCTAGGGTGTCCCTGCGTCCCAGTGAAGAGCGAGGCTGGTGCAGCTTACCTGTGTGTGGGGCCTGCCCGGGAAGGGCCTACAGGCAGAGCGACCAAGACACCTGGGCCCTGGGCACCCAGGGTCACCTTGTGCAGATCATGTGCCCCTGGGGAGGAGTGAGGGGGATGGAGTTGTGTGCGGTACATAGGGGAGCTGCAGGAGGGATCACGTTTACCTCCAGGGATGGGGGTGAGGGGAAGTAATGCAGCGGCTGGGGGAGTCCTGTGCTCGAGCGAGTTTCCTTGGCCTTTGCAAGTAGGCCCCTGAGCGGTTGCAGTGCTGGTGCCAGGAGGCATGTGTGTGTTGACCCCGCTCCATTTCTTCTTAGTCAACGTGGGAGACTACATCGAGGCGGTCCTGGACCGGAACTTGGCTGAGAACATCTCCAGGGTCCTGTATCCAAATGATAACGTGAGTAGCTGGCCTGGGCACTCTTGCTCAGGCCGTATCGCTTTCTGGCATAGAGAGGTGGGCTGGCTGGCCGGGCTCCCCAGTGGGGCCTGCTGTTGGCCTTGGCAAGCAGCCACCTGGTGGCCCTCTCGCCTTAGGTGCACACACGATGCCCTTGGGGAGGAGAGGGTGCACTGTCCTCCATAAAGCCCAAGCGGCTCTTCGTGTGCCTCTTGGCAGCTCTGTGGTCCTCTCTCCGAGGACACTCTCTGCCACCTTCCCCTCTTATCCACTCCCCTCATAAACACACAGCCGCTCCTTGGGGCCAGCTGGAGCCCGTCAGCCCTCCAGTCTGTGTGCTGTTCTAGCCTGCAGTGCCACTTCCCCAAGCAGGTGATCTGTCTGTCCAGGGGACCGTAGCGCCTACTTGGCATTGATGCCTGGGGACATTTGAAAGGTCCTTGGCACATGCCCTTCCCATACTAGGTGATGGTGTCGCAGCCATGTTCCCCACTGCCACCTGCATTTAGTGCCCAGTGGCTTTCTTTTTGTTGTTGTTGCCTGACAAGTCCTTAGAAGATGCCCTAGTGGGCAGAGCATGTTTAAAAGTGAGCTTTTTGTTTTATGAAAGTAACCTGTGCACACAGGAGCAAAGGCCTGGGTGCCGGAAGGCTCATCAAAGAGTGCACTCCCCTGTCCCCATGAGACTGTTGGCAGACCCCAAGCCCCAGGTACAGAATGTTCCAGAAGGCCTGTGCTTGGACAGTGCAGCTCCTGAGCAGCGCTGGCACTGTACTTCTGACGGATGGACACTGTGTCCCGGGGTGTGTCCCACAGGCGGGGTTACCTTCCTCAGTGACCTGAGGGCACACAGGCAGGCCCCAGTGTCAGGCAGCTGGGCTGGGCTCCTCTCGGCCTTCTGCCTGCACCTTTGAGCCAGGTCGCTGACCTGGGCTTCCTGGGGGAGGAGAATGGCCCAGCCTGCACCCTCCAGCTTGCTCTGCTGTGTGCAGTTCTTTGAGGGGAAGGAGCTGCGGCTGAAGCAGGAGTACTTCGTGGTGGCCGCCACGCTCCAGGACATCATCCGCCGCTTCAAGTCGTCCAAGTTCGGCTGCCGGGACCCTGTGAGAACCTGTTTCGAGACGTTCCCAGACAAGGTGCATGGTGGCCCTGGGAGGGATCTCAGTGCCAGGGGCTGGGCGCCTTCAGGCTCTTGAGGTTGCTTTCTCATGTCCCAAAAGGGGCTAGAGTGGAATGGTACATGCCCCTTGTCTTGGGGTCTCGTCATTCTGGGCCAGGATCCCACCTGGGCCCTCCCTTCCAGAACAAGGGCCACCGGCCTTGTTAGGAGTCAGGTCAGCAAGGGACATGGTGAAAGGCTCCTGTGCAAAGTCAGATGTGCTGGGCAGGCTAAATGGGGTTATTCCAAACAAAGCCCTATAGTTCCAGTGAGAGAGCCCCCAGCCCCGGTGGCCACGGCTCCTCCCCTCCGGCTGCAGCACATACCCGCAGCAGAGCACACAGCTGTAGGGCACTCACCAGCAGGCACATCGGGCACAGCGCACACCTGCCACAGTGCGAGCCCGACTGTCCTCCCTGCTCCCTCCACAGAACCCCTCCCTGTTCTCCAGGCTTCTCGGGGGTGGGGTGGGCTGGGCTGGCTCCTTCACTTGGGGAGCTTCGTATGCCAACAACCGTGGGTGCCCACGTGGGATGAAATGACTGAATGGCACCCCTTGTGCGACCTTCAGGTGGCCATCCAGCTGAACGACACCCACCCCGCCCTCTCCATCCCTGAGCTCATGCGGATCCTGGTGGACGTGGAGAAGGTGGACTGGGACAAGGTGAGCATGGAGGAAAAGGGCGGCACCTCCCCAGAGCCTGGAGCCCGTGCAGACCAGGGCTACAAGGAGCTGAGCTGGGGGGCCTCTTCCCTGGCCTTGGGAGAGCTGTGTGGTCATCATGCCCAGGAGAGACGCGAGCTGTGGGAGGGGTCTGGTTCCAGGAGACGGAGGTTCCGGGGGCCAGAGTATGGGGTCAGGGCGCGGGGGAGATGATAAGGATAGGGCTGTGACACTTCTCAGGGTTTCCCGTTGGTGCATTCTCATCTTGAAATTTGGTGACAGCTCCCCAAAGCGTTAAGTGTTTAGAGGTCTGTGCTCTATTCATGCACCTGCCCTCGCGATTCAGTGTATTTTGGACTTAAATATGTTTGTGTGGTAGGATTTTCTTAATCTAACCGTTACCAAATCAACATGTGGAACCATAAAACAGGCCAATGTGGTGACTCACACCCGTAATCCTAGTGCTTCGGGAAGCCAAGGCAGGAGGGTTGCTTGAGGCCGGAAGTTAGAGACCAGCCTGGGCAATACAGCAAGACCCCACCTCTAAAAAAAAAGCCAGGTGTGGCAGCACACACCCAGAAAAATAAAACCAAAAGAAACCATAAAACGATTTTTTTTAACTCCGTTTTGTAGAAACCCAAGCCCCTCTCTGGTCTTGGGGTGTGTGCACTCCAGGTGAGGCTGTACCTGTTGTGGGTACCCCAGTTCTGGCCAGCATAGGGCAGGTCTGTGTAGTAACCAGTGTCCTCCCCACCATGTCTGGCCACTTTAGTGGAAATAAATAGAAAACTGCTCAATGGTCTGTCCGTTTACCAGTGACGGCAGAGTGTGAAGGTGACTCCAGGTAGCAGGCGATTGTGTCTTATTTGTGTGTGTGTCACGCACTGGACCATAATGTCACACTTCAGTGGGTTGCGTCAGCAGAGTGAGGGCTCTGGGCTGCGTGTCAGGCTTTCAGAGGGCTCCAGATCCACCTTGGAGAGCAGAGGGGACGGTGGCCCTTCCTGGGGTACCCAGCATCTGCCTGGGATCCTGGACGCTCACCCTGCCTAGGCAACTGGCCAGAGAGCTGCTTGTTTCTAAACAAACACATGGGAACATTCTCTAATGGCCTAGGCCTGGGAAATCACGAAGAAGACCTGTGCATACACCAACCACACTGTGCTGCCTGAGGCCTTGGAGCGCTGGCCCGTGTCCATGTTTGAGAAGCTGCTGCCGCGGCACCTGGAGATAATCTATGCCATCAACCAGCGGCACCTGGACGTGAGTGTGGGCCCAGCTGGCCGTGTAGGGTGGCGGCTACACCCATGCCAACGGCCCCCCACCTGGCCTGGGAGAGGAGGTGCTTTGCTCCTTGAACGAGGCACCCTCTGTTCAGCAGAGGATGCTTGGGGCTGGGGGCTGTCCCTTGGCAGAGCTATTGGCTGATCCCCACGCCTGGCCCACAGCCTCAGGTTCCTCTTTGTAAATTAAATTGCACGTCCTCTCCCTCAGACCCATCTTCCTCAGACAGCAGCCCTGTGGGTCCCTGGGCCGGGCTGGGCCCTTTCCTGGGCTGGGGAGTTGGGTGAGCGAGAGCCTCCTCCTCAAGCTGGGCCTGGGCTCTTGTGAGATGCCTTGGAGGTGCCTGCTGGGTCTGGGAGCACTTGAGGGAGGTCTGGCTGTCACAGCCCCAGAACTTCCCTGGAGGCAGCAGAGCTTCCCATGGGTGGTCATGGAGTGTCCCCTGGTCATGGGGAGTGCTGGGTCTCCGTGGGGCCTCCTGTGCCCACCCACCTGCCTCTGTGTTTTGGCACCAGCACGTGGCCGCGCTGTTTCCCGGCGATGTGGACCGCCTGCGCAGGATGTCTGTGATCGAGGAGGGGGACTGCAAGCGGATCAACATGGCCCACCTGTGTGTGATTGGGTCCCATGCTGTCAATGGTGTGGCGAGGATCCACTCGGAGATCGTGAAACAGTCGGTGTGAGTGGGGCGCTTGCCCGAGCGGGGCCAGCTCTGTCTGACACCCAGGCCTGCGTCTAGGACCATCCACCAAACACATGGACCCAGCTATATAGCATACAACCTGTGCCACTAGGCCCCTGCCTCCATAGGAATGACAGAGCTGCCCAGAACACCCTGTCAGGGTCACGCCTTGTTGTGCGTTCACCGACCAGCACACGGGGGCCTCTGGAGGGCTCTGGCTCTGCGGGCAACGGGGAGACGGCTTTGTCTCCTGTTGCTCTCCTGCGCCCCTGCCTTCCTGGGGGTCCAGTCGGAGGCTCTGCACCACTGGTCCACCTGCCGCTGGCAGGGCTTGGACAGGGCTTGAAGGTGGGATTCTTAGGTCAGATCTTGTTCTTGCCCCTCTTAGGTGGGGCGTGATCTAGGAATTACTCCCACTCTTTCACGTAGCATGTGCTGAGCACCTACTGTGAGTACTGAGCAGGCAGCAGCCGGCGGGAGCGGAGGCTGTGCCCGGGGCTGGGCTGCAGGCTCTGTGCGTGGCGCCCGCAGCAAGCTTCGTGTCGGGCCCCTCCCCAGTAGCTATGAGGAAACCGAGCGCAGCTTCTCAAGCCCTGAAGTCCTGCGGTCTCGGCTGTCATGACTTGGACACCTGTTTCCGCACGGACCGCTCTGGAGAATGGCCAGGCTCTAATGCCTGCAAGGTTGTGGTTGGGCAAACCGCACAGCCAGCCACAGATGCCCCGGGGTGCAGGTGCTGCCTTCGTATGGCTCCCAGAGCCTGCAGCTGCCGCGGTCACTCTGTTCTCCTTAGAAAACAGAACAGAACCACTGAGCTTGAGGGCTCCTGGGACCTCCTTAAAAGGACTTTAAGGTCTGTTGCTCACCTGGTGCAGGGCACAGCATTTGTGACAGTTCCCTGTTCTCTGTGTTTGCAGCTTTAAGGATTTTTATGAACTGGAGCCAGAGAAGTTCCAGAATAAGACCAATGGCATCACCCCCCGCCGGTGGCTGCTGCTGTGCAACCCGGGGCTGGCCGATACCATCGTGGAGGTGAGTCCCGGGCCCCACCCGTGCCTGTGGAGATGCCTGGGCTGAGAACCGCGGGCCATGTCATCAGCCCCTGCTGAGCGGTTGCTGAGTAGGCAGGAGTCTGTCCCTCACGTGTTGACCTGCAGGCTTCTGGACATGAGGGCTGAGCCCCTGAACATGGGCGCTGAGCTGGGCAGTCACCCATTGGGCCTGGCGGGTCCTGTGTGCGAGTTCAGAAGCCGAGCTTTAGGGAGGGCTGGGGTGTGGCTGAGTGCAGCCACGGGGCCACTGCAAAAGAGTCAAGAGGCAGCTGACTGCCAGCTAGGCTGGGCACCTATTTCCTGTTTGTATGTTGGCTCCTATGCAAGCTCCCTGAGGAAATGAGTGCTGAGGTGTCAGGCCCTGCGCTACAGGCAAGGACCAGCCGCTGGGAGGGTGGGACCGCCCACCTGGGGCTATGGTCAGGGAAGCCTTCCCAGGAAAGCTGAGGTCTGAAGAGGGAATGAAGAGAGAGTGAGCAGTGCTCTGGGGCAAACTGGTTCAATGCCCTGTGCTGGGGGACGGGCCCCTGGGACCTGGAAAGCAGCGTGGCTCCTGTGCAGTCTGAGATGGGCCTGGGTACAGTGAGGAGAGGTGGCCGAGTGTTTGCAGGCAGCACCTGGGTGAGGTGCTGGCTTTGAGGGGACCGCCTGCTTCAGGCAGGGAAGGTGCTGGTGGAGGGCAGCGGGAGGATGGCTTTGGGTTTTGGGTGGTGATGGGATGTTCAATGTCAGAGAACCCTGGGATCGGTGGCTGAGGGAGGGTCGTGTGTTTCCTGTGGACGTTTGAACTGGTGGGACTGGGCCATCTCGCAGAGCCCTCTCAGAAGAGGAAGGAGGGGCTGCTGGGGTAACCCTGTGGCCTGAGAGGTGGGATGCCCGGAGGGGCCGGACAAGCAGATCCCAGGGGAAAGCAGGGGCGTGGGCAACAATGGGAGGAGGGCAGGTGGCTAGGGGGCCCAGCCTCAGGAGGCTGAGGCCCACAGTGAGCGGAACCTTTACGTTCTCCAGAAAATTGGGGAGGAGTTCCTGACTGACCTGAGCCAGCTGAAGAAGCTGCTGCCGCTGGTCAGTGACGAGGTGTTCATCAGGGACGTGGCCAAGGTCAAACAGGTAGGCATGGCCCTGGCCCCAGCCCCGACCCCAGCCCTCCCACAACCAGGCAGGTAGGCCCTGGCCCTAGCCCTCCTACAGGCCCAGCACAGGTCCTGGGGTACCCACTGGGGCTTTAGTGGGGACTCAGAACAGGACTGAGGGTGAGGCTGTTAGGGTTGCCTGAGGTCTCTCCACCCCACTCAGCCTTTCAGATGAGGGCCCCGAGGAGGACAGGTCACATGGCAGATAGGTGAGTGCAGACCCCAGGCCAGCCCTGCCCGTGCCTCGACCCTCTGCCACAGGTCAGTTCTGTATGGAAGCCTCTAGAAGCCGATTCCAGCGTGGTACCCTCTTTGCCCCTGGAGAGCTGTGCAGGTGCACGAGCTGTCTGCACCGGCAGCAGCCTCTCGGCTAGACCAGGGCCAGTCACGGCAGCCTTCAAACCTCAGCGGGCTGGAGGCCCATCTACACAGCCTGTCGAGCTTGGCCTCCTCATAGAGGCCAGAACTAGTTCTCCTTGTAGTCCTTTCAGCCGTCCCGCTCCCGCGCTGCTCCGCCGCCTGCACGCCTGGCTCTGCAGTGTCTTCTGCTTGGCTCCAGGCGTGCTCCTGGGCCGGCTCCTCACTTATCCCCTACTCTTGGTGTGGACCCACCTTCAGCATCCCCCTCTCCCCTTTTCCCATGAGAAGACCCCTGGTGCAATCTCTGCCCCTCAGCTCCAGCCTGTATACCCCTGCCCCCTCCCTGCGGCACTCTTCACAGGGCACTTGAAGCAGGAAGCCGCAGGGTCAGTGGATGGAGTCCTGGTGAAGTCTCCAGCCATCTTTCCCTTTCACCCTCCCAGGAGAACAAGCTCAAGTTCTCGGCCTTCCTGGAGAAGGAGTACAAGGTGAAGATCAACCCCTCCTCCATGTTCGATGTGCATGTGAAGAGGATCCACGAGTACAAGCGGCAGCTGCTCAACTGCCTGCACGTCGTCACCCTGTACAATCGTGAGTGCCGGCATCACCTGCATGACCGCGCTGTGGGGCCCAAGGCTTGCCCTTGCCCGCCAGCTGTGCACAGACCCTGGGCCTCTGTCATGGTGGGGGCTGTGTGTGTATAGGCGTGTGCATGTGTGATGTGGCACGTTTATTTTAAGCAAAAGCCATGTTTTTCTGTGTGCCCCATGCCAGGCCTCACGTGAGCAGGTGAACAGTTAGACACCCGAAAGGCCCAGGCTGGAGTGCAGTGGTGCCATCACGGCTCACTGCAGTCTTGACCTCCAAGGGCCCAGGAAATCCTCCCACCTCAGTCCCCCAAGTAGCTGGGACTACAGGCGCACGCCACTATGCCCTTGTATTTTTTGTAGAGACAGGGTTTCACTATGTTGCCAAGGCTGGTCTCGAACTCCTGGCCTCAAGTGATCTACCCACTTCTGCCTCCCAAAAGGCTGGGGTTATAGGCATGAGCCACTGTACCGGGCCTTCAGTTTTTATTTTAAATTTAGTTATTATCTTTGTGAGACTAATCTTATTTAGAAAGATTATGCTTATTAGAGGCATTTAAAGTATACTTACAAAAATTAAGATAGTATGTGTTAAATTTACACATGCATCTTATATGTCTAAGGACATTTAATTATGAGACAAACATGAAACAGAGACCCCCAAAGGTCAATGTGAATATTTGCTAGGTTTAATAGATAATGAAACCTTAAGGAAAAACTAGGTTTCTAAAATTTTGTAATTTAATAAAGTAGGTATTTTAAAAACCAAAGGAACCACACATCCTCCTTTCCGATACAAAGCTCCTCCCGGGAATAGATCTCCTATTCCCAATGAGTAAGCCTCGATGGGGTGGAGGATCTGGGTGCGTTTGAGACACACATGGTAGGACAGAGGCTAGAGGCCACCCCCGCTGAGGACCCCTCTGCCGTGTGGGCACCACGGGAGGTGCTTCCCGGGGCTGTGGCTTCCCGGCTCCGAGATGGTGCACGGGAACTTTGCATCATCTTTCCTTGCCCCATTTTCCTCCTGCAGTTGTGATGCTCTGTGTTCCCCTGGTGGTGACCCGGAGTCCTCCGCTTGCACAACGCTTGGTCCTATTGATGAGCGGCAGTGAGACTCGCGGGTCACCCCCTCCCTTCCTCCCGCTCCACCACCCCCACAGTCAGTTGCTGCATCGTCTTTTAGTGTTGGCCTTCAGGCTTTCCTCCTCCCGCTCCGCCACCCCCAGTCGTCAGTTGTTGCATCGTCTTCTATTGTTGGCCTTCAGGCTTTCCAGATGCTCCACTTCTGCTTGGTTGGTTCATTCGTTTTGAACGACACGCTGTGATTTCCAGCCGTTCACAGGAGGCAGCCAACAGGCTGGTGCTCGCTCCCACTGGTCTTCCCCCTTGCTCCATGTCTGTGTGTGCACGCATAAATGTATATGTGTGCATGCCTGTAAACATGTGTGCTTGTGTCTGTGCATGTACCTGTGGTGGACCTGCGTCTCCTTCCCCCACTGTCAGAGCTCACAGCATCAATACTTTGCCCTTCCTCCTGTCCCCAGCTGTATCAGTTTGAGTCTGGTGGTGAGTATGTTCACTGCTTCTCA
Source organism: Homo sapiens (assembly GCF_000001405.40). Lineage (NCBI taxonomy): Eukaryota > Metazoa > Chordata > Mammalia > Primates > Hominidae > Homo > Homo sapiens. The sequence goes on from NC_000020.11 coordinate 25,285,840, forward strand.
CGGTCCTTCTGCAAAGTGCTGCCCAGCCCTGCTGGCCACTTTGTGTCTAGTTCATGACTGGCTCATGGGAACAACCTTCCCGAGTTCTTGCTTGTTCAAAACGGCCTGGACCCTTCACCATGAAGGTCGGTTTGGCTGAAGATGCCAGTCTTAACTCCACTTCCTTCCCCCAGTGCTTTTTAGGGCCCTACCGGGCACTGTCTGGAGGGTGGGTGTGTGTGCAGAAGTCTGGCGATGTCTGAGTTCTCGATCTCATCAGTGACTCACTGTCATTGCCGTGTCTTGGTGTTGGCCGTTACAGGGCATTTTCGCCAATACTCCGGGTGCTTGTTGAACGTGTTGCTGGACTTCAGGGAAGTTGTCTGTTTGAAACGTGTGTTTGGTTCTGTTTGGTTTTCTGCTTCTGGGCTGCAGTGTGGCGTGAGGTGGCTTTCTCTGGCCTTCTTCCTTGGTGCCTACTTCTCTCAGGACTTGGTTTGTCCTTGTCCTGTGGAGTGGCACTGCTCTCTGGAGTCTCTGCCGGCTGCACTCTCCTCCCGTGCCCTCTGCTCCTCTCCTCTGCTCTCTGCCCCCCTCCCTGAGGACTTGGCATTTGGCTCCATGTCTTTCCAAGTTGGTGGTCACCAAGGGTATGTGATTTGCGAAGGGGTTCACTCCCCTCCTGTGGCCTGTGGCGGGGCTGGGTGCTGACTTCCATTGCTACGTTGGTGTGAGCTGGATCACCTGGGGCTATTCGGAATAGGCTTCTCAGCCCTCCAAGGCAGCTCCTCTGCTGGGCCAAGGCCATGCTTCCCCAGCCTGTGGCTGCGCCTCTGCTGTCTCTCCGGGTCTCACCTGGGCGGGAGGCTCCTCTGGAGGCCAGGACCTGCCTTGTGAGGGTGCCCTTGTGGGAGAGGCGCTTGCCCAAACCTGCTGTTCCCCGGGGGCTCCTTGGTGGCCCCCAGGACTGGAGCTCTCTGCCCAGAGTGCCCCTCCCCAGAGGTTAGGACTCCCATGACCCTGTCCCCTGCCCACTGTGACCTGGGGTTTGCATGGTTTCCTTCTTTCCTAGTTGTGGTGAAATCATCACTTGTGTGTTTCGTTTTTCCTGTTCTCTGCTGATTTCCAGAAGTGACAAGATCCAGCATTTAAGGGGCAGCTGCATTCCTCCTGGAGCCTGGGGCTGGGTGGTACACATCAGCCCGACTCCCTGCTGCCTCACCCAGGCCCGGCTCGCTGGTGAACGCCTGTCCAGGGTGGCCGCTCATCCCCTTTTTGTAGGAACCTCCCGTGAAATCTGCAAACAAATGACCTGGCGAGGACAGCCTGTTTGCTGGGCTGGCAGTGAGCCGGCCGTCATGGCTTGACCCTCCATCCACTTCTGTGAAGAACTTTGGGGGCCCTCACCCGCTGTCCCAGTGAGGCAGAGGGGAGACACAAGGTCTCACCCAGCGCCCCTGCAGGCTGATGGCACCACAGCCACAAGGCTGAGGTTGCCACTTTTTCTTTGTGTCATCCAAACAATGTGTTTAAAACACAATTTAAGGCCAGTGTGGTGGCTCACCCCTGTAATCCCAGTGATTTGGGAGGCTGAGGCCTGATGACTGTTTGATGCCAGGAGTTTGAGACTGGTCTGGGCAAAAAAGTGAAACCCCATCTGTACTAAAAGTGAAAAAATTAGCTGCATGTGGTAACCTGTCGGTGCCTGTAGTCGCATCTACTTGGGAGGCTAAGGAGGGGAAGATCACTTGAGTCCAGGAGTCTGTGGCTGCTGTGAACCCGGATTACACCACAGTACTCCAGCCTGGGTGGCAGAGCTAAACCTTAACTCTTAAAAACAAAAACAAACAACAACAAAAAAAACCCAAGAGTGGTAGAGTGCGAGGCGCGGTAGCTCACGCCTATAATCCCTGCACTTTGGGAGGCTGAGGCGGAAGGGTTGCTTGAGCGTGGGAGTTTGAAACCAGCCTGGGCAATGTAGAGAAACCCTCATCTCTACAAAAAATTAAAAAATTAGCTGGGCGCAGTGGCACGTGCCTAGGATCCCAGCTACTCAGGAGGCTGAGGTGGGAGGATTGCTTGAACCTGGAAGGTAGAGGCTGCAGTGAGCTACGCTTACACCACCGCACTCCAGCCTGGGCGACAGAGTGAGCTGCTGTCTCAAGAAACAAAACCAAACAAAACCCACAAGTGTGCCCTTCATGTACAGGGGCCTTGAACACTGGTGACCAGACCCAAGGAGGCTCCTGTGTTGGGCTTTTCTGGAAACTGAGGTGCAGCTTTTCCTCTGAGCCCCGGGGAATAGCATCTTTGCTCGAGTCAGCTGCTGGGTTCGTCCATGGTCCTGGCTGGCCTTCCTCACCAGCGGGGAACCTAAGTGCAGACCTCAGGGTGGCCTCACTCCCTTGTAAGTGGCAGGTTCCTGGTGGGTGGGCAGGTGGGTGGCCAGTGGCCCTGTGCCACTGTCACCCGTGTCTCTGGGGCTTGAAGTACATGGCGGAGCGTGCCTGTCCTGCCTCAGGGTCGGCCTCTGATGCTGCTGGGCCCCAGCAGGGGCTCGTCCGGCTCGCGGTGCCTTGTGTGAGTCTCTTCCGTGTGTCCTGCAGGAATCAAGAGAGACCCGGCCAAGGCTTTTGTGCCCAGGACTGTTATGATTGGGGGCAAGGTGAGTGACTTCCTCTGCAGTCCTCTCTGTGGTGTTTGGTCTGGGGATAGTGGGTGGGCAGCCTGCACGCTTCTCATGGTGCCACCACATCCATACTCGGGAACCGGATGCCCAGCGGTCACCGGCCCCTCTGGTATGCCTGTGGGGGTGGGGACCCTGTAGAGAGTCAGAATGGGATGGAAGCCTCCTGCCTGCCCAGCTCACTGGAGGGGTCCCCAGCCTAGAGGGCCAGTCCCCAGTGGGCTTGCTGGTGCCCACCTCAGAGAGGGCAGTGTCCTTTCTCTTTGTGCCCAGTGGGCACAGGGCGTTGTGGCTGCTTCATCACCTGCACATGCCCTGAGCATTGCCTGGTTTCAGTTCACTTTATTTACTATGACACATACTTTCAGAGTCCTAGATGTGCTGTCATCGAGTCCCAGGTCACATCGTCACACTCATCAGCCCTCTGCGGCCAGTGTCCCCACCTCCTGCCATGTTTCCCTAGTAGCTTGGTCTTTATCCAGAACTGTGAGGCTGCTGTGGGGTGCAGCGTCCTTAGGAGGGTCCTGCTGGAGCAGTGGCCCTAAGTGAGTCTGGACTGTGTGAGGCACCCCAGCCCTCCACGGCAAGGCCGGGGCCTGGGGGTGCTGGTGCCTGTGTGCAGCCTGAAGGCTGCCCTCTTGCTGCCTTCAGCGAGTGGGAAGCTGGTCAGAGGGGTGGGCACTCCTCTGGGCTCCGCCACCTCCTGGCACACCCCATTTGGTCTCTGTCCACTCCTGTCACCTGCTGTTTTTGAAGCAAATTTTGGAATTGTGTCATTTTATTTGTCAGTATTTCAGTATGTAAAGTCCATAGAGATACGGAGTTCGAAAAAGTTTTAAATGTTATTATGAAAATTTTAGGCTGGGCACGGTGTCTCACGTCTGTAATCCCAGCACTTTGGGAGCCAAGGCGGGTGGATCGCATGAGCCCAGGAGTTCGAGACCAGCCTGAGCAGTGTGGTGAAACCCCATCTCTACAAAAAAGTGCAAAAATTAGCTGGGCGTGGTGGTTCATGTCTGTAGTCCCAGTTACTTGGGAGGCTGAGTAGGAGGATCGATTGTCCTGGGTGATTGAGGCTATAGTGAGCTGTGATTGCACTACTGCACTCCAGTGTGGGCAGCAGAGCCAGACCCTGTCTCAGCAAAAAAAAGAAAAAAAAAAGAAGGAAACATTTGAACCTGGAGAAAAGCAGGAAGAATTGTAGCAAAACCATAAACCTGTCACCCAGACTAGCTGAAGCATTTCACAGTAAACTGCAGACACTCTAGCTCTTCACTCTTACATACGTCAGCATTCCTTTTCATAAAATGATGTTTTCCACCAGAACCACAATGGGAGTAGACTGAAACATCACCACACAGTACCACCATCCGTCACACCTAAAGCATTGGACAGGAGTCCTCCGTGTCCTGAAATGTTCACTCGGGTACTTCATGGGTCCCCTGCCCAGTTGTCTTTGTAAAGTAACAGACATTTCTAAAAGTTGGTCTGAGTGAGGGCCCAGTGAGTCCTCACCTTGGACTGGCCGTGGTGTCTCAGTTCTCTGTAGGTTTTCCCCACAGTCTGTCTGTTACAGACATCGGGTTGTCTGTCCGCCGTAGCCTGGCTCTTTCCGAATGTGTCCCTCCAGTGTGTCCCAGTATGTCCCTAGGGACAGTTCTCTGTTTCCTGTCAGTCGGCAGCTCTAGAAATCCTGGTCTCTTTTACCTTGTAATTTCTGAAAACCTAACAACAACCAGAAAACCAGACTTGAGGCGGACACGTTTCTGGATGTGGCGAGGTGGCCACCATCGTGAGTGCGCAGCAGAGCTGGGGCCTTGGGGCCGGGGAGCCTCCCTAGCTCCTCTACTGACCGTCCCGACGGCAGGTTCCTGTGGCTCTAGCCTCACCCCCCTACAGACCCCAGGAACCAGGAGCGCCTCCAAGGGCCTGAACAAGGCATTTTTGTGCTAAAAACCTTCACCCTCTCCTTCCAGGCAGCGCCCGGTTACCACATGGCCAAGCTGATCATCAAGTTGGTCACCTCCATCGGCGACGTCGTCAATCATGACCCAGTTGTGGGTGACAGGTTGAAAGTGATCTTCCTGGAGAACTACCGTGTGTCCTTGGCTGAGAAAGGTAACCCTGGAAGCCTGTGTTGGACAGAAAACTCACTCCTGCCGGGGAACGGGCGTTGTACTGGCCCCGGGCCTTTCATCCTCAGCCAGTTCAGCTCTGCCTGGACACCCAGACCTAGCCAGCCGGGCTGCAGGCGAGCAGGGAACGGCTTTAGGGAGTGCTCCCCGTGCAGTGCGGAGGACTCACAGTGCGTCCCGGGGCGCCTTGCATGTCACAGGCAGTGTCATCCCCCAACAGGGCACCCTTACTGCCGCGCCTGCCTGGCCTGCCCTCTGTATCCTCCCTCCCCTGCCCTCTCCTCCTGCCCCTCAGCCGTGCCTTCTGCCCTGGGCCCCTCTGCTGGCAGGACCTGCCTGGCCTGCCCTCTGTACCCTCCCTCCCCTGCCCTCTCCTCCTGCCCCTCAGCCGTGTCTTCTGCCCTGGGCCCCTCTGCTGGCAGGACATGCACCAGGCCAGTGGGGTTGTGGGCCCCCAGCTTCCCCCAACTCCACTGCCCCTCCTCCGCCCACATCCTTGCTCCTCACTGCCTGCCTGCTCTTGGGCCCACCAGTGATCTCAGGTGGCAGCACCTGCCTCATCTGTGCTTCCTGAGGGCAGCCTGGGCCAGTCCTGGGGAGACCCTGGGATGTGCTGCCATGTGCCCTGGAGCCCATCAGTTCCCACCCCTGTGGGCTCTACTGGGCAGGAAAGTGATTTGCCCACCAGATGGTGGGAGATCTGAGCCTGGCCTTCTCGTGCTCCCCTCCTGCCGCCGAGGGCCAAGGGCCCCCCCTAGTTCAGGCCGCCTGGGCTTCCCAGGCTGCCGCAGGTGAGAGGGCTGATCTGCTGTTGTTCTGCAAGCTCCGTGGTGCAGGGGGGGATCCCTGGGCACCGTCCCTGTGGCCTGGCTGCTGCCTTGGTGTCCATGTCGCTCCCCCTCTTTAGTGGTGCCTGGCAGGCGAGGTCCCTTGAGGCACTCACGGGCCGGCTTGCCTCCGGCTTGGCCAGGAACTGTGGCTCGTCCTTCCCTGCTCCTCTGACCGAAGCATCTCCTCTCCCCCGTGCTGCCTGAGGCTCCCCTCCTCCTATGTGTTTTGGGGCCAGCTGACTCCTGCTCATCTTTAGAGCAGGCCTTCAGGCACCTGGTCTGGAGTCTCGGTGCTGGCGTCAGGGCCCCGTTCTCCCCGGCAGTGTTGCTGTGGCTGACTGGGCTGCAGCCTGAGGTGAGGGTGGAGAGCAGGTTGTATAGTCAGTGTGTGCACTCACAGCGTGTCTGGGAGCGGTGACCAGTCCTGAGGGACAGGCACAGAGAAAGCGCAGGGCCGTGGCATCTGGCAGCTGCTGGCGCCCAGGAGGTCGCCACCCCTCAGCCGCTCCAGCCTTCTGGCTCTATTCTGGTCTACATTCCTCCTGAAAGGATCCAGGGAGCCGCTGGGGCTGATCAAGGTCGCGGTGATCCAGGGAACGACATTGTCAGCGAGCCAGGACTGGCTCCTTGGCTAGGCCTGGTTTTGGGGAAGGTTTTGGTGCACAGATCCTATGCCACCTGGCTCCTGAGGAGCCCCCATCTTGGACCTTCTGCCTCAAGGATGCCCCAGTCACGAAGGGGAGCCCTGCAGAGGCGGGTGGCCGTGTCCAGCCTGGGCCCCTGTGGGAGCGGGAGTGGGGGCTGGAGCGGGGCCACAGCATTGGTCCCTCCACGACCCAGCCCCGGGTGGATGGGCCGGCTTGTCCTGCAGTGAGCCTTGCGGCTGAGGACATTGGGGTCCTCACAGTGATCCCCTCCACGGGCTCCCCTCCACAGTGATCCCGGCCGCTGATCTGTCGCAGCAGATCTCCACTGCAGGCACCGAGGCCTCAGGCACAGGCAACATGAAGTTCATGCTCAACGGGGCCCTCACCATCGGCACCATGGACGGCGCCAACGTGGAGATGGCCGAGGAGGCCGGGGCCGAGAACCTCTTCATCTTCGGCCTGCGGGTGGAGGATGTCGAGGCCTTGGACCGGAAAGGGTGCGAGCCTGTGCCCCTGGGCACCTGGCACCGTGAGGATGGAGAATGAAGGGTGTTGGGCTGGGGGCATTGGCTGGACTGGGCTCTTGGGGCCAGGCCACTGTGTGCTAGGGTCAGTGCCCACCCAGGGCTGTGTGCCTGCCTGCAGGGGTGACCATTTCCAGGTGCATGGAATGGACGGGGTCCGGGCTGCGGGCGAGGCCCACGTGGGGGTGCTGGGCTGCTCCTGTCTCGGCTCTGAGGCTGAATCTGCGGAGTCCAGACCAGGGGCTCCTCCTCCAGGAAAGGCCTTTTCCCCTGGGGAGGGTCTCCTAGAGGGACACCCCCTGGGCACAGGCAGCCCCACAGAAATGGGCTGGGGCTGGGCAGGACCCCACTGCCAGGGGCGCTCTGCCGGGAGCACTCTGCTGATTTGGGGCTTGCCTGCTGTTGAGGTTCCCTGGTCTAAGTTGTAACTGTTAAAATTGTTTAAAAATAGTATTTTGGAAACATTTTAAATGTGTAGGCCAGGGTCGGGGGGGGTGGGGGAGTGGGGGGGATGGGGGGGTTGGGGGGTGGCAGAGGGGAGGAGGGAATCCTGAAGACAGCACCCAGAGCTTCATCCACCTTATCCCCGCGCCCCTCCGTTGGCTGCACTGAGCTCAGAGCACTGGCCCTCCTGCAGCCCACACTCCATTCCAACTCCACCGGGGTTCTGTTACTGTCTTTCCCATCCCAGGATCCCATCAGGGCACTCCACTGTGTGTGGCCGTCAGGTCTCCCCAGTGTCATTTGGTCTGTGACAGCTTCTCAGTTTTTCCTTGTTCTTCATGATCTGGACGTCATGAGGAATCCAGCACGGGCCTGATTCCAAGCGATAATTACAAAGAAAAGGCAGTGTTGCCTGATTGCCTTGAAGCACTGGGGAGCCTGTGAGGCCTTAAGTAGGGTCAGGTGAAACCACACATGCCATCTGAAGTCAGAGCTGTGCCTTGCTGGCCCGAGCACAGAGGCCTGTGCTCCCTTTCTGCGCCCTCACACAGCTTCTTCTGCCCGGGCCCCGTCCTGGGATGCCCATGTCTGCCCGTCCGTCCCTCTCCCACTTAGCTCTGCCTTGTCCTGTCTGGTCTTGCTTGCGTTTTTCCTTTTCCATCTTCGAGGTCCCAGCCAAGGTGCTCCATTTCACTTCCTGCCCCTCCGGCCGTCTGTTTTTCAAAAGCTCTGCCCAGGATTTCACAGTGAGCCAAGTTCTGAGTGGCCCTCTCCACTAGGAATGTGGCATCAGCCACTATGTCCTAGCAGATCTGCTAGTGATGACATTTCTTTAACAGTCAAAGGAGCAGGTGGGATTGGCTTTAGACTGACTTCACATCTCTGCTCGAGCAGGTCCCTGCTCAAGGGCCTCGTAACCACCCATGGCCACTGGCTGCTGCCCTGGACCGTGCAGGCCTTGAGCTCCCAGGGCCATCCTGGGGCAGGGGCTGTGCCAGGCACCAACATGGCTTGTTCTCCAAGGTGGCCCACCTGGGGCGCTGGCTGCTGACTCCTGGCCCATCGCCTCACAGGTACAATGCCAGGGAGTACTACGACCACCTGCCCGAGCTGAAGCAGGCCGTGGACCAGATCAGCAGTGGCTTTTTTTCTCCCAAGGAGCCAGACTGCTTCAAGGACATCGTGAACATGCTGATGCACCATGACAGGTGGGACCGACTTCCCTGGTTGGGTGGCTGGGAGGGAGGGAGGGAGGGAGGGGTCCTCTTCGTGGGTTGGATATTCCACCTTGTTTGGAGAGCAAAACCCGTGCTTTCAGGACGTCTTCTCCACTGTGCCCATGAGACCTTACTGGGCAGAGCCTTAGACCCCAGCTGGGAGTTTGCGATGGCCTCTGGCAATGCCAGGGGGCCCTGGGCAGCGAGACACAGCAGCACAGTCCAGCCCCCAGGCCTTGTGGACCAATGTGCTGAGCAGGAGGGGGTGTCCTCTGCTGGTTGGAGGTCCCAGGGGCAGCCGTGTCCCAGCAGGCCAGTAGAGGGAGCATGGGCCCAAAACTCCCTGGGGTGGGGTAGGGGGCGCACAAGGGCTGCGGAACCGCGGCAGGCGTCAGTGCCAGTGACAGGCAGTGGTGAAAATGGATTTCACTTGCAACGATGTGACATTATAATGTAGTTAGTGTTTTATTTCAGTGCAGTTAGCACATGGTATGGTTTATCTAGAGTTACAGACTTTGTAAGGTTTGCAGCTCAGGGCAGTTCTTCACCGTTGGCAAAAGTTGAATCCGGCGAGGGCTGGGAATTCACCTGCCCTCCACTTTCAGCTGCCTTTGGGTTAGTTTTAGTTTTGTCTGCTGCTCTTCGATGACCGTGTCACCTGTTGGCTTCAGTCACACCAGCTCTGACCACATGCTGGGATCTGGGCTGGAACCTGGGCCCTGCTGAGGTCTGTGATAAAGGAAGTGCTTTTAAAATTGTGAACTCTGCATTTCGTGAAGTGTGCTTCTGACTCGATAGTGAACAGAAATGCATTTGTAGATTCATAAATCTGGCATTTTTGTTCAGCACATCAGGAACTGCAAGTCAGTATTTCCTGTGTAGGCAAATCCCAGTTAGACTTAAGACGGCAAATGGAGATGCCGTTCCCCAGCAAGTGCCCCCTGCCCTGAGGCGGCGCCATGGGCTCTCCACTGTCTGCCCAGGAGGCCTCTCCCATGTGCAGCTCTAACTGCCCTGCGTGTGGAAGACACGTTTTAAATGCCAGTTTATTTAAAGGAGTGTTGGGTTGAAATAAGGTTTTTCTAAAATATTGTCCCAGGACATAAGTGTTGCTCACAGAGAAGCCCTGTGGCCAAATGGGCCTGGTGCAGCCTGGCTCTGACCAGCTGCGTGGGTGGGCCCCTTCGCTCCAGACAGGACCAGGTGGATGGTGCCTGGCCTCCTGCCCTGGGACTCTCCCCTCGGGACAGTGTGGGCAGGGCTCCCTGCTGCCCTGGCCCAGCCTCCTTTCTCCCATTCCAGGTTCAAGGTGTTTGCAGACTATGAAGCCTACATGCAGTGCCAGGCACAGGTGGACCAGCTGTACCGGGTGAGGCTCCTGGGTCCAGAGGCTAGGGGAGCAGCTGGGTGGGTCCATGTAGACGTGTTGGGTCAGATTGTTTATTTCCCAAGCTGAGTAGATTCTTGGCCTGGGCCAGAGGGGTTTGTGATTCTGATCTGTCATCAGTCGGCTGTGCCTGCCTTTAGGGAAGCTGTCACTGTCAATGTCACTCCCTCCGTTGAAAAAAACAGCTCCTAATGGCCAAGAAAGGAATGTGCGGCCTGGAAACTGAGTGACGGGCAGGGCCCTGGGAGGGACCTTCTCTTCCCTCAGTCAGGGCTGGCCTCGAGGAAAGGCTGGCCTGGTGTGACCTGCAGCTTGTGGCAGCTGTGAGGCTCCCTGGTGGAAGGAGACTGCCTGGGCATGTCCCCTGGCACTGGATCTGCCTGGGCAGTTCTTACCTGGTGCTATCCCTATCGTCGTCCTGGGGGCCATGCCCTAGCAGGAATTTTCGAGGCTGGGACCTTCTCTCCAGCTCCTTGCTCCCTAGATCTAGAATGCGGTAGCTTTCCTGGTCCGTGGGGTCCCCTTTTCAACGAACAAGTGATTGTAATGTCCTCCTCTTCCAGCGGATGGCCCCAAGGCTCGGAGCTCATTTGGAAACAGTCCTAAAGTTCTGGAATCCCATGTTTTTAGCAGCCCCAAGCCCTGTGACGCCAGAGACTAATTTCATCTCCTTCCCTGCAGAACCCCAAGGAGTGGACCAAGAAGGTCATCAGGAACATCGCCTGCTCGGGCAAGTTCTCCAGTGACCGGACCATCACGGAGTATGCACGGGAGATCTGGGGTGTGGAGCCCTCCGACCTGCAGATCCCGCCCCCCAACATCCCCCGGGACTAGGCACACCCTGCCTTGGCGGGACCAGCGGGCATTTGTTTTCTTGCTGACTTTGCACCTCCTTTTTTCCCCAAACACTTTGCCAGCCACTGGTGGTCCCTGCTTTTCTGAGTACCATGTTTCCAGGAGGGGCCATGGGGGTCAGGGTGGTTTTGAGAGAGCAGGGTAAGGAAGGAATGTGCTAGAAGTGCTCCTAGTTTCTTGTAAAGGAAGCCAGAGTTGACAGTACAAAGGGTCGTGGCCAGCCCTGCAGCTTCAGCACCTGCCCCACCCAGAGTGGGAGTCAGGTGGAGCCACCTGCTGGGCTCCCCCAGAACTTTGCACACATCTTGCTATGTATTAGCCGATGTCTTTAGTGTTGAGCCTCTGGATTCTGGGGTCTGGGCCAGTGGCCATAGTGAAGCCTGGGAATGAGTGTTACTGCAGCATCTGGGCTGCCAGCCACAGGGAAGGGCCAAGCCCCATGTAGCCCCAGTCATCCTGCCCAGCCCTGCCTCCTGGCCATGCCGGGAGGGGTCGGATCCTCTAGGCATCGCCTTCACAGCCCCCTGCCCCCTGCCCTCTGTCCTGGCTCTGCACCTGGTATATGGGTCATGGACCCAGATGGGGCTTTCCCTTTGTAGCCATCCAATGGGCATTGTGTGGGTGCTTGGAACCCGGGATGACTGAGGGGGACACTGGAGTGGGTGCTTGTGTCTGCTGTCTCAGAGGCCTTGGTCAGGATGAAGTTGGCTGACACAGCTTAGCTTGGTTTTGCTTATTCAAAAGAGAAAATAACTACACATGGAAATGAAACTAGCTGAAGCCTTTTCTTGTTTTAGCAACTGAAAATTGTACTTGGTCACTTTTGTGCTTGAGGAGGCCCATTTTCTGCCTGGCAGGGGGCAGGTCTGTGCCCTCCCGCTGACTCCTGCTGTGTCCTGAGGTGCATTTCCTGTTGTACACACAAGGGCCAGGCTCCATTCTCCCTCCCTTTCCACCAGTGCCACAGCCTCGTCTGGAAAAAGGACCAGGGGTCCCGGAGGAACCCATTTGTGCTCTGCTTGGACAGCAGGCCTGGCACTGGGAGGTGGGGGTGAGCCCCTCACAGCCTTGCCCCTCCCCAAGGCTGGCAACCTGCCTCCCATTGCCCAAGAGAGAGGGCAGGGAACAGGCTACTGTCCTTCCCTGTGGAATTGCCGAGAAATCTAGCACCTTGCATGCTGGATCTGGGCTGCGGGGAGGCTCTTTTTCTCCCTGGCCTCCAGTGCCCACCAGGAGGATCTGCGCACGGTGCACAGCCCACCAGAGCACTACAGCCTTTTATTGAGTGGGGCAAGTGCTGGGCTGTGGTCGTGCCCTGACAGCATCTTCCCCAGGCAGCGGCTCTGTGGAGGAGGCCATACTCCCCTAGTTGGCCACTGGGGCCACCACCCTGACCACCACTGTGCCCCTCATTGTTACTGCCTTGTGAGATAAAAACTGATTAAACCTTTGTGGCTGTGGTTGGCTGACATGGGGTCTGTGTTTCACTAACTAACTAACTAACTGCAGGTGGTGGTATGAGACTGTGGGAAGCAGAGAACACAGGCCTGAGGCCCAGGGTGGTGCCAGTGCAGGGATGAGACCTGCAAGTGGGCCACAGGTCCCCCGTCTGAAACTAGAGCCGGGGCTGAATTACACCCCATCATTCTGGGATTGAGGGCAGAAAAGTTTGCATCTCCACTAGGTGTGGAACCCGGGGTCATGTGTGCCTGAACGGCTAGTTTTGTTTTTTTGTTTTTGAGATGGAGTTTTGCTTTTGTTGCCCAGGCTGGAGTGCAGTGGCACGGTCTTGGCTCGCTGCAACCTCCGCCTCCTGGGTTCAAGCAATTCTCCTGCCTCAGCCTCCCGAGTAGCTGGCATTACAGGCGCCCACCACCACACCCGGCTAATTTGTGTATTTTTAGTTTTGCCATGTTGGCCAGGCTGGTCTCAAACTCCTGACCTCAGGTGATCCGCCCGCCTCAGCCTCCGAAAGTGCTGAGATTACAGTTGTGAACCACTGTTCCTGGCCAAGCTAGCTATTTTCTAAAAATTCTATCAATCAATCAAATCCAGCCATTACTAAACATGCTATCTGGGGATAAGAAACACACACACCTTTCTGGTGTGACTTGTGCTGGTCCCTTTGCACCTGCAACTTTTGTCTCCCACTCCTGGCCCTGGGGACCAAAGCATCGCCCATCAATTGTACAGTTGCAGATTAAGAAATCAGGAGAAATGAGCCTAGGGCTCTGTGCTACCCTGAAGACCCAAGAACTGGGATGCTGGAGTGCCATGGGCCTCCTTGGCCTCAGACCTGGTCGTGCAGGGGTTGGTGCTGCCAGGTTGTCCTCATCCCCACACCCACCATGCATCTGGGCGGGCGGCACCAAGGTGGTGCCCTGGGAGTCTCTGCCTCCCCAGGTCTGTGGGGTGCCCTCCCAGGGATTAGTTGCTTGGACAACTGAGCTCAGCACCCTGGGTAGGGCACTTGGATGTAATGAGCTGACAGGTGATGGTGGAGCAGCTGCCACACAGTGCACCCTTCTCGCTCTTATCTGCATCATCTCAGTTTTGTAAAAAAGACACTAGTAGCTTGGCTGAGTGCAATGGCTCATGCCTATAATCCCAGCACTTTGAGAGGCCAAGGCAGGAGGATTGCTCAGGAGTTCGAGACCAGCCTGGGCAACATGGCAAAACCCCATCTTTACAAAACATACAAGAATTAGCTGGGCGTGGTGGCACGTGCCTGTAGTCCCACCTACTTGGGAGGCAGGCTGAGGTGGGAGAACTGCTTGAGCCCAGGAGGTGAAGTTGCTGTGAGCTATGATTGTGCCACTGCACTCCAGCCTGGGCAACAGAGTGAGACTGTCTCAAAAAAACAAAAAACCCACCAGGAGCTTGTATTTTTAGTTTGTATCTATCTTGCCTCAGTCCCCCAGCCAAGTATCCCAAGTAGCTTACATAGACCAAAAAAAAAAAAAATGAGGAAAAGATGAAGGCCAGCCCAGGTAGAGTGGGTCACCTCTGCTTCGTGGTCAGGAGCTGAAGTGTGCGACGAGGCCAGGAGACCAGCCTTGGGCTCTGTGCTGGAGTAAACCTATGTCCTAAAGAAGGGGCTGCCTGGCTCCCCTAGGGGTTCCTATAGCCTCACAAAGACATTCTAGGATGCCACGTGGGTCCCCGGCTCAGATGGCCATGCAAGGAGATCCCAACCCTGGGGCAGGTGGTGTCTCTGGGGCCGTGGGTGGGTGGAACAGAAATGACACCCTAATTAGGGACCAGGAGCTGGGGCACACCCTGGCCAGGAGGGGGACCAGTGTTCTCATGAACTGACCTCAGAAGTAATGTCTACTCAGCTGCTCCCCTGCGTAGGAAAAGTGTTTTGTAGATCTGAGAACCGCTATAGGTAGCTCAGGGTACCCCAGTGAAGGAGTGTAACCGCGAGGACCTCTGGGCTCCCTGCCAGCCCACAGCTGCTGATGCTGGGACTGCAACTTGGAGAAAGGGGCGAGCAGGTGAACAAAACTTCCTACTCCTGGCAAATTTCTGAGCTGCTGGGACTAGAAAATTTCATAGTCTGAGGCTGAGTCATGGAGTGGCTCCAAAGCGGCTAGAGGCTAGGCTGTGGGCGGCTCTGGGGCATGGAGGAGGCAACATTGACCCTTCTCGCGCTGCAGAGAGACAAAAGGACCACCACCACGATTTTATTCTTAAATAAAGCTCAGTCTAAGGCCAGGTTAGGTGTACAGGTAGGTGAAAGGGGAGGAAGTGCAGATCCCGGGCACTTCCACTGTGGGTGAGTGGGCCAGCCCAGGGGAGGTGGGGCAGCTGAGAAAGGCAAGCAGGTACACAGGGCAGGAGGGGACGATGGAACCACTGGAGTCATTCTGCATGTGCTGGGAAGGTGCAGAAAGAACCTGGACCCCACGTTCTCTGTGGGTGGTGCCAAAAAGCTCAGCATGGTCCCGAGCCCCAAGAGTCCCCTGCCCGGACTCCCCCTGTCCAGCTCAGTGCAGCATCAAGCAGGCAGTGATGGCTGCCTGCTGCCATTAAGTCTCCCAACAAGATCTCAGGTTGAGGGGCGGCAAGGAGAGCCACATGCCTGCCACCCACGCTTTCCACACAGCCATGCTCAGGCCTCCGGGCACTGCAGGCCTGCAGGGGCCTCCCCGCCTGGGATCTGAGGTGCTCTCCAGGTGCGAGCTGGGCTCCTGAGCATTGCAGGTGCCGGCCCCCCGGGGCTTCAGGATACCGGGCTGCTGACTGGAGGAAAACGGGAGGAGGGCAGAGGTCTTCATGCTTCCTTCCCACGGCCAGGCTCAGTGCTGGTGCTCAGGCTCCGACTTCCCCAGGAATTCCCTAGACCACAGGACAATCAGGAGCCAATCATTTGAGCTCAGACCAAAGATCCTTCTCCACAGTCCTCACACTGCTATCTAAGGAAGCAGAGGCTGTGCAGAGAGGAGGCAGCCAAGAGCCCCATGAGGATGCGCTGTAGCCCAGAGCAGCACTCAGTGAGTTAGGCAGGGAACAAGCAGTGTGGTGCCAAGTCAAAGCCCAACACACAGGCATGGAGACAAGGTCTCTGATTCTTGACCCTCAACTTCAGAGCTATTCTCTGGTCTAAATTTTCTACACATATCTTCCTTTTATAATGGGGAAAATTATAACCGCAAAGCAAACCCATACTCTGAGCCCACTGCCCCCTTAGCAACCCAGGTACCTGTGCTAAAGGGACACAGTTTTGCCTCTGGAACTTCCAAAGGCAACTGGAGAAAAGCAGAAGTTTGCAGTAGAATTACTCACGGGATATACAGCACTGGGAGGCAATTCAGGCCACCAATTTCAGTCCCCTGCAGGGAGAAACTGGCACCTTGACCTACTTTTTGGAGCTGACTGGCACAACACAACAAAAAACTCTATCACCATTAGCAGCAGCCCCTCCGTGGGTCCAGTGCTTAGGGTCGAAGTACCACATGCCCTCCTCGGCTCAGAAGCCTTGTCCCATGCACAGGGAGGGTTAGCATCTTGCCCAAGGCCACACAGCCAGGCAGTGGGGTGGGGGCCTGTGTCCTCTGACAGGCAGGTAGGCGAGTCTGGGCAGCAACCTGCATAGGGCCCAGGGCAGTACAGAGGAGGCCGGGGGTTGGTCCATTCCACACACTGCCCTTGTCACTACTGCCAAGGCCTCACCCTCAGGCTTGGGCTCTGCACTCAGGCCCAGGTGGGTACTCATGGCTCTCTGGGCTGGCGCCCATGTCCTGCCAGTGCAGGGCAGTCAGGAGCACCACGTCCCTTCAAGAAGCAGCTGGGGACAAAGAGGCTTTTGAGGAGCTGTGTACGTCTTGAGAGGTGTGTGGAAGAGATCCGAGGCCTGCAAGTGGCTGGGGTGTCTGTGTCTGAGTGTTCCCAAACATGGCCACCTGTGAGCGTGTGTGCCCCCCCGTGTGGGTCTGTACATCCTTTACAACATGGAGGCGGCTCACCCTGCATGATCATGTGAACAGTCCTGGAGCAGGAGAGAGGCACTCCCTCAAACCCCTCTGCCAAGGAAATGGAAGGCTCCCAAATCACTGTGACTCTTGGCCCCACTGAGGCCCCCTGAGCAGCTTCAGCAGCTGCCACCTGCTGCACGTTAGGTGTGAGCCAGTGCTGCCCAGACGAAGCCCCTGGGTGGGAAGAGAATGTCTCACCTCAGTATCCGTGGCAGCTCAGGGCTCTTGTAAATGTATTTGTGCCTGTAGCCAAGGTCTGAATGAAAGGGCACAAACTGAACTTTGAAATCTCGGAAGCTTCGAGCTGGTGCGGCGATGCTATAGAGCTGGGGAGAGAGGGGTCAGAGCCTGAGGCAGTGGCCTGGCATGGGGGTCCCAGCCTGAGGAACACCAGCTTGGCAGCCTCCCCTTCAATAGAAACCAGTCCAGAGTCCCACATACACTGCTTGTTGCCACAGCCGGTCACGACCAGGAGGCCCGGGGGTGGGCTGGGAGGAGCCAGGCCCCAGGCTTGGCTCCTGGGCACACACCACTCAAGATACTGTCCTCACACCTTATAGACTACCCTTCCTCTGGGGAGTGGCTAGGTGGATGAGCCAGACCAGGTGCCTGGGAGGCTCTGATGGCAGGGATGGCACAGTCTTGGGGAGCTGGGACAAAAGGTATGTGCCTCAGGCTTAGCTAAGATGGGCTTGATGTACCCATCTCAGCCCCCTCCCCCTCTCATTTCGGCAAGGGTAGGTGGGCCTGAGCTGTGCGCTGCTGGGCGGCTCTGCATTCTGCCCCTGCCCTGTGTGGCTCCGTCATCTGTGTGCCTTATGGAGCCTGACTGCATGGGGGCTGTCAGAGCAGGAAGTGCTCCCAGCCCTGGGCTGAATCCGTGGACGAGGCCTGCACACACCCAACTAGTTTGCCCTGCCATTACCAAGACCCAGGCTGCCTTCTCTTACCCTACTCTGAGCCACAAATCCAATCCAACTTGCTGACAGTCAAAGCAAATTCAGCAAAAGCAAACACTGAGGCCCCACAGACAGCATGGTCTGGTTCTGGTATCAGCGCAATTCCAAAGGCAAGGAAACAGGCTAGAAGTTTCTCTATCAATTTTGACTGTGACCCCTGCAATGGGCTTGGGAGATCCTCATCAAGGGGTTCTTTGCCTTCAGCCCATAACTGATGAGCCCTTCCAGCTGAGTTCCCAGGTTGGCCTGGGCTCTGATAACATAGGCAGCCCACTCTGATAACCCCTGTGTGAGGACTGGGAACTATCTGCTTATTTTTCATATTCTTGGAGACAGCATCAGTGGGCCCCTGCCCCAACCTTTACACCAGACCTCCCATGTCCTTCCGAAGCAGCCTGGAGGTGACGCAGGGAGGATGAGGTGGCCTCCTGAGCCTGACGTGGCTGGTGCGCAGCCCGTGATGCAGCATGCAGGGGCTGCCTTCCCGCCTGCCCACTCCCAGCCTGGTCCACCCACACTGGCTGAGTGTGCAAGATGCCAGCTACACCAGAGGCAGAGGCCAGGACCCACCTTTCTGCCAAGCTGGAAGGGCACCACCGGGTCGTCCTCAGCGTGCAGGATGAGCAGGGGACAGGAGATGTGCTTCACGCTGTAGGAGGGAGAAGGGGCTAGACCAAGACCAGGGAAAGGGCAGAGTTGCCCAGACCCTCTGTCCATGGCAGGGATCTGGGTTCAGGGTGTGTTTTGGGAAACAGCCTGATTTCTGCTGGATTTCTTTTTACTAGACAACTGAAAGTTAACTCTTCATTATCTCTATGAACATCTATTACAGCTAGATGACAGGTGTCAATCACAGCTATATAACTGGCCCTCGGAATGTCTTCTGAAAATTGAAAATGATTATTTTTCCACCAGATATATATATTTTTAAGCGGAATAATTCAGGTGGGCCAAGAAACTTAGTGTAAATGAATGTTACTAGGAATC
Organism: Homo sapiens; assembly: GCF_000001405.40. Lineage (NCBI taxonomy): Eukaryota > Metazoa > Chordata > Mammalia > Primates > Hominidae > Homo > Homo sapiens. Next base: position 25,303,967 of record NC_000020.11, read on the forward strand.
TGTTGGTAAAAAAAGTCAATGTTCTCTAATTTATCTGTGTAAGTGACATTTATGGTCACTCCAACTCTAAACACTTAGAAGTGATTTAGGATTTTCAGTAGGTTTGATAGATCCAAATCCTTCAGCAAACCACATAACAGAAGCATGGGCTGCCAGGACCGGCGGAGCCTGGGCTCTCCTGTGCGGCCCTCACTGAGGTGGTGCCTGACCCAAGTCTCCTTTATCCCCAACAGGGCTGTGTGCTCCGTGAGGGCAGCGCTGGTGCACTCCTGGCACCTGGAGCAGGACCCGGTGGGGAGCCCCCGCCCTGTCTGTGCTGCTGGCAGGAGGCACACACTCTTGCTTCCCAGTAAGGCTTGTCTGATGTGCGAGTCCCTCTCACCAGAGGCTCTGGAGGAAGCGGCAGTACTTGGGATTTCCCAGACCACGGCCCACCTGAGCTCAGGAAAGCCCCTCCTGCCCTCAGAGCTGTGCCCCTGACTTCCAATGAGCTGAGGGTGGGGGTCTCACCCAGGGTCACCTGTACTCCATCTGGCTCAGCTGGGAGGGTCAAGGCCAAAGGCAGCTTCAGGGGCACGGTACTCAAACTTGCTTTTTTTGTTTGTTTTTATTTTTTATTTTGAGATGAGTCTTGCTCTTTCACCAGGCTGGAGTGCAGTGGTGCGATCTCAGCTCACTGCAACCTCTGCCTCCTGGGTTCAAGTGATTCTCCTGCTTCAGCCTCCCGAGTAGCTGGGACTACAGGCGTGCACCACCACGCCTGGCTAATTGTTTTGTATTTTAGTAGAGACAGGGTTTCACCATATTGGCCAGGATGGTCTCAAACTCCTGACCTCGTGATCTGCCTGCCTCAGCCTCCCAAAATGTTGGGATTACAGTGGTGAGCCACCACACCCAGTCACAACCTTGCTTTTTAAGAAGGAATCCAGTTCATTCAGATAATTCTTTTTTTCTTTTCTTTGTTGCCCAGGCTGGAGTGCAATGGCATGATCTTGGCTCACTGCAACCTCCGCCTCCTGCCTCAGCCTCCCGAGTAGCTGGGATTACAGGCATGTGCCACCACACCTGGCTAATTTTGCATTTTCAGTTGAGACGGGGTTCACCATGTTAGGGTGATCTTGAACTCCTGACCTCAGGTAATCCACCTGCCTCAGCCTCTCAAAGTGCTGGGATTACAGGCGTGAGCCACTGCACCCAGCCCAGATAATTCTTTTTCAAGTTCCAAAACAGTAGTATTTACAAACAAGCAGGGTTTGTTGCTTAAAATATTTGTTCAACTTTTAATTTGTTCTATTTTTATTTTTAGAACCAAAACATACTTGATGGGAAAAAATACTCCATTTTTTTTCATATTCTGTTTCAAATTAAATTAAATATTTATAGGGTGTTTTACTTTCCCTCTTTTTTTTTTTTTGAGACGGAGTCTCGCTCTGTCGCCCAGGCTGGAGTGCAGTGGCGCGATCTCGGCCCACTACAACCTCTGCCTCCCGGGTTCAAGCGATTCTCCTGCCTCAGCCTCCTGATTAGCTGGGACTACAGGCACGAGCCACCACACCCGGCTAATTTTTGTATTTTTAGTAGAGACAGGGTTTCACTGTGTTAGCCAGGATGGTCTCGATCTCCTGACCATGTGATCTGCCCACCTCAACTTCCCAAAGTGCTGGGATTACAGGCATGAGCCACCACGCCCAGCCTACTTCCCTCTTTTTTTAAAGAAATCAAAATTCATGATATAAAAATGTCACAAAGACAATATCAATACAATCTGAAAAAGGTTTAAAAAAAGAACCCTTAACTAGAATACTTAACTTTTGGTTTACCTAATAGATTTTTAACAATAAACTTTGTAATATATTTCTATAACCAAACACAAATCAAATGGCTGAGGCAAAGTCATTTTCTGATTAAGTCAGTATCAGCAGGGCTCAGTGGCTCACGCCTGTAATCCCAGCACTTTGGGAGGCCAAGGCGAGCAGATCACCCGAGATCAGGAGTTCGAGACCAGCCCGGCCAACATGGTGAAACCCCGTCTCTACAAAAATACAAAAAAATTAGTGGGGCATGATGGCGGGTACCTGTAATCCCAGGTACTCGGGAGGCTGAGGTGGGATAATCACTTGAATCCAGGAGGCAGAGGTTGCAGTGAGCTGAGATCACGCCACTGCACTACAACCTGGGTGACAGAGCAAGACTCCGTCTCAAAAAAACAAAAACAAAAAAAAAAAAAAGAAGAAAAATCAACCAGTTAATATCACTGTTTTAATATGTGTTTTGGTTTTCACAAACCATTTTGAAATAAAACAACTCTATGGACAAAAACTATGTTATTTTAATATTGCTTTACTTCTATAATCTTTTCAGATTTCTTATTTCTTTCTGTTACAGTTCTTTACTTGCCCCCTGGCCCACAATTTTTTTTGTTTTGTTTTGAGACAAGGTCTCACTCTGTCACCCAGGCTGGAGTGCAGTGGTGCAATCACGGTTCACTGCAGTCTTGACCTCCCCAGGCTCAGGTGATCCTCCTAACTCAGCCTCCCATGTAGCTGGGACCACAGGTACACGATGCCACCATACCTGGTCAATTTTTGGATTTTTTGTAGAGACAGGGCCCTGCTATGTTGCCCAGGCTGGTCTCAAACTCCTAGGATCAAGCGATCTGCCTTCCTCAGCTTCCCAAAGTGCTGGGATTACAGGTGTGAACCACGGTCCCTAGCAGGCTTTCCCTTTTTAAAGACCTGTTTGCTAGAGAATGACCCTAAATACACTGAATTCCATCCTATTTGATTACTGTGACTAAAGAGGCTCATCCAGAGGTTCTCAGAGTTTTTCTAAATAGGAAAATTAGTTCCTGTCCCATAATACTCACTTTTCATCATTTGCAAATTTAATTCCACTACTTGTAATAGGATCAAGGAAGAACCAGTCAAACCCAGGGAAGTATCGATATATCTGGAGACAAGATGGAAACCATTTTCAGAAGCGTTGGTTAAGATATCCAGGCACAGGTCAAGGGTGCAGACAGTTTAAGTTCAGAAATCTATAAGGCGTTGCCCATAACTACCCTACCTAAGGGAGCAGGGGTGACATTGCCAAGGGGCCACCAGAGCTGTGCCCTGGCACCTTCTGCCCTGGCCGTGTCCTGGCTTTGCTGCTAGGAACAGAAGAATCACCCGCCAGGCCCCACAGACTGGCATGGCAGGGGCTGCCCTGCAAATGGGGCTCCCGCACCTCCCAGCCAGGCCAGAATCCACCCCAGAAACCAGTCTTCCCGCAGACACCAGGGCCGCCACCCCTGAGAAAGTGGGGTCTATGGACAGTTTCCTCACACAATTTAAGAAAAGCAGCACCAAAAAGTAAGATAAGATAAAAGGCTCTTCTGGTTGGTAACAGAACAGCATGAGGCCAGCATGGGCTGACACAGGCCCGAGAATCCATGGCCAGTGGGGAGCACAGGGATCACAAACCAGAGTGAGAAGGAGGGGAAAATAACTGGCTAGGTTTTAAGGGAAGGTCCAAGGTTCCATTCCCAGCTGGGGAGGGCACAGGTTGGGTGGGGCCTGGCTTACCCAGAATTCCCACTGGGGTTCACCTGGGCCTTTCCCCAAGATAAAACTGGAAGGCCAGACTCCCTGGTCCACACAGTCCAGCCCCCCAAGCACTGTCTCATACACAGAGAGGGGGGCACCCCCAGCTCCACTCCTGAACAGGAAGGCAGGGCTGTCAATACAATGCAGTCGATGACACCACGTGAGCCCGGCCTCCACTGTGTCCAGCTGCCCTCAAATGACCCAATTATGACCTGTCATTTCACCTGGCTGCAGGTTATACTTCTTGGGCAGCTCTGTGGCCAAAACTAGTATTAATTTTTAATGAAATCTGTATTCATTAGAATATTTAAATAACAATTTTTAATAATTATTATAATGTATCCTGTAATTAGTTATTTCTATAATTTATCTTAATAATGAAAAGTTAATTTTTAATAAAATCTGTACTTGCCACTGAAAATGGATGGCTCTTAGCTTCTTCGCGGATATTAGTGAATGGAGATTCCAATATAAGGGCATCTGGAGGCGTCTCTAGATAAACAAACAGGGAACTGAGAGGTAGGCAGGAAGCCAGCGACATACATGTGGCCTGTGGGGCTCTGAGGGGCCCCCAGAAAGCACAAGGAGACCACAGCGCCTCCCACCAGGCAACCACCTCGGCAGGCCTCAGATAGCACCAGGGGTGCCCGCCAGGGGAACAGAGATGGCTCTGGTCACTCCTAAAAAGCAGACTTGCTGATGCGGCTCTGGGGCCAGACCTGTGTGTGTGAGGCTCCCCAGCTCCTCAGGTGTATCATGGGAAGGGTGGCTGGTCAGCCCCGGGCCCCCCAGAATGTGCAGCTCATGCTGCTCCATGAGGACGCTGAGCACTTGCAGCAGGGCCGGGACTGGGGAGCACCCTGAATGCTCACTGCCACGGCTGGGGCCCAACAAGGCACTCACCTCGCTCACAGAGGCGCCGCACCAGATTTGTCGCCACGCTAGGAAAAAAGAAAAACAGCTTAGTTGAGTTATGATAAAATTGTTTGAGATGATATGGGCCTTATGCTGGAAAGTGCTCAGAGGAGCCATGGGGTCTGTGAAGCTACTGGAGTTTCAGGACAGAGTGGGGGAAATGGAGATCCCTCTAGCACTGGGGGTGACCTGGCTGCCCCACCATCAGCTGACCCCTGCAATGAGGGCTGTACCCACAGCCAGTCAGCTTGTCCCCGAGGTGTGTCCTGCTGCCTCTCACTGCCCGTACACTCCCATTGGCCGGGCCGCCTGTCGGCTGGGGGTGGCCAGCGTCTGCCTGCACCTCTCCTGGAGCCCACCACACCCAGGGCCTCTTGCCATCCCAGGACCACACCTGGTGGACCACGCAGACGGCCAAAGGGATGGCTGGTGCCCCCCACCCACTCCTCTCCTGATGCTTCCCAGCCTACAAGAGGCCATTCAGGTGTTGGGAGAAGGGCTGCCCCGAAGGGAAAGGCAGCAGAAAGGGAATGGCAGTGAAGGTCTGGGGACTGGGGCCCTGAGAGCAGAGGTTCCCGCAGAGACGTGGACCTCGCATCAGCAGAGATGACTCAGGCTGCCCACAAAGGGAGTGTGGAAGTACCTCCTGTCCTGGCCTCTGTGAGAAGCAAACCACCCACTGTGCCCTCCCTCAGCTCTGAAGACGCTTCTTCCTCAGAGCCAAGTCTCCCTAGGGAGACCCCTCGACCTCCACTGCCTATGTCTGTCCTGAGCCACTTCCTGGACGAGGAGCTCAGATCCTTTGGAGTCTCTTTGTAACTTCCCCTCCTGCCTCTGCCATGGGGATGGGAGCGAGGCTGGTCGGGACTAATGGTGCCACAGGGTTTGCAGGGATGGTGGACTCTCTAGATCCAGGCATGGGAGTCACCAGGAATACTGACTCCCACTAAAGGCTGCCTCCTGCTGGGGTCCCTTACCCAGTGCCCAGAGAGTGGCCCCAGATGTACACGGGGTTGTCACCACTTCTTGCTTTGATCCAGTCAAAAACGTGGAGTGCGTCATAGGTCATGCCCCGCTCAGATGGCGTTCCCACTGAGTCACCCCAACCTGGGAGGGAGAAACGGCAGGACGGGGAGGTCAAAGGCAGCTCACAAAACCTGGACAAACACACCTCCCCAAGGGGGCCCAGGGCCAGGAGGAGACAGGGAGGGGCCCGCTTGGCCCACCCTTCCAGAGTCCACAGACCCACCCAGGCCACTGGGCAGAGCAAGCAGTGGGGAGAACGGGCACAACCCCACATCCCCACCAGCCCTGGGGAAGGCAGCCCAGCAGCAACCCTGCCCTGCCCCTGCTGACTGCACAAACCAGACATCCCCTCACAGGGTCACTCTAAGTTGGTGAGCTGCACATTTGAATGGCAACTAACAGCAAGCTGAGTTAACAGAACAGATCACAGAGCTTCAGAGCTGGCACCGGCATCCTCAGGCCAGGGCTGGGACTTGCCCCACCCTCTTGGGCAGGGGAGTGAGCTCACTTCTCCCTCTCTCTTTCTTAACAGGCAAGCTAGTGAGGTCTAAGGCAGTGAAAGCCTCTGCCACCACCATCCTCAGCTCTACACTTCTCCCCCATCCCCCAGCAGCATCCATGTGTCCCACTCCGAGCCCTGACGAGCAGCAGTGCAGATGGCGTGGTCAGATGAGCAGCCCCCGGGGCCGCTGGCTGGACACCAACCTCCTCAACGCCGAAGGCTTGGTCAGGGGCAGGACAGGGAGTGGAGTCCGGAGGCTCCCAGAACAGGGAGGGCATTTCTGGGTTCAAGGCAACCATGACCCAGGAAGGGGAAAGGGGCTGTTTCCCCTTAGGGTCTAATTAGCATCTTGTTTCCATAACAGAAAACACTACCATCTCTGCCCCCCAAAATTACAACCTCCCAAGGGTCCCTCCCCCAGTCTCCAGCAAAGGTGGAGTGCAATTATCTTTCCAGCAGCCCAGCAGTGAGTCATCATCAGATGATCTGAAAGCACCACAAAGGTCAGAAAGAGCAGGTTGTGCAGTGTAAGCAAACAGTTAGTGCAGAACTTGCTGTTTCCCGACTCAGACACTAGAGGAGGGAGGAGGCCATGCAGAGGGCTAGGGCCAGGCTGGGAGGCAGGGGTATGGGGACATGAGACAGAAAGAAAAGAACAGAGACAGGGACAGGAGACAGAGACAGACAGGAAGACTGAGAGACAGGAACAGAGAGGCACAGAGACAGGCAAGAAGACTGACAGGGACAGACAGACAGGCACAGAGACAGGGACAGGAGGCAGAAGGATGCGGACAAAGAGGCAGATGCAGTGAGAGAGACAGAGGGACAGTCGGAGATGGAGCTGGCAGTCTTGGTGCCAATTAGAAACGTAGACTCCACGAGAACTGAAACAGAAAGTGCTGCGTGGGATTTCATTTCCTGACAGAAGTGCGGGGAGATGAATGGGAAGAAGCCACTCATTCTCCCTCTCCTAAGGTCTCTAGCATGCAGCAGAAGAGAACCAGTGTCAACATGGAGAGAAGGAGAGGGCAAACCACTTCCTTGCTCCTCATTCTGGAGTTTTTCCCAGCCCACAACTGTCATCCTGATGGAACTTTCTTCCCTGTGGTTGGCAGCATGGTGGCCCCCAAAAGTGTCCATGACCTAATCCCTGGAACTTGTGAACGCGTTGGGTCACATGGCTGGGGAATGAAAGGTATGGAAGGAATGAAAGCTACTAACTGCTTGCCTTGAGATGGGGGTGATCCTGGACAAGCTGGGTGGGCCCAAAATAACCACAAGGGTCCTCATCAGAGAAAAAGGGAGAGGAGTCAGGGTCAGAGCCAGATGACCTGGGACTCAATCACAGAAGGGCTGTGAGCCAAGGAACACAGGTGGCTGGAAAGGGCAGCCAGGCATTCTCCCTGAGAGCCCTGCTCCCACCCTGATTCCAGCCTGGGGGCTGCAGATTCTGAATTTCTGACCTCCAGAACTGCAAGACGCTACATGTGTGCTGGTTTAAAGCACTGTTTGTGGTAACATGTTATAGCAGCAAGAGAGAATTAACACAACCCCCACATCCAGGTGACAGCCTCTCTCCTTTGTCCCTCCCATATCTCCTCTTGGTCTGAGGATAGACACGCCACCTGCCCCCACAAGAAGGTGAAGGCAGCCAGCCACGTTGCCATCAACTCTTTAATCTCTCCAGCTGAGGACTACATGGTGGAATACACTTTTTGAAATTTTTGAGACAGGGTCTCGCTCTGTCACTCAGGCTGGAGTGCGGTGGCATGATCTTGGCTCACTGCAACCTCCGCCTCCTGGGCTCAAGCTTTCCTCCCACCTCAGCCTCCTGAGTAGCTGGGATTACAGGCACCTGCCACCAGGCTCAGCTACTTTTTTTTGTATTTTTAGTAGAGGCGGGGTTTTGCCACGCTGCCCAGGCTTATCTCGAACTCCTGGTTTCAAGCAATCTGCCCACCTCAGCCTCCCAAAGTGCTGGGATTACAGGCGTGAGCCACCGTGCCCAGCCAGAATACACTTTAAAACAGTCTCGCAGTCAGTTGCAATGGCTCACTCACACCTGTAATCCCAACACTTCGGGAGGCCAAGGTGGGCAGACTGCTTGAACCCAGTAGTTCAAGACCAGCCTGGGCAACATGGCGAAACCCTCTCTTAAAAAAAATAAAATAGCTCTCCCTCTCCCCACGGTCTCCCTCTCCCTCTCTTTCCACGGTCTCTCTCTGATGCCAAGCCGAAGCTGGACTGTACTGCCGCCATCTCGGCTCACTGCAACCTCCCTGCCTGATTCTCCTGCCTCAGCCTGCCGAGTGCCTGTGATTGCAGCAGCGCGCTGCCATGCCTGACTGGTTTTCGTATTTTTTTGGTGGAGACGGGGTTTCGCTGTGTTGGCCAGGCTGGTCTTCAGCTCCTAACCGCGAGTGATCTGCCAGCATCGGCCTCCACAGGTGCCGGGATTGCAGACGGAGTCTCGTTCACTCAGTGCTCAATGTTGCCCAGGCTGGAGTGCAGTGGCGTGATCTCGGCTCACTACAACCTCCACCTCCCAGCCGCCTGCTTTGGCCTCCCAAAGTGCCGAGATTGCAGCCTCTGCCCGGCCGCCACCCCGTCTGGGAAGTGAGGAGCGTCTCCGCCTGGCCGCCCATCGTCTGGGATGTGAGGAGCCCCTCTGCCTGGCTGCCCAGTCTGGGAAGTGAGGAGCGCCTCTTCCCGGCCGCCATCCCATCTAGGAAGTGAGAAGCGTCTCTGCCCGGCCGCCCATCGTCTGAGATGTGGGGAGCGCCTCTGCCCCGCCGCCCCGTCTGGGATGTGAGGAGCGCCTCTGCCCGGCCGCGACCCCGTCTGGGAGGTGAGGAGCGTCTCCGCCCGGCAGCCGCCCCGTCTGAGAAGTGCGGAGCCCCTCCGCCCGGCAGCCGCCCCATCTGGGAAGTGAGGAGCGTCTCCACCCGCCCCATCCGGGAGGGAGGTGGGGGCCAGCCCCCGACCGGCCAGCCACCCCGTCTGGGAGGTGGGGGGCGCCTCTGCCCGGCTGCCCCTTCTGGGAAGTGAGGAGCCCCTCTGCCCGGCTGCCACCCCGTCTGGGAGGTGTACCCAACAGCTCATTGAGAACGGGCCATGATGACGATGGCGGTTTTGTCGAATAGAAAAGGGGGAAATGTGGGGAAAAGATAGAGAAATCAGATTGTTGCTGTGTCTGTGTAGAAAGAAGTAGACATAGGAGACTCCATTTTGTTCTGTACTAAGAAAAATTCTTCTGCCTTGGGATGCTGTTGATCTATGACCTTACCCCCAACCTGGTGCTCTCTGAAACATGTGCTGTGTCCACTCAGGGTTAAATGGATTAAGGGCGGTGCAAGATGTGCTTTGTTAAACAGATGCTTGAAGGCAGCATGCTCATTAAGAGTCATCACCACTCCCTAATCTCAAGTACCCAGGGACACAAACACTGCGGAAGGCCGCAGGGTCCTCTGCCTAGGAAAACCAGAGACCTTTGTTCACTTGTTTATCTGCTGACCTTCCCTCCACTATTGTCCTATGACCCTGCCAAATCCCCCTCAGAGGAACACCCAAGAATGATCAATAAAAATAAAATAAAATAAAATAAAATAAAATAAAATAAAATAAAATAAAATAACATTAGCCAGGTGTAGTGGTGTGTGCCTGTGGTCCCAGCTACTAGGGAGGCTGAGTTGGGAAGATCACTTGAACCCGGGAGGCAGAGGTTGCAGTGAGCTGAGATCACATCACTGCAATCCAGCTGGGTGACAGAGTGAGACCCTGTCTCAAAGCAAAACCAAAACCAAAACCAAAACAAACCAGTCGCTCATTGTTAACACCAAGTATTTCTGTTGCCTATTAAGCCACAGTGTCCTTGGTATATATCAAACTATGGATTCTTGATTTGTTCAGTGGCAAGCCCTGGTTCATTCAAAAAAGCAGAAATGCTGAGGTGCAGAAGAATCTATCTTCTCTCTTAACAGTTCTTTTTTTTTTTTGACATGGAGTCTTGCTTGTCGCCAAGGCTGGAGTACAGTGGTGCAGTCTCGGCTCACTGCAAGCTCTGCCTCCCAGGTTCAAGCGCTTCTCCTGCCTCAGCCTCTCGAATAGCTGGGACTACAGGTGCGAGCCATTACGCCCGGTTAATTTTTGTATTTTCAGTAGAGATGGGGTTTCACCATGTTGGCCAGGCTGGTCACGAACTCCTGACCTCAAGTGATCCGCCTGCCTCAGCCTCCCAAAGTGCTGGGATTACAGGTGTGAACCACCATGCTCAGCCTCTCTTAACACTTCTTACTGTCTTCGTAACTTTAACAAGACAAGCTTTGATGAGCATAAACCATGTCTGACGTCCAGCTCTGCAGTCTAAAAAAGACAGTATCTTCTAATTTAAAATGCTGCAGGTTGGGTGCAGTGACTCCTGCCTGTAATCCCAACACTCTGGAAGGCTGAGGCAGGAGGATCGCTTGAGGCCAGGAGTCTGAGACTAGCCTAGGCAACACAGCGATACCCCATTTCTACTAAAAACAAAAACAAAACAGCGGGTGTGGTGTCGCATTCCTGCAGTCACAGCTACTCGAGAGCCTAAGGCAGAAGGATCCCTTGAGCCAAGGAGTTCAAGGCTGCAGTGAGCTACAATCATGCTACTGTACTCCAGGTTGGGTGACAAAGTGAGATCCTATCTTAAAAAAAAAAAAAAAAAAGTTGCTGACAGGGCATCTGCTGGGGGCTCCAGGTGCTGAGCCTCCCCTACCAGAAGGGGCTCTCCTGACAGCTCCATCAGGGTCTTTGTCAGGACCCAGGACACCATCACAGCACAGGCAAAGCAGGCGCTGGCCTTGCTCCGAGCCTCTTCGAGTGAGGCCTGCCCATGGGATACCGCCAGCAAGCAGTGGAATTGTGCTCAGATGCTCTTGCAAAAGAAATCTCACCTCTGTAGTCAAAGGTGACCACATGGTAACCAAGGGAACTCAGCACCTGTAAAGTGAAAAATAAACATCTTTGGCAACAAATCCAAGCATCTGTATTGAGGGCAGCTTGCCGCTTACTAAACTCATCCAACTTTCTCTCCTCTGCCTTGTACGTAGTGGCAGCTTCATAAAGACTGTGACATGCTGCCTGACTCCTGGCTGGGTTTTATGAAACCAAGATGCCAACTGCCACTGCAGGACTTGCTGACATCCCTGCCTGGGAGCGCAGGAAGGCTCTCCCTTCCTCCTGCTTAGACGCTAGGGGGCCAGGAGCAGTGTCCGGCCGCAGCTCCACTCGTGCTGCAGGGCAGCCTCTGGGGCGGCCTCCTCTGGAGGCAGACAGCTCTCGGTGCTGCAGTGTGATGGTAGACCCCCAGGAGGAGGGCTACACTGTGCAGAGACCCCATCTGGGGACCCTTGCTGCAACCCAGTATTTCTTGGATTTTAAGCTCTTGTCAATTTTTTTTTCTGTTATTTTTTTTTAATCCCTACAGACTAGCTGACCTCTTTCATTTAGCTCACTCCTCAAACACCCACCCCTGTGCCCTTGCTGGGGTGTGCCCAGAGCAACATGGGAGGCTGCCGCACCATCATGTCACCCAGAATCACAGCTCCCTTCTTTGGGGGGGTTGTTGGGTGCTTCCCCAGGGCAGCCTGCACTTCCTTGCCAGCTCCTAGCCACCGCAGAGGCTATAACCAGAGCCAACCTGCTCCAGCCCTGTTGACCTCAGCAGGATGAATCATTTCTTTTAACAGAAAACTGAAAAAAGGACCAATCACTTCTCAAACTCTCCCCACCTTTCCTGACTTAATGCAATGTACTCCACGGGTAAAATCCTCCAATAGCTCAGAGCTGGGTGTGCCCCCGCCTCTGTCTGTGCCCCTGCCTCTGTCTGTGTTCCCTTCTGCCCTGTGGGCCAGTGCAGATGGCCCTCTGAGGGGAGGAGAGTGAGGCTGTTTCAACAGTATCTCTTGGGCTCCAAGACCCAGACAACCAGATGAAGAACAAAACCAAGCAACCAAGCACAAGTGAAGGTCTGCACGCCCTGCCCTAGGCACCCCCTGCATGTGGGGAGACCTGCAGGCGCTCCCACTGTGTGCCTGGAAGCTGATTCAAGTCCCACCTGCAGCCCTTGCTGGGGTGAGCCTACGACCTGGCAGTCAGTGTAGCACCTGGAGCACCTGGTTTCTCTTTTCCTTTTTTTTTGTTTTTTGAGACGGAGTCTTGCTCTGTTGCCCAGGCTAGAGTGCAGTGGTGCCATCTTGGCTCACTGCAACCTCCGCCTCCCAGGTTTAAGCAATTCTCTGCCTCAGCCTCCTGAGTAGCTGGGATTACAGGCGCCCGCCACCACGCCTGGCTAATTTTTTTTGTATTTTTAGTAGAGACGGGGTTTCACCATCCTGGCCGGCTGGTCTTGAACTCCTGACCTTGTGATCCACCCATCTTGGCCTCCCAAAGTGCTGGGATTACAGGCGTGAGCCACCACACCCAGCCGTCTCTTTTCATTTTATACACAAGTAACGTAACATTGAAAAACAATTTCCAGTGCTGCTTATGTAGTCTGCCAATATCTGCACTTGGTCTACAAAGCCCATACATTCTGATGTTGGGGCCCAGGCCTAGAAGCAGTGTGATGGGCAGTCACAGCAGAGGCAGCCAAGGCCCTACCTTCCAGCACGCCCATCCAAAGGCAGTGTTAAAAAGCTCAACACGCCTGTCATCCCAACACTTTGGGAGGCCAAGGTGGGAGGCCCAGGAGTTCGAGACCAGCCTGAGCAACATAGGGAGACCTCATTTCTACAAAAAAACAAACAAAAATTAGCTGGGCGTGGTGGCGGCATGCACCTGCAGTCTCAGGAGGCTGAAGCAGGAGGATAGTTTGAGCCCAGGAGGTCGACGCTGCAGTGCGCTGTGACTGTACCACTGCACTCCAGCCTGGGCAACAGAGGAGGAGGACCCTGTCTCACACACACAAACAGCCCAGCAATAGTTAACTCTCAAGCTGTGAGTCTGGTGACTCCCTTCACTTCCTGCCCTGGAAAGAACAGCCCAGGGAACAGGTGTGGGTGCTGCCTGCACTCACCTTGTAAAGCTCCACGCGGTGGTCGCCTCCTCTGGAGAAGAAAACAGGACATGGTGTGAGCACATCTTCTCAGAGTTGGGCCCCAGGTCAACTTGTCCTCCATACCCCAAACCAGGGGGAGGCCAATGAAAGAGGGCAGAACCTCTTCCTTGGGTCCCCCTAAGTAGCCCCACACTCGCCTCTGGCAGTGCTGTGCCAAGGGGGAGATGGTCTTAGCACTTTGGGGGAGATTTCTTAATGACTGCTTTTATTTTTCAGTAGGTAATGCACACCTACAGCCCCAAACTAGAAAGACACTAAAGGAAACACAGCAAGGCCTCATCCACCACACCCCAGACCCTCCCAGCTTCCCTGTGCCAAGGACACCCTGTGTAGACAGAGGCTGTGCTCCAACAGGACCCGTATGGGCGACTTCTGCCCTCACTTCTTGCTCCGCACGTCTCAGCCGACCTTCAGAACTCTGCTTAGCCACACCACCCTGGCCTCTCATGGTCATCTTGACTGTTTCCCACCTGGCACTAACTTCTGTTTGCTGCTGTGGCCACCCTGCCTTACAGCCCTTCACATGTGTGTGCTCTGCACATGGGATATGCTCCTAGAATCTCCCCAGGGAGGCCCTGAAGTGCCGGAACGGCTGCCTCCCGCCCCTCACAGCCAACTACAGCTTCACCGTGCATGTCGCTACTGAGACTAAGTGGGCTCGGCACACACCCTCCCATTTGTACTTCCTTGTCTGAGGCCTGTCTAGGCTCCCTTCCCTCTTTCTTTCCAGTTGTTGGCCAGCTGTTAACCTGGACCGACCCCACAGCAGGGACATGGGCCACCTGGGAGGAGGGCGGGTCCACACTCTCCACACTCCCTAGCCGTGCTCCTCCTTCCTCAGGAGCGGTCTCAACATTTCAGGTATGGGGGCGGGAGTGTTGCTGGTTGGACACCAGGATGAGATGGAGGAGGAAGCCAATAAAGTACAGAAACAAAAATATAAAGGGTCAGGTGCGGTGGTTCACACCTGTAATCCCAGCACTTTGGGAGGCCGAGGTGAGCAGATCACTTGAGCTCAGGAGTTTGAGACCAGCCTGGTCAAATGGTGAAACCCGTCTCTACTAAAAATACAAAAATTAGCTGGCCATGGTGGTGGGTGACTGTAATCCCAGCTACTCGGGAGACCGAGGCAGGAGAGTCACTTGAACTCAGGAGGCTGAGGTTGCAGTGAGTCAGGATTGTGCCACTGCACTCCAGCCTGGGCAACAGAGTGAGACTCTGTCTCAAAAATTAAAATAAAAAATAAAGGAATGAGTTTCAAGGCAAGGAGGAAACACTGCAAAATATTTTCAGTTATCATTGTAAGAGTTCACAGTGGCTCTAAGTTTCTAAAATTTCCTACATTAAGCAAAAAAGGAACAGTTGCTGGGAATCCAGGGGGTCTGGACCTCAGGGGGACCCGGGTGGTGGATCCCGCAGACCAGCGAAACCCCAGTGGGATGCACAGGACAAAGAAAGCAGGCAACGTGGGGGTGGCGAGGACTGCAGCCAGGCAGTCTCTGCAGGATTGGGAGGGGGCAGCAAACACTGAAAGTCACGGCATCCCTTTCTAACCTAAAGTTATAGGCAGGATCTTTTTTTTTTTTTTTTAACCATGTGATGGGCACTGCAGAACTGAACCTTATTCACAGCCAACCACAGTTCTGTCATTTATAAAAAGATGCTGCAAGAGCTGTTTGTAGCCACTTGCTCTTTGAAAAGCAGAAGAGAAACCCTCTGCAGCTTGTCCCAGACAAAGAAGAAAGGAAACTGTGCAGCACATGCATGATTCTGTAGCTAGACACGCCATCCCTGACACAGAAACCGCTTCACGGGCCATGCCGCCAGGCTCTTTCAGCAATGCTCTCTGCAGGGTTCCACCATGCAGACCCCACCTAGGCCTGCTTTCCCTTCCAGAAGGGCCCAGCACAGCTCTCCTTGCTGGCTCTGCCTATAAAATGTTTGCCCCCAGCCCTGACATACCCTGGTGCCACACGGGACCTCGGCCCTGGCCCCGCAGCAGCCCTGTCTCCGTGCTGGGTCTGCCTCTGTGCTGGCTCCTGGCTGCCTCTCTCACACACGAAGACCTTGGTGGTTTTCAAACAATGCTTTGTTCAGAAAATGTATCCCCTCCGCACCCACCCTGGGTTCTCCCACAGAGGCTCTTCTGAACAGCAATCACATGGTGTGGAAGGAGCACCCTTTTAAGGCAGGGAGGCCAACTCCAGGGCAGCCAGTGGAAAGGACAAGCCATTAGACCCACTCAGGAAAAGCATCTGAGATAAAACTGGGCAGGGCTGATTAACCAAAGAGTGCATGAACTTCAGCAACAGCCCGTTAGGGTGAGCAGAGAGCTCACACTGTAGGGTGGCCTGCAAAGACCCCAGCACCTGGTGCTTTCAGCCTCTCCCTCCTGCCCCTTCTCAGCACCTGCCACTTTTTTCCAGGAAGTGTGCCACCTCCTCCAGGGCTGCCCTGGCTCCGGCTTCACCTGTCTGCCACCTGGAGCTATCTTACAGGTAACAAAGATCTGCCTGCCACTTCAGGCAGCATGACAGATATAGAGAAAACAAGCTGCCAGTGAGCTGAAGCCGCCCATTCCCAAGAGCGCGAGGCACCCACAGCCAAGTGCCACTATGACCCCTCCTCGGAGGGACCCCAAAGCCCTCACTCTCCAAGAAACCCTGCTCCCCAAATCACATACCAGCAGATGCTGTGACCTTTGAGATTACAACAAGGAGAAAAAAACATGCCCCTCTGGCTGGGGAGCTCAGCTCCTGACTGAGACTCAGCCTCCTTCATCCCAATCCAGGCTGCAGCTCCAGATAGGGGACGGTCTGCACACAGCTTCCCACACTTGGTCCCCACGGAACACAGCCGTGCTGGCCTCAGCCTGTGGGAACCCTGCTTCATGTAAACGTCACCTAAACTCCGCCTTCCCTCAACCCCTTCAGAACTCTGCCTTTCCCTTCGTTCTTGGGAGGCTCTCCCTCATTGCAGTGGGTCAGTACACCCAATTTTGTGGGACCGCAGGTTGCTCCTGCTGGTTTCCGGCAGACCGGGCCAGGACATTCCCACCCCAAAAAGGAGCCATGCTCCACAGCAAAGATGATGGGCTCCTCTCCCTCACCTGGTACCTGCGTTCCCATGCAGGTACAGAATGATAGGGTGGCTGGAAGCCAAGGCATCCTCATACCACATCTGGTCTTTGCCTTGGGCGTTCTTCCACCAGACTGCAGGGACGGTGTGCCTGCAGACAGAAGCAGAGGGGAGCGCAGGATCAGATGTCCCTTCTGTCCTCATCCTGGCGACTGCACGTGGTGTTACTTAATCAGCTCAAGTCCAGACAGCAGGGAGCTGCAGACCCCATCTAACTACAGGGGAACAGATGGGGGTGGGTGGTAGAAAACTATCCCCATCACTAGAATCAATAACCACGGAACTGCAGGCTGTGTGGATGGCACTGACAGCTTCAGCAGGAGCGTTCCCTGACTGGCAGGCCAGCCTCCTCTGGGCCACAAAGGCTTGCAATGTGCCAGTTACCACTGGGGCCTGGCAGAGAAGCAGCACTTAGTCCATCTTGAGTAATAGCATTTTCCTCATACGTGCCCCACATCCCAGTTAACCCCATGCTTAAATTGTCCACAGTTTAACTCACAATGGATTTTAAACAGTACATGCTGTCACATTTGCTAATTCAGCAACACCAATGTTTGTGAGCCAGACTAGAAACCGGGCCATCGCTGACGCCATTTCTAATGTCAAGTATGCACCACCTTCCCAGTCTGCTCATGGTCCACACCTGGCTGGGCACTCTGAAGCTGCTGGTCTATCTAGCCAAACCCTCCTTCAGAGAGATACTGAGGTTAATTTTAACTCAGGCCACATCGAATACTGTTAATCACTGGGGAGGGTCCAAATTAATCACTTTTCTGTAAAGCTTATTCAAATTCATTCTGGATACCAGTGACAAGAATCTTTAAAAAAATTTAATGGCCAACTTCTTATTTTCTAGATCTTAAGCTTCAGCATCTCATTTCTAACGTCTCTCTCTGATCCGTTCAAAAGGATCACTTTTGGGATGGTTCTAGTCACTATGATCATCACTCCCATACAGTTATAAATTTGAGGGATAGGACGTCACATTTTGAAGGTGCTGGGAGCAGATGTGCTTCCAGTAGCCAGCCGCCCCAAACCTGGGCTCCTGACAAAGAGCCAGGGAACTCCTAGCCAGCAGAGAAACCCATTCCTGGGCCTCTCCTCTCAGCAGACAGGCGATGGCCAGGCATGGCCAGGAATGGCCCCCAGGCTCCACTCTAGGCCTTGAGGCCCTCCTTTCAGGAAGCTGGTGGGAGGGTCTGATGAAGCGATGGTGGGGGCAGTTGGTGAGCTGGGCCTGCTGCTGCCTGAGGGCCCAATGTCATTGTGACTGCCTAGGGCATGAGAGTGGGCAGCAGCCGCACTCACCAACACGCACCCACCAACACACAGCAACACACAGCGTGGCTGTCACTGCCTTGACACTTGCCACTGACATCACTAAACAAAACCTTTTCTGGTAGCTGATAATGTATGCAGGAGTTGTTAGTACTTCCAGCCTAAGTCTCACCACCATAAACACCCTCCTGCAATAGGACAGACTCATGTTAACCAAGAAGAGGGCTGACCAAGTCCCACTCAGCAGCTCTGTGCAAAACAAGTCATGCTTCAGACAGAAACCTGAGGAGTCCCACAGTCACACATTGGTCAGTAAATGCTAGATTAAATCAAATCAGGAAGTGACAAAAGACTTTAATCCCAGCACCAACTACTAAGAACAAAAATCTCCCTTCTTGTTTTATGTTCTTTACCAAGGACCACTGTTAGAAATGTCTGAATGTTCTCTCATCCACACTGGGAAGCTACTCACAGCATTTCATTTAGAAGCTTCTCACATACACAGTGGTTTTCTGAGACAGTGGAAAGCGACGTTATGGCTACTGAAAAATAAATTCAGCTAGATAAAAGGGCTGTGATTCAGGCTCACTTCTCAGAGAAAAACGGAAATGCTACAGTGAGGTTGGTCAATTTTAATTCAGCTGTTCAGAAGCACCACTTGTGTACAGAAGAAAACATTAAAATGTATTCCAAGGAGACACAGAGAAGTCACAAGGCTTATGTCCAGTGTAAACTTATGGCTTAAAAAAGTAAATACTCAGAAGACAGCCAACACCATCATCATCAGCTGGTGCGAAGCTATATGTGAAAAGAAATCAAGCTGTTTTCAGTATCTAGATGTTCACCTCTTGGAAAAGATATATATATATATATATATTTTTTTTTTTTTTTGAGACAAGAGTCTCGCTCTGTTGCCCAGGCTGGAGTGCAGTGGCATAATCTCAGCTCACTGCAGCCTCTGCCTCCTGCGTTCAAGCAATTCTCTTGCCTCAAACTCCCGGGTAGCTGGGACTACAGGCGCGTGCCACCATGCCCAGCTAATTTTTGTATTTTTTTTTCAGTAGAGACGGGGTTTCACCATGTTGTTTAGGGTGGTCTCGAACTCCTGATCTCAAGTGATCCACCCGTCTCGGCCTCCCAAAGTGCTGGGATTACAGGCGTGAGCCACCGCGCCTGGATGGAAGATATATTCAAACCAGTGTTTGTGATTCTTCCCTTATATTCTCTTTTTTTTGGACACAGAGTCTTGCTCTGTCATCCAGGCTGGAGTGCAGTGGCGTGAACTCAGCTCACTGCAACTTCTGCCTCCTGGAGTCAAGTGATCCTCCTGCCTCAGCCTCCCAAGTAGCTGGGATTACAGGTGTGCACCACCATGCCTGGCTAATTTTTGTATTTTTAGTAGAGATGGGGTTTCACCTTGTCGCCAAGGCTGGTCTCAAACTCCTGGACTCAAGTGATCCACTTGCCTCAGCCTCCCAAAGTGCTGGGATTACAGGTGTGAGCCACTGTGCCGGCCACTTATATCCTGTTTCTAGCTTCTTTGTTTGCTTTTCGTTTTTCCTAGAAACAAGTCTCTCTAAAAATAATAATCTGTTCACAAAGCCTTTGCTGTTTTGAAAGGCTGGGAATAGAGTTTAAAGCCATTGAATCCCTCAACATTAGGATGGATCAAATGTACTGAGATCTTTCCTTTAGGAAAGGAAGAGGTGAAGATAAAAATGAACAACATTTCAGAGGCCAATGTCAAAGACAGCACCAGCTCAGTCATGTAGGGTCCTTTCCTGCTGCTGGAGGGGCTGCAGAGCTCACTGGCACTCACCAGACTCCAATGGTCACGTCTTCCTCTGGCTGCAGGTAGTAGTTACACGTGTGATTCAAACCTTGATCCTGTGGTTTTTTCAAATCAATGAAATAGGGAACTCTTACTGTAGGAAATAAAGAGATGGAAATTAGGATTACTGGTGGATGAATACACACATGTACACACAAACATGCATACTCACACACGTGCACAGATATGCATCCACACGTGCACACACACACATGCACACCCACATGCACACACTGCAGAAGCTCTCAGAAAGCACCAAGTCCTTTTCCTGTGCAATCTTACAATGGTGCCAGACCTGCAGGCCCAGCCTCAGGCAGGGTATGGGCTGAGGCCAGCCAGCATGGGCAGGGACAGAGACTGCAGTGAGGGCAAGGTCTGTGTAGAGACTGGAACGCTAAGGTCTAAGGTCATTCTAGGTGTGAGAAGATGCAAATGAGGGAAGGAAAGATCCCCAACAGGTCTGAAGGATGGGCCAGCCAGGAGGGAGGCTGGGGAGGCTGAGCCTGCGAATAACTCAGGTGCCTGGTGGAGTGGGAAGGACAGCAGGAAAGGGGATGGCGCTGCAGGACCTGATGACCAACGGAACGTTGGGTGGCAAACAAGGTAAAGGGGATTCCAAAGTTTCCAGGACTGCTGCCTAACACAGAAAAGACAGCAGAAGGTGAGGTGTGGGGCAGCGAGGGGGATGAATCCATAGGACCCATGCAGAGCAGAATGAAGTCAGTGCAATGGCCCAGCAGAAGTCCTGCATCTACCAGGTCATCTGCCAGCAGGACAGCGAGTGAATTAACCAGCACCTCACACTGTGGAAGACCATGGGGCCCTTAGACCTGGAGGAACCTCCAGGACCTGCGGGCAGATGAGAGGAGCAAGGTGACTGTGGGTGCGGGTGCGGTAGCCCCACTTTGTTATTGTAAAAACATGCAAATGAAACACGACCTCCACATGTGGCTGGGAGGATATACAGAAAGACAGAAGCCAGGCTGCTCACACAGCTTCAAAGTGTGTGTGTGGGGAGAATGGGGGCAATTTTTTCCTTATATACCATTGTAGTCTTACTGCTTTTGGTGAACACAACTTTAAAATAAGTTTAACTGAAAAACAAAAAATTTAAAATAAACGCATGAACCCTGAGGTGGGATTTGCCTGCTTTATAAAATGGCAACTCCCAAAAGAGGCAATGACAGAGAGCAGTGTGGGCCTGGCTTCCCTCTGGTGGGTCCTGCCCCCGGGGAAGCTCTGCTGCTGACAGCTGTCTCTGGTGAAGACAGGGGTTGCGTGACTCCCATGTCCATGTGGCACATTGCACATCTAGCCTCACTTCCTCAAATGTCACCAGGCTGGACTCACGAGGACATGGGGACATACACACTCCTTCCCAGAAACTCCCTGAGCGTCTGTCCCAGACCATGTGGGGAGACAGTTCCTACCACCAGGGCTGCTGTTCATACCCCACCTTCTTACTCCATCTCTTTCCCAGGAAGCAGATACATCTTCAAAATTTTAGTAAGAAGTTTCTCTCAAAATAAAAAATGGCAAAGGAGATGATCCACATCCCCATTAGCTCCAGCTGAGCCAGGCTGCACAGTCTCTGAGGCAAGCCACCACCATCACCATCTGATGGCTCCTATTAGATTGCCAGCTCACATGACGGAGCTGGATTTTTTGATACCAGCCTGGGCAACACGGCAAAACCCCACCTCTACAAAAAATATAAAAATTACCCAGGTAAGGTGACATGCACCTGTGATCCCAGCCACTTGTGAGGCTGAGGAGGGAGAATCACTTGAGCCCAGGAGGTCAAGGCTGCAGTAAGCCAAGGTTGTACCACTGTACTCCAGCCTGAGTGACAGAGAGACCCTGTTTCAAAAAAAAAAAAAAAAAAAAAAAAAAAGAACTGGCTTTGAACCCGGCAGCCCGGCTGCACAGCCCTGCCTCCTGGCTGGCTGGACAGGAAGTCAGGGAGGTAATGAGCCTGGCCCCTGAGAGGCCTGGGAGGCCCGCCTGCCCTGTTATGGGCTGAGTTGTGCTCCCCAAAAAAGACTATGTTCAAGGCCTCACCCCCAGTACCTAAGAGTGTGACCTTACTTGGAAACAGTGTCTTTATGGAGGTAATCAAGCTCAAATGAGGTCACTGGGTGGATACTAACCCAACATGACTGGTATCCTTATAAAATGGGGACATTTAGACACAGAGACAGAGGGAAGACCATGAGAAGATGACCAAGAAGATGGAGAAGATGGAGGCAGAGATTTGAGGGAAGCTTCTCCAAGCCGGGAATGCTGCCAGACAGACAGGCAAGAAGGGTCCACCTCAGCATCTCAGGAGGAGCTGGGCCCACCCACACCTCGACCTCAGACTCCCAGCCTCCACAACCATGAGAGGATACATTTATTTTAAGCCACTCAGTTTGCAGGTTTGTTTGAGCGGCCCTAAGAAATAAATGCAGCCAGCCAGGCGTGGTGACTCATGCCTGTAAACCTAGCACTTTGGGAGGCCGAGGCAGGTGGATCACCTGAGGTCAGGAGTTCGAGACCAGCCTGGCCAACATGGCAAAACCCCGTCTCTACTAAAAATATAAAAATTAGCCAGGCGTGGTGGTGTGCACCTATAATCCCAGCTACTTGGGAGCCTGAGGCAGGAGAATGGCTTGAACCCGGGAAGAGGAGGTTGCAGTGAGCTGAGATCATGCCACTTCACTCCAGCCTTGATGAAAGAGTGAGACTCTGTCCAAAAAAAAAAAAAGAAAAGAAAAAAGAAAGGAAAGAAGTGAAGGGGAGGGGAGGGGAGGGAAGGGAAGGGAAGAAAGAGAAGAGAGAGGAAGGAAGGAAGGGAGAGAGGTAGGGAGGGAGTGGGGGGAGGGAAAGAAAGGAAAGAAAGGAAAGCAAGGAAGGCTCTTCTGCAACAGGAAACAATTGAAGAAACTGGTTATTTTACCAAGGCTTTGACTGGAATGGCCTGCTTTCCTTTAAGGATTCAAAGGACTTATAGCGCCAATAAAAGCCCCGTGGGTAAAACTGGCCTCATAACTTGTCTATACAGTCCCCATACAGGGCTCCTGACCTGTGGTAAAGAATGTCACTTTCTAATAGGCCCAGGAGGCCCAAGTTATTTTAGGACCTCAAGAGGAGAGGAATTTACCAAACTCATAGGTATTTGAGGATAGAAACCCATGGCTGGACTCAGCTTTTAAAAAGTCTTATCTGAGATTCCTTATGGAACAGAGTTCTATCAAAGCCAATTCTAGAAGCCTATGTAAAAAATAATTACTTGTGTTGCACTTTATGCAAATAATCAGGCCAAGTATATAATAAGACTAAAGTTTATTTTGCAAACAAATCAGTCCTATAATGATTTGTTTTTTAATAAACATGGGGACTGGAGAGAGAAAAATTATGCTTCAAAAAAAAACAACAACAACAACTATGGTATACCTGTTGTTAGCTGTTCTTGTATTTTTCCTGCAGTTTGGAAGGACTAAATCTTAAATTCTTTGTGGGCTACAAGTCACCAAACTAATGCATTCCAATTTTTACTTTTAAAATTGGGAATTGCACTCCTTACCTTAGTCCCCATTATTAACCTTATAGTACACTGTTCCCTTAAATGCAGTGCTAAAACTATAGATGACAATAGTAATGCCTTTGCCATGCAAGCCGTGGATCCCCAGCCATGCCTGTGTGAGTATGCCCAGAATGTTGCAAAGTGGTTCCATTCCTTTCACCTTGGGGTAAACACCTACCCCCACTACACCCCTGGCCAGCAGGAAGAAGTTAGAGCTGTCTTTGCCCTTTCTCCATCTTCATTAGCTAATGCCTTAAGATTAAGGTGTTATGAAACCCAAAGGGGTGCCAGGCGCGGTGGCGCATGCCTATAATCCCAGCACTTTGGGAGGCCGAGGTGGGCAGATCACGAGGTCAGGAGTTTGAGACCAGCCTGGCCAACATAGTGAAACCCTGTCTCTACTAAAAATACAAAAATTAGCCGGGCATGGTGGTGAGTGCCTGTAGTCCCAGCTACTCGGGAGCCTGAGGCAAGAGAATTGCTTGAACCCGGGAGTCAGAGATTGCAGTGAGCTGAGATCACGCCATTGCACTTCAGTCCGGGCGACAGAACAAGACTCCGTCTCAAAAAAAAAAAAAAAGAAAGGGAGGGATTGAAACTACCATTGCAAAACTATAACTGAGACAGTGAAAGAGATCTGACCTAACTGACTCCATCTAGCTTCTAACCTCCATGCTGTCCTTGTTTACTCCTGGGCATAGGCTAAACTAATTTTGGGAGGAACTTAGTTTATAGTTTAAAGCGAAGATGATACCCTTTTCTGGAAACAAACCTCCTTGCCTGGGGACTAGACTGCCTTTATAGGACTAACATTTTGGCCACAAGATTGGAAATTGTTGTGGTTTAGGAGTCATGAAGCTGGAGGCTACAAGATTCTGACCCTCCCCAAATTGCTCCTGGTGATAAAATCACTATTGTAAAACCTAAGACCAGTGCTTGAGATATTTTGCAGACCCTCAACTTGATGGACCAGCTGGCACCATCCAGATTGATAAACTAGCTCATCTGATCTTGTGGCCCCCACCCAAGAACCGACTCAGCGCAAGAAGACAGCTTTGACTCCCTATGATTTCATCTCTGACCTGACCATCAGCACTTCCAGCTCACTGGCTTCCCCACACCCACCAAGTTGTCCTTAAAAACTCTGATCCCTGAATGCTACGGGAGAGTGATTTGAGTAATAACAAAACGCCAGTCTCCTGGAAAAAAAAAAAAAAGAACACAGCCATACAAGAATTTAGATTTTATCCTGGCAATGGGACCCGGAGAAGGCTCCCGACCAGAGGAATGCCTGGAAAGTGGGTCCACTTCAGGATCTGGAGTGGGAAAGTGAGTCCACTTCAGACTCTAGGGCCCACTCCTGCCACCTCATCCTGGGAATTCACCACACACTTTGGGAGCCTGAGAGCTGCAGCCCAGGGTGCAAGTCTATAATCTGACAGCTGGGAGCGGGGGTAGCCTCCTCAATACAACTCTGAATATCCACACCTGGGGCCCAGTGCCCATCCCACATCTAGACCCACTCAGCCAAATCCTGCCTCTGACGCTGGAACCAGCCCTGACTCTGACAGATGGGGAGTGGGCACCACTGAGGGCCGAGGACACTGGGCTTCCACTGGCTCCGCTTCAGGCCTCACTCAGTTCTGTGTCTGCAGAAGAATGCCAAGCTCTTGGAACACAAACTGTCCAAGAGTTCTGAGAGCATTCCCTGGCCACTGAAAAGTATTTTACAAGGATTAGCAGCTAATCCAGAAAACTTCCAAGCCCAAGAAATCTAAGAACTAGGAACCCAAATTCTACTCCAGGATGGCCTCATTCCAGGAAGCCAGTCTTCCAGTTCACTTTTACTCATTTTAGAAACAACCATGAAAAGGAGGCACAGTGACTACTCTCCATGAAAAGCATCCCCCAGATGCTGCCTGGCACCTTCTCTTCCACAGCAGCACCTCCAACCAGCATCAAGTGGCATGGGAGGCATGGAGCTTGGTTGGTCCCAGGGATCACACAGCCCCAGAGCGGGGTGGCTGTAGGAACCCCGTGGCCAGTATTACTCTAAATGAGCAGAAATGCCTCAAAGTGAGATGAGTGGTGAGACGGGTTGGCGTGCGCAGGGTCACAGGATCCACCCAGGGCCAGAAGCACTGCTGGCTCACTCCTGCAGGCCAGTGCCAGGCGAGTGCCAGGACCCTCTGGCCTCCCACGTGGTCAGATCACCCTTGGCCACTGACTCTTTGTGGCCCCCGTGACTCCAGCATGCTGGCTGGAGTCCACCCTGCCCAGGCCCCTGCTTCATCCACAGGCCTGGGGTGGGGACAGAGTGCTAAGCCCTGTGGCAGCCCCACAGGAGTGGCCTGGGCGGTGCGCCCCTTCATGCTCCACCATTGAGGTCCAACTCTCTCATGGCTCCCTCTCGCAGGCTCTTCTGAACCGGGAGCTCCTCATACAGGCCCCCGCACCATGGGCAAACAAGGCCCACAGGGCTGCTGGGACTGAGGCCTCTGGCTGCTCCTGCTTCCCCCAGTTTTCACTGTCCACCCCCCAGTTTTCATTGTCCACCCTCCAGTCACGTCATCATGTACCAGCAACCACAAACATCAACGGGCAGGATGGAGAATGGATCCTGCACACATGGGTGCCGTGGAGGGTGAAGAAGTGAGAATGTGAGTGAATGGAAAACGACCTGCTCTGTCATACTTCTTTTAGCTCACCTGCAAAATATTTGTTGCGGGAAAGGCTGAAACTTACTGAGCTGTGATGGTCTTTGAGTGCTGAGGGTCTGAACAGGGGGCTAAGTCTCATTCCAATCACTGTGAGTAACAGAGCAGCCTTGATACCGGCAGCCATAAGAGGTGTGGTGTCAAGGGAAAGCCTGGGTTGGTTATTTGGGTTTTATCAAATTCCAATTACCTGATGCAGGCTTACAGGACCTTCCGTATGAAAAAAGGGGATAAGAAAAGAAAGGTAACAGGAGTCAACAGGGACTGCTCAGGGGAAGGAAAAAGAGGAAGCTGGCCCTTTGCTTTAAAAACAAATGCATGGAATTGTGTTGAGGGAGGAGCCAAGATGGCCAAATAGGAACAGCTCCAGTCTACAGCTCCCAGCGTGAGCGACACAGAAGACGGGTGATTTCTGCATTTCCATCTGAGGTACCAGGTTCATCTCACTAGGGAGTGCCAGACAGTGGGCGCAGGTCAGTGGGTACGCGCACCGTGCGCAAGCCAAAGCAGGGCAAGGCATTGCCTCACTCGGGAAGCGCAAGGGGTCAGGGAGTTCCCTTTCCTAGTCAAAGAAAGTGGTGACAGACGGCACCTGGAAAATCGGGTCACTCCCACCCGAATACTGTGCTTTTCCGACTGGCTTAAAAAACGGCACAACAGGAGATTATATCCCGCACATGGCTCGGAGGGTCCTACGCCCACGGAGTCTCGCTGATTGCTAGCACAGCAGTCTGAGATCAAACTGCAAGGCAGCAGCGAGGCTTGGGGAGGGGCGCCCGCCATTGCCCAGGCTTGCTTAGGTAAACAAAGCAGCCAGGAAGCTCAAACTGGGTGGAGCCCACCACAGCTCAAGGAGGTCTGCCTGCCTCTGTAGGCTCCACCTCTGGGGGCAGGGCACAGACAAAGAAAAAGACAGCAGTAACCTCTGCAGACTTAAATGTCCCTGTCTGACAGCTCTGAAGAGAGCGGTGGTTCTCCCAGCACGCACCTGGAGATCTGAGAACGGGCAGAATGCCTCCTCAAGCGGGTCCCTGACCCCTGACCCCCGAGCAGCCTAACTGGGAGGCAACCCCCAGCAAGGGCAGACTGACACCTCACACGGCTGGGTACTCCAACAGACCTGCAGCTGAGGGTCCTGTCTGTTAGAAGGAAAACTAACAAACAGAAAGGACATCCACACCAAAAACCCATCTGTACATCACCATCATCAAAGACCAAAAGTAGATAAAACCACAAAGATGGGGAAAAAAAAGAGCAGAAAAACTGGAAACTCTATAAAGCAGAGCGCCTCTCCTCCTCCAAAGGAACGCAGTTCCTCACCAGCAACGGAACAAAGCTGGACGGAGAATGACTTTGACTAGCTGAGAGAAGAAGGCTTCAGACGATCAAATTACTCCAAGCTACGGGAGGACATTCAAACCAAAGGCAAAGAAGTTGAAAACTTGGAAAAAAATTTAGAAGAATGTATAACTAGAATAACCAATACAGAGAAGTGCTTAAAGGAGCTGATGGAGCTGAAAACCAAGGCTCGAGAACTACGTGAAGAATGCAGAAACCTCAGGAGCCAATGCGATCAACTGGAAGAAAGGGTATCAGTGATGGAAGATGAAATGAAGCAAGAAGGGAAGTTTAGAGAAAAAAGAATAAAAAGAAACGAGTAAAGCCTCCAAGAAATATGGGACTATGTGAAAAGACCAAATCTACGTCTGATTGGTGTACCTGAAAGTGACGGGGAGAATGGAACCAAGTTGGAAAACACTCTGCAGGATATTACCCAGGAGAACTTCCCCAATCTAGCAAGGCAGGCCAACATTCAGATTCAGGAAATACAGAGAACGCCACAAAGATACTCCTCGAGAAGAGCAACACCAAGACACATAATTGTCAGATTCACGAAAGTTGAAATGAAGGAAAAAATGTTAAGGGCAGCAAGAGAGAAAGGTCAGGTTACCCTCAAAGGGAAGCCCATCAGACTAAAAGCAGACCTCTCGGCAGAAACTCTACAAGCCAGAAGAGAGTGGGGGCCAATATTCAACATTCTTAAAGAAAAGAATTTTCAACCCAGAATTTCACATCCAGCCAAACTAAGCTTCATAAGTGAAGGAAAAATAAAATACTTTACAGACAAGCAAATGCTGAGAGATTGTGTCACCACCAGGCCTGCCCTAAAAGACCTCCTGAAGGATGCGCTAAACATGGAAAGGAAAAACCGGTACCAGCCACTGCAAAATCATGCCAAAATGTAAAGACCATCGAGACTAGGAAGAAACTGCATCAACTAATGAGCAAAATAACCAGCTAACATCATAATGACAGGATCAAATTCACATATAACAATATTAACTTTGAATGTAAATGGACTAAATGCTCCAATTAAAAGACACAGACTGGCAAATTGGATAAAGAGTCAAGACCCATCAGTGTGCTGTATTCAGGAAACCCATCTCACGTGCAGAGACACACATAGGTTCAAAATAAAAGGATGGAGGAAGATCTACCAAGCAAATGGAAAACAAAAAAAGGCAGGGGTTGCAATCCTAGTCTCTGATAAAACAGACTTTAAACCAACAAAGATCAAAAGAGACAAAGAAGGCCATTACTTAATGGTAAAGGGATCAATTCAACAAGAAGAGCTAACTATCCTAAATATATATGCACCCAATACAGGAGCACCCAGATTCATAAAGCAAGTCCTGAGTGACCTACAAAGAGACTTAGACTCCCACACATTAATAATGGGAGACTTTAACAACCCACTGTCAACATTAGACAGATCAACGAGACAGAAAGTCAACAAGGATACCCAGGAATTGAACTCAGCTCTGCACCAAGAAGACCTAATAGACATCTACAGAACTCTCCACCCCAAATCAACAGAATATACATTTTTTTCAGCACCACACCACACCTATTCCAAAATTGACCACATCCTTGGAAGTAAAGCTCTCCTCAGCAAATGTAAAAGAACAGAAATTATAATAAACTATCTCTCAGACCACAGTGCAATCAAACTAGAACTCAGGATTAAGAAACTCACTCAAAACAGCTCAACTACATGGAAACTGAACAACCTGCTCCTGAATGACTACTGGGTACATAACAAAATGAAGGCAGAAATAAAGATGTTCTTTGAAACCAACGAGAACAAAGACACAACATACCAGAATCTCTGGGACACATTCAAAGCAGTGTGTAGAGGGAAATTTATAGCACTAAATACCCACAAGAGAAAGCAGGAAAGATCCAAAATTGACACCCTAACATCACAATTAAAAGAACTAGAAAAGCAAGAGCAAACACATTCAAAAGCTAGCAGAAGGCAAGAAATAACTAAAATCAGAGCAGAACTGCAGGAAATAGAGACACAAACAACCCTTCAAAAAATTAATGAATCCAGGAGCTGGTTTTTCGAAAGGATCAACAAAATTGATAGACCACTAGCAAGACTAATAAAGAAGAAAAGAGAGAAGAATCAAATAGACGCAATAAAAAACGATAAAGGGGATATCACCACTGATCCCACAGAAATACAAACTACCATCAGAGAACATTACAAACACCTCTATGAAAATAAACTAGAAAATCTAGAAGAAATGGATATATTCCTCGACACATACACCCTCCGAAGACTAAACCAGGAAGAAATTCAATCTCTGAATAGACCAATAACAGGAGCTGAAATTGTGGCAATAATCAATAGCTTACCAACCTAACAGAGTCCAGGACCAGATGGATTCACAGCTGAATTCTACCAGAGGTACAAGGAGGAACTGGTACCATTCCTTCTGAAACTATTCCAATCAACAGAAAAAGAGGGAATCCTCCCTAACTCATTTTATGAGGCCAGCATCATCCTGATACCAAAGCCGGGCAGAGACACAACCAAAAAAGAGAATTTTAGACCAATATCCTTGATGAACATTGATGCAAAAATCCTCAATAAAATACTGGCAAACCTAATCCAGCAGCACATCAAAAAGCATATCCACCATGATCAAGTGGGTTTCATCCCTGGGATGCAAGGTTGGTTCAATATACGCAAATCAATAAATGTAATCCAGCATATAAACAGAACCAAAGACAAAAACCACATGATTATCTCAATAGATGCAGAAAAGGCCTCTGACAAAATTCAACAACCCTTCATGCTAAAAACTCTCAATAAATTCGGTATTGATGGGACACATCTCAAAATAATAAGAGCTATCTATGACAAACCCACAGCCAATATCATACTGAATGGGCAAAAACTGGAAGCATTCCCTTTGAAAACTGGCAGAAGACAGGGATGCCCTCTCTCACCACTCATATTCAACACAGTGTTGGAAGTGCTGGCCGGGGCAATTAGGCAGGAGAAGGAAATAAAGGGTATTCAATTAGGAAAAGAGGAAGTCAAATTGTCCCTGTTTGCAGATGACATGATGGTATATCTAGAAAACCCCATTGTCTCAGCCCAAAATCTCCTTAAGCTGATAAGCAACTTCAGCAAAGTCTCAGGATACAAAATCAATGTACAAAAATCACAAGCATTCTTATACACCAACAACAGACAGAGAGCCAAATCATGAGTGAACTCCCATTCACAATTGCTTCAAAGAGAATAAAATACTTAGGAATCCAACTTACAAGGGATGTGAAGGACCTCTTCAAGGAGAACTACAAACCACTACTCAAGGAAATAAAAGAGGATACAAACAAATGGAAGAACATTCCATGCTCATGGGTAGGAAGAATCAATATCGTGAAAATGGCCATACTGCCCAAGGTAATTTACAGATTCAATGCCATCCCCATCAAGCTACCAATGACTTTCTTCACAGAATTGGAAAAAACTACTTTAAAGTTCATACGGAACCAAAAAAGAGCCTGCATCGCCAAGTCAATCCTAAGCCAAAAGAACAAAGCTGGAGGCATCACACTACCTGGTTTCAAACTATACTACAAGGCTACAGTAACCAAAACAGCATGGTACTGGTACCAAAACAGAGATATAGATCAATGGAACAGAACAGAGCCCTCAGAAATAACACCGCATATCTGCAACTATCTGATCTTTGACAAACCTGAGAAAAACAAGCAATGGGGAAAGGATTCCCTATTTAATAAATGGTGCTGGGAAAACTGGCTAGCCATATGTAGAAAGCTGAAACTGGATCCCTTCCTTACACCTTATACAAAAATCAATTCAAGATGGATTAAAGACTTAAACGTTAGACCTAAAACCATAAAAACCCTAGAAGAAAACCTAGGCATTACCATTCAGGACATAGGCATGGGCAAGGACTTCATGTCTAAAACACCAAAAGCAATGGCAACAAAAGCCAAAATTGACAAATGGGATCTAATTTAACTAAAGAGCTTCTGCACAGCAAAAGAAACTACCATCAGAGTGAATAGGCAACCTACAAAATGGGAGAAAATTTTCACAACCTACTCATCTGACAAAGGGCTAATATCCAGAATCTACAATGAACTCAAACAAATTTACAAGAAAAAAACAAACAACCCCATCAAAAAGTGGGCGAAGGACATGAACAGACACTTCTCAAAAGAAGACAGTTATGTAGCCAAAAAAACACATGAAAAAATGCTCACCATCACTGGCCATTGGAGAAATGCAAATCAAAACCACAATGAGATACCATTTCACACCAGTTAGAATGGCAATCATTAAAAAGTCAGGAAACAACAGGTGCTGGAGAGGATGTGGAGAAATAGGAACACTTTTACACTGTTGGTGGGACTGTAAACTAGTTCAACCATTGTGGAAGTCAGTGTGGGGATTCCTCAGGGATCTAGAACTAGAAATACCATTTGACCCAGCCATCCCATTACTGGGTATATACCCAAAGGACTATAAATCATGCTGCTATAAAGACACATGCACACGTATGTTTATTGCGGCATTATTCACAATAGCAAAGACTTGGAACCAACCCAAATGTCCAACAATGATAGACTGGATTAAGAAAATGTGGCACATATACACCATGGAATACTATGCAGCCATAAAAAATGATGAGTTCATGTCCTTTGTAGGGACATGGATGAAATTGGAAATCATCATTCTCAGTAAACTATTGCAAGATCAAAAAACCAAACACCGCATATTCTCACTCATAGGTGGGAATCGAACAATGAGAACACATGGACACAGGAAGGGGAACATCACACTCTGGGAACTGTTGTGGGGTGGGGGGAGGGGGGAGGGATAGCATTGGGAGATATACCTAATGCTAGATGACGAGTTAGTGGGTGCAGCACACCAGCATGGCACATGTATACATATGTAACTAACCTGCACATTGTGCACATGTACCCTAGAATTTAAAGTATAATAATAATAAATAAAAAAAAAACAAAAAACAAATGCATGATGATAGATCTGACCTATTTCCAAAAAAGCCCTCCCTAGCCTCTGAACCAAGACATGACTTTCACTAAGAGATACCTTCTTGATCTGAAGGCAAATAACGGCTGGGAAGATATTCTAGGCTTCATAAATGCTGAGTCTCATCCAAACATCTTTTGGATGGAATCAGACTGTGCATACAAGTATTGAAAAGCACATATATTTATGTGCATGTAAACAGACACATATAAAAAAGGTCAGTAGGAAATAAACTACGGTGTTAACAAGCATTTTCTCAGAGTAATGTTCATTTTCTTATTTATACTATTCAGGGTTCTTTTTTTTTTTAGCTAATTCTTTGTTTTTAGAATAATCATGATGTTTTGCTTATGAAAATGTATTTAAAGTAGAATAATGCCTTACATTGTAGGTGCTATGTTTCTTTAAAAGCTTATTTATCTAATTTATAAATTTGGTTTCAGATAGATTTGCTGTGAAGAATATTTTAACCACATTCTGGGGCCCAAGAGATTGCTACTTTTCCTGTAATGTTGAATGGATGCCCAGGTCAGGCTTCTTGTCTGGGCACAAGAGCAGAGGCACCTCCCCAACAAAATTCCAAATCACTGCAGGGCCACGCCACAGACCCCACCTCCTCGGCGACGCAGACAGGCACAGACCTGTAAACCTTGGACGCACATTACAACTGGAAAACCAACAAGCTCCATGCTGCTCCTCTGAAGACTGCCTTTCCTCCCAAAGGGGGAGACAGAGAACCACACTTGGAAGGGCCTCATGTGCTGATAAAACACTGTGGCTTCCCGGGGAGGACAGCGGGGCCTGGAGATGAGGGTCGCTCATCATGGAGAGGCAGGAGGAGTGGGGTGTGGGGGCCAGGCAGATGCCCAGGGGGGTGAGGCGAAAGGAATGTCCAATCGCTGCTCCCAGGGACACTGTTTCTTGGTGCTAGACCTTTGGCAACTAAAAATCTCTTTCAGAAACACCACAGGGCTGGGTGCAATGGCTCACGCCTGTAATCCCAGCACGTTGGGAGGCCAAGGCAGGAGGATTGTTTGAGCCCAGGAGTTTGAGGCCAGCCTGGGCAACATGGCAAAACCCCATCTCTACTAAAAATATAAAAAATTAGCCAGACGTTGTGGTGGTGGGTGCCTGGAGTCCCAGCAACTCAGGAGGCTAAGGTGGGAGGATCACCTGAACCTGGGAGGTCGAGGCTGCAGTGAGCCGTGATCATACCCCTGCAGTCCAGCTGGGGCAACAGAGCCACGCCCTGTCTCAGAACAAAACAAAACAACAAAACAAAATGCCACTGTAGGCTCACCTAACTCCAGTGTGGCAAACAGGTGGAAGGAAATCGTTAAGGATGGGCAACACCTTGGGAGGCTCAGCCTCCCCTTGCCCAAGCCCAGCCCTCCTCTCCCATGCCATGGGGCTGGACCAGGAGAACCCAAAGTTCTCCTCCCTCAGAGCAGTCTACCACCTCCTTAGGAAACCCACAGAACAAAATCTGTAGGCTGTGTGTCTACAGTAGCCCAAACAATCAAGCTAAAGAAAATCTATTCAATTCAAACATTTGCTGGGAGCCCACAATGTACCAGGCCACGCAGGGCAATGCACCCCACACCCTCCCTTCAAGAACCAGCTCATGTGCCTGGCAGCAAAGGCACCTGCCCAAGGGGGCCAGCAAAGGTAGAAAAGCCATGAGGGTCAAGTCTGAGGTCTGCTGATGGTGAATCTGCAGCCCTTGTAGCTTCGTGTTTATACCTAAGCCCCAAATGCTTTCTGGGCTGTACTGTGTACATTTAAGGAACATTAAAGTCAGAAAAACAAAACTCCCATCATTTTGGTATACTGTTAGTTTCTTTTTGAGTTTGTGCTTCTCACAAGTGACAAAACTTAGAGATGAAAAATTCCTAGAAGTTCTACTTTTCCATTAGAAAAATCAAATGCCTCTTAGTATACTACATGTGTTTTACAGTTATTTTAAGACACCCAAATAAAAACTCAGATTTACAAAGTATTAAATAGCCTTATAATTTATGTTCTTCTTACCGGCATTAAAAAAAACAAAAACAAAGAAACAGAAATTCCTTTTTTAGCCAGTCATCTCCTAAGTTTCTGTGATTAAGTCTATTATAGACTGAACACCCAAACTCATAAGCCCAGATGCCTGCAGAGGGAGTCCGGCACCTCTCAGTACCTCCTGTGTTCCTCTGCGGCCTCCTCCTTTCCTCCTCCTCCCACTCCACCAGCTTACCTGCTGCCTCAGCAATATCAGGCCCAGCTTTCCAAGCCTCAAACTCCCAAACGCATAAGGCCAGACTCACTATGTGCAAACCAATCTAGCCACAGAGTGACCCCAGAGCCCCTGCCTCATCCTGTTCTAATGCTGTCAGCACCTGCCTCTCAGGCTGTCCTTCACAGAACACCCACCGTGTGCGAGCCCCGTTGTTCTCAAACCTCGAACCCACAGATGCGGCCCTTTCCTTGGAGCCTCGCTTGTAGGACTGTTCCCAGGGCCATGTGCCCAGAGCCTCTGCCTTTGACCTCATGGGCTTGATACTTCTGCACCTTTCTCCTCCCACATCTCCAAAAGTAAATACACAGCGTGAAAAAACACACAAGGTCCAAGTTCACTCAAGGAGACTACAATACCTACAAGGCCAGCACAAAATTCCACAGAAACCAAAGTACTGTGTATCTGGATTTTTTTAAGGGTATAAAAAACTAATTTGTTTTAAAAAAGAAAAAAGGCCTCATTTTTTTTTAAAGGTACTATATTTTTCAGTGGTCATCTTTTCCAAGGGCAGCTAGGCTCCTGGAATGCACAACTGACAAGGCATCTCCAACATGATGGCTTCAGCTGACTTCTCATGTTGTCAACATTTTTACTCACCTCAGCTGAAGACAGATACGCTGGTCCCCCAGGGCAGTGTAGTCTTCTGTGGACAGAAATCCAGTGCTGGGGAGCAACACTAGCACAGAAAGTCCTCCAGCTGGGAAGGGGCACAGGGACCTTTTTGGGTAATAAAAGCATTCTAGTTCTCAATCTGGGTGGTAGCTCTACCTATCTATCTCTAAAGATATAGGTATATAAACTGTACACTTAAGATATGTACCCTTCACTGTATGTAAACTAAATCTCCATTAAAGTAAAAAGACTACCCCTAAAATCAGACATCACCATGAAAATGAACCCTTACTAAAATTAAAGGAAAAATGGACACATACCACTTACCGAAATTCAAGAAAATCAGTTTGGCCTGTATTCCAGGACATAGTTTGATGAGAAATGGAATGGCAATGTACAACCCCAAAACACAGAAAAGTATCTTCCTCAGGCGCAACCACACGCCCTTTCGCCTGCAAGAGAAAAGCAATGAATAGGTCAGAAGGCAGTAGGTGCCATTTTGCTGTAGTTTGTTAATAGTGTTATCAAAATCCCTAAACAAGAGCCACACATATTTTTTTTTCCACAAGGATACTGCCAATAATAAAAGTAGCCTCCCACCTGCCTTCACTCAAGTAATTATTTTACATAGTCTTTTAATTTGGGCTTAGAACTCTACTGGGGGTAAGAGGAACTTTTTTTCTTGAAAGACATAGAAATAGCTAATGATTTCTTACACTCACCCTTGCAGAAGAATACAGCAGAGAAAGCAGACCCCACCATGCCCCCCACCTGACATCAGACCCCAGCTGTAACCTCGTATCAGGAAAGAGCGGCCTCCTCAGGCCTCCCGATCCGTCTTCTGTGAGACAACTGCAGGCAGGCGTAGGTTACTTATTAGCTCCTGGTAGGAAGCACGTAGACCAAGGACATCAACAGAACCTGCCTGACCAGGTCCTCAGAGAGCAGGAGGCTAAGAACTGGCACGGTGTGTCCTTGCATTTACGCGTGGGCGAGCCCCTCTGTACCCACCCAACAGAGGACCCTTTTCCAGGCCCGTCAAGCCAGGTCGCCAGCCCAGGGTCTCATGACCCTCTTCTAATTCCTCTCCAGCTCCAGAGTTCTTATCTTGTTCCCAAACCCCCTTTCAAAACTATCTCTAACCCGGTGATTCTCAAATTCCTTGGTCTCAGGACTTCTCTACAGTACAAAATTGAGGACCCTACAGAGCTTCTGCTCAAAGAGCTTCTTTACTTCTTATTTGACAGACAGTCATAAACAGTTTATATTTATGATGATCTGTCATATGAGAAATCAAAGATATTTAAAAATGTCTATTAATTCATCTAATAATAACAATCCATTACATGTTGCTATAAACAATATTTGTTATGAAAAATAATTTTCCAATACAAAAAATTTTAGTGAGAAGAAAAAAAATTTTAGTGAGGAGTGACATTAACATTTTTATAAATTTCTTTAAGCCAGAGAGTTTAACAGAAAGATTGACTCTCCTATCTGCTTCTGCATGCAATCTGCTGTGAATCCACATATCATGTGTCATCTGGAAAACCTCACTGCACACCCATGAGAGGAGTGTGAAAAAAGGCAAATCACACCTTGGCATTATTATGGAAATCAGTCTGACCTTACTGACCCTCTGCAAGGATCTGGGAACAGAAAGAGTGCCAGGGGCACACCTGCAGGACCACTGCTCTAACTTGCCATATGACTCTAAACCTAGTGGGACAAGCTATCTCTGGACAATTTCCAAACAGTCTTAAAACCACATATTGAACTGCTGATACAAGCAACAATACAGATGAATCTCAAAAGGACTGTTATGTTAAATAAGACATCCACAAAAGACTGTATACTATATAATTCCACGTCTAAAATTCTAGAAAAGGCAGAACTCTAAGGACAGAAAAACAGAACAGAGGTTGCTGAGGCTGGGGGTGGAGCAGGAGATTGACTGCAAGGGCCAGGAGAGGGTCTTGGAGTGATGGAACATACTTTACCTTGATGTGGCTGTGGTCACATGATGGCACACATTTATCAAGACTCACTGAACTGTATACTTAGAATCCATGAACTTTGCTATATGTAAATAATCTCAATAAAACTGATGTAAATAAGTTAATAAAGCTGACAAACACCTCAATAAAGCTGATGACAAATATGCACATCCGATAATGTAACTCATTCACTCATTTTCCTGGTTCATTCAGAGATCATCATCGAGCGCCTGGCACTCTGAAGTGGTGGACAGTCAGGGCAGCAAAGGATGGCGCCCGCACTTGTGCTGTGCTCACAGCCCAGTGGGCGTTAATCAAGCACAAGGGCCATGGCAGGCTTGGTGAGAGGTACCTGCTGCTGGGGATACTGCTGCTGGGGTTACTGCCCAGGGTGATCTGAGCTAGCTGGGCTACCAGGGACAAGGCCATTGGACTGACACAGTAAGTCAGGAATACAAGAGTTAACTAGATGATGGGGAAAACAGTTTAAAATGTCATCTTAAACGCCATACATGATCTAGCTTTTCAATGAGGGTACATTAATCACAATATTGAGGTTCAAAGTGCCACCTCTGAAGTCTGGTTCAACATCTAACCCATCACTTACTAGCTGTGCAATCTTGAATGAGTTATTTAACCTCTCTGAGCCTTGTTCTCCTTAATGCTTGGTGGGGATGATAATGGTACCTCCTTTGTGTAGGTTCCTGGAAGGATTACACACAGTAACACATGTAGACTGCACATGTGAGTCCTTGCACCAAACCTGCAACACATCTTAGCTTCCATCACCAACTCTTTATTCTTGTTAGAGAAAAGAGCAGGGTCTGACACAGCTAACGGCCCTGGCAGGGAGAAACTGGGTATAATGTGAGAGGCGGGAAGAGGACCAGAAAGACTCAGGACGTTATCCTGAGAGAAAACGAAAAGCCCATTAAAAAGAAAAAAGCCTGCAATCAAGTGTGCCACCACTTCAATGCCTGGCGCCTATGCTTGGATCATCTGCTCTGGCACCTGCAGTTACTTCTGTGTCCCTCCCACAATCTACTTACTCATCCTTCAGCACCTGCACAGATCTCTGCCTTACTGTAAGGCATCAAGTGGTTTGCAATTTTGTGCCTCAAGAGAAAGGAAAGCCTATGTCCACAGAAAGACTTGTTCAAAAATGTTCACAGCTTCAGCCTGGGCAACAACAGTGAAACTCTGTCTCAAAAAAAAAAAAAAAAAAAAAAAAGTTCACAGCTTTACTCACAGTAGCCAAAAACAGAAACAACCCAAATGGCCATCAATGAGTGAATGGATAAACAAACCATGGTATGCCCTTAGAATGGAATACAATGCAGCAATAAAATGGAATAAACTATTGATACATGCAACCACGTAGATGAATCTCAAAATAATTCACTAAGCAATAGAAACCACCTGAAAGATGGCCAGGTCACTGGCAGATTTTCACTGATACATGATTTCACCCAAAAGGTATCTCTATTCATTAGCAAAACCAGTACAGACACACCACATTTTATTGCACTTCACTTTACTGCACTTTGCAGATACCACATTTTTTTTTTTTTTTTTTTACAAATTCAAGGTTTGTGGCAACTCTGCACTGAGCAAGTCTGTCAGTGCCATTTTTCCAACATTCCAACAGCATGTGCTCACTTTGTATCTTTGGGTCAGTATTTTTTACCGGTAAAGTTTTTTTGTTGTTGTTGTTTGCTTTGAGATGAGGTCTCGTTCTGTCACCCAAGCTGGAGTGCGGTGGCACAATTATAGCTCACTGCAGCCTCAACCTCCCAGGTCCAAGCCATCCTCCCACCTTGGCCTCCCAAGTAGCTCAGACCACCATACCCAGCCAGGTTTATTTTTTATTTTGTAGATACGAGGTCTCCCTATATTGCCCAGGCTGGTCTTGAACTCCTGGGCTCAAGTGATCCTACCATCTTGGCCTTCCAAAGGGTTGGGGTTATAGGTGTGAGCCACAACCTCCCAGACTCAAGTGATCCTCCCACCTGAGTCCCCTGAGTAGCTGGGGCTGTTATAGGCATGTGCCACTATGCCCAGCTAATTTTTAAATTTTTCGTAGGGACAGTGTCTCCCTATGTTGCCCAGGCTGGTCTCAAACTCCTGGGCTAGGGCAATCCACCTACCTTGGCCTCCCAAAGTGCTGGGATTACAGGCATGAGCCACCACACCTGGCCTAAAGTATTTTTAAATTAAGGTATGTACACTGTTGTCTTAGACAAAACCTGCCAAAACTCACGTAAGAAATAGACAATCTGAACATGCCTGTTTCTATTAAATACATTCAATCAATAATTAACAACCTTCCAAAACAGAAATCACTGGGCCCAGATGGGTTCACTGGGGAATTCTACCAAACATTTAAGGAAGAAATTACACCAATTATCCGCAATCTCTTCCAAAAGATAGAAACAATCTCTTTTTAACTTATCCTATAAGCTCAGCATTACCCTAAATCAGACAAAGACATTACAAAAAAGAAGACTAAGCTGAGCCTAGTGGTATGTGCCTGTGATCACAGCTTCTTGGGAGGCTGAGGCAGCAGGATGGCTCCAGCCTAGGAGTTCAAGGCCAGCCTGGGCAACATCTTCAAAAAAAAGAATGAGGCCAGGCGTGGTGGCTCACGCCTGTAATTCCAGCACTTTGGGAGGCCAAGACGGGTGGATGACCTAAGGTCAGGAGTTCAAGACCACCTGGCCAACATGGGGAAATCCTGTCTCTACTGAAAATACAGCAATTAGCTGGGTGTGGTGGCAGGCATCTGTAATCCCAGCTACTTGGGAAGCTGAAGCAGGAGAACCTGGGAGGCGGAGGTTGCAGTGAGCTGAGATCGCACCACTGCACTCCAGCCTGAGCAACAAAGGAAGACTCTGTGTCAAAAAATAAAATTAATTAAAAAATAAAGAAAACTAAAGACCCATATTCTCATGAACATAAATGCAAAAATCCTCTAAAAAATATTAGCAAAGCAAATCCAACAATGTATAAAAAGAATTATACACTACGGCCAAGTGGGATTTGTCCCAGGTATGCAAGGCTAGTTCAACATATGAAAATCAATTAATGTAATACATCACATCAACAGGCTAAAAAAGAAAAATCACATGATCATATAAATAGATGCACAAAAAGCATGTGACAAAATCAACAACCATTCATGATTAAAAAGCCTCAGCACACTAGGAATAAAGGGGAACTTCCTCAACTTGATAATATCTACAAAAAACAGTTAACATCTTACTTAATGATGAAAAGCTTGAAGCTTTCCTGCTAAGATTAGGAACAAAGCAAGATTACACAATAAGATAAGAAAAGGAGATAACAGGTATAGAGACCCGGGAAGGAAAAATAAAACTTTGCAGATCACATGACTGTCTATGTATGTAGAAGATCTAAAACTTGGAACTAATTAGTGATTATAGCAAGGTTCCAGGATACGAGGTTAATATACATAAGCCAATAGTTTTCATATATACCAGCAATGTGAATCCAAAACATATTGCCATTTACATTAGCAACCCCCAAAATGAACTACTTAGATACAAATCTAACAAAATATGTACAAGATCTAATGAGGAAAACGATAAACTCTGATGAAACGTATAAAGGAAGAACTAAATAGATATTCCATCTTCATGGACAGGAAGGCCCAATATTGTCAATATGTCAGTTCTTCCCAACTTTATAGATTCAATATAATCCCAATCAGATCCCAGCAAGTTATTTCCCGGATATTGACAAACTGATCCTAAAGTTTATATGGAAAGGCAAAAGACTCAGGATAGACAGCATTAAAGGAGAAGAACAAACTTGGAGGACTGACACAAGCTGGCTTGAATACTTACAATAAAGCCACAGTAATCAAGACAGTGGTGTACTGTCAAAAATACCAACAGACCAAAGAGCCTAGAAATAGACCCACATAACTATAGTCGACTCATCTGTGACAAAGGAGCAAGGGCAATACAATGGAGCAAAGATGATCTTTTCCACAAATGGTGCTGTAACAACTGTACATTCGTATGGAAAAAAATGAAAGTAGACCTGATACCCTTCACAAAAATAAAACTCAAAATGAGTCATAGACCTAAATGTAAAAACAGAAAACTATAAAACTCCTAGGAGATAACAGAGAAAAAAATTTAGGTGAACTTGGGTATGACGAAGACTTTTTTTTTTTTTTCTGGAGATGGAGTCTCGCTCTGTCACCCAGGCTGAAGTGCAGTGGTGCCATCTCAGCTCACTGCAACCTTTGCCTCCCAGGTTCAAGCTATTCTCCTGCCTCAGCCTCCTGAGCAGCTGAGACTACAGGTGAGCGCCACCACATCCAGCTGATTTTTTGTATTTTTAGTAGAGACGGGGTTTCACCGTGTTAGCTAGGATGGTCTTGATCTCCTGATCTCATGATCCGCCCACCTCAGCCTCCCAAAGTGCTGGGATTACAGGCTTGAGCCACCGCGCCTGGCCGATGAAGACTTCTTAGATACAAAACCACCAAGGTATGATCCATGAAAGAAATATTAACAAGCTAGGTTTCATTAAAATTGAAATCTTCTGCTCTGTAAAAGACAATGTCAACAGAATGAGAAGATAAGCCACAGACTCGGAAAAACATATTAACAAAAGTATATCTGATGAAAGACAGTTATACAAAATATACAAAGAACTCTTAAAACTTGATAAGAAAATAAATAACTGGATTTTAAAAGGAGCAAAGGACCTGAACAGACACCTCTCCAAAGAAGATACACAGATGGCAAGTAAGCATATGAAAAGGTGTTCACATATGTAATCAGAGAAAGGCAAATTAAAACAATATACCACTACACACTATTAGAATGGCCAAAATGCAAAACACTGATAACACTAAATGCTAGGAGAATGTGGAGCAACAGGAATTCTCATTCATTCCCAGTGGGAATGCAAACATGGTACACAGACACTTGGGAAGACAGTTTGGCAACTCCTCACAAAACTACACATATTCTTACTATATGATCCAGCAGTCAGGCTCCTTGGTACTTACTCAAATAAATGAAAAATATATGTCCACACAAAAACTTGTAAACAGACATTTACAGCAGCTTTATTAATAACTGCCAAGAGTCTGGCAGTTATTAATAAATATAAGATAACCAAGGTAAGATGTCCTTTGATAGGTGAGTGAATAAATAAACTGGTACATCCGGACAATGGAATATTATTCAGTGCTAAACAGAAATCAGCAATCAAGCCATGAAAAGAACATGGCAGAAACTTAATATTATTTAGTGAAGCTTATTACTAAGTGAAAGAAGCTCATCTCAAAAGGCTACATACTATATGACTCCAACTATATGACATTCTGTAAAAGGTCAAACTATGGAGATGGCAAAAAGATTAGTGGTCATCCAGGGATGGGGTAGGGAGGGATGATCAGGAAGAACACAGATTTCTAGGGCAGTGAAACTATTGTGTATGATACTACAATGGTAAATAAGTATTATACATTTGTCGAAATCTCATAAAATGCACAACATCAAGAGTGAACCCTACTTAATGCAAACTATGGATTTGGGGTGATGATGTGTCAATGCAGGTTCACTGATTCTAGCAAATATGCCATTGCAGTGCAGGATGTGGATAGTGTGGCATACCATGTGTGGTAGGGGCGGGGCAGGAGTGTATGGGAAATTCTGTACTTTCCACTCAATTCTGCTGCAGACCTAAAACTGCTCTAAAAAATAAAGTTTATTTATTTATTTTGAGACGGAGCCTTGCTCTGTCGCCCAGGCTAGAGTGCAGTGGCGTGATCTCGGCTCACTGTAAGCTCTGCCTCCTGGGTTCACACCATTCTCCTGCCCTCAGCCTCCCGAGCAGCTGGGACTACAGGCGCCTGCCACCAAGCCCAGCTAATTTTTTGTGTTTTTAGTAGAGACAAGTTTCACTATGTTAGCCAGGATGGTCTCGATCTCCTGACCTTGTGATCCACCCGCCTCGGCCTCCCAAAGTGCTGGGATTACAGGTGTAAGCCACTGCGCCCGGCCAAGTTTATTAATTTTTTAAAAAGTCAACAACAATAAAATGTTACTCATAGCTGTCAAGTGTCTTTGGACTCCACAGAAAACCTGAAGCACAGGATGAGAGATGAGGGTGGTACGAGAATGGCAGTTAGTGTTCAGAGACTTGAGATGGAAACAAAAGTAAATATTACACGAAGAAATCCACAGAACCAGAAAGAGAAAACTACCTAATTTTGAAACCTTCACAGCTTACATATTAGAAGTTTTATATCATTATTTTTACCAGACAGACATATATTC
Organism: Homo sapiens; assembly: GCF_000001405.40. Classification (NCBI taxonomy): domain Eukaryota; kingdom Metazoa; phylum Chordata; class Mammalia; order Primates; family Hominidae; genus Homo; species Homo sapiens. The sequence continues at coordinate 25,347,220 of NC_000020.11, forward strand.
CTGTAAATAATTAAGTTTTGCAAGAGTCTCATAAGGGACAGGAGTTTGTCATCTGGAAATACTGCCAGCATGCTGTTTTCAGCAGGGTACTCCCCAGCACCCTTCTCTCTCCTGGACTGCAACCATTATCTGTCTTTAAAACTGTACCAGGATGTGTGATTGGGGTATGCTTCTTTCTTTCTCTCTCATCCTGTGAGTTTTTTCTTCATTTAATTATGAACTACTAACTATATTATTTTAATACCTAAGAGTATAGTTCCCATAATAAAATTTATTTTTTCTAGATTCCATTTCAGTCAGTGTTATGGTCAAGGATAAATCTTGGCCAGGTGTGGTGGTTCACACCTGTAATCCCAGCACTTTGAGTGGCCAAGGCAGCAGGACGCCTTGAGCACCTTGAGTTTGAAACTGGCCTGGGCAAAACAGGGAGACTCTGTCTCTATAAAAAAAAAAATTAAAAATTAGCTGGGCACAGTGTGCATGCCTGTGGTCCCAGCTACTTAGGAGGCTAAGATTGGAGGATCACTTGAGCCCAGAAGGAAAGATAAATCTCTTCAGCAAGTCTGAAAATCTCTTGGAAAGGCAAATTCTGTAAGTCTATATTATACTTGAAAGGCATATCAGAAAAATAAAAATGTTTTCATGTTTTTAAAAAAAGTTCACATATGATGTTGGCTGTGGGTTTAGAAAAAAAAAAAAAAAGGAAAAAAGCCTGGGCGCAGGGTCTCACGCCTGGAATCCCAGCACTTTGGGAGGCCTAGGTGGGCAGATCACGAGGTCAGGAGATCAAGATCATCCTGGCCAACGTGGTGAAAACCCGTCTCTATCAAAAATACAAAAATTAGCTGGGCGTGGTGGCACACGCCTGTAGTCCCAGCTACTCGGGAGGCTGAGGCAGGAGAATCGCTTGAATCTGGGAGGCAGAGGTTGCAGTAAGCCGAGATGGCGCCACTGCACTCCAGCATGGGCAACAGAGCAAGACTCTGTCTCAAAAAAAAAAAGGAAAAAAGTTCACAGATAAAAACAACAAATACAAGAGCTAGTTCTTCGAGAAAAGGCAAGAAATAGACTAATAAGTTTTGGGCTAGAAAGAGAATATGAATATACAAAATCAGGGATCAAAAAGGTCAGATGGCCATAGAAGAGATTTTTATTTTTAATAAAGAATACTATGTACTTTGCTAAGCCAATACAATTTTGATAATTCAATGACACAAACCATTTGGTAAAAAAAAAAAAAAAAAAAAACAAATGCGCTGGGTGTGCTGACTTGAGCCTGTGGTCCCAGCTACCCGGGAGGCTGAGATGGGAGGATTACTTGAGCCTGGGAGGTTGAGGCTGCAATGAGCTGTGACTGAGCCTGTGACTAGCCATGACACTCCAGTCTGGGCAACAAAGCAAGGCTCCATCTCAATAAATAAGCAAGTAGCGACAACTCACTCAAATTGTGCGGAAAAAAACTAATTAAACCTTTCTCCAAAGGAGGTATTAGACAAAGCTATCAAAGAATTACATCCCTGAAAGCCACTAATCCCAGAAGGACTGACAAGCATTTCCCCCTAAATTCTAACAAATAGATATTGGCGGTTGCGGTGGCTCACGTCTGTAATCCCAGCACTTTGGGAGGCCGAGATGGGCGGATCACGAGGTCAGGAGATTGAGACCACCCTGGCTAACACGGTGAAACCCCGTCTCTACTAAAAATACAAAAAAAATTAGCCGGGCATGGTGGCAGGCGCCTGTAGTCCCAGCCACTCGGGAGGCTGAGGCAGGAGAATGGTGTGATCCTGGGAGGCGGAGCTTGCAGTGAGCCGAGATCGCGCCACTGCACTCCAGCCTGGGCAACAGAGCGAGACTCCGTCTCAAAAAAAAAAAAAAAAGAAAAAAAGAAACAGATATTGTATCATACAATCTGGCAAAACGGGGAAAATAAGAGAGCACATTAAAAATCAAAGCTGGCTTTAGTATAATGTGAAAATGGAATCAATATAGCACCACAAAGCAAACTACCAAGAGTTTCAAATATGAAGAGATACACACATGCTGGGAGTATAAAAACGAATCAGGTAGGAATATAAAATAGTCCAGCTGCTATGGAAAACAGTTTGGCCATTCCTCAAAAAGTTAAGCCTAGAATTACTATATAATCTAGCAATTCCACTCCTCGATATATACTCCAAAGAACTGATATCAAGGACTGAAATAGATACTTGTAGACCAATGTTCATAGCAGCATTATTCATAATAGTCAAAAGGTGGAAGTAACCCAAGTGTCCATCAGCAGATGAATAAATTGACAAATGAACAGATGAATGGATACACATGCAATGGAGTATTATGTAGCCATAAAAAGAATGAAATTTGGATGCATGCTACAACATGGATGAACTTTTAAAACATTATGCTAAGTGAAATAAGCCAGACACAAAGGATAAATATTATATGATTCCATTTATGTGATGTACCTAGAATAGGCAAATTCATACAGACAGAAAGTCTAACAGTGCTTACCAGGAGTTGTGGGAAGGGGAAAATGGGGAGGTATTGCTTAACGGTTTCAGAGTTTCTATTTGGGATGGTGAAAAGTTCTGGAAATGAATGGTGGTGATGTTTGCACAACAATGTGAAAGTATTTAATGCCACTAAATTATACACCTCAAAATGGTTAAAATGGTAAGTTTTATGTTATATATATTTCATCCCAATAAAAAATGAAATCTAGGGAACATAATGAAAGGCTAACATAATATCACCAAATAGGTTTTATTTCAGGAGCAAACATATCAGCTGCATCAATAGTGAGGATAAAAGAGGGGCTTACAAAGTTAGTAAAATTCAACATGTAGTCCCAATAATAAAACCCCTAGTGAAATAGGAATACAGGACATTCCCTTAGGATGATCAAGTTTATACCTGCTTCAAACCAGTAATCAAACCAAAGCAAAACATAGCAGTAAAATACTAGACAGAGATAGGATATTCACTAGCATCACTGTTATTAACACTATTCTGGAAGTGCAAGTTAAAACAATAAGGCAAGAGAAAATACAAAGTATAACCATAAAAACTGGAAGATAAAAAAATAGTTGTCGTGTTATGATTTGGCTGTGTCCCCACCTAAATCTCATCTTGAATTGTAATGATCCCCATGTGTCAAAAGTGGGGCCAGGTACAGATAACTGAATCATGGGGACAGTTTCCCCCATACTGTTTCTCATGGTAGTAAGTCTCACAAGATCTGGTGGTTTTATAAATGGGAGTTCCACTGCACAAGCTCTCCTGTGTGCCGCCATGTAAGATGTGACTTTGCTTCTCCTTTGCCTTCCACCATGATAGTGAGGGCTCCCCAGCCATGTGGAACTGTGAGTCCATTAAATCTTTTTCCTTTATAAATTACCCAGTCTCAGGTATGTGTTTATTAGCAGCGTGAGAACAGACTAATACAGTAAATTAGTACCCCAAGAGTACTAAAAATAAAATCCTAAGCCCCTCAACAGACTCAATGGACCCCCTTTGGGGATCCCAGAGAAACCTGTTAACAGAATTACAGCAAATGCAGAAAGACATCTTATCTGAACTTCCCTTACCTGACTAGAGCAGAACTTTATGACAGTCAGCTGCCACAAACCTCCTGCTCTGGGAAGATCTCCAGTCAGGCTGATGATTGACCTTGGATACCAGAGCATTTAAAAAAAAGCTGTAGAAAAGCCTCATCAGAGGCTTCCATCCTACGAATCCTTCACACACACACACACACACACACACACACACACACACACACACACACACACCCTTATTAAGCTGGTATATAAACCTTCACCTCTTCTTCAGAGAGCTACTCTCTCTTAGAGTATTGCCATATGCATAATAAACATTTCTTCTGTTGATCTGTCTATTGTCATTTAATTCACAGTCCCCCTAACAATTTGGATCTAAGTTGGTGGAAGAAAGGTTTTTTTCTTCCCAACAGTGACATCATTGGATCTGGTTGTCTTTCTTCTCCAATATGATGGATTCCTGCCAGCAAAGACTTTGTCTTTCACCTTTGTCTCCAAGGCACTTAACTCAATGCCAGGCTCATAGTTTGTGCTTGATGAACCCATAATCAAAGAATTACTGTCCCATGATTAGTGCAAAAAAAGGATCAGAACCACCATCACTTTCTTTGGGCTTCCACTGTACTTAAGAGTTTCACACCTTTTTCTGTTTCACAGTGTGTGTCTTGTTCCCATTGAAATAACTGCATTGGAAGTCACTTTGCTTGACAGTCACTTGGCTGTGTACTGCAGCCTCCTATAACATTTACAAAATACTGATGCTTGGGACTTGCCCTGGAAAGTCTAATTTTATTGGCCTCAAGTTGACCCTGGCCCTTAGGCTCTAGACTAGGACTTTTATTATCATTTAAAATAAACTGGACAGCACGGTGGTTCGCCTATAATCCCAGCACTTTGGGAGGCCAGGCGGGTGGATCACCTGAGGTTGGGACCTGACCAACATGGAGAAACCCTGTCTCTACTAAAAATACAAAATTAGCAGGGGGTGGTGGCACATGCCTGTAATCCCACCTACTCGGGAGGCTGAGGCAGGAGAACTGCTTGAACTCAGGGGGTGGAGGTTGAGGTGAGCTGAGATTGCACCGTTGCATCCCAGCCTGGGCAACAAGAGAGAAACTGTGTCTCAAAACAAAAAAACAAAACAAAACAAAAAAACTACACACTGTATCTAACATGGTGCTAGGCACAGTAAACAACCACATTTGATTATTTTTTATTTTATTTTTATTTTTTGAGACAGAGTCTCTCTCTGAAGCCCAGGCTGGAGTGCAATGGCATGATCTCGGCTCACCGCAACCTCCACCTCCTGGGTTCAAGAGATTCTCTAGCCTCAGCCTCCCAAGTAGCTGGGATTACAGGTGCCTGCCACCATTCCTGGCTAATTTTTGTATTTTTAGTAGAGATGAGGTTTCACCACATTGGCCAGGCTGGTCTCAAACTCTTGACCTCATGTGATCCACTCGCCTTGGCCTCCCAAAGTGTTAGGATTACAGACATGAGCCACCGCACCTGGCCTTTTATATTATTTTTGAGACGGAGTCTCGCTCTGTTGCCCAGGCTGGAGTACAGTGGCAGGATCCCAGCTCACTGCAACCCCCACCTCATGGATTCAAGCGATTCTCCTGCCTCAGCCTCCCAAGTAGCTGGGACTACAGGCACGTGCCACCACACCTGGCTAATTTTTGTATTTTTTAGTAGAGACAGGGTTTCACCATGTTGGCCAGGCTGGTCTCGAACTCCTGACCTCAGGTGATCTACCCACCTCGGCCTCCCAAAGTGCTGGGATTACAGGCATGAGTCACCATGCCTGGCACAACCACATTTGTTTATTAAAGTGATAGGCTAAATGAAGGGACTGCTAATTAAGTGACTATCTGTATCTCTCAAGCTCAGGACAGTGTTCTTGAAAAGCGTATCTATTTATTGTACATATCTATCAAAAAGATTTCTCAAAATTAAAATGAATTCTAATTAAAATACATACAGGCCAGGCATGGTAGCTGATGCCTATAATTCCAGCACTTTGGGAGGCCAAAGCAAGAGAATAGCTTGAGGACAGGAGTTCAGGACCAGCCTGGGCAACACAGTGAGACCAGGTGTCTTAATTTAAAAAAAAAATTAACGAGATGTGGTGGTGTGTACCCATAGTCCCAGCTACTCTGAAGGCTGAGTCTGTAGTGAGCTATGATCACGTCACTGCACTCAAGCCTGGGCAAGAGTGAGACTCTGTCTCTATTTTTATAAATAAACAAACAGAGCCTCCAAAATTGGTGATTTTAAATTAGCAGCTCTATCGCCACCACAGTTCTGTCATCTAATTATGAAGGACACATACAAATAATCTGTAAATGAAAATTAGCTAGTTTAAAAATTGAATCTCTAAGTAATACCAAAATAACAGACAAAATAAATCAGAAATCTCATATAATGCTTTTTCCAAATTCTAGAGCTGAGGGCAAGCCATAGGTGTTTTTTTTGTTTGTTTCTGTTTTTTTTTTTCCTGGCAAACATGCCATGTTTAATATACCTTTAAAGTTAATTCCCAAAGTGTGAACAAGTATCTGTAAATGAAAGTAAATAACTCAAACAAAAAATTTAAAGAATAAGCAAATTTATAAGCAGAATATGTAAATATTTAAGCAGAATATGCAGCATTACCTTCTAACTCTTCCAAAAGACAATGCTCTCAAAACATGTGTTTGGGAATATGGTTATTTATGCAGCACTCAGGAGGGCACACAGATAAAGGCCCCAAAGGGAAAAACACAGCTGAACCTAAGCCTGACCCAGCTGTATTCTGTACAGGCTGGGCTGCTGCTGGGTTCACTTTAGAGCAGGACTGAGAATGTTAGCTTCTACCCCCGGCAGGCAGACCCTTGGCTCTTACGGGAGAGTTGCTGTGATCCTTCCAAGGTCCAGGAAATAAGCAAGCACCCGAGGCATAGAGAAATTAAAATTTGTCTTGGGCCTAGAGACCATAGCCTGCCTGGGCCAACGGCTGTCTGCACACCTTGGGACACACTGCTCACTTCGCCTTCCTGGCCTTTCCTTCTGTCCTCTGCAGAACCAAACTCAACGTCAGGCCGTGGTTTCTGCTCATCAAAGAATGACTGCTGCGTGATCACTAACGTGCCACCACCTGCACTTCAGTGTCTCAAGGTCTCCCCTGCCGCTGACATTTGGAACAGGCTGGTCAGGATACTGAGGATGCTGGACTCTCCTTCGCAGTGGTCTTTGTATAAACCCAAGGGGAATGGGAATTTGGAGACAAAGGAAGCCATCCTGGAGCGGCCAAATAAAGCCTTTAATCTTTAAGGACGGGGAGGTTCTTATTTCAAGACCTAAAGCAAATTCCTAAGTGAATAAACAAATGGGTAGGAATTTATAGCCTCAATAAATCAACTAAGTTGAATGTAGCACTAGATCATATTTGGCAGTAAAGCAAAAACCAAAAACCAGAATCTGGCCTGAAGGGCTGTTCCCACCTGTGGTGCCAGTTCACAGGTGTAGCGGCAGAAGACGGACACAGGGTGCACACTGTCCTGGAGGCAGGAAACAGGCAGGCAGGAAGGTCTGGGGAGAACTGGGGGGCAGGGAGGCAGGGAGGGGGTCACCCCACTGACCCCAGCTCTGGTGACAGAATACGTTCTACATTTTTATGGCCCAGTTTTTAAACATTCTGGTTTTTCAGCATCGATTGCCACTGTTTGCTATTCATGCCTCATAGTCTAAAAGGCTGTACATAAGCCACGTGTTACAGATGAAAAGCTGAGGCTTGTGTACAAGATGCACTGTCCATTGGAACTGGACACAGCCCATCTTTCCTGATGGCCATGATGAGGACCCTTTTGGTTCCCCATTTACACAACCACAGGATCCCAAATGGATGGTGAAAGACAGTGACACCAAAAGAAATCTGACAAGCCAAACTATTAAGTGCAATAAAATCCTAAGATAGAATTGTTATAATTAGAAAAAAAAATTACTATTTTAGAAAAAAAAAATTAACTTGTCTGGTTTCCTCAGCTTTTGACTGTCGTATTTTCTTAGAATGACAGTGTTTGGCCTCCCTCCAGCAGTTCAGAATTAGAAACCTACCCCAATCACATCTATCCCTTCTTTTACCTGACTTTGCTTTCTCTTTCCTATCTCTTTCTTCTCTTTCTGTACTTTCTGAACAGATACTCAAGCATAATTAGACTACTTTGAAGAACAAAGACATTATTTCCTAAGAGGTCTGAGCTGTCAATGATTTTGTATTTGGATCAGGAAACAGGAAAAGTAAAGGTACAATCACTCCAGAGGGCCCCCACTCTCAAATAATGCAGCACATTCCTGCTAAGCTACAGTGGGGTGTTCTGGGCACCACTGGATTCACTGGTGCCACATCATGCATGTACACAACTGATGTTTTCCATCCTGACGACCTGCAGGCTGGACGACACTTAATGCAGCCCCTCCAGACTACAAGAAGAGCACTTCCATTCCCTGCTGCTGCCTATCAAAGAGAAATATGCAGAAAACAAAGATTTTAAAAAACAGACCCTGTCCCCAGTTTTAAGGGCAATATAGAAAAAAAAAGCTGAGCTCATCATGCTTAAGAAGAAATGCTGTGTCCCTGAACTCAATCTAGAAAGCTTTCTGTTGCCACTTCCCCCTTTTTGTTTTTACCATTTCCTGCTAAAAGAGTAAAACATTTTCTTTGGGAAATTTAAAGGGTTTTTTTGTTGTTTTGTACTTTGATTTCCCATACTGCATTTGACAAAGTATAAACGGTTTTTTTTTTGTTGTTTGTTTGTTTTTGAGACAGTCTTGCTCTGTCACCAGGCTGGAGTGCAGTGGCACGATCCCAGCTCACTGCAACCTCCGCCTCCCGGGTTCAAGCCATTCTCCTACCTCAGCCTCCCGAGTAGCTGGGATTACAGGCACCCACCACCATGCCCAGGTAATTTTTGTATTTTTAGTAGAGACGGGGTTTCACCATGTTGGCCAGGATGGTCTCAATCTCCTGATCTCGTGATCCACCGGCCTCAGCCTCCCAAAGTGCTGGGATTACAGGCGTGAGCCACTGCGCCCAGCCCATAAAGGGTATTTTTAAGAAAAAAAAGTTTCACTGCATGCCACCAAATAAAAGTTGTCATTTATATTTCAGGAGGCTGACTTCCTTTTGCATGCTTTGAGCTGTGAAACTGGGCCAATAATAGGAGGTACTGATGGACAGACACAGAGTCCTTTCCTGAGAGAACAAAAGCCATTCTAACAACCAGGGGAGCCCACAAGATCATCTGTGTTGATGAAGCCTGTTTCTATTGATGCAGTTTCTGCGCTTGGTGGTGATGAAGAAGGGCATACCCTGAGTGTACTATGTAAAGCCTTCCCATCAAACAGCATCTGTAAAACTGCAAGGGAAAAAACACATCCAGGGTCAGACATTTATGGTAGCTCCTCTAGGTCTCCACTCTTGCACCTGAGACTGCGGAGGTTTTGCTTCCCACGGGGGCACAGGGCTCCTTAGGTTGCCACATATCAATAAACACTCAGTGCCTGCAAGAGGCTTTTCTATCAGCTCAGCCAGGCAGATGGCCACCTGTCTGCTTTCAGAGGTGGCAGATGGCTTTCCCAGGCGCTGCTCTTGCACACTTTCCTTGCAGGGTGCAGGTCCCTCTGTGGATATCCCTTAGATTACAGGACTGGGAGGTGTGGGCCTTCAGGGCCTTGCTGAACAGCAGCTGGGCAGGGAGTGTGGCAGAGGTGCCAGCGTTCCCTCTGCCAGTTTGACAGTGATTTCCTTTTCCTCCTACTGTCCAGGGTAACTGTTTGAACAACCTGCCCTGGTTCCTTTGACGGGGGAGGAAGAGAGGGCTGGGCCCTCAGTCTGAGGACTTTAAAAGCCCTGCGGAGCACCAGGAGCACTGTGGCAGAGTGGCAGGTGGCAGAGTGGTAGGAGAGGGGTCTCCAGAGCCTCTGACTGTGATGGAATCTGCCCTAATGGGCTGCTGTGCATATGAATGAGGCAGGAAGGGAAATGCTTAGCGAGGCAGGCATCTCGAATGAGGACTGGGCAGTGAGCAGCACAATGAGGCCGCACAGTGCACGCACCTGTAATCCCAGCACGTTGGGAGGCCAAAGTAGGAGAACTACCTGGGACAGGAGCTCAAGGCCAGCCTGGGCAATATAACAAGACTCTGCTCTCTACAAATGAACAAAGAAAGACACAGTAAACTGAACTAAATAGGTCTCCTCAGAGGTTGGGGAAATATAACTAGAAGGCCCGATATTTCCTTCCCAGACTCCAGAGACTATGTCTGGGGTCAATGCCCCCTTAATCCTGCCAAGGGCCTCTAAAACTGGTCCAGGACCCTGTGCCCCATGCTGCTGTCCCCTCTCTAGCACTTCCTCACCCAACCCCTGACTCTCCAGCGCCTTTCAGTCTCTCGCAGGGGCCCCAAATCTTCTGCCTCCTCCAAACATATGCTTCACTGCTATTCTCGAAAGTCCCCTGGCCATCCAGCCTAATCAGGCTCTCTCACCATGTTGTGTCAGACTCACTCCTTTCCCTTCTGTCTGCAACAAAACATTTATCTCTAACATGATGGACAGAATCTCTCCCCACGAATAAGTAGCGTAGCTCTTGTTGTCAATACTCTATCACCAGTGCCCAGAATTTGGATGCTCAAGAAGTATTGGTGGGATGAAGCTAATGAATGAGGTCTGCAGTTTCTATCGTGAACCACTTTCTCATTAGGTAGAAAAATTGGTTCTGTAGGATAAGATGAGTTTCTTAAACACAACTTGGACCATTCAAAATATGTTCAAGGGAAAGTAAGAATTTATAAAAAATTTAAGATTCAAGTGATATAAATATTATGCAACATATATATAAAAGGCAAACATCACACAAATTTCAATCTCACCCATCAACTGACAGACATTCATAATAATATCACCTAATGGCCAGGTGCAGTGGCTCACACCTGTAATCCCAGCACTTTGGAAGGACAAGGCAGGAGGATCACTGGAGCCCAAGAGTTCAAGACCAGCCTGGACAACATGGCAAAACCCTGCCTCTACAAACAACACAAAAATTAGCTGGGTGTCATGACACGTGCTTGTAGTTCCAGTTACTCAGGAAGCTGAGGTGGGAGGATTGTTTGAGCCTGGGAGGTCGAGACTACAATGAGCCAAGACCATGCCACTGCAGTCCAGCCTGGGTGACAGAGTGAGACCCTGTCTCAAAAACAGTAATAATAATAATACCATCTAATGACAGCAGGGGTGGGGGAAATGGGCACTGAGGCTCTCTTGGTAGGAAGGCAAACTTTCCTAATCATGTTGGAAGTCACATTGGCAACAGTTTCAAAATTTTAAATATTCATACTCTTTGACCCATCAAATCTCAAATTACGCTAAATAATTGGACACTAACAAAGGAACAAAAGTTAGACATATGAAAGTTGCTAATAATAGCAGGAAGAACTAGGAAGAAGCCAATTGTCCATCAATAGGAAGCTAATTAAATAAACGATGAGCCCATTTAGCACAAGGATGCTGGGTGCACATCATATAGGATCTTTACTGGCAAAGTCAGTGACTATTCTTCTAAAATTTCCCTGAAGTCATGATATGCTGCAGGCAGGAGTTTCTTCCAGCTACCATTCCACCAACTGTTGGTCTATCCTCATGGGCAACAGTGAAGTTTGTGAAGGCCTCCTAACATTACTGCCTGTTTCCTCACTGGTCTGCATTTTATCCCTCTTTCTTTGCTTCTGTACAAGCAAACTAGCACCATCACCTGCACACCCTCTTCAGTATGTGTCAAAACACAGCAAGTACCCAGAAGAGGCAACAAAGGTACAAACTCCACATCTGCAGGCCTCAGGCTAGGAGGTGGCAGGAGACCTATGCAGACCTATGCAGAGTGCATAGGGTGGCACTCCGGGCACACGTGAACTTGGACCCCTTGTCCATATCGGCCACCCCCCAGAACACCTTTCAGGGTCAGACAGCACTGTGCCACACCAGTGCCAAGGGAGGCTGGCATCCATGGGATAAGGAGGTGCTATGTAGTCATTCAAAGCAATGCCATCTCTATGTGAAGACCTGGATGAAAATCCAGAATATAGTGGTTTTACAGCTTATAAAATCATATGTGAAAATGCAAAAATATAGGTGTATGAACAGTGTGAAAAGTTATAACCAAAATGTTAACAATAGTTACTGTTAAATTAATCTGGAATTATTTTAGCATATACGAGATGACAAAACTATTTTCTCCCAAACAAGTATACAATTACCCTAGCATGCATTAATGATGCCTCCTTTGTAAAAAAAAAAAAAAAAAAATTGCATATAACATTTCTATTGGCCGGGCGTGGTGGCTCACGCTTGTAATCCCAGCACTTTGGGAGGCCGAGGCGGGTGGATCACGAGGTCAGGAGATCGAGACCATCCTGGCTAACACGGTGAAACCCCGTCTCTACTAAAAATACAAAAAAAAATTAGCCGGGCGTGATGGCGGGCGCCTGTAGTCCCAGCTACTCGGGAGGCTGAGGCAAGAGAATGGCGTGAACCCGGGAGGCGGAGCTTGCAGTGAGCCGAGATTGCGCCACTGCACTCCCGCCTGGGCCACAGAGCGAGACTCCGTCTCAAAAAAAAAAAAAAAAAAAAAACATTTCTATTTCACTGTTTCTTCTATACATTTTTAAAAATCAGAATAACATGCTGCTCTAATCACTGTGGTTAATGACAAAATATCTCATATTATCTTCTCATTACTGATGTATAATAACTTTGTCTAGGTGGGGGTAAGCAGGGAAAGAATTTTGCTCTGTCGCCCAGACTGGAGTGCAGTGGTGCGATCTCGGCTCACTGCAACCTCCATCTCCCAGGTTCAAGCAATTCTCATGCCATAGCCTCCCAAGTAGCTGGGACTACAAGCATGTACCACCATGCCTGCTGAGTTTTTTTATTTTTAGTAGAAACAGGGTTTCACCATGTTGGCCAGACTGGTCTTGAACTCCTGGCCTCAAGTGATCCTCCCACCTCAGCCTCCAAAAAGTGCTAGGATTATAGGCGTGAGCCACTGTGCCTGGCCAAGAACTTTTTATATTAAGGATGCTAAATCTTTGTCTGACATTATAGAAGTGTACGTTAAAAATATTTCCCTCTATCATTTGTCTCTTTTATTTAGGATTTTTTAAATTAAGGACCATTTTAAATTTTTATGTATTTCTACTCTATTCATCTTTTTCTTTATGGTTTCTTGATGTTCTCCTCTGTCCTTGAGAGTGGGTAAATATTCTTTTTATTTTAGGGCTTTACACTTTACATTCAGTCTCTCTGGAATTTATTTTGGTATATAGTGGGACGTAGGATTCTAAATTTCTGTATCTCTAAATAGTTACCCAAGCAATTCTTCACTGTGTTTAAATTGCCACCTTGAACACGTTACTTTTTTTTTTTTTTTTTTTTTTTTTTTTTTTGAGATGGAGTCTCACTCTGTCACCCAGCCTGGAGTGCAGTGGTGCGATCTCGGCTCACTGCAACTTCCGCCTCCCAGGTTCAGGCAATTCTCCTGCCTCAGCCTCCCAAGTAGCTGGGATTACAGGCATGCACCACCACGCCCGACTAATTTTTGTATTTTTAGTAGAGACAGGGTTTCACCATATTGGCCAGGCTGGTCTTGAACTCCTGACCTCGTGATCTACCCGCCTTGGCCTCCTAAAGTGCTGGGATTACAGGTGTGAGCCACCATGCCCCGGCCACACATGTTACAGTCTTATGTTTGAGGCTAAAGATGGTAGATTTAACTATTTCCTCTTAAAATGCCACTAAAATGACAGTAAAATTTTAAAAGGATATAAAACCATAGTGGTCAGAATGAGAGGAGAGACACCAATACCACATTAGAAGCTGGAAAACAGAAGGACAGGAATTAAGGTGACAGATCCAGAAAAGTCCAAAACCAGCACAGGGGAAGACAAGGCACATGAACCAACAGCACCAGGTACCCGTGGCGGGAGGATCAGGTGGAGGCCAGGATCAGGCGGACAACTGGAAAAACCCGTCTGGGCTTCTACCTCACTGAACAGAGTGGGGCCACTGCCCCAATTCATCAAGAGACTGAAGATTTATTCTCTGCAGAGGGTAAACCATAGAAGGTTTGGACTACGAAGGCCAGATACACTAAAAGCAGAAGTATGTTAAAGTTTAGAAAACAGTGTGGAGAACCCCCAGCCATCTTCCGCAGCTCTCAGAGAGCTGGAAGCTGGACACAGGCCAAGGTGAGCTTAGCAACAAAAGATACAGGGCCCACCGCCCCTGCAATCCCACGCTAAGCGGCTGCTGAACCTCCAGTCCCTGGTCCACACTGAAGCTTGCCGTCTGCAACCACAGAATCCCCATGTTGCCAGACTCACTCAGGCCCCTGCACTCTGACTTCCCTAGACAGGAAGCTGAGTCTGACCAATCCCAGCCAGAACTGCATGAAATCTATTTGAAAAAGGAACAGTATCTTTTCAATATTGTATGTTCTCATCTAAAAACAAACTGTATCTTTCCACTTAAATATTATGTCTCTCAGTAAAGTTTAATGATTTTCTTGATAAACAGTCTATGCGTGTTTTTTGTTTTTTTTTGAGACAGAGTCTCACTTGCTCACCCAGGCTGGAGTGCAGTGGTGCGATCTCAGCTCACTGGAATTACAGACATGCGCCACCTCGCCTAGGTAACATTCTATGTATTTCTTATGTAATTCTTAGATGTGTATTTTGTTGTTGCTATTGCTACTGTGAAATAAAAGTTTATCCTGTTCCATCTTTCCAGCCAGCTGGTTACTGGTATATAAGAAAGCTATCAGTTGGTATATTTATTTTGCATTTGAAAATCTTACACCTGGGACCGGGCGTGGTGGCTCACGCCTGTAATCCTAGCACTTTGGGAGGCCGAGACGGGTGGATCACGAGGTCAGGAGATCGAGACCATTCTGGCTAACACGGTGAAACCTCGTCTCTACTAAAAATACAAAAAAATAGCTGGGCGTGGTGGCGGGCGCCTGTAGTCCCAGCTACTCGGGAGGTTGAGGCAGGAGAAGAGCGTGAACCCAGGAGGCGGAGCTTGCAGTGAGCCAAGATCCCGCCACTGCACTCCAGCCTGGGGGACAGAGCGACACTCCGTCTCAAAACACACACACACAAAAAAAGAAAAGAAAATCTTACACCCGGGCACGGTGGCTCATGCCTGTAATCCCAGCACGTTTGGAGATCGAGGCGGGTGGATCACATGAGGTCAGGATTTTGAGACTAGCCTGGCCAACATGGTGAAAACCCGTCTCTACTAAAAATACACAGAAAAAATTAGCTGGGCGTGGTGGCACATGCCTGTAATTCCAGCTACTCAGGAGGCTAAGGCAGGAGAAGCACTTGAACCCAGCAGGCGGAGGTTGTGGTGAGCCAACATTGTGCCATTGCACTCCAGCCTGGGCAACAGAGCAAGACTCTGTCAAAAAAGAAAGAAAAGGCCGGGCACAGTGGCTTACAATCCCAGCACTTTGGGAGGCCCAGCTGGGTGGATAACGAGGTCAGGAGTTCAAAACCAGTCTGGCCAAGATGGTGAAACCCCGTGTCTACTAAAAATACAAAAATCAGCCGGGCGTGGTGGCGGGTGCCTATAATCCTATCTACTCGGGAGGCTGAGGCAGAGAATTGCTTGAACCCCGGAAATGGAGGTTGCAGTGAGCTGAGATCGCGCCACTGCACTCCAGCCTAGGTCACAGAGCGAGACTCTGTCTCAAAAAGAGACAGAAGGGCAGGGGAGGACAGGGGAGGGGAGGGGAGGGAAGGACAGGGGAGGGGAGGGGAGGGGACTCCATGAGTTTTGAGAATTTTTACTTGTTTTTTTTTTTGTCGTTGTTTTTTGAGACGGAGTTTCGCTCTTGTTGCCCAGGCTAGAGTGCAATGGCGCGATCTTGGCTCACCACAACTTCCAACTCCCGGGTTCAAGCAATTCTCCTGCCTCAGCCTCCCGAGTAGATGGGATTGCAGGCGTGCACCACCACCCCCGGCTAATTTTGTATTTTTACTAGAGACAGGTTTCTCCATGTTGGTCAGGCTACTCTCGAAGTCCCAACCTCAGGTGATCTGCCCACCTCGGCCTCCCAAAGTGCTGGGATTACAGGCGTGAACCACTGTGCCCAGCCTTTTACTTGATTTTTTTTTTGGAGTTTTTCAAGTAGAAAGTCACTGCAATCAATGGCAATTTTGACTCCTCCTTTTTATAAGGGTTATCTATTTCTCATCTTCCAATAATGTCTAGAACATTCAGAGTATTTTATAGTAGAGGTGAGAACAAATAAAAAGTATTATTTATTTGAATTTCCATTCATTTAACAAATATTTATCAAGTGTTCACCAGGTGCCAGCAGTAAATAAAATGATTGACATTTTACTTTTTTTTTTTTTTTTTTGAGACAGTCTCGCTCTGTTGCCAGGCTGGAGTGCAGTGGTGCAATCTTGGCTCACCACAACCTCCGCCTCCCAGGTTCAAATGATTCTCCTGCCTCAGCCTCCCGAGTAGCTGGTATTACAGGTACACGCACCCACGCCCAGCTAATTTTTGTATTTTTAGTAGAGACGGGGTTTCACCATGTTGGCCAGGATGGTGTGCATCTCCTGACCTCGTGATCCACTCGCCTCGGCCTCCCAAAGTGCTGGGAGAGCAGGCGTGAGTCACCGCACCTGGCTGACATTTACTTTTCATTATAATGTTGGTTGATGAGATGGATGCCTTTAATCAATATTTAATTTTAAGGGGGCAGGCACGGTGGCTCATTCCTGTAATCTCAGCGTTTTGGGAGGCCAAGGCAGGTGGATTACCTGAGGTCAGGAGTTTGAGACCAGCCTGACCAACATGGTGAAACCCCATCTCCACTAAAATACAAAATTAGCTGGGCATGGTGGCACATGCCCGTAATCTCAGATACTTGGGAGGCTGAGGCAGCAGAATCGCTTGAACCCAGGAGGCGGAGGTTGCAGTGAGTTGAGATTGCGCCATTGCACTCCAGCCTGGGCAATAAGGGAGAAACTCTGTCTCAAAAAAACAACAAAAAAAAGAAATTAATTTTAAATGCAGTATGTGGGCAACTTATCAATGAAGAATTAGAAATGAAGGTGCAAAAAAAAGCTTTAGAATAAACAAACACAAGCATCTGCATTTTCATCCAGTTGAAAATCTCTAAGCCCTAAGGCTCCTTGTGCTGAGAATGGAGCAGGAAAACCTCCTCCCCACTACTGTATCCCACAGGCCTGATCATCAGGACAGGTCACAGGCCCCAGGACCCTGCCTTTCAGCCTTCCGGGTCAAGGCCATACTAAGACTCTCCTAAACTAGCTCTCAAAATCATTCGCCTTCACTTTTTATTCAAACAAAACAAAAACTCATGATAAGACAATATTCTAGAAATTTATCTTCAGATGACAAAGGTGCCTTAGTCCATTTTTGTGTTGCTATATTAGGAATACCTGAGGCTAGGTAATTTATAAAGAAAAGAGGTTTATTTGGCTCACAGTTCTGCAGGCTAGACAAGAAGCATGGTGCCCACATCCACATCTGGTGATGGCTTCAGGTTGCTTCCACTCAGGGTGGAAAGCAAGGGGATGTGGTGGGCAGAGATCGCAGAGCAGAGGGGAGGGAAGGTGCCAGGCTCCTTTTACAGGAACTCAGAGTCAGAACTCACTCATTCCCATAAGAGTGGACCCAGCCATTCATAAGGAATCTTCCCCCTGGGTGACCCAGACACCTCCTACCTCCTGCCAGATCAAATTTCAACATGAGACTTGGCAGGGCCAAACAAACCATATCTAAACCATACCTAACGGCCTACAGAGCTATTTTGTTATATTTCCTGTTCCCAAAACATACGTCACTAAATTAAGATGACACATAGAAATGCAAATTAAACCATGAGGTTCCATTTTCACCTAAATCACTGGCAAAGAATAAGAATATAAGAATACTGACAATATCAAAAGAGTAACTCTGGGCAAACACTCTCACACCGCCAATGGGAGCTGCTCTCTGGCCCTCTGAAGAGGTGACCATACAGATCAGGGGCCCAAGTCCTGAGGTGGAGATGGCTAGGAGACCACCAAAACCTTGTACTGTCCCTTCCCTACGGAGTGTAGAGTTGGGCATGGGAATGGCTGCCTAGCTGGGGGCTACATTTCCCAGCTCAACATGGAGGCAGGTGTAGCCAGGTAAGTAGTTCTCACCTATGCAACGTGAGTAAGGCCTCATGTGGCTGGCTGCTGGTACAGCACCAAGTGTTATCCTAACTAATTCTTAAAGATTAATACTCTACATGCTCATTTTTGTTTCTAGCTTAACAATAGCTTTTTTGAAAAAGGTCATATGTTTACATAGTTCAAAAATTAAAACAAAGTCTCACTGCCAACTTGTCACCATGTATCCTGTCCCCATCATGCCCACAGATAAGCATTTTTATTTGCTACTTATTTATCCTTCCAGTGTTTCCTTACACAAATACAGGTGCATGTTCTCATTCCTTTTTCTCATAAAAAGGTAGTATTGTAAACTGTTTTACACCTTGATTTTTTTTTCTATCAACAAGATATCCAAGAAATTTCTCCACATCAATGCTTACCTATTTTACAGCTCCTAACTGGGTTGGCATAACATAGGTTATTAAGCCAGTTTCCCACTGCTGGACAATCAGGTGGTTTCCAGCAATCAGTGCTACAATGAATCACTCTGTACATACCTAATTTTGTATGTACAGATAGGACACTCTTAGAATGGAAATTACTGGATCAAAGAGTAAGTGCATCTATATTATTAAAAGATTATCCTCCCAAATCCTTGCTTCCCTCAGCCCTCACTAACAAAGTGGTTGTCAAAGATGCATTTTCTCCAATCTGATAGGTGAGAAATGGCATCTTGGTGTAGTTTTGACTTTCATTAATTAATAAAGTGTTCACCAGGTGCAGGGCCTCACACCTATAATCCCAGCAATTTGAGAGGCTGAGGTGGGAGGATTGCTTGAGGCCAGGAGTTCAAGACCAGCCTGGACAACATAGGTTTCTACAAAAAATTTAAACATTAGCTAAGCATGGTGGTGTGTGCCTATACTCCCAGCTACTCAGGAGGCTGAGTTGGGAGGACTGCTTGAGCCCGGGAGGTCAAGGCTGTAGTGAGCTGAGATCGCACCACTGCACTCCAGCCTGGCTGACATAGTAAGACCCTTAAAAATCAAATAAATATTGTTAATTCTTTCACATATTGAAGGGTTATATTTCCTTTTCAATGAATTATGCTATCTTTCGCATATTTTTCATTGGGCCTTGAACTTTTTTCTTTTCAATTCCTAGAAGTTCTTTATTATTACACCTCTTTACCTATGAGTTGCAAATATTTGTATTTTGTCATTATTTACATCATGCAAATTTTTTTCATATTACAAAGTCAAATTTATTCTAAGTCTTTTCTTTTCTTTTTTTTTTTAAGAAGGAGTTTCACTCTTGTTGCCCAGGCTGGAGTGCAATGGTGTGATCTCGGCTTACCGCAACCTCCACCTCCCAGGTTCTCCTGCCTCAGCCTCCCTAGTAGCTAGGATTACAGGCATGTGCCAACATGCCTGGCTAGTTTTGTATTTTTAGTAGAGATGGGGTTTCTCCATGTTGGTCAGGCTGGTCTCGAACTCCCGACCTCAGTTGATCCGCCTGCCTCAGCTTCCCAAAGTGCTGGGATTACAGGCATGAACCACTGCACCCATTTTTCTTTTCAGCCATCTTAATAGAATTTGGACTCTTGAGTTATAGTTAGAAAGCCCTCCTCCATTTCAAGACTTTAGAATTTCACTCCTGTTTTCTTCTAGTACTTCTTGGTTTCTTGTTTACAGAGTAAGATATGGATCCAGATTTATTTTATTTCAAATGGCTACCCAATTGTCCCAAAAACCTTTATTAACAATCAAAATCAACCTTGACTCCACTCAACTATTATTCCAACTTCACCTAAAACTAAATTCACAAGTGTATTTGGGTCTATTTGGGAATCTCTGTCCTGTCACACTGGCCTGTTATTCCTGAGCTGAGCACTGTAGCATGGACCAGACCCCACACACCTCTCTTCTTTTTCCAGAGGCTCATGGCACTTCTGTAGGTCATTTTTTTTCTTTTTTGAATATACCCTTGGTACGAGATCTCTGTATATTTTTTCATCTGAACTTCAGAATCAGCTTGTATTGAACAAGAGAGAAACGGATGGGCATTTTAAAATTTGGGATTCTGTTAGATGAATAATCTGAGGAATGTTTTTTGAATTTGTCTTCTCTTCCTTTATATCTTACAACCAACTACTGTTGTTTGTATACAAGAAAGCTACAGATTACAGCACACTAATTTTACATCTCTTTAATAGGGGATAGTGTGTCCATACACTGAGATGACATGTAGTCATTAAAAAACAAAGAATGAGTGTTCATACGGTGACATGGAGGGAGGGCTTACAGTTTTGTGGGAGGAGGGACCATTCATATTAAGAAAGGGGAAATGGGGGGCAGAGAATTTGCCACATATACTTCAGCAATTTAAGAAATTTTACACATTTTTCCAATTTTTTTACACGTAACAAAATTTACCATCATAACCATTTTCACGTGTACAGTTCAGTGGTAATATGTTCATATGTTCATACTGTTGTGTAATCACCACTACCATCCATCTCTGTAACTCTTTCCATCTGTAAAGCTGAAACTCTGTACCCATTAAACAGTAACTCCCATTCTCCATCCCCCAGCCCATGGCAACCACCCTTCCACTTTCTGCTACTAGTACCTTGACGACTCTAGTGCCTCACGTAAGTGGAATCATACAGTACTTGTCTTTTTGTGACTGGCTTACTTCATTTAGCATAATGTCTTCAAGGTTCATTCATGTTGTAGCATATTTCAGAAATTCTTTCCATTGTACAGATATACCACATTTTGCTTATCCATTCATCCATGGGTGGACATCTGGGTTGCTTCCATGTTTTAGCTATTGTGAATAGTGCTGCTATGAACATGGGTGTACAAATAAATGGCTCTTAGAGACCCTGTTTTCAATTATTTTTGGTAGATACCCAGAAGCGCAGCTGCTGCATTATACAGTAATTCTATGTTCAATTTTTAAAGAGACAGCCATATTGTTTTCCACAGTTTCTGTACCATTTTTATTCCCACTAACAGTGTGCAAGGGTTCCAATTTCTCATATCATTGCCAACATTTACTATTTTTTGTTATTTTGTTTTTATTCATAATCATAAACTTAACACTGCAATCCAGCTAGGCACGGAAGGGAACAAGGAAAACATGGAACCCAAAGGGAACTGCAGCAAGAGCACAAAGATTCTAGGATACTGAGAGCAAATGGGGTGGAGGGGTGCTCTCCTGAGCTACAGAAGGAATGGTCTGGTGGTTAAGATAAAACACAAGTCAAACTTATTAGAGTTGTTCACAGTCAGCAATGGTGATCTTCTTGCTGGTCTTGCCATTCCTGGAACCACAGCGCTCCATGGCCTCCACAATATTCTTGCCTTCTTTCGCCTTGCCACAGACCACATGCTTGCCATCCAACCACTCAGTCTTGGCAGTGCAGATGAAAAACTGGGAACCGTTTGTGTTGGGTCCAGCATTTGCCATGGACAAGATGCTAGGACCTGTATGCTTTAGGATGAAGTTTTCATCACCAAATTTCTCCCCGTAAATGGACTTGCCACCAGTGCCATTATGGGTGTGAAGTCACCACCCTGATACATAAACCCTGGAATAATTCTGTGAAAGCGGAAACCCTTAAAACCAAATCCTTTCTCGCCAGTGCTCAGAGCATGAAAGTTTTCTGCTGTCTTTGGAATCTTGTCTGCAAACAGGTTGAAGGAGACGCGGCCCAAGGGCTTGCCTTCGTCAGCAATGTTGAAGAACAGTGGGGTTGACCATGGCTGATAGTACAGGGCTCCCAGCGGCGGTGGCATCTGCAAAGCCTACTTTCTTTTAAAAAAATTATTAGCCATCCTCAGACAGGCGCAGTGGCTCATGCCTGTAATTCCAGTGCTTTGGGAGGCTGCGGCAGGATTGCTTAATTCATGAGTTTGGGACCAGCTTGGGCAACATATTTAGACCCTCTTTCTATCAAAAATTAAAAACCTAGCCAGGTGTAGTGGCATGCACCTATAGTCCCAGCTACTCGGGAGGCTGAAGTGGGAAGACCGCTTGAGCCAGGGAGATCAAGGGTAAGCCATGATTGCACCACTGTAGTCCAGCCTGGGTGACAGAGAAGGACCACATTTCAAAAGTAAAAAAAAAAAATTAGCCATCCTAATTGGTGTGAGGTGGTATCTCATTGTGGTTTTGATTTCCATTTCCCCAATGGATTAGTAATGTTGGGCATCTATTCATGTGCTTATAAGTCATCTATCCGTCTTTAGAGAAATGTCTCTTCGAGTTCTAGGCCCATTTTTGAATTGGTGTTTTGTTGCGGAGTTTTAAAATTTCTCTATATATTCTAGATAAAGTTAAAATGCAGCAACAGCTACCAAATCTAAGAGGCCTAAAGAACCACAGCTTATTTCTTCCTCTAGCTGTGGGTCCAGCACAGGTCAGCTGGAGTTCTACTAAACACATTACTCAGGAACCTGTCTTGCAGAAACTCCATCACTTTGCGACACTGCCACCTCCACACAAGGCTTTAGGGTTTGCTGCAGCAGGAGCAGAGGGCACGAAGGATCACGTACCTGCTCTTAACCACTTCTGCCTACCGAAGTGACACGTCACTTCCATTCAGATTGTGAGACCGCGTCTCAGTTCAAGAGGGTAAGATCCCAAACCAGGAGTGCCAGTGAGCACTGATGTTGTGTCCACAGGTTTAAATAGCTACACATGCATGCACAACACATTAAGTAAGCTATTTTATAACTTCACACTGGAAAAACTTGCTCTTTAAAGGAGCTCTGGCCAGGCATGGTGGCTCGCCCCTGTAATGCCAGCACTCTGCTGTAATGCAGCACTCTGTGGGGGCTGAGGCGAGAGGATTGCATAAGGCCAGGAGAATGAGACCAGTGTGGGCAGCACAGCAAGACCCTGTTTCTCTGTCTCTGTTATAAAAAAAAAAAAAAAAAAAAAAGCCCTTTGTAGATTTTTTGTTAACAAAGGACACTTTTAGATATAAGTGGGTCCTTGCCCTTTGTTTTTTCCTATCTGGAAAGACTGGGCTTCCAGGTTATTTTCTTAAAGAAATGCACAAAACCACTGCGGGAATTCCTACTTAAATTGATTACAGTGGACCCAAACACACTCATCCTTCAAAGCTTTCAATGCCTTGGGGCGCTGACTGTGGGGGGTCCCCTTGAGTCACAGTGATGCATCAGATCTCTCATGCATCCCAGTGATTACTGGGGTACACAGGTCTCCCTGGAGGTCTTGCTTCCCTACTCCCTCAGCTGGCACCCAGAGCTTCCCAGTCACAACCAAAGCACTGGAGGTTGAAGGTGCCAAGACAATAAGGGGGCCACAGAGAAGGTCACCAACTCCAAGAGAAGGCTCTGTGGAAGACTCAGAGGCCACCAACTCCAAGAAAAGACTTCTGTGCCCTCAGAAGCCCACCCCTCAGGCACAGCCGCAGAGTCACCAATGCTGTCAGAGAAGGAAAGCAATATGCTGATGAATAAACTATTTCTCTCAAGTGACACTGGCTCAATATTTTCAACCCATAATAATTTCCCCTTGTAATAGTCAGGATGTATAAGAGAGACAGCCCTAAGCAGGGGCAGGAGAGCACAGCGATTAGAGCATGAGTAGTGGAGATGGCAGGTCTGCCACTTGGATGGGTGTGCGACCCTGGGCAAGCTACTTAACCATCCATGCCTTGGCTTCCTCATCTGTGAAGAGGGCGACCCACCAATCTCATGAGGCAGCTGTGAGCATTCCATGAATTCACACACGTAAAGCGCTTAAGGAAACGGTATCTGGTACACAGTTCTCAATCAATGTTATTTTTATTAATTCTTCTTGTGCCTTTATTGACTTTTTTTTTTTTTTTTGGTAGAGACAGGTTTCACCATGTTTCCTAGGCTGGTCTCAAACTCCTGAGCTCAAGCAATCCTCCTTCCTCAGCCTCCCAAAGTACTGGGATTACAGGTGTGAGCCACACACCAGGCCCTTCACCATTTATTTTTAATTGTTCTGCCTCTACTGTTCTACTTCCTCTTCCTTCCCTCCCATCATGAGCAAGCTGCAACTTACCAGAAGCTATTTCTGAAAGACACTGGGGAGTCCAGGAAGAACGAGAGTGATCAGCTAATTAGGAAGATTCCTACTTTAAAGGAGAGACCACAGACTGAGACACTGGACTGGTGGTCACGGTTCCTACACAAAAGGCCCCCAAGGAGTGTCTATGTCCCCTCTCGTCCCCATGGGCAATGCCTACATTGGGGTGTGGGACACTGGTACCAAGCCGCTCTATCAGGATGGTAGCCCTGCACTGGATTTCACTGTGGCTGGCCCTTAGAACACTGTTTACAACCTGGAGGCAGCAGCAGGCTCTAATGCACAGAAATGCCTGATTTTTTAAAAACCAAAACACCTGGTTATAAAACGCTTAGTAACCATCTTGACTGCTTCATCTTCAACCCTATTCATCTCTCTTCAGAAGTGATTCCTCCCAACATAACCCTCCCCGCTTCCTGACACTCCCCAAAGAACTGGTTCCTAGATTTTTGTTTCATGAACTAATAAAATGTTCTATAAAATGGGGACTGACCTAATATTGCCGGGTTTTTATTTTGCCAAGTAAGGATCTCAGAAACTTGATAGAAAGGCCACTGTCTCAGGGTTCAATCATTATACAAAGTTAGCTTCATGCCAGTTCTCTACATTTATTTTCTCATTTCCCTTCCTCACAGTAAAAAAGTAGTCCAAAATACTGTGGATCCCAAGCTGGTCTCGAACTCCTTGGACTCAAGTGACCTGCCTGCCCCAGTCTCCCAAACTGCTGGGCTTGCAGGCATAAGCCACAGTGCCTGGTCCCCTAGATTTTTAATGTGAAAGCTAAAGTCATCAATTGAAGATCTTTCTTTTTTACTATAGGCATTCAGTGCTATATTTTCACTTTCCTCAAGCATGCTTTCGGGGCATACGTGTGTCTTCCTTTTCATTCCATGTGAGCTACTTTGTAATTTCACTTGTTGTTTTTTTAGAGAGGGGATCTTTCTCTGTCACCTAGGCTGGAGTGCAGTGGCATGCTCATAGCTCTCTGAAGCCCCAAATTCCTGGGTTCAAGCGATCCCACCATCTTGATCTCCCAAAGTGCTGGGATTATAGGTATGAGCCAGCACACCTGGGTGTTAACATTTCTTAAAGCATGGGTCTGCTGATGATGAATTATCTCAGCCTCTTCTTTTTTTTTTTTTAAGAAACAAGATCTTACTCTGTCACCTGCGCTTAAGTGCAGTCTCCACCTCCTGGCCTTAAGTGATCCTCCTGCCTCCCAAGTAGCTAGGACCACAGGTGCACACCACCATGCTCAGCTAATCTTTGACTTTTCGTAAAGATGGAGTCTATAAAACATAGCCAGTTTGGCTATGTTTCCCAGGCTGGACTGGAACTCCTGGGCTCAAGTGATCCTTCCATCTTGGCCTCCCAAAGTGTTTGGATTACAGGCGTGAGCCACCACACCTGGCCCTCTTTCAGCTTTTTTATATCTGAAAACTTCACTATTTTGCCTTTGAAGATATTTGGGGTGGGAGGAATGACAACATAAAAAGTTATTTTCACCTGGTCAAGAATTTTGGACGGATAGCTTTTTCTTTCAGTACAGTCATGCAAACTGCATAATAGCATTTCAGCCAACAGTGGACCACTTATACAATGGTTGTCCCATATGATTATAATAGAACTAAAAAATTCCTATTGCCTAATGTCATGGCTGTAGCGTCACAGTGAAAAGCATTACTCACATTTGTGGTGATGTGGTATAAACAAACCACTGCAAGTTGTATAAAAATGTATATTCATGTCCTAAGCCTTCACATTCACTCACCACTCACTCACTGACTCACCCAGAGCAACCTCCAGTCCTGCAGGCTCCAATCATGGTAAGTGCCCTATACTGTACTGTTTTTTATCTTTTATATTGTATTTTCACTGTACCTTTTCTATGTGTAGATACACAAATACTTAACATTGTGTCACAACTGCCTACAGGACTCAGTACAGTATCATGCTGTGCAGGTTTGCAGCCTAGGAGCAATAGGCCTTACCACATAGCCCAGGCGTGTAATAGGCCGTACCATCTATGTTTGTGTAAATACACTCTGATCTTCGCGTGACAATGCACTTGCCTAACACCACATTGCTCAGAAGGTGTACCTGTTATTGAGTGACATTACTATATTGAGTGACATTACTACATGGCATGACAGCGTCAAAGATGTTGCTTCAAGGCCAGGCGCAGTGACTCAAACCTGTAATCCCAGCATTTTGGGAAGCCGGGGCGGGTGGATCACCTGAGGTCAGGAGTTCAAGACCGGCCTGGCCAACATGGTAAAACTCTGTATCTACTAAAAATACAAAAATCAGCCGGGTGTGGTGGCGGGCACCTGTAATCCTGGCTACTTGGGGGGCTGAGGCAGGAGAATTGCTTGAATCCGGAAGATGAAGGTTGCAGTGAGCAGAGATTGTGCCACTGTGCTCCAGCCTGGGATACAGACTGAGACACCGTCTCAAAAAAAAAAATTAAAAAAATAAAGACGTTGCTTCACTGAATTCTTACTTACTTTTCTTTTAAGAAAACTTCTTTGCCCATATCTTTGTTCCTGTGTGCACAGTATGTCTTTTTTCCTCTGGTTGGTTTGAAGGTTTTTTTTTTCTTTATCACTGATTTTGAGCAATTTGATTACGAAGTGCCTTGGTATACTGCTTCATGTTTCTTATGCAGGAGATTAATTAAGCTTCTTAGCAGTGGGTTTACAGTTTTCACCAAGCTTGTAAAGTTTCTGGCCACTATTTCTTCAAATATTTTTTCTCTCCTTTCTCCTCTTCTTTGAGGACTTTAATTATCAGTATAATAGGCTACCTGAAGTTGTCCCATAGCATAGTGATGCATTTATTTATTTATTTATTGACAGGGTCTCACTCTGTTGCCCAGACCAGAGTGTAGTGGCTTGATCATGGCTCATGCAGTCTTGACCTCCCAGGCTCAAGCAATCCTCCCACCTTAGCCTCCCAATTAGTTGTAATCAAAGGCATGCACACCACGCCTGGCTAATTGTTCAATTTTTTTCTTTTTTGATGAGGTCTCCCTTTGTTGCCCAGGCTGGTCTCAGATTCCTGGGCTCAAGTGATCCTCCTTCTTTATCCTCCCAAAGTGCTAGGATTACAGGTGTGCTGGGATTACACACATGGTCGGAGTACAGGTGTGTGCCACCACACCTGGCCTAGTAATGATGCTTTTGAAAATCTGTTTGGTTCTCTTTTCCCCAGGTTTCATGTTGAATAGTTGAGCTCTTTCTTTAGCAGTGTTTAATCTGCCCTTCAATGTAATTCCCTTCAGTGTAAACTTTACCTCACACATTATGGTTTTCATCTTCAGAAATTCAATTTGGGTAATTTTCAGATTTTCCATGACTCTCCACTTAACTTCTAGAACATATGGAATACAATTACAGTAAGTTTGTTTGTTTGTTTTTGAGATGGAATTTCGCTCTTGTTGCCCAGGCTGGAGTGCAGTGGCACGATCTCAGCTCACTGCAACCTCCGCCTCCCAGGTTCAAGTGATTCTCCTGCCTCAGCCTCCCGAGTAGCTGGGATTACAGGCATGTGCCACCACACCCGGCTAATTTTGTAATTTTAGTAGAGACAGGACACAGGGTTTCTCCATGTTGGTCAGGCTGGTCTCAAACTCCTTACCTCAGGTGATCCTCCCGCCTCGGCCTCCCAAAGTGCTGGGATTACAGGTGTGAGCCACCACGCCCAGCCTACAGTGTTTTAATGTGCTTCTCTTCAACACTAACGTGCGTGTCAGTACTCAGTCGGTTTTCATTGATTATTCTCTTCATTATATACACATCATAGTTTCCTCCCACTCTGCATGCCTGTGCTATGGGCTGAATAATGTCCCCTCAAAATTTGTATGTTGAAGTCTTAACCCCTAGCACTTCAGAATATGACTGTATTTAGAGAGAGGGTCTTAAGGAGGTAATTATGCTAAAATGAGGTCATCAGGGTGGACCCTAATCCACTATGACTCAGCTTTGTAAGAAGAAATGCAGAAAGAGCCACACACAGAGGTTAGACCATATGAAGACACATGGAGAAGGTGGTCATCTACAGGCAAAGCAGAGGGGCCTCATGAGAAACCAGCCCTGCTGACACCTCCATCTTGGACTTCTGGCCTCTGGAATCGAGAGAAAATAAACTTCTGCCATTTAAGTCACCTGGTCTGTGTTACTTTGTTATGGTAGCCCTCACAAACCCATACACCTGGAATTTCCCACTACTGAAGCATGCTGTTCCTGAATGTTCTACCAGTAAATTATAATCTTGCTCTAAGTAGCAGGGACTGTATCTTCTGATCTTTTCAGACAGTTCTTTCCCCAGCCACAGAGAGTTTCCTCACACACGTGTGCTGATCAAGGGGACCCTCTGCAGACCCCAGGGTCTCTCTCTGTGTTGCTCTCTCCTCTCTGGTACTCTGTCCTATAAACTCTAGCCACATTGGTCTCTCCAGATTCTCAGCTCCACACCCACAACCCTGGGAGTCCACGTGGCTCCCCTCCCTGTGCCATGGCGTGGAAGCTCTCTCAAGGAGATCAGCTAGGGTACTGTAGGGCTCACTTCCTTTGTCTGTCACTTCTCCGAGTTTACTGTCCTTTGTTGCTTGGTGCCCAGTGTTTTAAAAATTGTTTCGTGTATGTTGTCGTTTTTGTTGTGGCTGCTATTTGGGTTATTTCCGGGTAAATTCAGCCACCTTGGTCAGTAGTGGAAGTTCTATGTTTCTTTTAAAATATGTCTATAATTAGCTGGGTGCAGTGGCTCACACCTGTAATCCCAGCACTTTGGGAGGCCAAGGCAGGTGGATCACGAGGTCAGGAGATCGAGACCATCCTGGCTAACACGGTGAAACCCCGTCTCTACTAAAAATACAAAAATATTAGCTGGGCGTGGTGGTGGGCGCCTGTAGTCCCAGCCACTTGGGAGGCTGAGGCAGGAGAATGGCATGAGCTGGGAGGCGGAGATTGTAGTGAGCCCAGATCGCACCACTGCACTCCAGCCTGGGCGACAGAGTGAGACTCTGTCTCAAAAAATAATAATAATAATAATAATGTCTACAATTAGTTTTCATCAACTCCTTCATTAATGTAACCATCAAAATTGTTGAGGAAAAGTGTTTTATCATTTAATTCCATGGTATTCTCTTAGAAGGAACAAGAGAGTAACGCCAAATCTCATTCCCCAAGACTAACAGATTAAATTCTTCTTAGCTTTTAGGCGGAAATCTTAACAACAATCTCCATAATCATATTCAAAAGCAGTCAGTGTTGAGAGCAATTTCACTCTACTGAATTGAAAACTTTAAGGCCTTAATAAAACACACAAGAGCAGTCCATAAATGTCTCTTTGTTCCCAAAGAAGAAAACAAAAAATCATGAGGATTCAGTCGGCAGAACTGAACAACTGGGTATCCTACTGTGAGAAGGCCTTATTTTCCTGGCAGAAACAAAAATATTTCACCACTGTGGTACGGCATGTTTTCAGGTGCTTTACACACAGCCACATAACCTTACCTTGCTTTATTTTTCTTTATAGCACTTTATCACCCTTTGAAATTTTACTGTATACTTATGTGCTATCTTTGTTGCCGTGTTTCTCCTTCATGAGAACAGAAGTCCCACAAGGACTGGGATTTGTCCCACTCTTGTGCAGCATTTTATCCACTCTAGCCTTCAGTGAAGGCTAGGTCAACGAAAAAGACATACTTGCTAAATGGATGGAAGAACACAGGAGCAATACTCTCAACACAGGCCACACTGTTCACAGCAATTATCCAGAGGGAGTTTCACTTTCTCTGTTTTAAATTTTTATTAAGAACTCTTTATTACTTTGGAATCAGAAAAAAAAATCAAACTGTTTGAGAGAGGAACAGAGTGAGAGAGAGAGGGCCCCTCAGAGGCCGCCCTTCACCACAGCTATGACATCTCCCAGGCGACCTCATACCTGGAGATGCTTCCCTGGGCCCTGGCAGAATCTCCTTCAGCTTTTTCCTGAGGCTCTGGGGCTGCACTGGCAGCCTCCCAGCTGGCCTGTACTGGCCTAACAGTCCCTTCCTCCTGGAACCCTAAGCCAGATATTGAATGTCCTAGAATGGCAGTCTTTTTTGCTTGCCTTCTTGTAGGTTATGCCATGATGTGCCTTGTCAAGGTGTCCTGTGTCCCCAAACTGAGAATTTTTCTCATGTCTTTAGATGGCTCTATTGGCCAGCAATGCATTTTGCATTACATCCTGTCAAGCAAGAGGCTAAGAGACCTATTCTTAGTCAGTTTTTTGTTTCTATAATTAAATAACTGAGGTCAGTAATTTATAAAGAAGGAAATTTATTTCTTAGCATTCTGGAGGCTGGGAAGTCCAAGGTCAAGGGGCCATATCTGGTGAGGACCTTCTTGCTGGTGGGGACTCCGAAGAGTCCCAAGGTGGCTCAGGGCATCACATGGTAATGGGGATCAGAGGAGATGGCCACACTGCCTTTTACAACAGTGATAACTCTCATGATAACTAACCCAAACCCTCAATAAACCATTAATCTATGAATGGATTCATCCACTCATGAGAGCAAAGCCCTCATGACCCAATCACCTCCCAAAGGTCCCACCTCTAGTTTTTTTGTTTGTTTGTTTTGAGATGGAATCTTGCTCTGTCACCCAGGCTGGAGTACAGTGGCGTGATCTCGGCTCACTGCAACTTCTGCCTTCCAGGTTCAAGCGATTCTCCTGCCTCAGCCTCCCAAGTAGCTGGGATTACAGGCGTGTGCCACCACACCCAGCTAATTTTTGTATTTTTAGGATAGACGGGGTTTCACCATGTTGGCCAGGATGGTCTTGATCTCTTGATCTCGTGTTCCGCCCACCTCAGCCTCCCAAAGTGCTGGGATGACAGGCGTGGGCCACCGCGTCCGGCCAGGTCCCACTTCTTATATGTAGTTAGTACTACATTGAGGACCAAGATTCCAATACTTTCCAACACATGAAATTTTCGGGGACACATTTAAACCATTAAACCATCAAGCCATAGCAGATACCCTGAAGATAAATCAGTACATAAAAATGTCAGAGCAACACAGGAGTCTTTAAGAAAGGATAAATGTGAATGAAGGTAGACTAACCTTCTCCAGCCATCCCTGTATTTTCTCTTTGCCAAAGGCATCATCAAAGCCTGAGTATGCAAGAGCTGATGGTTGCCAAGCATAAAACATGACAGACAACTAGCTCCCTGAGGACAGGTACTATCTCCTTGTATCCCCAGGGCCTGGCACAACATCTGGCAAACAGCAGGAATACAGTAGCTACTGAATAAAATGACCTATGGGCACTTGGCATTGACAGGGCCACTTTCAGGTAGGAGCAATGTGGTTATCCAGGACCAGGAGTGGCAAAGGTCAAGGATGAAGGGGTAGGGCATATATGATGTACACATTATGAGGAGAAAAAAATAGTTGAAAGTTAAAAGCCATATCTATTCTAGTGATCTGAACTACCACATCAAAATGACCGGCATTGACCCTGAACATTCTTACCTTCCCATTACGAACAGTTCAGTCAATATACCCCAAGCTTTGTTTGAAGACTCCACCAGCCTGATAAGAACTGAAGATAATTTGAACTTTTTTTTTTTTTTTTTTTTACCATGAAGCTCAGGACAACTTCAGGCTTCAAGAACAAACCCTAAGTTTCAGCACCCCTGAGGTATGCGTGTATTCCCTCACTGACAGCCGTGTCCACGTTCACCTTTACAAACCCAAAAGTCCTGGCTTTCTCAGCCTTTCCCACACCAACACCCATCTGCCCTCTGCTCTCATTATGTCAGGACATTTTCTTATCCGCTAAACTTATCACAAGTGAATGAGGCAACTCAGCCCACAACTACCATATGAAGATTAATTCTATTTAACAATGAAGACACTTAGCAATCTGTGTACCAGCAAGCCCTGGGGGCCGAGAGTTCTGCCTGGTCCCACCTGATCACTCTGTCATGACCTCAGTTCATGTGAACCTTTCGCCCACCTTCGTCTCAAACCCAGCCCTGAGACCCTCCATGCTGGGATGTGTGCAGGGACCCCGTGCAGGCTTCCCAGAGCAGGGGAGCACTCAACTATGCAGAACATGTCAACTCCACAGATACACAGCAGGTCGTGACTGAAATGACTTCCCAAGGGAACTGTCCTTGTCATCCTTTTTAAAAACATTAAATGTCAGAAAGACGATATGAGAGCTCAGACTGCGCCCACGTGGGGAACTGAGAGAGAGAGGCCCAGTACCTCCTTTTCCCTCTGCCCTCCTAGCAGATGGCCTTGCTGCTTATTTCCTAAGGACAGCACAAGCACTCAGAAGAGAACTGGCAGATTCCTTCACCCACAAATAGATCAACTTACCCATGTCTTTCCCCACAGCCTTGGCCTTCCTTCCTATCTGAGGGGAACTCCTCTGCTCAGCCTCAGAACACTGGGTCCCATCCCTTCTCACAGGCCCAGAGACATCACTGCACCTACTCTGTCCCATGCCGTCCATCTTCTCCTCTCCCCTGGATTATTCCCATGCACACTCCAGACTGCTCTAATATTGCACAATTATGATATCATAATTATCAATATAATAGGCTGCTTGAAGTTATCCTATAGCATAGTGATGCTTTTATTTATTTATATATTTTTTTGAGACAGGGTGTCACTCTGTTGCCCAGACCAGAGTGCAGTGGCTTGATCATGGCTCACACAGTCTTGACCTCCCGGGCTCAAGCAATCATGCACGCCATGCCTGGCTAATTCTTTTTTTTTTTGGTCTAGATGAGGTCTCCCTTCATTGCCCAGGCTGGTCTCAGATTCCTGGGCTCAAGTGATCCTCCTTCTTTATCCTCCCAAAGTGCTAGGATTACAGGTATGCTGGGATTACAGGCATGGCAGGAGTACAGGTGTGTGCCACCGCACCTGGCCTTGTAACGATGCTTTTGAAAATTTGTTTGGTTCTCTTTTCCCCAGGTTTCACATTGAATAGTTGAGCCCTTTCTTTAGCAGTGTTTAATCTGCCCTTCAGTGTAATTCCCTTCAGTGTAACCTTTATCTCACACATTGTGGTTTTCATCTTTAGAAATTCCATTTCAGTAATTTTCAGGTTTTCCATAACTCCACTTAACTTCTGGAACACATGGAATACAATTACCATTGAGTGGTTTCTTTTGTTGTTTTTTTGAGATGGAGTTTCGCTCTTGTTGCCCAGGCTGGAATGCAATGGCGCGATTTTGGCTAATATATCACATAACTATCATAATATCATAATTATCAATATAGTGGGCTGCCTGAAGTTGTCCTATGGCATAGTGATGCTTTTATTATTTATTTATTTTTTGATATCTAATATCACTGCTAAGAAAACTCACCCCCTCCAGCCATCCCTCCCTGTCTTTCCCCCTTTACTGCACAGCTCCCTGGAAAAGCTACCTGCATTTCCTCTCTCCACTTCTTCCTTGAGCCCTCACCATTAGGCTTTTGCTCCCACCACTGCAGTAAGCCACTCCTGTCAATACTGATCTCGTGTCACCAAATCCAATTGCAGATCAGGCTTTCTTCTGCAACAGGCCTTCTTTAGGTGGCTGCCTTGACACCTTTTCCCAGCAATCCTTCTAACTCATTGCCCAGGTCCTGACTCCTCTGTCCTGACTTGTCTGCTGGGAGAGTCTGCTGCAAGGGTCTAGGTACCACCTGTCACAGCCATGGTCAGGTACAGGCCCTAACCTCCCCCTTGAACTCTATCCCCTATCCACCTGGATGTTTAACAGGCACCTCAATATGTCCAAAACCAAACATTACTTCTCCTGCCCCAAAGCACTTGCTCTTTCCACATCTGTCCCCATCTCAGTATCTGGCAACTCCATTCTTCCTGTTGCTCAGAAAGTAGTTTGTGAATCCAGAATCACATGCCTCTTCTTATCTCCACAGCTGCTGTCCCGGCCTGAGCCCCTGTCATCTCTTGCCTGGATGACCCTGGCAGCCCCTAGCCGGTCTCCCTGCTTGCCCACCGCAGTCTGTGCTTGTCACACAGTCAGAGTGACATGATGACACACACCATGCCATTTCTCTAGCAGCCAGTGGCATCCATTCACATGTCTCCTTGTCAGAAACATCCCCTGTACACCCAGACTGTGCACACACAGCCACAGGGCCTCATCTGCGGCTATTCCCTCACTGGCACCATTTTCCTCCTTAGTGCCCTAAGCACATGACATCATGTGTTTCTTCATGTTTTATCTGCCTCCCCTACCAGAATGTAAAGGCCAGGAGAACTGCAACGGCCTCAGCATTCACAGGTGTTACTGGGCGTAACAGGTACTCAAACTGTTAAATGAGTGGCTGGAAAAAAGTGTTAAATAAGCAAATAGTATTGCTACAAATGCTCTAATACCAACAGACACATTAACTGATCAGGATGGACCCTATATGCACGACTGGCTGAGAAGCCAGACTCTTAATTGTTTGGGGCAGAAAAGGGTAGAAGAAAATCCTTCTAGACATGAGCTAACAGATCTTTCTCAGTACCCTCTTTTTTTTTTTTTTTCCTTGTTTTGTTTTTGAGACAAAGTCTCGCTCTGTCACCCAAGCTGGAGTGCAGTGGTGCAATCTCGGCTCACTGCAGCCTCCACCTCCTGGGTTCAAGCGATTCTCCTGCCTCAGCCTCCCAGGATTACAGGAGATAATCCCTCACCTGGGATTACAGGTGCTCACAACCTCACCTGGCTAATTTTTGTCTTTTTAGTAGAGATGGTGTTTCACCACGTTGGCCAGGCTGGTCCTGAACTCCTGAACTCAAGTGATCTGCCTGCCTCGGCCTCCCAAAGTGCTGGGATTACAGGCATGAGCCACCACACTGGCCAGTACCCTGAGCTCTTAATATTATAATCATCATGGGGCTAGTCATCTAGAAGATGTCACTGACCAAGCACTCACCATGTGCCAGGAACATTCCACACACCTGGGCCTCACCACAATCCTACAGGGAAGACACTCTTATCCCTACATCACAGATGAAGAAACAAACTCAGAGTGTTACACAACTCACCCAAGCCAGAGAATCTGAAAACTCACCTGAGACCTGGGTCTCTATGAAGGCTATCCTCTGAAGCAGTAAATCACAATACAAAGGGGCTGAGGCCTAAATGAGAAGTCTTGCTGGTAATGGGACAGTTTGGTTCCGGCATCCTGGCTCTTGGCCCCTGTTCACTGACTGACACTCTAGACGCTGGCTCTCGGTGTGGCACGAGATAGATGGCTTACCCACTCTCATGCTGAAAGGGCCCCTGCCAAAGCACAAGCACACTGAGACCAAAGTCCTGTGGCGTCATCTCTGGGTGAAGAGCATTGACTTCATCTGTCAGCTTTTGAGGTTATATTTCAATAAACATTTTCCCTGCAGATTTCACTCTGGAAGGACAAGTGTTCTAATGGAAGAGGAGAGAAAGGAGGGGAACGAAGAGGAGGAGAAGTTGCAGCAGCGGGAGTCTGAAATGAGGTCCTGTCTCCATCGCTGTTAGCACAAACCTGACAAGATGACCCATCTTCCAT
The DNA here is from genome assembly GCF_000001405.40 of Homo sapiens. NCBI lineage: Eukaryota > Metazoa > Chordata > Mammalia > Primates > Hominidae > Homo > Homo sapiens. The sequence continues at coordinate 25,382,646 of NC_000020.11, forward strand.
GCCTCTCTCCAAGGCTTCCTCCATGAAAGTGCCTCAGGTGCTTTCAGCCTGCCCAAAGATACCCCTCACAGTTCAGGCCTGTCTGCCAAAGTCACCATAGAAGGCGGACACTCCCTTGGGAAGGGTCACTGTGGCTGAAAGGAACTAGGAACCAAGCAGAGATACAGGATGCAGAGTCCTAATAAAGCAGAAGGCAGTGGCAAAGCACCAAGTCCCAGTGTGGCCAGTCCCTGGCTGGAGTGCAGCATTGATAAGGTACACTGAGTTAGGAAGAGGAAAACCAGTACCAGTTGAGGGGGGGGGCCAGCTATGGCGCCATAAACAAAGCCAGCCCCATGCCTTGTCACAGTCCTGGCCCAGACTGTACTGAGGGTGGAGCAAAAGGAAAAAGGAGATGGATGAAGCAGACTTTAACCACAAAAGCTAGCTCAGAACTCGCTCCCATCTTCCTAATCTGTAAAGAAAAGATGAAGAGATACCATACAGGGACACTTAGAGGGTGAGGTTGATACTGAACCTCGGGAAGGCTGACACTGAAGAAGACAGATGTTAACCTCAGCCACCCACTCTTCTGGGTTAGGGGGAAGCCATTAGCAACCTTGGATAAAGTATCTTCTTTGGGTAAAGGAAGAAATAGGTGTGATGACTATGTTCTTTGGCATTTACGTATGAGGGTGATCTGGCTATGAAACCTCCCATGCAGCCCACTGATCTCTGTCAATCCAGCAGATCTGGCCTGTCGGTTGGGAGTTGGAGGATAAAGACTAGGTAACACACAGACCGTGTACATCTCATGACTGCCTTCTCAGGGTCCAAATTAGACCAGTCATGCCTTCAATGCACATTCCCAACAATTCCAGGGCTAATGAAAGGCCCACAAAATCCCTCATTTGGGCTGGGCGCGGTGGCTCACGCCTGTAATCCCAGCACTTTGGGAAGCCGAGGCAGGCGGATCACAAGGTCAGGAGTTCAAGACCAGCCTGGCCAATATGGTGAAACCCCGTCTCTACTAAAAATATAAAAATTAAGGCCGGGCACAGTGGCTCACCCCTGTAATCCCAGTACTTTGGGAGGCCAAGGTGGGCGGATCATGAGGTCAGGAGTTCAAGATCAGCCTGACCAACATGGTGAAACCTCGTCCCTACTAAAAATACAAAAAATTAGCCAGGTATGGTGGCGTGCACCTGTAATCCCAGCTACTCGGGAGGTTGAGGCGGGAGAATCACTTGAACCTGGCACACGGAGGTTGCAGTGAGCCGAGATCACGCCACTGCCCTCCAGCCTGGGCAACAGAGGGAGACTCTTTCTCAAAAAAAAAAAAAAAAAAAAGAAAAAAAAGAAAAAAAATTAGCCGGGCATGGTGGCGGGCGCCCATAGTCCCAGCTACTCAGGAGGCTGAGGCAGGAGAATCGCTTGAATCTGGGAGGCAGAGGTTGCAGTGAGCCGAGATCACGCCACTGCACTCCAGCCTGGGTGACAGAGTGAGACTCTGTCTCAAAAAAAAAAAAAAGAAAAAAAAAAATCACTCATTTGCCCAGTACCTCCTCACACCAGATACCATGCAAAGCAAAACTGATCTAGTTCCTCGTCTCAAGGAGTACAGAGTTGACCTATGAATGAGATAAATATTTACCTTTAAAAATTATCTTTTGGCCCAGAATTTAAAAACAAAAAAAACTGGTTTGGGGTTTTTTTTTTAACCTCCAAAATTGTTCTCATCTGAGTTACTTACCAATGTTAAAAAAGTTGGCAATACTACACACACACACACAAGCACACACACTAAGACAAAAAAAAAACTATATAAACAAACAAAAGGCCGGGTGCACTGGCTCATGCCTGTAATCCCAGCACTTTGGGAGGCTTAGGCGGGTGGATCACTTGAGCTCAGGAGTTCAAGTCCAGCCTGGGCAACATGGCAAAACTCTGTCTCTACAAAAAATACAAAAATTAGCTAGGCATGGTGGTGGGTGCCTGTAGTCCCAGCTACTTGTAAGGCTGAGGTGCGAAGACCATTTGACCCTGAGAGGCAGAGGCTGCAGTGAGCCATGACTGCACTGCAGCACTCCAGTCCGGGTGTAGAGCCAAACCCGATCTCAAACACAAAACAAAACAAACTAAAAAAAACACCAGCTAGTCTTTTCCAGAAAGACTGGACAATCTGGCCACTCTGGGACCACATTCCTGCCAGGCAGCAACAGGACAGGGTGTGGTAGCTGCTGTCCCCTTCAGAAAGAACCTGTTCTCTCCACTTCTCAGCATCCCCCAGAACTAAAAAGAGATATTTTCTTTGATGGAGCACAAAACATGTGTGTGTGTGTATGTGTGTGTGTATATATATTTCCCCACTTCAGTGTATGTATGGATATTAGATATATTACTGACTAGCCTAAATCAGGAGGAAAAAGCAGGCCAGGCGCGGTGGCTCACGCCTGTAATCCCAACACTTTGGGAGGCCAAGGCGGGTGGAACATCTGAGGTTGGGAGTTTGAGACCAGCCTGACCAACATGGAGAAACCCTGTCTCTACTAAAAATACAAAATTAGCTGGGTGTGGTGGCACATACCTGTAATCCCAGCTACTCGGGAGGCGGAGGCAGGAAAATCGCTTGAAACTGGGAGGCGGAGGTTGCAATGAGCCAAGATCATGCCATTGCACTCCAACCTGGACAACAAGAGTGAGACTCAAAAAAAAAAAAAAAAAAAAAAAAGAGGAAAACGGAGGAAAAACCCTAATTACAAAAAACAGGGAAGAAAACTAGGGAAATGGCCATAGCTACAGAGGAGAAAAGGTGAATTAAATTGGTAATTTTATAAGAATACATAAACCACCAAAACTGAAACCAGGACATAGCAAATTCTAAACAGACGTAGAAGACACTGTAGTAGTTACCGAAGTGCTATATTCTGAAACAGCACTGGCTAGGGTGGTGGCTCATGCCTATAATCCCAATACTTTGGGGGACAGAGGTGGAAGGACTGCTTGAGAGAGAAGTTCAAGACCAGCCTAGGCAACGTGGCAAGACCTGCCTGTACCAAAAAATTTAAATAAATAAATAAATAAATAAATAGAAAGGCACCAGGCTTAGACAGTTTTACAAGAGAATTTCTACCAAATTTTAAACAAATAATTTAAAAAATTCTTAAGCTGGCTAAAAGTTTAGAATAAAATGGCCGGGTGCGGTGGCTGACACCTGTAATCCCAGCACTTTCGGAGTCCAAGGCAGGCGGATCACGAGGTCAGGAGATTGAGACCATCCTGGCTAACACGGTGAAACCCCGTCTCTACTAAAAAAAATACAAAAAATTAGCCAGGTGTGTTGGTGGGCACCTGTAGTCCCAGCTACTTGGGAGGCTGAGGCAGGAGAATGGCGTGAACCCGGGAGGCAAAGCTTGCAGTGAGCCAAGATCGCGCCACTGCACTCCAGCCTGGGTGATGCAGCGAGACTCCGTCTCAAAAAAATAATAATAATAATAATAAAAATAAAAGTTTAGAATAAAATGTTATGTAAGAAACTTTTTACAAAGCTATAGAAAACACTAAAACAACTTGATAAAGGTTGCATAAGAGAAAATTACAGACTATTCTCACAAATGATGTAAAATTTCTTTTTCTTTCTTTTTTTTTTTTTGAGATGGAGTCTTGCTCTGTCGCCCAGGCTGGAGTGCAGTGGTGCAATCTGGGCTCGCTGCAAGCTCCACCTCCCGGATTCATGCCATTCTCCTACCTCAGCCTCCTGAGTAGCTGGGACTACAGGCGCCCGCCACCACGCCTGGCTAATTTTTTTTGTATTTTTTAGTAGAGACGGGGTTTCACCCGTCAGCCAGGATGGTCTCGATCTCCTGACCTCGTGATCAGCCTGCCTCGGCCTCCCAAAGTGCTGGGATTACAGGCGTGAGCCACCGAGCCCGGCCTCATGATGTAAAATTTCAAAATAAAATATTAATAAATAGGCCAGGTGCGGTGGCTCACGCCTTATAATCCCAGCATTTTGGGAGGCTGAGGCAGGCAGATTATCTGAGGTCAGTAGGTCGAGTCCAGCCTGGTCAACATGGCAAAATCCCGTCTCCATTAAAAATACAAAAATTAGCCGGGCATGGTGGCAGGTGCCTGTAATCCCAGCTACCCGGGAGGCTGAGGCCAGAGAATTGCTTGAACCTGGGAGGCAGAAGTTGCAGTGACCCGAGATCGTGCCACTGCACTCCAGCCTGGGCAACAGAGTGAAACCCCGCCTCAAAAAATAAAAATAAAAAATAAATGAATAAATAGAATCTGGCTATACAATAAGAGAGTTTATCCCAGGAATACAATGATGATTCAATAATATAAATCCATTACTATAACTCATTATGTTAACAGATAAAAGAAGAAAATCTCTATGATCATTCCACAGATGTACACTGGCATTTGAGAAAACTCAATCACCATTTTTTATTTTAAAAACATCAGTGAGGGAGCAGGAACAAAAACAAAAAGCTCCCCACAACATTAGCAACACACCCCAGCATGGCACTTAAATGGCAAAAACACTAACAGCATTCTCATTAAAGTCAGGAATGAAACAAGTTACTCAGTGTCATCCCTATTATTTAACTTTGTTCTAGAAATACAATGCAATCAGAAAAGAAAAAGAGGTCAGACATGGTGGCTCACACCTGTAATCCCAACACTTTGGGAGGCCGTGACAGGGAGATCACTTGAAGTCACGAGTTGGAGACCAGTCTGGCCAACATGGTGAAACCCCATCTCTACAAAAAATACAAAAATTAGCCATGTGTGGTGGCACATGCCTGTAATCCCACCTTCTCGGGAGGCTGAGGCAGGAGAATTTAGGCCTGGCACGGTATTTCATACCTAACACTTTGGGAGGCCAGGAAGAAGGATCGCTTGAAGCCAGAAATTCAAGACCAGCCTGGGGGCAACATAGTGAGACTTCATCTCTATTAAAAAAAAAAAAAAAAAATTAACCAGGAGTGGTGGCATACACCCAGCATCGATATGGGAGGATCGCCTGAGCCCAGGAGGTCTGGGCTGCAGTGGGCCATGATCATGCCACTGTGCTCCAGCCTGGGTGACGGAACTTTCTTAAAAAAAAAATTGTTTAAAAATATTCCAGGCCGGGCGCTGTGGCTCACGCCTGTAATCCCAGCAATTTGGGAGGCCGAGGTGGGTGGATCACGAGGTCACGAGTTCGAGACCAGCCTGGCCAACATGGTGAAACCCCGTCTCTACTAAAACTACAAAAGTTAGCCAGGCACGGTGACGGGCGCCTGTAATCCCAGCTACTCAGGAGGCTGGGGCAGGAGAATTGCTTGAACCTGGGAGGTGGAGGTTGCAGTGAGCCGAGATTGCCACTGCACTCCAGCCTGGGCGACAAAGCGAGACTCCTTCTCAAAAAAAAAAAAAAAAAAAAATCCAATCCTTCATCCTACAAAAAAAAAGAGAAGAGGGATGGATGATTCAAAATTGGCTAAACACTGAAAACTTTTAAGTGATGGACACATGAAGAAGGCTCATTAGATTGTCTTCTCTACTTCCACGTATGTCGACAATAAAGAGTTTAAAAAATGTGCGGAAGGATCCAAAGAAGGATCATAAAAGACACAAACGAGCCGGCTCTGTGGCGCAATGGATATCTGTTCTATGGATATTTGTTCATTCAACAAGTATTTTCTGCTACCTACTACGTGCCAGGTACTGGAGATACTTAAGTGGAGAAAACAAAGCTCCTGTTCTCATGGCGCTTCCATTCTGGTTGCGGGGGAGGCACACGAGCAAAAATTACAATCTCGAGTGATAACAAGGTCGACAGGAGTGGGCTGGTCTAAGAAGGCCTCAGTGAGGAGGAGGTGATGGTGGCGCAGAGCCTGAGCGAGGAAGAGAAGAAAGCTCAAGGATGTCTGAGACAGCCAGCTGGGAAGGAAGACAACCTAACAAATTTGGTCTTCTTTCCCTTTGTTTTGCTTTTTACCCCTAACAGCCTTTTGCTTATCCAAAGGATATGGACACCACTGGAATGTCTCTCTTTGTCCTGACACGAAAATAAAAATTAATCGGGTAATTTTAATACAGTACATTCTTCAAGAAGGTGCCAGGTCGCCGCTGTTTCCCCAAACGTTGTGTAAAACAATTTGATTTTTTCTTTTTTTTTTTTTTTTTTGAGACGGAGTTCCGTTCTTGTTGTCCAGGCTGGAGTGCACTGGTGCGATCTCGGTTCGGCGAGATCTTGGCTCACCGCAACCTCCGCCTCCCAGATTCAAGCGATTCTCCCGCCTCAGCCTCCCGAGTAGCTGGGATTACAGGCATATGCGCCACCACGCCCGGCTAATTTTGTATTTTTAGTACAGACGGGGTTTCTCCATGTTGGTCAAGCTGGTCTCGAACTCCTGACCTCTGATAATCTGCCCGCCTCGGTCTCCCAGAGTGCTGGCATTACAGGCGTGAGCCACCGCGCCCGGCAATTTGATTTTTTCGAAGGAAGAATTTTCCAATTTATCTAAGCGTTATGCCATGTCTGTTAATAAAATTGTATTAAAGTTAAATCATGAGTTTTTAATGCAGATAAATCTTTCCATAGCAAAGAGAACAGATTAGTTTCACAAAAGATATTGATCAGATGCTACATAATTTTACACATAAAGACACAAAACTATCAGTCTCCGCCCTTCTGTCAAACCATCGACTTAGAAGTGTCTATAGTTTAATTTCATGATTTTTTTAAGCAATGAAGTTGAAATTCTACTTTTCCTTAGGAGCGATACGCATATTTTACACTCAAGTGGCCAGCGTCAACTAAGGGCATTCCAGATGGTCAAAAAAGAAGTGCCTCTGCTACAACGCCTGAGATCATCATATAGTAACTTCTTCAAACCACCACGAAGTAGCAAGGCTTCAAAGCTGTCAGGAATGCTACGTTCTACAACAGCCAGATAATTAGGAAACCAGCAGATGGGAGGAGAAATCTGTCCCTATGAAACACGTTCCCATCTCAGTTTTGAAAGTGGCTTTATATAAACGCATTCATCTTCTACCCAATAACCCAAAGGTTATTGAACGCCAATAACCAAACGACTCAGGACTGCGAGATGATTCCCAAGGAGGCGAACTTGTGCGGACAGATTTCAAGTACCACGAACCATCACCAGCAGAGCGAAGGGCAGGTTTCCCTCCGACGGCTGCGATGCTCCGAGTCCCTCCTTCCCCTAGCACCCCGCCGCCCACTGAGCCCTTCCCCAAAGGTCCCCGAGTTCTGAGCGACGCACGCCCCCGACCCTAGTTACCGGGGAGAGCCGCCGAGGGCCCAAGGCGCCAGTAAGGCTCCGCGCACGCAGCCCAGCCCGAGGGGCGCCCGCCCGGGCGCTCGGTGTGGGGCCTGATGCAGAGCAGGAGGAGGAGGTCCGAGTGGGCCCCAGCGCTCTCAGGGTCTGGCGCCGGCCCCTCTGCCTCCCGCCTCTGCTGTGCCTGGCGTCCAGGGATCTTCCAAGGACTCCCCACCCCCTACCCTGCTCTCCCACGCGGGGTCATGACTTCGGGCGGCGCCAAGCCCCCAGCGTAAGGGTCCCCCCGGCTTCCCCGGGAAAGGGTCGGGGTGCAAGGCTAGGCCAGGAGTGCCTGGCGAGAGGGCCGGAGCAGGACACAGGGGGTCAGCGGCAGGGCAGGGCGCTCCCGCCGCGGTGCCTGGGGAAGGGAGCGGGGGTGGGGCTGCCGCGGGCCAAATGCGGGACACAGGCGCGGACGGGGGCGGCCGCGGATCGGGCGGACGGCCACTCTGGGAGGGGCTGGGAGGTACCGCGGCCCCCTGCGGGACGCACCTGCGCAAAGTGAGGGACCGGCCCCCCCCCCCCCCCCGCTCCGCGCGAAGCCTCACCTGCCCAGCGCCCGCTTCATTCCCGCGTCGGCTGCGCAGCGCGGCTCAGCCGCCGCCGGGCCCGTCAGGCGTAGGTTCTGCTTCAGGCGGCAGTCGGCGTCCAGCGCCGCGGCGGCCGAGCCGGAGGAGGACGAGCCCGCGGCGGCGCAGCGCTCATGCTCCAAGGCGACGGGCTCGGTCCGCTTCCTCATCCCGCGGCCGACAGGGCCAGCCGCCGACGGCGCCCGCTGGCCTGCGCCGCAGTGCCGCCGCTCACAGCCGCCGCCACCCAGAGCCCGGAGCCCGGAACCCGCCGCTCCTCACATCCCAGCCCAGGCCGCTGCGCCGGCTACGAACCAGCGGCGGGGGCCCGCCAGCCAGGCCGGCCAATCAGCGCCGGGCTCCCGCCGGCTCTGCCCTACCCCCCTCCCCCGGCCCCGCCCCGGCCACCTCCTCTCTAGTTCCAAGGAGCGCGCGCCCAGCATCCCTGGCGCCACCCGCAGCCATTTTGTGGGAGGGTGGGCGAAGCTGCAGCGGCGCGTCATCTGCAGGGCAGGGCTCTGGGCTCCATCCGCAGGCTGCAGCTGTGCTCGCCCGGGCGCTCGGTGTGAGGAGCACCCGCTCCCGGTCGTGCCCGAAAGGGGTGGCCCAGCGAGGCAGAGCCGCAGCGCTGGGCTCCTCGTGCTTCTGTGAACGGAAAACCAGAGGTAGCAAATAGCAGTTCCGTTCTCGTGATTCTTAATTCTTTTTCCACAAGGACATTACCTTTAAAAGTATGCTTTCCGGTCGTCAGTTTTTAATTTGAAGTAAATGTATATACTCAGTGTTTACTTTTGGGCCGAACATCAGGAAATGAACTGCTTGAAAAATTTACTTTTTAAAAACCTGTGTTAGATTTTAGATTTTTATAAAGCAATTAAGACTACCTGATGGGAGGAAAATCCATTTCAAAGATAAATTCGCCCTTATGAAACCCAAATTTAGTACTAATTCAACCCATCCTAGAAAGAGAAAAGGAAAGAATAAAGGGCTGTTTCACAAATTTAGTTTTATAACTTTGGCTTTCTTCAATATGGCATTAGTTTTACAGATGATCTATAACAAAGAGAGATATTTGCTTATTCCAAAGTAACGTTAGAAATTTCAGCATTTGTCACTTTGAAAACTATTGGCAATTGATAAAGGTCAATTGGAAATGCGTTTAGAAATTCAACAGCTTTTTATATTAGTTTTTTCTTTTTTTTTTTTTTTTTTTTTGAGACGGAGTCTCGCTCTCGCCCAGGCTGGAGTGCAGTGGCGCGATCTCGGCTCACTGCAAACTCCGCCTCCCAGGTTCACGCCAGTCTCCTGCCTCAGCCTCCCAAGTAGCTGGGACTACAGGCGCCGGCTACCATGCCCGGCTAATTTTTTTGTATTTTTAGTAGAGACAGGGTTTCACTGTGTAGCCAGGATGGTCTCGATCTCTCGATCCCGTGATCCGCCCGCCTCGGCCTCCCAAAGTGCTGGGATTACAGGCATGAGCCACCGCGCCCGGCTGCTTTTTAAATTAGTTTTGTAATGATACTTTGAAATTGCAAAATAATTTATTGACCATATTACTAAGTGTTACAGCCTGCATTCATAATTGTGTCAATATCTCCAGATATACTTTTTAAAAACATTATGGGCCGAGCTCAGTGGCTCATGCCTGTAATCTCAGCACTTTGGGAGGCGGAGGTGGGTGGATCATTTAAGCACAGGAGATGGAGGCCAGATCAGCCTGGCCAGCATGGTGAAACTCCGTCTCTACTAAAAATACAAAAATTAGCCGGGTGTGGTGGCACAAGCCTGGGTGACAGAGCAAGACTCTGTTTAAAAAAAAAAAAAAAAAAAAGGCTGGGCGAGGTGTCTCACGCCTGTGAGCCCAGCACTTTGGGAGGCCGAGGCGGGCGGATCACGAGGTCAGGAGATTGAGGCTATCCTGGCCAATGTAGTGAAACCCCGTCTCTACTAAAAACACAAAAATTAGCCAGGTATGGTGGCACAACCCTATAATCCCAGCTAATTGGGAGGCTGAGGCAGGAGAATCGCTTGAACTTGGGAGGCGGAGGTTGCAGTGAGCTGAGATCACACCATTGCACCCCAGTCTTGGGGACAAAAGCAAACTTCTGTCTCAAAAAAAAAAAAAAAAATTAGCTGGGCATGGTGGCGCGTGCCTGTATTCCCAGCTACTTGGGAAGCTGAGGCAGGAGAATCGCTTGAACCAGGGAGTCGGAGGTTGTGGTGAGCCGAAATTGTGCCACTGCACTCCAGCCTGGCGACAGAGGGAGACTCCTCTCAAAAACAAACAAACAAAAAAATTAGCTGGGTGTGGTGGCGCACGCCTGTAATCCCATCTACTTGGGAGGCTGAGGCAGGAGAATTGCTTGAACCCGGGATGCTGGGATTCGGAGGTTGCAGTGAGCCGAGATTGCACCACTGCACTCTAGCCTGGGTGACAGAGCAGGACTCCATCTCAAAATAAACAAACAAACATACTATGGAATGTAAATTATAAATTCTTTATAGTGATGTAGTAACACATCCTGGAGAGATTGGAAATCTAGGAAATAACTAAAACGTAAAAAAAAAAAAAGAGGTTTTGACTCTATCGCTCACTTCAATTAAAAAAACAACAACAACAAAAAAAAAACAGCCAGGCGCGGTGGCTCATGCCTGTAATCCCAGCACATTGGGAGGCCGAGGCGGGCGGATCACAAGGTCAGGAGATCATGACCATCCTGGCTAACACGGTTTCACACCCCGTCTCTCTAATAACAATATAAAAAATTAGCCGGGCATGGTGGCGGGCGCCTGTAGTCCCAGCTACTTGGGAGGCTGAAGCAGGAGAATGGCGTGAACCCGGGAGGCGGAGCTTGCAGTGAGCGGAGATCGCACCACTGCACTCCATCCTGGGCGACAGAGTGAGACTCCGACTCAAAAAAACCAAACAAACAAACCAAAAAAAAAAAAAAAAAAAAACAAGGAAGGAAGAGCTGGAGAGGAAAAATCTGTACCGTGTATTGAATCTTTCTTACAGGCACGAGGCCCTGCCCACACAGTGCTCAACTCTTGGTGGTTGAGCCCATGCTAGTGATGCCCACATTTTTATCATTGGTCCACACCTCTCCTTGACCCTTAGGCTCCTCATCATTTCTGCTCTGATTTCTGACAAGCACCACTTCAATGCTGAGCTCCCAACTCTTCTCCCACCCCCAACTCCATCCATGACCTTCTCTGGTAATTCTATTGCAGTTCCTGGGGCCACAATTCTGGGGTCATCCTTGACTTCTCCTTTCTTGTGCTATAGCATGTCTATCACCAAGCCTTGTCAGCTGTGCTTTCAAAATCTATGAGAATTTAACCATTAAATTTTACCGCCTCCATGGTCCCCACCCTGGGCCAAACTGCTGTTATCTCTCACCTCCATTATTTGAATAGCCTAACTGGTCTCCTGCCTCCACTTTGCCTCACTTCTGTCCACTTAATTCAGCTGCCACATAGGGTTTTCTTGTTGTTACAAGGTCTAATTCTGTCATTTATTTGCTCACAACACCTAAGTGGCTCCCCATCTCACTCAAAACCCAAGGCTTACAAAAGGGTTTAACATGGCCCTCCCTGACTGTAGAGCACCCGATTCTGTCGTTGATCAGGGGTGCCACTTGCAACCTGCATGGACTTAGGGTAACAACAAAGGGTGGTGAACGTGAGAATAAAAGACAAGAGACAAGAGTATGTTTGGAAGAAGGGGTCAGGGGGCACCTTGCCTCTAGTGGACAAGGGCCCTGAGCTTTACACAGCCCTCCATATTTATTAGGCAAAACAGATAGGGATAAATGGGGGGTGATTGTGGGGTAATTGTCAGTCGGCTGGTTGGTTCACAGCAGGCTTGCCAGACTGCATCGTTTGAACAATAGACACTAGATTTCTCAGTAGATAACTTCAAGGAGCCCCGTGCCAGGGAGTGAGGCCCTCAGCCAACCTTTTGGTGGCAGGCGCAGTGTGAGTTTGCTCACATCCTGCATTCGTGATAGTGATAAACAGTTTGCTATTTGATCATATAGCCTCCAGTGGAATGCTGAGTTGATCATGATCCCTTTGGCCTTTTTGGCTCCCAACATCTCTCCCTTTGTGTTTATGTATTAATTGAAAGAATGTAAGGCCAGGCTGGGCATCTCTCATTCTCTGATTGGCAGTCCGTCCGATTTTACAGACTATGAGCAGAAGACAGAGACAAAACAACATTATTCCAAGAACTACATATAAATTGTTAATGTGGTGCTTTAGATAGGTCCAAGGGTTGAGGCTTGCCAGGCGTTGCTGGAATTTGGTCCAGTCTTCTAAAGCAGGTTGAAATTTTTGAGTTTGCTTATTTAAAACAAGAATTTTGTTTTGTAATTCACCAATATCAAAGGTGATGTTGGATGTGAACGCTCCCTGTAAATGGGCTTTCACAAGGTCCCATGGATAGTCACTTTGGTTATATTCTTAGTTGTTTACACAAATATGAGTGTGGTTAAAATGACAATGCAACTGATGCTGCAACTGCAAGCTCTGTACTTTTTCTCCTAACCAAAGGACCGTGGATTTTAACATTGCCACTTCAGTTTGTAACTCAGTGTTAATTTTATTCTGAAGTAGCCACGGTTGGTCAGCTGTGCGCGTCCAGTTCTCCAGGTACTGAGCTGTTTGAATAGAATTATGCAAAGCTACAGAGGACATCACAACAGAAGTTATTAGTGTGACTAAGGAAACAATAGCAAAAATTATGCCTAAGTCTCTACAGACACGATGCGTAAGCTGAGTTAGAAGAAGTTTCACAAAATGCAAAGCAGGCATGGCAGCCCAAGGTTCAGACAGATTAACAGGAATCCATAGCCCAGGGATGTGACCCAGAATCATCAAGGTAGAAATACTATGTGTTTGCAATGTGCTGTGATTAATGCAGTGATAAAACTGGCAAGATTTACAGGTCAATTGGGTATTGTTTACCTGGAGCTGGTTCTTCTTAGCTGCCAAAAAGACATAAGAATTAAAAACAAAAACTGTAAATTGAGTGGTGATATTCTTTACAAATGCAACATTAAGATTGTGTTGCTTACTATTGCTATTATTGGATAGTATTCCAGTCCAGATGTTGCCATTCATACATGGGAGTGCTGCCTTCCATATAGTCTCTTGAATTGGTCCTTTCCTCCCTAGATAATGCCACTGAGGAAGAGGTGGGCTAAAGCCTGCTCCATGCCAAGCAATCTGGGTGGCAGACTGGGATTGGATCCCAGTACTGTATAAAGAAGAAGCATTAAAAGCTTGCCACCAATGCCAATGAAGTTTGTGCCATGATTTCTGATTTTCATCTTTTCGATCTAATTGACCTTTAGGTTCCCAATCCACAATGTCTCCAGTTAACATAGATTGTTTTCTAGCCAGTGGACCAAGACACTGGGTCCACGGAGGGGGGTAGGAACTACTGAATGGAATCCATTCCATATAATCAGCACAATTAGGGCGATTGGGCCGGGAAAGGTTGGTTAATAGAACCAAGACTTAATAAGTACATAATTTTTCCATAATGATTCAACCATGTTTGAGCTTGAATTGTAAGACAGCTATGGCTGAGCGACATCTTTGTGTTGATTCACAAAGGAAGTCCTTCCAGTGGAGCAGTATAATTAATGACATTATTCTGAGAGTCTAACTGTTCTATGTCAGGGGGAGTTAGGGGTCCTGGAGCCTACTCTCCCTGATCATGATAAATCTCAGGAGGAGTGTCGCTCCAAAGTATAGGTCGTACTGCTGGGAGATTGAGAACGTATGCCCAATGTTTTTGCCTCTGCACAGCGAAAACATACCACATGGGACACTATGGCTAACATGGCCAAGAACATGGAATCAGGGGTTTTTGCCTGTCACTGATGCTCCAGTAGTTTCTCAGCTTCCCACGTGGTTTTCTTGAGTTCTCCCCAGGTTGTGGGGATTGATGTCATCATCACTCTGCTTGGCCTTCTCTCCATCTTTGGAGTCAGGCTCAGCTGGCTCATGGCTCGTATCGGAGGGGCCGGGCCCATGGTTGGCCACCCTGGGTTCCTCCAGTCTCCTATTCCATGGTCGCGTGCACCTTGAGGACACCCACACAGTTTGTCCATCTCCTGTAAAAACACAAGTATACCCTCTTCTCCATGTCAGTAAATCCACCGGACCTTTCCATTTTCCTTCTTCCAGGGGTTTCCATAACACTTTCAGATAAACTTTCCTCTTTTCCTCTAACACTTGCCAATGTCTTTCTGCTGGAGTCTTACCATCCGTACCAGGAGTCAAAAAATTTAAATAAGGCTAAATGTAGTTTTGATTGAGGTGGTAGTTGGCCTCCTATACCCCCTTTTTGTATTTTCAACATGCATTGTAATGTTCGATGTGCCCGCTCTACAATGCCTTGTCCTCTAGGATTATAAGGAATTCCCGTTTTATGGATTATAGCCCAAAGCTATAAGAAATTTTGAAAAGCATGACTAGTATAAGTGGGTTCATTGTCAGTTTTTAATAGCTTAGGTATCCCCATGTGAGCAAATGATGACAATGTCACTGTACATGACCAGCTGTCTCACATGTTTGGCATGTAGCATGCAGCATATGAGAATAAGTGTCTATAGTTACATGAACATAGCTAAGCTTACCAAAGGTTGCTATGTGTGTAATATCCATTGGCGAAATATCATTTGGAGCCAAACCTCGTGGGTTACAGCCTTCTACAGGTGTGGCTCTAGGGACATGCTGGCAAGTAGGACGGGCTTGTATTATAGCCCTAGTTTGGCTGCGAGATAAAGGTAACATGCGAGTAAGGGCGGCAGTATTTTGGTGCAGAAGCATGTGAGACACTTGAGCTTGCTGAAACACAGAACCAATCAGCTTGTCTGCTTTCTCATTACCTAGAGATAGTGGCCCAGGAAGTTGTGTGTGAAAGTGAATATGAGAAATATGAAAAAGAGCTTCAGGAGAGCGAATAGCTTGTTGAAGTCTTACAAATAAATTAAGCCGGCTGGGCGTGGTGGTTCACGCCTCTAATCCCAGCATTTTGGGAGGTCGAGGTGGGAGGATCACAAGGTCAGGAGTTGGAGACCAGCCTGGCCAATATGGTGAAACCCGTCTCTACTAAAAATACAAAAAAATTAGCCAGGCGTGGTGGTGGAGGCTGAGGCAGGAGAATTGCTTGAACCCAGAAGGCGGAGGTTGCAGTGAGCCAAGATCATGCCACTGCACTCCAGCCTGGGCAACAGAGCGAGATTCTGTCTCAAAAATGAAAGAAAAAAAAAGTGAAAAGGGAAGGGAAAGGGGAAGGGGGAAGGGGGAGGGGAAGGGAGAGGGAAAGGGGGAGGGGGGAGGGGAAAGGAAGGGAAGGGAAGGGAAGAGAAGCGAAGCAGTTCTGGGTCTAGTGTACTTTTAATTGTAGCAGTTCCTATGCAACTGGCTACATTTACAACATAAGCTGAATCACAGACAATGTTGATGGGATCTGAGCTGTGAGCTGTAAAACCTGAATGACTGCAATTAGCTCTGAGTGTTGAGCTGAAACCCCAGAGGTCATTATTGTTTGAGTATGTTTTGGTCCATAGATAGCAGCACAACCTTTGGAAGAGCCATCACTAAAATAAGTCTGTCCACCTAGAATAGGCTTGTGATGAGTAATCACAGGAAGAATGAAAGAATGGATTTTATAAAACTGTAAAATTTTGTCTGAGAGGTAGTGGTTATCTATAGCACCCACGAAGTCTGCAAAAGCAGTTTGCCAGGCAGTCAACATTTCCCAAGCTTTGGCTTGTTGCTGGGAGTCTAAAGGAACAATAATTTTGTCGGGGTCATATCCCATAAGCATTTTTGACCTATGCCTGCCCATAGTCACAATTTGTGTAATTAAAGAAAAATAAACTTGCAAGGTTTTGACTGTTTGATTAGGTAAAAAGAGCCATTCTATTGTTACAGACTTGTCTATGAACTGTCCCAAAAGTCCTGTTGGAGAGTGGGGGGGTAGGAAGAATAAACAAAAGCAAGGGTTTTTGCAGCTGTAGCCTTGAGGCATGTCTCTGCTGTAACCTTTGCTCTACAAGCCATAATTCAGCTTCTGCCTCTTTAGTTAATTGCTGCAGGGAATTTAAAGAAGAATCTCCTTGCAGGGTTTGGTAAAGATGTGTAAGTTGATAGGTAACAATACCTAACATTGGCCATAGCCAATTAATATCTCCTAATAATTGCTGAACATCCTTTAAAGTTTGTAACCTGTCTTTATGGAGAACTACTTCCTGAGGCCGTAAACTTCTCTCTAACAATAGTTCCTAAGTATTGGAATGGGGAAGTTGTTTGTACCATTTCTGGAGCTATTTGGAGACTCCATTTAGTCAAAGCCTTCTTTGTTTCTCTGAATAACTGTTGTAGGATTTGATCTGTAGGAGCAGCCAAAAGAATATCATCCATAAAATGAATGATGTAAGCAGTAGGAAACGTATTCCGAGGCTCTAATGCCTGCCCTACGAAAGGCTGACATAGCATAGGACTGTTAAGCATGCCTTGGGGTAAAACTCTCCATTGATAATGAGAAACAGATTCTCTTTGATTAATAGAAGGCACAGAGAAGGTAAACCGAGGCTCGTCCTTGCCGTGTAAGGGCATAGTAAAGAAACAATCCTTAAGATCTATTGCTGCAAGAGGCCTGTCTCTTGGAATAGCCACTGGAGATGGTAAACCTTTTTGTAAGGCACCCATCAGTTTTATATGTGCATTAATAGCTCTTAAATCATGTAGCAGTCGCCATCTTCTGGACTTTTTTGTAATAACAAACACTGGAGAATTCCAGGGGCTGACTCCTCTCTGAGTCCGGCATCCCATTGTTCTTTCACTAGCTGCTGAAGTTGTGTCAGCTTCTCCTGAGATAGGGACCATTGATCTACCCATATGGGTTTGTCACTGAGCCATTCTAATGGTAAGGTAGTGGGTGGAGGAGAAATATCAATGACCCCCATCAGAAATCCTGATGTCCTAGCCCTTTTCTGTTTTTCCAGTTACTGATATCGGGTTAGGATTTCCTTGAAATTTTCCTAAACCTTTTCCCCTCTGATATCCCGTGTTCTTCAACATTTTAAATCCTGGGTTATCGAAGTTTTCATTTGTAAGTCTCATATCCCATGCTGTAAGTAAGTCTTGACCCCATAAATTGATAGCTATATTTGCAACATAAGGCTGAAAAGTACATGACTGTCCATCTGGACCAAGACAAGACAAAATCTCAGGGCTCTGTTGAACACTTTGAGCTGTGCCTACTCCCACTAGGGACATAGAAGTTAATTGCAAGGGCCAGGATGGGGGCCAGTTGTCTTTAGAGATTAGTGATACATCAGCTCCTGTATCCATAAGCCCATAAAATTTTTTTCCTTTAATTTGTACTACACAAGCAGGTCTGTTAGAGGCTATGGGTTGGGATACATAGATTTCCCATGTAGTTGTGCTCCCAAACCCTTTATTTCCTTGTTTCTCCTTTCGTGGAGAAGGGTGTAATTTGCAGGGAATAAGCAATAATTAGCAATATATTCTCCCGGTTCAAAAACCCAAAGATCTTGTGACATTAAAACTACTTGAATTTCTCCTTCATAATCAGAGTCAATCCCTCCTGGGACTACAGTGATGCCTTGCAAGTTAAGATGGCTTTTGCCTAAAATTAGTCCCATGTATCCTGTTGGTAAAGGTCCCCAAATACCAGTGGGAACTTTGATAGGTCTGTCTCCCCCTACTAACGTGATTCTTTCTCTGGCGGGTAGATCTAATCCTGCACTTTGTGGTGTTCCTGGGGTGAGGGAATCAAGTGCCTCTGGGAACTCATCCCTGAAACGGGGTTGAAGTCTGGGCTGGGAATGCCCTCATTGTTTGTGGGGCCCGGGTCCAGGCCCCGTCTCGTTTCCTGGCATGGGGGTCCCATTCTGATGAAATTTTGAGCGACACTGATTAGCCCAGTGATTTCCTTTGTTACAGCAAGGACAAAGTCCTGGCGTTTTTTCCGCTCGGTGGGGCACTGTATTGTAAGGTCCTTTCTGTCCTGAGATCTGGCGGCATTCCTTTTTAAAATGTCCAGTTTTTCCACAATCATAACATTTTCCCATTTTAGGGTTTGACCCTTGGCTCCTTTTAGATTTGTCAACTGCTAAATTAGCCATTGCTTGCGCTAACATTTCAGAGTGATGAAGCTCAGTTCCCACGTCCTGACAAGCTCTGAGAAAATTTCCCAAGTTTTTTGTACACCTCACCGGTGCCAGTGCATGTTTATAATCCGTGTTTGCGTTCTCAAAAGCTAGAGTTAAGATTAGCATTTCTGCAGCTGCGGTATGAGGAATTTGGCGCTTCACTGCTTCTCGCAGTCTTGCAAGAAAATGTGCATAGGGTGGCCAGGTGCAGTGGCTCACGCCTGTAATCCCAGCACTTTGGGAGGCCGAGACGGTCAGATCACGAGGTCAGGAGATCGAGACCATCCTGGCTAACACGGTGAAACTCCATCTCTACTAAAAATACAAAAAATTAGCCAATTGTGGTGGTGGGTGCCTGTAGTCCCAGCTACTCCGGAGGCTGAGGCAGGAGAATGGCGTGAACCCGGGAGGTGGAGCTTGCAGTGAGCCGAGATTGCGCCACTGCACTCCAGCCTGGGCAACAGAGCAAGACTCTGTCTCAAAAAAAAAAAAAAGAAAAAGAAAAAAAGAAAAAAGAAAATGTTCATAGGGCTCTTGCAACCCTTGCATGATATGTAAAAAGGATTGTACTGGGACTCCGTCTTCAGGAATTGTGGCCCAGGCACCTTTAGCGGCCTGTGTTCACTGCTGATAAGCAGCGTCTGGGAGTGCCATTTGATGTTCCAGGTCTGAATAAGGGCCATTACTTAATAGCATATCCTCTGTAATGTCTCCATGTCCAGCAACATGATTCTGTCTAGCCTGGTCTGCACACATTTCTTGCTAATTTAAATTCCATGTCAGATATGTGCTAGTGGACAAGCAAGCTCGCACCAAGTGTTTTACATCAAAGGGTAAAAGACTCATAGCACCAAACACGGATTCTAGCAATCCTAAGGTAAATGGGCTCTGTATGCCATCATTTACCACACTTGCTTTTAATTCCTTTAACAACTTAAACTCTAGTGGAGTGTGTTCATGAATAACCTGCTGTGGATTATTTGGATCAGACCTTACAAAAATAGGAAAAGCACAGGGTTCTAAGGGCTCTCCAGCTATGGCAGCAGAGTGTAAAAATCTTTGTATTGGGGTCTCTATTTCTGCTACTGAAGGAGGCAGTACAGATGTTTCTGCAACTGGAGGAGGCAGTATAGGCCAATTTTTATCCTCCTCCGTTTTTTATTTTCAATTGGCGCTGTGGGTGGGACAACAGATTCTTTCAGATTTTTAGATTCAGCCTGCTCCCCCACAGAATAATAAGGAGATAATGGCAGAAGTACAGTACGAATTAAACTCCAAGTGGAAAAAACAGAAGAATCAACTTTAGGACCTTTTTGATGAGTCTGTTTTAATCCTTCTCCTGCTTTAGCCCAATTTTCCACATCAAGAGTGCCTGCCTGGTGGCTGGGCGCGGTGGCTCATGCCTGTAATCCCAGCACTTTGGGAGGCCGAGGCAGGCAGATCATGAGGTCAGGAGATCGAGACCATCCTGGCCAACATGGTGAAACCCCATCTCTACTAAAATACAAAAAATTAGCCAGGTGTGGTGGTGCACGCCTGTAGTCCCAGCTACTGGGAGGCCGAGGCAGTGGAATCACTTGAACCCAGGCAGCAGAGATTGCAGTGAGCCGAGATCACGCCACTGCACTCCAGCCTGGCAACAAAGCAAGATTCTGTCTCAAAAAAAAAAAAAAAAAAAAAGAGTGCCTACCTGTAGAAACCATGGGTTATGTGTAATACCTTTTGTGGCTTCTGCAGGAGGTTAGTTAGTGCCTGCGAATTAACCTGAGCTCCAGACTGTCTCAACCGAACTTTAAGCAACTGCACATAATGTTTTTCTTTAATAGACAAATTCTGCCCCTTGTTACCCTGAATTCAGAAAACTTCCCATTCCCAGTACTTCTTTAAAGCACTGCTCCCAGTACCTCTTTAGGGCACTAACCTTATATCCGCTACCGGCAGACTCACCCTGGGATCCCCGTTCACCTTGTCAATTTCAGTTCCTCTGCTCCAGCAGACCTTCTTCTTCATGTCCTTGAAGTCCCTGTTTGGGCGCCACTTTGTAGAGTACCTGATTCTGTCGCTGATCGGGGGTGCCACCTGTAACCTGCATGAACCTAGGGGGACTGAACAAAGGGGGCGGTGAATGTGAGAATAAAAGACAAGAGACAAAAGAGTATATTTGAAAGAAGGGGTCAAGGGGCACCTTGCCTCTAGTGGACAAGGGCCCTGAGCTTTACACAGCCCTCCATATTTATTAGGCAAAACAGATAGTGATAAATGGGGGGGGTGATTGTCGGGTAATTGTCAGTCAGCTGTTTGGTTCACAGCAGGCTTGCGAGACTGCATCCTTTGAACAATAGGCACTAGATTTCTCCGTAGATAACTTCAAGGAGCCCGGCACCAGGGAGCGCGGCCCTCAGCCAACCTTTTGGTGGCAGGCACAGTGTGAGTTTGCTCACATCCTGCATTCTTGATAAACAGTTTGCTGTTTGATAATATAGCCTCCAGTGGAATGCTGAGTTGGTCACAATCCCTTTGGCCTTTTCAGCTCCCAACATCTGACCTGACTGCTGGCCTCTCCTATCATCAACCTGCTCCAGCATCACTGCCTCTTTGCTCATCCTCAGCCGACCTTCCTGGGGCCTTTGCAGCTTGATTCCTCTGCCTGGAATTTCCTGCCTTCCCTAAGGCCCATAACCACTTGGGTTATTTTCTCCCTGTTCAGGTCTGTGCCTTCTCTGAACACTTGAACTCAAAACCCTGACTCTTTC
The DNA here is from genome assembly GCF_000001405.40 of Homo sapiens. NCBI lineage: Eukaryota > Metazoa > Chordata > Mammalia > Primates > Hominidae > Homo > Homo sapiens. The sequence continues at coordinate 25,403,486 of NC_000020.11, forward strand.
ACCTTCACTCTATTCATCTTCTTTGGGTTATTCTTAGTGCTTTTTCACCAATATATTTCTTATCAGTGTATCTGTGTATTGCGTTTTCCCACACTGGAATGTAGACTCTGTAGAAAGGACTTTGTTTACTGCTTTATTTTCAGTATCTAGGTCAATGCCAGGCTAATACTAGTGTAAACCAAAAATAAAATCCCAAACCCTCCATCCCCTGCTGACTGGATGGACCCCTTCTGGGCCAAGGGGACCCCAGGGAAACCTGAAAAAAAACAAAAATGGAATTATCGGCTATGACAAGAAGCAAGATGGGATGCACCTTGTTGTACCCCCTCCCTTTTGGAGTATAGGTGCAACTGGCCAGCATTAACATTAAAATAAAGATCCTAAGACTCACAAACACACTCTTTGTGGCAATAAGGTCCAAACTCCAACCTGACTGATGTAGCATCACATGACAGATAGCAGACTCTGAAGGAAATCAAGATGTTTTACCCCAAAATATATTTCTTTGAAATATTTTGAAATGGCCCTGGAAAGCCATCTTTTGTGTGGGGAATTTGCATCTGTTAAGAATCTCCGTTAATGCAGCCAGGTCTTTCCTGAATCTAGGAGAGGTTAAACAAGAGTTTAACACACCTTTTAAGATCCAAAAAGAGACATTTACCATCAATTCTTTCAGAAGGCTGCTGCCTATGAGGCTTCATCCACATAACAAGAAACTTGGTCTCCACAACCTCCCCCTTAACTCAATAATTTCCTTCTATTGACAGTCTTTAGACAAAACTTGACTCAACCAATTGCTAATCAGAAAATCTGTAAGCTCCCTGCTTCAAGATATCCCACCTTTTTAGGCTGAACAAAAGTACACCTTCCATGTGTTGATTTATGATTTTACCTATAATTCCTGTCTCCCTAAAATACATAAAACCAACCTGTAACCTGTAACTGCACTGCCTCAGGCACGCTTTCTCAGGACCTCTTGAGGCTGTTCCTGGGCCATGGTCACTCATTGGCTCAGAATAAATCTCTTTAAATATTTTAGAGTTTGGTTTTAACTTCAACACTAGGCATTTCATAAATATTTGCAGAAGGTATGACTGAATCATCTTAACTCCTTAGAGGTGGTTCCACTGTTCTCATTCTACTGTTAAGGAAGTGAGTCTTGGGGTCATTAATGAACTTTGCCTCTGGGCTGAAATTAAAAAGGCCTATGGCTGAGGAGGGTAGTGCATGCTGGTCTTTGATTCAGTCCTGCAGCATAGTCCAGTCTAGAGTTGTGTATTTGGGAAAAACACCTAGATAAACTATTCCTTACTGTAGAGATGAAAATATAATTGCCCAAGGGATTCTCCTTGTCCACTGCCCAGACAGAGCTGATTTATCAAGACAGGGGAGTTGCAATAGAGAAAGAGTTTTTTGGTTTTTTGTTTGTTTGTTTGTTTGTTTGTTTTTTGAGACAGAGTCTTGCTCTGTCGCTCAGGCTGGAGCTCAATGGCACAATCTCAGCTCATTGCAACCTCCGCCTCCAGTGTTCAAGTGATTCTCCTGCCTCAGCCTCCCAAGTAGCTGGGATTACAGGCATGTGCCACCAGGCCCAGCTAATTTTTTTTTTTTTTTTTTTGAGACAGAGTCTCACTCTGTCACCCAGGCTGGAGTGCAGTGGTGAGATCTCGGCCCACTGCAACCTCCACCTCCTGGGTTCAAGCAATTCTCCTTCCTCAGCCTCCTGAGTAGCTGGGATTACAGGCGTGTGCCACCATGTTCAGCTAATTTTTTTGTATTTTTAGTAGAGATGGGGTTTCGCTGTGTTGGCCAGGCTGGTTTTGAACTTCTGACCTCAGGTCATCCACCTTGGCCTCCCAAAGTGCTGGGATTACAGGTGTGAGCCACCATGCCCGGACAGGCTAATTTTTGCATTTTTAGTATAGATGGGGTTTCACCATGTTGGCCAGACTGGTCTCGAACTCCTGACCTCAGGTGATCCACCCGCCTCAGTCTCCCAGTGTGCTGGGATTACAGGCGTGAGCCACTGGGCCTGGCTGAGAAAGAGTTTAATTCACGCAGACCCAGCTGTACAGGAGACTGGAGTTTTATTATCGCTCAAATCAGTCTCCTAGAAAACTCCAAGATAGGGATTTTAAAGGATAATTTAGTGGGTAGGGGGTCACAAAGTGAGGGGTGCTGATTGGTTGGATGAGAGATAAAATCATAGAGAGTCAAAGCTGTCCTCTTGGGCTGAGTCAGTTCTTGGGTGGGGACCACAAGACCAGATGAGCCAGTTTATCGATCTGGGTGGTGCCAGCTGATCCCATCAAGTGCAGGGTCTACAAAATATCTCAAGCACTGGTCTTAGGTTTTATAATAGTGCTGCTATCCCTAGGAGCACTTGGGGAGGTTTTAGAATCTTGTAGCCTCCCGCTGCGAGACTCGTAAATTTCTAGTCTTGTGGCTACTCTGTTACTCCTGCAAAGGCAATCTAGTCCCCAGACAAAAAGGGTTTCGCTTTGGTAAAGGGCTAAGTATTTGTTTCAAAATTAAACTATAAACTAAGTTTCTCCCCAAGTTAATTCGCCCTAAGCCCAGGAATGAACAAGGATGGCTTGGCGGTTAGAAGCAAGATGGAGCCAGTTAGGTCAGATCTCTTTCACTGTAATAATTTTCTCTATTATAATTTTTTCAAAGGCGGTTTCAAAAAGGCAATGTTTGCTGGGTGCGGTGGCTCACGCTGTAATTCCAGCACTTTGGGAGGCCCAGGCGGACGGATCCCTTGAGCTCAAGAGTTGTCGACCAGACTGGCCAACATGGTGAAACCCTGTCTCTACTTAAAATACAAAATAGCCAGGTGTGGTGGCCTGAGCCTGTAGTCCCAGCTACTCAGAGGGCTGAGGGGGGAAAATTACCTCAGCCCGGGAAGTGGAGGCTGCAGTGAGCTGAGATGGCGCCACTGCACTCCACCTGGGTAACGGGAGTTAAGACCCTGTCTCCAAAAAAAAAAGGCAATGTCATTATTCAACATAAGCCTGAGTAGGCCATTCCCATGCCCATTCCTTAGATGACATATCTACTGTATATTTGCAAAAGATCAACATAGTTTCTAGGGTTAGCTAGAATTAATCCAAGATTGCGCCGGTTGCGGTGGCTCATGCCTGTAATCCCAGCACTTTGGGAGGCCGAGGTGGGCGGATCACGAGGTCAGGAAATTGAGACCGTCCTGGCTAACACGGTGAAACCCCGTCTATACTTAAAAAATTCAAAAAATTAGCTGGGCGTGGTGGCGGGCGCCTGTAGTCCCAGCTACTCGGGAGGCTGAGGCAGGAGAATGGCGTGAACCCGGGAGGCGGAGCTTACAGTGAGCCGAGTTCGCGCCACTGCACTCCAGCCTGGGCGACAGAGCGAGACTCCATCTCAAAAAAAAAAAAATCCAAGATTGCTTGTTAGAAATTAACATTGCTTTTTGAAAAATTGCCTAATAAAACAATTCTTTAGCAGTGATTCCCATCTTCCATATGCTTAAGAAATATTCCATAACCATCTAGCCAAGAAAATTCCTAGTGAATTCGTATTAATCTAGGGCAGATATTACAAATATTTTTAAAAGACTATTTTAAAATCAAAGGGTGGTACTGTGGTGTTGGAAATGGAAAGCCTAAATAACAGTCTAATCACTCTGGAGCTGTGTGACCTTGGGCAAGTTACCTAACTTCTGTTTCCTTATTAATCCCGGGTCTTAAAACACTTCAGAGATAATTGTGGGAATGAAATACACACTGCAGTCCCTACCAGCACTAGGTACCCAATAAAAGAGAGTTTCATTTTAATATCAAACAGAAAACCCGCACTGCAAAACTGAAACCCTTGCGTCCTACCAATGCACACCAAGTTTTTGGGCCTTTCCTCTTAACCTCAAAGTGCTCTTTTCTTGAACCTAAACGAGAATGAATGAATCAAAAGGAAAATGACAAGGAAGCTGCGGGGCGTGCATTTATTTCCAGCTCTGCTGCCCGTAGAGTCCCCCGGCCCACTGCCTGAGAACTGGAAAAGCCGTCTCTGCTCAGCCGAGGGGTTCTGCCATCTCCGGGGCGGGGACCTCACCTTGGAAAGACCCCTCCCACTCCGCCCCTCTTGGAATGCGGCTGAGCGGTGGATGTCCCTTTTCGGGCGCCGTAGGCGCGTTCCTATTGGCTAGCTTTGTTCGGCGCCAAAGCGCGGAGCGGAGGCCGAGGCGAGAGCCTGGCGCTGTAGGACTAGAACGAAAGGAGTGAGGCGCCGAGAGCCCAGATACCATTTTGGCGTGAGAGCTGGTGGTTGGCAAGGCCGCGGGAGTGGGAAGCGTCCGCCATGTTCTGCGAAAAAGCCATGGAACTGATCCGCGAGCTGCATCGCGCGCCCGAAGGGCAACTGCCTGCCTTCAACGTGAGGGGCGGGTAGACTTGGACGGGGCATGCCGGCGTTGGGCCCTGGGCTCTGGGGCGGGGCGGCTCCCCGTCAGGGTTCACTTTCGCACCTTGTTCCCTCCGAGCTCCGGAAAACTTGGGAAGCAGCAAAACAAAATTCAGGAGGAAAGAGAAAGCATTCATGCTTACGCTACCCAGCGATTTGGTGAATTTCCTCATCTGAGCAAATTTTGCATTTTAGCAGTTTTCCTTGGACAGATTTGTTCCGGTCCCTTAAAATATTTACAGGTTGCCTGATAATTTAGCATTTCTTGCTCACTCAGGCATCTAATCGTGGTCAGTAAAAGCTAGGCCTCTGGAACCTGGCTGAGATTCTGGTTCTGTAGTGTGACTTTGGGGCAGTTACTCAAGCTTTCTGTGCTCTCAGTTTTCTCATACGCAAAAATGGGGATGGTGACAATAATAGTACCCAACGCATGATGTAGTGGACGCAAAATGAGTGGCATGTGTAAGGGTCTCTGCATATGCCTCACATACAGTAAGGGCTGAGTCAGTGTTAGCTATTAATATTACTTTTCTCCTGCTGCTGCTGTTACTATTAATATTATGATTATTTGTATTTTTCTATCACTGCTACCCCAGGGAGAGTGCTAAGCACTTCATGTACATTATCTTTTGTCTTTCTAATAACCCTTTGAGGGCCCGGTACCATGGCTCCTGCCTGTAATCCCAGCACTTTGGGAGGCTGAGGCGGGAGGATCGCTTGATCCTGCCACTGCATTCCAGCCTGAGTGACAGGGAGACCCTGTCCCAAACAAAACAAAAATAACTTTTTGATGTTTAAACTATTGTTTTCTACTTTTTTCAGCTATATATGCATAGGATTGGGGAGATTTAAGTATATTGCCTAAGGTGACACAGCAAGAAAGCTAGGATTTGAACCCTGGCACTCTGGCTCCAGAGCCTGCACTCTAAATTGTATATTTCACTTACGTCATAGAGCAGGCATTATGTGGATGTCAGGACACATTCTGCTGGAAGATGGGCACAAAAACAGATAATAGAATTCACCACGCTAAGTGATACTAAGGAGGTATAGCAAGGAGCACGAAGGAGAAACACCAGTATGAGCTGGGGTAGAAGAGGTGATATATGAGCCTTTCCATCCTCAAGGATGAGGTTACTGATCTGAGAAGGAAGCGAGGCATCCCAGCCAAAGGATGCTGCAGCACAAAGTCACGTGGTCACACTGGAGAGGGTGACCAATAGGGCCTGTGGGGAGTCTAGGAAGGTGGCTCACAGCCTACATGAATTTGTTGTTCACTTATAAGGCATGCTGGGAGCTGGTAGAGGATTTTAGACAAGGAAGTGATAGGGTAATTTTTGTGTTTTGAAGGTAACTGCGGCAGCAATATGGGGAATGGATTGAAGAGAGGAAAGAATGGGACAGGGAGATGGCTACTGGGTGGCTGATAGAGCAGGTGAGAGGTGTGTGGTCTGAACTGTGTCAGGTCAGTGGCACTGAGATCAGTGTTTGGGTTTTAGAGACATGAAGCAAACATGACTTGTAGCTATTAGAGCAGGGGCAGAGATGGGGTCCATAATGAATAAGAGGGAGGAATTGGGATCTTGGAGGATCCTTAGGAAACTGGGTAAACAACATCAGAGTTCAGGAGATAGAGTGTGTTGGGAAAGGTAATGAGTTTTGTTTTGAACACTAAAGAGCACCTAGCCAGACAATTAGATTGTCTTACAAATGAAGAAACTGAGCTGACACAAATTATGGGTCAAGTTAAGGAACTCGTCTGAATTTACAGCATATTGGAGGTAGAGCTTCAACTTGAACACAGGTTTTCCAGTTTCTAGTCAATTGTTTTTTCAACTTCAGAGCAGTTACCTCATTTAAAAAGTTAGGCAGCAGTCTGCAGCTCAGTAGAGATGCTTGAATGCAGAAGTGTGTAAATGCTAAAATGTGGCCTGAGAACTAGGAACTTTAGAGGTCATTGTACATATCAGGACACAGGCCTAGAGAACAGAGAGACTGTGCAAACAGGTGCGGCCAAGCTGGATTTTGGACCTGACTCTGACACTTAGTTTAGCTCTCTGTTTTACTCAAATTTTAAGTTAAGTGTTGGGTTATCACTTTGTGGGGCTAGGGGCTGGTCTTAGAAGTTGTAGAATCAGGCCAGGAGTGGTGGCTCACGCCTGTAATCCCCCCACTTTGGGAGGCTGAGGCGGGCGGATTACAGGGTCCTGAGATTGAGACCATCCTGGCTAACATGGTGAAACCCCGTATCTACTAAAAATACAAAAAATTAGCCAGGCGTGGTGGGATGTGCCTGTAGTCCCAGCTACTCGGAAGGCTGAGGCAGGAGAATGGCTTGAATCTGGGAGGCGGAGGTTGCAGTGAGCCAAGATCGGGTCACTGCACTACAGCCTGGGCGACAGAGAGAGACTCCGCCTCAAAAAAAAAAAAAAGTTGTAGAATCACTGTCTTGTAGGTCTTAATTTGGTGGAGCACCTTTTGTCTCACTAGTGCCTTCCACTGACAAACCCACCTGATACTCAAGGTGATCCAGCAGCCTGGAACACTTAGTCAGCCTGCAGAGGCTGGCCTCCGACTCAGCGGCACAGAGGAAGGCTGACAGTGGATCTGAGAGGCCCAAGGACCACACAGGCTTTTCTCTTTTTTTTATTGTTTTGAGATGGGAGTTTCGCTCCTGTGGCCCAGGCTGGAGTGCAATGGTGTGATCTCGGCTCACTGCAACCTCCGCCTTCTGGGTTAAGCAATTCTCCTGCCTCAGCTTCCCTAGTAGCTGGGATTACAGGCGCCTGCCACCATGCCCAGATAATTTTATGTATTTTTAGTAGAGATGGGGTTTCACTATTTTGGCCGGGCTGGTCTCGAACTCCTGACCTCAGGCGATCCACCCACCTCAGCCTCCCAAAGTGCTGGGATTATAGGCGTGAGCCACCGTGCCCGGCCCAACACACAGGCTTTTCTTCTGGAATCACTCATGGTTAAGCGCTGTGTTCAGCAAACAGAAAAGTGATTACACCCTTTCTATATGCAGAATTGATACTTTTTTTAAAAAGTACATTTTTAAGAAAGTTAGGCCAAGCATGGTGGCTCATGCCTGTAATCCCAGCCACCACTTTGGGAGGTCAAGGTGGAAGGAACACTTGAGCCCAGGAGTTCGAGACTAGCCTGGGCAACATAGTGAGACCCCATTTTTACAAAAAATAGAATTAGCTGGGTGTGGTGGCACACACCTGTAGTCCCAGCAACTTAGGAGGCTGAAGTGAGAGGATTGCATGGCTCCAGGAAGTTGAAACTGCAGTGAACTGTGGTCACGCTATTACACTCCAGCCTGGGTGACAGACTGAATCCCTGTCTCAAAAAGGAAAAGGTAAGAAAATTACCTTGGGCTCAGGTAGAAGTCATGCTTGCATTTTCCATCAGGAATTACATCTTTTGAGCAGAGTTGAGTAGTTGATTTTGGAATTGTGCCATTTGTATATGCCACAGCATTTTTGCCAACACATATATTTTGGCCCTAAAAATAGACAGTGAAAAAGAGATGGGATTGCTTCTCTTTCGATTGTTGGCAGACCTATTGGGTAACATTTAATCATTTTGGGCTGGACACGGTGGCTCCTGCCTGTACTCGCAGCACTTTGGGAGACCATGGCAGGCGGATCACTTGAGGTCAGGAGTTTGAGAGCAGTGTGGCCAACATGGCGAAACCCTGTCTCTACCAAAAAAAAAAAGATTACAAAAATTAGCCAGACTTGGTGGCTTACACCTGTAATCCTAGCACTTTGGGAGGCTGAGGTGGGTGGATTGCCTGAGGTCAGGAGTTCGAGACCAACCTGGTGAACATGGTGAAACCCTGTCTCTACTAAAAATACAAAAATTAGCTGGACGTGATGGGCACCTGTAATCCCAGCTACTTGAGAGGCTAAGGCAGGAGAATCATTGCTTGGACCCGGGAGACGGAGGTTGCAGTGAGCCAAGATTGCACCATTGTACTCCAGCCTGGGTGACAAGAACAAAACTCCGTCTCAAAAAAAAAAAAAATTAGCTGGGCATTGCTGGTGCACACCTGTAGTCCCAGCTACTCGAGAGGCTGAGGCAAGAGAATCACTTAAACCTGGGAGGCAGAGGTTGCAGTGAGCTGAGATCGCACTACTGCACTCCAACCTGGGCCACAGAGTGAGACTTCATCTCAACAACAACGAAAAAAATCAGAATTCTAATGTTTTATTTTTCCAAGGGAAAATTTGCCCGAAACTGGATACTAGAAAAACTCCTATGGCCGGTTTTTGCAGTGCAAACCAAAAACACTATTCCTTTTTCTTTCTTTTGGTATTAACCTTTTAAGATCACTTTTAAGCTGGGCCCAGTGGCTCATCCCTGTAATCCCAGCACTTTGGGAGGCTGAGGCGGGTGGATCACCCGAGGTCAGGAGTTCAAGACCAGCCTGGCCAATATAGTGAAACCCCGTCTCTACTAAAAATACAAAAAATTAGCCAGGCGTGGTGGTGGGCGCCTGTAATCCCAGCTACTCGGGAGGCTGAGACAGGAGAATTGCTTGAACCCAGGAGGCAGAGGTTGCAGTGAGCCGAGATTGCACCATTGCACTCCAGCCCAGGCGACAGTGTGAGACTCCATCTAAAAAAAAAGACCATTTTTTAGTAAATTATGAATTATTTACATATTTTTCTTTATACCTCATGCTTCAGTAGGACGATTGATATCTTTGTTCGTCAATTTTATTGATGTATAATTTACATACAACATGTGTATTTTAATAGATTTTTGAATTTTGACTAATATGTACATCTTTATAACCAGCACCCTGATCAAGATTTCTGTAATTATCAAAATATCTCATATAACCCATAAATATACATACCTACTGTGTACCCACAAAAATAAAAAAATTAAAAAAGATTTCTGTAACTTTGCCCCCCTTTTGTAGCTACCTCCCACCTATAGCCTTAGGCAACCATGAATTTGCTTTCTCTGACTACAGATGATATTATTCTTTTTGGCAAACTTTTCCTGTGAAGGGCCAGAGGGAATCATTTCATGTAAACTCTTGTGTCAGGCATCTCTTGCTCAGTATAACGTATTTCAGATTATCCTCATTGTTGTGTATGTTGTCAGTAGTTCATTTTTTTTTTTTTTTTCTTTGAGACGAAGTTTCGCTCTTGTTGCTCAGGCTGGAGTGCAATGGCATGATCTTGGCTCATTGCAACCCGGGTTCAAGCGATTTCCCCTGCCTCAGCCTCCTGAATAGCTGGGATTACAGCCTGTCACCACGCCTGGCTAATTTTTGTATATTTAGGAGAGACGGGGTTTCACCATGTTGACCAGGCTGGTTTTGAACTTCTGACCTCAGGTGATCCACCCGCCTCAGCCTTCCAAAGCGCTGGGATTACAGGCATGAGCCACCACCCTTGACCCATTCTTTTTATTATATTAGATTTTTCAGATAAGTGGAAGGTTTATCCATCTATCATTTGATGGACGTTTGGGTTGTTTCTACATTTTTATTGTTATGAATAATGCTGCAAAAAACATGTGTTTTCTGTTTTCTTGAGTATATATATACACCTAGGAGTAAAATTACTGAGTCATATGGTAATTCTGTGTGTAGCTTTTGAGGAACTGTCAAGTTTTTGCCCACAGGGCTATACCGTTTTACATTCCCACCAGCAATGTACGAGGGTTCCAGTTTCTCCGCATCTCACCAACACTTGTTATAACCATGCTAGTGGGGTGTGAAAGGACTATTGCTTTTTGCTAAAGTATATAAATGAAAGATACAGTTCAGTATTGATAGCATATTGCCACAGAATTGGTGGGGAAATCAGTGGATTTCAATATCGGTTTATATGTTCTAGGAGGATGGACTCAGACAAGTTCTGGAGGAGATGAAAGCTTTGTATGAACAAAACCAGTCTGATGTGTAAGTTTCATAAGATGATATTCTAAAACAATTCAATAATTAAGATGTTGAAATTGGCCGGGCGCGGTGGCTCACGCCTGTAATCCCAGCACTTTGGGAGGCTGAGGCGGGCGGATTACGAGGTCAGGAGTTTGAGATCAGCTTGGCCAACATGGTGAAACCTTGTCTCTACTAAAAATACAAAAATTAACCGGGTGTGGTAGTGGGTGCCTGTAATCCCAGCTACTCAGGAGGCTGAGGCAGGAGAACTGTTTGTACCCGGGAGGTGGAGGTTGCAGTGAGCTGAGATTGCACCACTTCACTCCAGCCTGGCGATAGGGCAAGACTCTGTCTCCAAAAAAAAAAAAAAAAAAAAAAAGATGTTGAAATCAGATAACCTTGCATTAGTTTTGGGATGCGATTTTTAAAAATTATCTGTAAAATTATCTGCTCTAGCTGTACAAATTAGCAAAAGTCTGAAGAAATTTGTGCTGATCACTGCTTAATAAATATCTGTTGTTTGGCTGATAAGAGTTGAAAGGAATTAGAGTGGACCTAAAATAAATGACATACCCTAAAATAAAAAATAAAAATAGGCTGGACACGGTGGCTCATGGCTATAAATCCCTGTGCTTTGGGAGGCCAAGGCAAAAGGATCAGTTGAGGCCAGGAGCCTGGACATATAGCAGGACTCTGTCTCTATTAAAAAAATAAAAATTAGCTGGGTGTGGTGGCACACACCTGGAGTCTTAGCTACTCAGCAGGGTAAGGTGAGAGGCTTGCTTGAGTGCAGGGGTTTGAGGCTGCAGTGAGCTATGATCACGTTACTGCACCCTAGCCTGGGTGACAGAAGGAGATCTCCATCTTTAAAAATAATAAATAAAAATAAAAACCTAACAAAGTGAAATACATGGTTCCCACTGTTTATATTTTTATCAACAGTTGCCTTAGTGAGTTTGTTAAAGGAAGAATAGGCAGTTTATTAAATGGATATAAATAGGAGCAGCAGTGATTTCTGATAGTTTGAGTGGAGTTCTCTGAGAACTAGCTATAAAAGGTTTCAGTGTAGTAGGTCCAGAGAGGTGACTAGATTTATTGACTCTTTAGAACTGAGCATGGTAGCTGGCACAGTGGAGAATTTGGGCGTATGACAAACTTCGTATGTTCCTGTGCGACACCAAAGGGAGTCAAGTACTGGATCAAAGTTGAAGTATTCAGGGTCTCAACTGTCTGTGACATGAGGTTTCCTCTTTGGGCTTGTTCGCTACAGTGTTTTTATCAGTTACTTGAATATAGAAATCAGTGTTATGGCTGGTAAGATTTGTGAGGCACATAAAATGATAGGAGCATTTCCAACTCCTGTGTATAAGGAGAGATACAGAAAAATCTTTACAGGTGGACTGAGGAAGTGAACCTCAACAGATTTGCAGTAAATATAAGGCAGATTTAAAGTCCTGAACTCAAGTCCCTAAGCCATTCATTGATTTACTCAAATATGTACTAAACAAATATGTATCAATAAGTGGCTGTGCTATTTCAGTGGTAAACAACAGTCAAGATGGCTTTCCCGGGCTGGGCACAGTGTGGCCCATGCCTGTAGTCCCAGCACTTTGGGAGGCCGAGGCGGGTGGATCATCTGAGGTCAGGAGCTCGAGACCAGCCTGACCAACATGGTGAAACCCTGTCTACGAAAAATACAAAATTAGCCATGCGTGGTGGCGCATGCCTGTAATCCCAGCTACTCCGGAGGTTGAGGCAGGAGAATCGCTTGAACCTGGGAGGCGGAGGTTGTGGTGAGTCGAGATCGCGTCATTGCACTCCAGCTTGGGCAACAATAGCGAAACTCCATCTCAAAAAAAAAAAAAAAAAAAAGATGCCTGTCCCTGGCGCTCACTGTCTAGTGCAGAAGACAGACATGAAATATAGATATGCCAAATTGGGATTCATGCTATGAAGGAAATCAGAAGAGTGCAAGGAGAAAGAAAAATGAATAGAAGGTCTAGCTTAAATTGAGGAATCAGGGAACTTCTCTCCAAAGAGGAGACATTTCAGCTGAGGCCTGCAGGAGATGCAAGTCTTAGGGAGGCAGTGACTGTGGGCATAGAACATTCTAGGTGGAGGGAACAGCATATGCAAAAGCCCCTGAATCATGGAAGAGAATGGGGCACTCAAGAAACTGACACTTAAAGAAGACCTATGTGGCTGGAGTTTGGCAAGTGGCAAAGGATGACACCAGATGAGGTGTAAGTGTGGACAGGTGGTGGTGTGTTTGTGTCTTAAAAGATAATGCTGGTTGCTGTGTGGAGGGGCTGAGAGGTGGGGGAAGCTGGTCACCAGGTTACTAGAGAGGTGACCCAGACTTGGTAGAAAGTGAGAAGGTTATAAATGTTTTGGAGGAGACCCTATAGGCCTTGGTTCAGTAAGGGAATGATTTTCTTGTATTCTCTGTGTTTATGCCATTCGCAAATTCATGATCCAAAATTCTTTATTCCACCTTCCTAGTTTCATCAGACTTTCATAGGGTGGCAGAAGTATATAGAACAGCCCTAGAAGACATGACAGGATGGGACATGTATTTTGCCTGTATTATCAGGGCCTAGCACAGTGCCTGGCATAGAGGCAGGCACTACATGAATGAATTCTTTTTATATGCATATGGTTGCTTAAAAACTCCAAAGTAGATTCTTATTCATTCAAAAGTTACATGTACTTTTTATAGGGTAAAACCAAAATTTTCAGTGTGAGAAATACTGAAGTATAGTACGTACACGTATTTGGAGATCAACAGATATTTGTAAGATGAGTGAAAGACCATTTTGACTCCATTTTACCTCACTTTGTTATAATGAGGATTTGGAAGCTCCACTGGAAGGGAGGTACTATGTAGAATAGCGACATGACGTAAGACCATAACCTCATGTCCATCATGTTAGCTTTGTCTCTTATCTCAGCGTGATAATGGAATCCTGAAAAGTGAATAACACAGTGTCTTTTAGAAAGAATAGAGATTAATCAGTGTGCAAAAATGCAAAGTACCAAATGCCTAAACAAAATGTATCTGGTAGCATGATCTTAGGCAAGTTGTTTAGGTTTTGGCTTTTTAACATATTAATAAAAGCTCTGATGTACAAATAGTTATTATTTGCTTAGGTTAACTGCTAATCACAAATGGATTAAAAACAAGCATGTAACTCAGTTGTTAGTTGGCTTTGAAAATTTTACTTATCCTGAAAAGTACATATTTTTTTTCTTTTTAAATGCTCCTATCAGGAATGAAGCAAAGTCAGGTGGACGAAGTGATTTGATACCAACTATCAAATTTCGACACTGTTCTCTGTTAAGAAATCGACGCTGCACTGTAGCATACCTGTAAGCTTCTCAGTTTTTGCTTGGGGTGGCAGGATTTTCTGTGTGGCTTCCCAGTTGACCATCTCAAATGGGTAACATGAAATCTTAGATCTCTCTCTCTTTGTAAGCATTCTAAATTTTTCCTCTGTGTTTTCATTTTTTTAATTTTTTATTATGAAAAATCACAACACTTTTAAAAGTAGGGAGAATAATACTATAATGAACCCCAGTGGAGCTATCATATGGTTTTAACAATTTTTATTATTTTGCCATATTTTTTTCATCGTGTTTCACTTGTTGGTGCCACACTATTTAAGTGCATCACGGTCTTTCACTACTGAATACGGTAGTGTTCTTACTATTTTTTCTTTGTCTTAGAAATAAGGACCTTTGGCCAGGCACAGTGGCTCATGCCTATAATCCCAGCAATTTTGGAGGCCAAGGCGGGTGGATCATCTGGGATCAGGAGTTCGAGACCAGCCTGGCCAACATGGTGAAACCCTGTCTCTACTAAAAATACAAAAATTAGCTGGGAGTGGTAGCGGGTGCCTAATCTCAGCTACTTGGGAGGCTGAGGCAGGAGAATTGCTTGAATCTGGGAGCCAGAGGTTGTAGTGAACGGAGATCGTGCCATTGCACTCCAGGCTGGGTGACAAGAGCAAAACTCTGTCTCAAACAAAAAAAGGCGGGGGAAAGAAAGAAATAAGGACCTTAGGGACCTTTTTCCCAGGACTACTGTGCTGCTGTCACACGTGGAGGAGTGGACAGTGCCTTCAGGTCGACTCTCAGACTGTGTTCATGTTCTTCTTGTTTTCCCTAAGATGTCTGTTTAGAGCTGGTGTGTTTGCATCAGGGGCCAAATGAAGTCCACACGTGATCCCCCGTTTATTCTTATGCCACCCAATACCTTCTTGATGTCCTAGGTATGACCGCTTGCTTCGGATCAGAGCACTCAGATGGGAATATGGTAGCGTCTTGCCAAATGCATTACGATTTCACATGGCTGCTGAAGAAGTGAGTTAGCATTGTTCAAGTTTATAAATTTTGAAAATGCTAAAGTTCTGGCATTGTTCTATAATAGTGTTTATTGGTATTCCTCTTTTTGTGTTTAATGTCTGTTTTTCCCCAATTTTTGGCTGGTATTTAGTATATAATGTGAGGGGAACTATGTGGTGAGGAGTAATTCTAAATCATATGTGGAAAATTCTATTATTACTTAACAAAATAGAGTCCCATGATGTTACTTATTAGTGATCCATCAGTGGGATTAAAAAACTGGCATTATTATTTGGTGATATTCCATGAAATGTTTACATGTGTATATATACTTTCCTAATCAAAATTCATATTTGCCTAGTCACTGAGGCAAAGAACTAGCCCATTATTTAAGGACATAGGATTGGAGTCAGGTGGGCTTAGGTTCAAATCTCTGCTGTCTAATATTGAGCAAGTCACTTGACCTGTTGCTGTGCCTAAATTTCCTTGTTACAGGATGAAGATCATATTACCTATCTATTACAGGTTGCAATGACTTTTGACACTAACTACCTGCAGTTATTGTCAACTAAGGAAGCTCACACAAGCTTTGATGTCCAGAGTGTTTATTGGGGCTTCATTACATAGACATGACTGATTAAATTGCTGGCCCTGTGATTGAGTTCAATCTTCATCCCTCTTCCCCTCCCTGGAGGTCAGACTGACATCAGGAGGGCCAAAGGCCCAATACTTTAATCACATGGTTGGTCTTTCTGGGGTAGCCAGTCCCAACTCTGAGTCATCTTGTTAGCACAGACTATGTAGGGGTTCACCACGAGTCACCTGAGTAGCACATACTCTCAGGGCACATCATAAATAACAAGACACTCCTATTACTTGAGAAAGTACAAGAATTTAGAAGCTACCTCCCAGGAATGAGGGAGAGAGGCCCACCAAATTCTTTATTCTACAACAGTGTTATTACAAGGCCTATCACAGGGTTACTTCAGGTGGTCCATGTGGAGCACAGCATAGGATGGCACTCAATAAATGTTAACAGTTACTACATTACAGTTGCATAGCACAGAGCTTAAGAAAGAAAATATTCAGTGCAGCAAACCACCATGGCACATGTATACCTATGTAACAAACCTGCACGTTCAGCACATGTATCCCAGAACTTAAAGAAAAAAAAAAAACAAATATTCAATGTGTTTGCCATTAGATTCTGCACATTTTTGAAAGTGATCTATTTGTTGTCATAGCTTCATTTTCATTCTGTTCATTTTCTGCATAAATAAATGAGTAATCTCTACCTCAGATTTACCAGTGACTACGAAATTGGTAACATGTTAGTACCTCACTTTATGCTCTTTGTGTTCAAATCTACTTATATTAATTGAACTTTGGGGTACTTACTGTGTATTATGGTGAGATGAACAGAACATTATGTTTCTCTAACGACAGTAGCTTTAATGATTTTTCTCATACAATATTTTAGATTAATTTTTTTGTGTATTTTTTGAGATGGAATCTCGCTCTGTTGCCCAGGCTGGAGTACAGTGGTGCATTCTCTGCTCACTGCAACTTCCGCCTCCTGGCTTCAAGCAATTCTCCTGCCTCAGCCTGCCAAGTAGCTGTGATTACAGGTGCGTGCCTCCATGCCTGGCTAATTTTTGTATTTTAGTAGAGACAGGGTTTCACTATGTTGGCTAGGCTGGTCTCGAACTCCTGACCTTGTGATCTGCCCCTCTTGGCCTCCCAAAGTGCTGGGATTCCAGGTGTGAGCCACAGCGCCTGGCGATTAATATGTTTCTTACAATTTAGTAAATGATTACAAGCTGCATTTATTCAAGCACATCAATTAGATTTCATATTGGGCATTGTTTCTGTAAGGGTGGCACTTTTCTGTGATTACTGAGTTCCCAAAGTCAGTTTCTATTTTAATGAAATATAACAATGTTAACAGCAAATAAAATATATATATATTTTTTTGAGATGGAGTCTCGCTCTGTTGCTCCAGCTGGAGTGCAGTGGCACGATCTTGGCTCACTGAAACCTCTGCCTCCCGGGTTCAAGCGATTCTCCTGCCTCAGCATCCCGAGTAACTGGGATTACAGGTGCCCACCACTACACCCAGCTAATTTTTGTATTTTTAGTAGAGACGGGGTTTCACTGTATTGGCCAGGCTGGTCCTGAGCTCCTGACCTGATGATCTGCCCACCTCAGCCTCCCAAAGTGCTGGGATTACAAGTGTGAGCCACAGTGCCTGGCCTTATATAAAATAATATTAATGGGTCTAGAGATTAAGTTGTTTGAGAATAGTGAAACCTGAGATAGTTTCTTGGAAGAGTTTGTGAATTACTGCAAAACTGGCAAATGACTTCCTTCTACCCCAGTGACCTCATCTATAAAAAGGAATATACCAGCCTGGCCAACATGGTGAAACCCTGTTTCTACTAAAAATACAAAGATTAGCTGGGTGTGGTGGTGTGCACCTGTAATCCCAGCTGGTCAGGGAGGCTGAGGGCAGGACAATTGCTTGAGCCTGGGAGGTGGAGGTTGCGATGAGCTGAGATCGCACCACTGCACTCTGGTCTGGGAGAGAGAGTGAGACCCTGTCTCAAAAAAAAAAAAAAAGAAAAAAAGAAAAAGAATAAAAGGAATATACATGGTCTCGTTCTCTTAGTAGTGATGTTTTGGAAACACTGAAGGATGAGAAGAGATTAATACAGATAAACTCTGTAGTAGACCACAGACATCTCTGCTTGAGCAATTGCATCGTGGCAACTGCATCAGCCATTTTGGACCAGTAACAAAGAATATTTCCAGGTATCCCTGACAGCTTATAGGAGCCTATGAGGTCTGAATGTCATCATAGGTATCTGTATTACCCAAGGATAGTGCTTCAATGGGTGACTGAAGCACATGGGCTTGAGTCTGCCACCTAAATTCAGATCCCTGCCTTGTTAACTCTGAGCCCTTTGGTAAATTATCTAATCTCTCAAAGCTTCAGTCCTTCATGAATAAAAAGAAAATAATAATAGTAGTTACATCATGGGGCAATGAAAAAGAGAAAATAATGCATATTAAAATTTTAGCAAATTCCTGGTATATAGTAAGCACTTTATTACTGGGAGTGATGATTTCAATATTGTTGACTCAGGCTAGCAATAAAAGTAAAAGCAGAGCTAAAATAAGGTTACTAACATGAAACAGATGATCATGTGTTAATGTTTAGAGAAAACACCATTGAAAGAATATGAAAGCACACTGATGATAAGTAAAAATCTTATTATCTGATTTCAAAGTAGTAACATCTTTTGTTTTCAAAGTAGTAACATCCTTTATGTTTTTAAAATAATAACATCTTTTGTTTTCAAAGTAGTAACATCTTTTATGTTTTTAAAATAGTAACATCTTTTGTTTTTTGATTTCCTAAGTTTCTGTTTAGAATCTTTAAGCCACTAACATGAGAGATAGTGAAAATAGGTATTTTTTTCTTTCCTATTAATATTTTTCCATAAGGAAAACTAAAAAATTTGTGACTATATCAGTATGTTCTTTTGTGGAAGTAACGTGCTTATTCTACATTTCCCTTTTATCTGTGAATGAGACTGAATGAGGGTAACACCCTCATTGTCAAAACAGCTTCTGATTTTTCTTCCACTTCATCTTCTCTTTGGGGTCTGTTACACTCTTCTCAGTGGAGACAAAGTAGAAAAGACCACAGTGGAAACACCCATGTTTGACTCATTTGGCAAGATCTCTCTCAGAGAACTTTTC
Organism: Homo sapiens; assembly: GCF_000001405.40. Classification (NCBI taxonomy): domain Eukaryota; kingdom Metazoa; phylum Chordata; class Mammalia; order Primates; family Hominidae; genus Homo; species Homo sapiens. Next base: position 25,421,943 of record NC_000020.11, read on the forward strand.
TTCATACTTATCAATACAAAATATCATTTTTTATCCTTTATATTATAAAAAACAATGCAGTTTTTACCACCTTGGCATACATACCTTTTAAATCTTTTAAAATCACTTAATTTAACCATTTGCATTGTGAAATCTAACATAAAAACAGGCACATGCAAACACATCTGAAAAGGTGCAGAAAACGAAGATGTACAGCCCAATGATGTGTCACTGAGGAATTCCCATGTATCCATCACCCTGTTCAAGAAAGAACATTGCTCCGGAACCTTTGTGTCCCTCCTCCCAGTGATCACTACCCTCCTGACTTTTGTGCAGACTAATCACTTCCTTATTTTTAAAAATCTTATTGCTCTGGATGCAGTGGCTCACACCCGCAACCCCAGCACTTTGAGAGGCCAAGGTGGATGGATTGCCTGAGCTCACGAGTTTGAGACCAGCCTGAGCAACAGGGTGAAACCCTATCTCTACCAAAAAAAGAAAAAAAAAAACAAAAAAAAACTTAGCTAAGTGTGGTGGCATGCGCCTGTGGTCCCAGCTACTCAGAAGGCTGAGGTGGGAGGATCACTTGAGCTTTGGAGGTAGAGGTTGTAGTAAGCTGAGATTGCGCCACTGCACTCCAGCCTGGGTGACAGTGAGACCCTGTCTTAAAACAGCAACAAAAAAACTTGCCATTTACCACCTAAGCATGCATTTCTAAACACTATAATTTAGTGTTGCCCATTTTTTGAACTTTATATAGATTCATGCAGTATCCTTTAATGATTGATGACTTTCACTAAATGTAATATTTTTGAGATTCTAATCTGTTGATATATTAGCAAGAGCTCATTCCTTGTTTTTTATTTTGTTTAGACGGAGTTTTTTGCTCTTGTTGCCCAGGCTGGAGTGCTGTGGCGTGATCTTGGCTGACCGCAACCCCCGCCTCCCGGGTTCAAGCGATTCTCTTGCCTCAGCCTCCCAGCTATCTGGGATTACAGGCATGCACCACCACGCCTGGCTAATTTTTTGTATTTTTAGCAGAGATGGGTTTCTCCATGTTGGTCAGGCTGGTCTTGAACTCCCGACCTCAGGTGGTCCACCTGCCCCAGCCTCCCAAAGTGCTGGGATTACAGGTGTGAGCCACCACACCTGGCCGAGCTTATTCCTTTTTAATGCTGAATAGTATTTCTGGTTTTTTTTTTGTTTTTTTTGAGAGACAGTTTGACTCTGTCGCACAGGCTGGAGTGCAGTGGCATAGCTCGGCTCACTGCAACCTCCGCCTCCCTGGTTCAAGCAATCCTCCTGCTTCAGCCTCTGGAGTAGCTGGGACTACAGGTGTGTGCCACCATGCCCGGCTAATTTTTGTATTATTAGTGGAGGTGGGGTTTCACCATGTTCACCAGGCTGGTCTTGAACTCCTGGCCTCAAGAGATATGCCCACCTTGGTCTCCCAAAGCTGGGATTACAGGAGTGAGCCACCGTGCCTGGCCTACCCAGAGGTTATTAAGGTTATTAAGATATTTTTCTTTTCTTTTTTTTTTTTTTTTTTTTTTTTTTTTTTTTTTGAGACGGCATCTCACTCTGTCGCCCAGGCTGGAGTGCAGTGGCTCAATCTTGGCTCACTGCAAGCTCCACCTCCCGGGTTCAAGCCATTCTCCTACCTCAGCCTCCCAAGATATTTTTCTTCTCTCTTTTTTTTTTTTTTTTTCCGAGACGGAGTCTCTCTGTTGCCCCCAGGCTGGAGTGCAGTGGCATGATCTCAGCTCACTGCAAGCTCTACCTCCCGGGTTCATGCCATTCTTCTTCCTCAGCCTCCCGAGTAGCTGGGACTACTGGCGCCCGCCACCACGCCTGGCTAATTTTTTTGTATTTTTAGTAGAGACGGGGTTTCACCATGTTAGCCAGGATGGTCTCAATCTCCTGACCTCATGATCCACCCGCCTCGGCCTCTCAAAGTTCTGGGATTACAGGCGTGAGCCACCGTGCCCGGCCTTTTTTCTATGTAATCTTTTAGGAGCTATATTTTACCTTTTACAAAGAGATCTACAGTATTGGGATTAAGTTTTGTGTATACTACAGGAGGCATGCTTCATTTTGAATATAGATATTGAGATGACCCAGCACCATGTATTGAACAGATCTGCCTCTCCCATCACTGTGTGCATGGTGCCACCTTTGTCATACATTGAGTGTCAGTATTCCTGTGGATTCTGAATGGGAGGACTTTTTCTTCTGTTATGCTAGTCTATCTGTTCTTATACCAATTCCACTGTTGTAATTACTGTAACTATATAGTATAGTTGGAGCAAGTTCCCATCTTGTTCTTTTTTGAGAGCATTTCAACTATTAGCCCTTTGCACTTCCATGTAAATTTTAGACTCAGTTTGTCAGGTTCCATTTTAAAGAAAGTTAAGATTTTGATTGAGATTGAATTGAATCTATAGATTGTTGACGTTATTACAATATTGAATCATCCAATCTGTGAATATGGTATTATTTAGGTCTTTCATTGTTTTCAACTTTTTTTTTAAAATAGCAGATTTACTGAGATATGATTCATACACTGTGAAGTTTACCATCTTAAATTGTACAGTGCAGTGGTTTTTAGTATATTCAGAGTTGTTGTGCATCCAATACCACATTCTTATTTGAGAATATTTTCATCACCCTACAAAGAAGCCCTGTCCCCTTTATAGTTACTCTATATTTTCTTCCCTCCTCCCAGCTCCTGGAAATCCCGAATCTACTTTCTGTCTCTATAGATTTACCTATTACAGGTTTTTCATATGAGTAGAATCATGCAATATGTGGCCTTCTGTCTTTCATGTGGTAATGGCAATACGTTTCAGAACTTCATTGTTACTTATGGTTAAATAATGTTCCATCATATGGGCACATATCCATTCATCAGCTGGTGGACATTTGGGTTTTCTTAACAATGTTTTATAGTTTTCAGAAATAGCATCAATGCAGAGTTTGAAGATATAATTCTGAAATGGCGTCTTTTTCATGGTTCTGTTTCTGGTCAAAGATTCCTAAGGTTTATTATTAAGTATGCTGAAATGTAAGCTCTCTGAGAACAGAGATTTTTGTTCACTTTATTGAATGATTCATTGTAAGTACCCAGACCAATGCCTATATCATAGGAGGCAATTAATATTTTAGCATTAATGAATGAATGGTCACAACAGTGATTTGTGTTGGGATGTGTACTGTTTTCGAATGGATGATATTCAGTGTGTGCAAGTTTTCTTAGAATTTTGTCAAATGATCATCTCTATGTTTGCAGATGGAGTGGTTTAATAATTATAAAAGATCTCTTGCTACTTATATGAGGTCACTGGGAGGAGATGAAGGTTTGGACATTACACAGGATATGAAACCACCAAAAAGCCTATATATTGAAGTATGTATATCTTTTTAAAATGCATTTTTCTTTAATGTGTAAATTGTGCTACCTTTTAAGAAGAGAGGAGTATATGAATATGTGTTAGCTTCTATTAAAATAGAAAAGAAGCATAGACCAAATCAAACAAGCTACCTGTAGGGGGATGACAGAATACGATGGAACAGCTATAATTTTCTGAATATACCTGTTTTAATAGTTTTGAGTATGGAACCCTATAAATGTTTTAGCTATTACTAAAACAAAGTTAAATCAAAATGGAAAATCAGTCCCTAAATTTTGAAAGTAAAATGAAACAAATGTCAAAACAAAGTTAAATCAAAATGGAAAATCAGTCCCTAAATTTTGAAAGTAAAATGAAACAAATGTCAAAACAAAGTTAAATCAAAATGGAAAATCAATGCTAAATTTTGAAAGTAAAAAAAGCAAATGTCTTTCAAGTTGGTGGATTAGTCAAAACAAGAGGTATTTTTGTTTCATTTTGTTTATTTTTTCTATTTTTTAAATAATAAAATACATATAAAATCTACCATCTTAGCTATTTTTAAATGTACATTTAAGTGGTATTAAATATTGTTTAACATTCCATATTGTTTTGCAACTTTCATATTGTTTTGCAGCTGTCACCACCATTCCATATCCAGATTTTTTTCATCTTATAAAACTGAAACTCTACCCATTAAACAATAACTTCTCAATACCCCTGCCTCCCATCCCCCAGCAACCACCATTCTACTGTCTGTCTCTGATTTTGACTACTGTAACTACCTCATGTGAGTGGAATCATATAGTATTTGTCTTTTTGTTTTCTTTTGTTCTCGTTAGAGAATAATTTCTGAGAAGCTACAAATGACAAGTTATTTGTCTTTTTGTGACTGGCTTATTTCACTTAGCGTAATATCTTCAGGGTTCATTTCTGTGGTATCTGTGGTAAGAATTTGTGTCAGAATTTCCGGCTGGGCACGGTGGCTCATGCTTGTAATCCTAGCGCTTTGGGAGGCTGAGGAAGGAGGATCACCTGAGGTCGGGAGTTCAAGACTAGCCTGACCAACATGGAGAAACCCCGTCTCTACTAAAAATACAAAATTAGCCGGGCACATGCCTGTAATCCCAGCTACTTGGGAGGCTGAGGCAGGATAATCGCTAGAACCGGGGAGAAGGAGGTTGCGGTGAGCTGAGATTGCACCATTGCACAATTTTTTTTTTCTTTTTTTTGAGATGGAGTTTCACTCTTGTTGCCCAGGCTGGAGTCTAGTGGTGCGATCTTGGCTCACCGCAACCTCCGCCTCCTGGGTTCAAGTGATTCTCTGGCCTCAGCCTCCCAAACAGCTGGGATTACAGGCATGTGCCACCACCCCTGGCTAATTTTGTATCTTTAGTAGAGACTGGGTTTCTCCATGTTGGTCAGGCTGGTCTCGAACTCCCGAGCTCAGGTGATCCTCCCTCCTCGGCCTCCCAAAGTGCTGCGATTACAGGTGTGAGCCACTGCGCCTGGCCCAGAATTTCCTTCCTTTTTAAGGATGAGTAATATTCCTTTTTCTGGCTATACCACATTTTGCTTATCCATTTATCCATCTATGGACACTGGGTTGCTTCTTTATTTTAGCTATCATTTTATGATCAATGCTGCTATGAACGTGGATATATAAATCTCTTTGAGACTCTGCTTTTAATTTTGGGGGGCATATATCCAGAGTGGAATTACTAGATCATATGGTAATACTATGTTTGAGGAATTGTCATACTGCTTTCCACAGCAGCCATACCATTTTACATTCCAACATTACGCAAGGGTTCCATTTTCTCCACATCCTCACCAACACTAAATATTTTGGGGTTATTTTGTTTCGTTTTTGAGACAGAGTTTTGCTCTTGTCACCCAGGCTGGATGCAGTGGCGCGATCTCGGCTCAACCTGCAACCTCCACCTCCCAGGTTCACCTCAACTGCAACCTCCACCTCCCAGGTTCAAGTGATTCTCCTGCCTCAGCCTCCCAAGTAGCTGGGATTACAGGTGCCCACCACCACACCTGGCTAATTTTTGTATTTTTAGTAGAGACACGGTTTCACCATTTTGGCCAGGCTGGTCTTGAACTCCTGACCTCAGGTGATCCTCCCGCCTCAGCCTCCCAAAGGCATGAGTCACCATGCCTGGCCTTGTTCTGTTTTTTAATCATAGCCATCCTAAAGGATGTAAAACGTGGTTTTGACTTTTATTTCCCTAATGATTAGTGATGTTGAGCATCTTTTCATATGCTTATTAGCTATTCCTGTGTCTTCTTTGGAGAAATGTTTATTCAAATAATTGGCCCCCTTTATGGGGCCCATTTTCAAATAGGGTTTTGTTGTTGTGGAGATTTAGAAATCCTTTATGTATTCAGTATGTTAATTTGTTATCAGATATATGATTTGCAAATATTTTCTCCCATTCTCTGGGTTGCCTTTTTATGCTGTTGATAGTGTCTTTTTTTTTCTTTTTTTTCTGTTTTCTTCCTTCAGTATCATGTTGATATTTTAAAATTTTCATGCAGCCCAGTTCGTCATTTTTTTTTTTTTTTTTTTGAGATGGAATTTTGCTCTTGTTGCCCAGGCTAGAATGCAGTGGTGTGATCTCGGCTCACTGCAACCCCTGCTTCCTGGGTTCAAGCGATTCTCCTGCCTCAGCCTCCTGAGTAGCTGGGATTACAGGCATGCACCACCACACCCAGCTAATTTTTTGTATTGTTAGCAGAGATAGGGTTTCATCATGTTGGCCAGGCTGGTCTTGAAATCCTGACTTCAGGTGATCCACCCACCTTGGCCTCCCAAAGTGCAGGGATTACAGGCGTGAGCCATCGCACCCGGCCAATTTTTTTTGTTTTGTTGGTTGTGCCTTAGGAGTCATATCCCAGAAATCATTGCTAAATACAATGTCATAAAACTTTTGACCTGTATTTCCTTCTAAGTATTATGTTGTTTTACATTTGCATTTCGGTCTTTGATCCATTTCAAGTTAATTTTTGTATGGTGTTAGGTGATGGTCCAACTTTATTTTTTTGCATGTGGAAATCTAGCTTTCCAAGCATAATTTCTTTTTTTTTTTTTTTTTTTTTTTTGAGACAGAGTCTCTGTCTGTCGCCCAGGCTGGAGTGCAGTGGCACAATCTCGGCTCACTGCAAGCTCTGCCTCCTGGGTTCACGCCATTCTCCTGCCTCAGCCTCCCGAGTAGCTGGGACCACAGGTGCCCACCACGACGCCCAGCTAATTTTTTGTATTTTTTAGTAGAGACGGGGTTTCACCGTGTTAGCCAGGATGGTCTGGATCTCCTAACCTTGTGATCCGCCCACCTCGGCCTCCCAAAGTGCTGGGATTACAGGTGTGAGCCACCGCACCCGGCCTCCAAGCATAATTTCTTAATAAGACTGCCCTTTCCCCATTGTGAATGGTTTTGACACTCTTGTCAAAAATCATTTGACTATGTAGGCAAGGGTTTATTTTTTATCTCTTTATCCTATTCCATTGTTCTGTACATCTGTCGTAAAAAAAGTTTTTTTAATATATATATACATCTGTCTTTATGCCAGAACTGTAGTATTTCGATTGTTGTAGCTTTGCAGTAAGTTTAAATTAGGGATTTTGGGTCCTCCACCTTCATTCCTCTCTCTTTTTTTTTTTTTTTTTTTTTTTTTTTTTTTTTTTTTGAAACGAAGTCTTGCTCTGTCGCCCAGGCTGGAGTACAGTGGTGCACTCTTGGCTCACTGCAACCTCCACCTCCTGGGTTCAAGTGATTCTCCTTTCTCAGCCTCCCAAGTAGCTGAGACTAAAGGCGCCTACCACCATGCCCGGCTAATTTTTTATAGTTTTAGTAGAGATGGGGTTTCACCATGTTGGCTAGGCTGGTCTCGAACTCCTGACCTCAGGTGATCCGCCCACCTCAGCCTCCCAGAGTGCCGGATTACAGGCATGAGCCACCACGCCCGGCCCCATTCCTCTTTTTAAAGGTTGTTTTCACTATTTGAGATTTTATATGGATTGTGGGATGGGTTTTTCTGTTTCTCCAAAAGACACTTTTGGGATTATAGTAGGGATTGTGTAGGTCACTTAGGGTGCATTGACATCTTAATATTAAATCTTCCAATCCATGAACATGGGATGTGTTTCCAATTGTTGATGTCATCTTTAATTTTCTTCAGCAGTGTTTTTTAGTTTTCATTGTTCAAATCTTTCTCCTCTTTCGTTAATTTAATTTCTATATATTTTATTCTTTTCGCACTGATAAACTGAATTATTTTCATAATTTTTATTTTCAGATTGTTCGTTGTTAGTGTATAGAAATGCAACTGATTTTTGTGTGTTGACTTTGCATCCTGTTACTGTGCTGAATTCATTTATTAGTTCTAAAAGTTTTTTGTGGAATCATTAAAATTTTCTACATGTAAGATCATATCATCTGCAAACAGATAATTTTAGTTTTTCCTTTTTAATTTAGAATCCTATTTCTTTTTCTTGTCTAATTACTCTGACTGTAACTCCAGTTTTATGTTGAATAGAAGTGGCAAAAGCAGAAATCTTTTGCCTTCTTAGTGAACTTAGAGGAAAAGCTTTCAGTCTTTCTTTTTCTTTTTGAGACAGAGTCTTGCTCTGTTGCCCAGGTTGGAGTGCAGTGGCACAATCTCAGCTCACTTCAACGTCCGCCTCCTAGGTTCAAGCGATTCTCCTGCCACAGCCTCCTAAGTAGCTAGGACTACAGGCACATGCCATCACGCCCAGCTAATTTTTGTATTTTTATTAGAGACAGGGTTTTACCATAGAGGCCAGGCTGGTTTTGAACTCCTGACCTCATCATCCACCCGCCTTGGCCTCCCAAAGTGCTGGGATTATAGGCGTGAGCCACCGTGCCTGGCCAGCTTTCAGTCTTTCACCATTGAATATGATGTTTGCTGTAGAGTTTCCATATATGGCTTTTATTATGTTGATGTATAGTTATCTTCTGTTCCTAGTTTGTTGAGTATTTTTATGAAAGGAAGTTGAATTTTGTCAAACGCTTTTTCTGTATCAATTGAAATGATCATGTTTTTTTCCCTTCGTTCTGTTAATGACTTATATTGATTGATTTTCATATCTTGAACTGTCCTTGCATTCCAAAAATAAATCTCAATTGATTTATGATGAACTCTTTTACTATGCTGCTGAATTTGATTTGATACTATTGTGGTGATAATTTTTTTAATTTTTATTTTTCAAGACGGAGTTTTGGTCTGGTTGCCCAGGCTGGAGTGCAATGGCACGATCTTGACTCACCGCAACCTCTGCCTCCTGGGTTCAAGCGATTCTCCTGCCTCAGCCTCCCAAGTAGCTGCGATTACAGGCATGTGCCACCACACCCGGCTAATTTTGTGTTTTTAGTAGAGATGGGGTTTCTCCATGTTGGTCAGGCTGGTCTCGAACTCCCGACCTCAGGTGATCCTCCCGCCTTGGCCTCCCAAAGTGCTGGGATTACAGGCGTGAGCCACCATGCCTGGCCTGTGTTGAGAATTTTTGCATCAGTGTTCATAAGGGACATTGGTCTATAGTTTTCTTGGAGTATCTTTTCTGGCTTTGGTATTAGGGTAATGCTGGCCTCATAAAATGAGTTAGGGAGGTGTTCCCTCCTTTTATATTTTTTAGAAAAGTTTGAGAAGGATTGGTGTTCTTGAAATGTTTGATAGAGTTACCCAGTGAAGCCATCAGCTCTAGGGTTTTCTTTATTGAGAGATTTTTGATTAGTGATTGAGTCCCCTTACTAGCTATAGGTCTATTCCAATTTACTAGTTCTTAATCATTCAGTCTTTGTAGGTTTGTGTTTCTGGGAATTTGTCCATTTCATCTAGGTTTTCCAATTTGTTGGTGTACAATTGTTCATAGGACTCTTAGAACTCTTTTTATTTCTGTAGGATTGGTAGTAATGTCCTCACTTTCATTTTTGATTTTAGTAATTTGAGCCTTCTTTTATTCTTAGTCTGTCTAGCTAAAGGTTTGTAAATTTTGTTGACCTTTTAAAATAACCAAATTTTAGTTTTATTGGTTTTCTCTATGAGTGTTTCTGTTCTTCATTTTATTAATGTCTGCTCTAATCATTATTTCCTCCTTCTAGCTTTAGGTTTAGCTTGCTTTTCTTTTTCTGGTTCCTTAAGATGTAAAGTTAGGTGGTTGGCTTGAAATTTGTCTTCTTTCGTTTTTGTTTTTGTTTCTTTTTTCTTTTTCTTTTTCTTTTTCCTTTTTTCTTTTTTCTTTTTTTTTTTTTGAGACAGGATCTCACTCTGTTACCCAGGCTGTAGTGCAGTGTCACAATCTCAGCTCACTTCATCCTCCGCCTCCAGGGTTCAAGTGATTCCCATGCCTCAGCCTCCCGAGTAGCTGGGACTGTAGGGGTGCGCCACCACGCCCGGCTAATTTTTGTATTTTTTGCTAGAGACAGGATTTTACTGTATTGTCCAGGCTGGTCTTGAACTCCTTACCTCAAGTGATCCACCCACCTTGGCCTCACAAAGTACTGGGATTACAGGTGTGAGCCACCATGCCTGGCCTTGTTTTTGTTTTTGAGACAGAGTCTCACTGTATTTTCCAGGCTGGAGTGCAGTGGTGCGATCTCGGCTTACTGCAACCTCCATTTCCCGGGTTCAAGTGATCCTTCCACCACAGCCTCCCAAGTAGAGTACCTGGGACTACAGGCATGTGCCTCCATGCCCAGCTAATTTTTGTATTTTTAGTAGAGACGGGGTTTCACCATGTTGGCCAGGCTGGTCTTGAACTCCTGACCTCAAATGATCTGCTGCCTCAGCCTCCCAAAGTGCTGGAATTGCAGGCGTGAGCCACCGCGCCTGGCCATGAAATCTGTCTTATTTTTTAATGTAGGTGTTTATGTTTGTAACTATAAATTTCTCAGTACTGCTTTTGCTGCATTCCATACATTTTGATGTGTTATGTTTTTGTTTTTTCACCTTTAAGTATTTTCAAAATTTCCTTTCTTTCTTTTTTTTTTTTGAGACGGAGTCTCACTCTGTTGCCCAGGCAGTGGCACAATCTCGGCTCACTGCAACCTCCGCCTCCCGAGTTCAAATGATTCTCCTACCTTAGCCTCCCAAGTGGCTGGGATTATAGGAGTGCACCACCACGCCCGGCTAATTTTCTTCTTTTTTTTAGACAGAGTCTTGCTCTGTTGTCCAGGATGGAGTGCAGTGGTGCGATCTTGGCTCACTACAACCTCCATCTCCCGAGTTCAAGCGATTCTCCTGCCTCAGCCTCCCGAGTAGCTGGGATTACAGGCACGTGCCACCATGCCTGGCTAATTTTTGTATTTTTAGTAGAGATGGGATTTCGCCATGTTGGCCAGGCTGGTCTGGAATTCCTGACCTCAGGTGATCTGCCCACCTCGGCCTCCCAAAGTGCTGGGATTACAGGCGTGAGCCACCACAACTGGCAGATGAATTGTTATTAGATGTGTCTATACTTGTTATATCTTCTTGTATGTATTATATATTTATCATATATTATGTTATATAGTATATGTTTATTATATATTAACTTATATAATAACATTATATATTAATATATATTCTATAATATATAATAGTCTTTTTTGTCTCTGGTAAGCTTTTTAAATTTAAAGTCCATTATAGCTAATATTAGTACAGCCACCCTGGTTCTCTTTTGGCAGGTATTCGCATAGAATATCTTCTTCTACCCTTTCACTTTCAATCTATTAATGTTTGTGTCTTTGGGTCTATAGTGAGTCTCTTGTAGACAACATGTGATTGGATCGTTTTGTTTAATCCATTCTGCTAATCTCTGTCTTTTGCTTAAAGAGTTTAATCCATCCCCTTTAACATAATTACTGATAAGGAAGGACTTCTGTCATTTTGCTGTTTTTCTATATGCCTTATAACTTTTTTTTTCTTGCAATGGACTGGGGAATAATAACTTTTTTGTCTCTCATTTCCTTCATTATTGCCTTCTTCAGTATTTAGTTGATTTTTTGAAACATTTAGATTTCTTTCTCATTTCCTCATTACCCCCCACAGATACCAAGATCCATGGATGCTCAAGTCCCTTATATAAAGTAGTATGGTATTTGAATAGTACCTAGGTACATGCTGTTATATACTTTAAATAATCTCTAGATTACTTACAATACCTTATACAATATAAATGCCATAGATATAGTTGTTATACCATATCATTTTTAGGGAATAACAATAAGGAAAAAAAGTCTGTACATGTTCAGTACAGACACAACCATCCATTTGTTTAAAAAAATTTTTGATTTGCAGATACGGAACCTACAGAGACAGAGGACCAACTATATTCTATAGCTGTTTTCCTTGTGGTTAGTGATAGCTAGTACATTTAATATCTTAAAATTATAACACTTTAATTTCAACTTACAGCAGCTTGACTTCAGTAACATACCAAAATTCTGATCCCTCAAATCAAAAGCTCCATCCTTATTTCTATTGTTGATGTCACAAAACTACATCTTTATATGTTGTGAGCCCCAAAACATAAACTAATAAATCTTTTAAATGCATTAGTTTCTTAAATTGTGTAGAAAACAAAATTTAGGGTTGCAAAGTTACAATAATACTAGCTTTTAGACTAATCAATGTTTTTTTAAATGTGTTAGTCACTGAAATCATGTTAAAAACAAAAAATAGGGGCTGGGGGTGGTGGCTCTTATGCCTGTAATCCTAGCACTTTGGGAGTCCGAGGTGGGTGGATTGCGTGAGCTCAGAAATTTGAGACCAGCCTGGGCAACATGGCAAAACCCCATCTCTACTAAAAATAAAAAAAATTAACTGGTGTGGTGGCACGAGCTTGTAGTTTCAGCTACTCAGGAGGCTGAGGCAGGAGAATCACTTGAACCAGGAGGTGGGGATTGCAGTGAACTGAGATCGCACCATTGCACTCCAGCCTGGGCGACAGAATGAGTCTCCACACCTCCCCGCTGCCCAGAAAAAAAAAACCCAACAAAAAATAGAGTTATAAAATGTTACAATATTGCTAGGTTTTAGAATTTTCCATGTATTCACTGTCTTAGTCCATTTGAGCAGCTAAAACAAAATACCTGAGACTAGGTAATTTCTAACGAACAGTAATTTTTTTTCTTTTTTTTTTAAAGAGACAAGGTCTTGCTCTGTTTGTCATCCAGGCTGGGGTGTGGTGGTACAATCATAGTTCACTACAGCCTTGAACGCCTGGGCTCAATCAATCTCCTGCCTCGGCCTCCTAAGTAGCTATGACTACGGGCATGCACTACTGTGCCTGGCTAATGTTTACATTTTTTGTAGAGATGTGACCTTGCTATGTTGCCAAGGGTAGTCTTGAACTCCTAGCCTCAAGCAGTGCTCCTGCCTCAGCCTCTCAGTGTTGGGATTATAGGCTTGAGCCACTGTGCCCAGCCAGCCTGTCTCAATTAATTCTGGAGGCCTGGATGTCCAAGATCAAAGTGCCAGCAGATTCATTTGTCTTCTGTGGGCTACACTCTGCTTCCAATGTGGCGCCTTGAATGCTGCATCCTCTGGAGGGATGAAATGCAGTGTCCTTGCATAGCAGAAGGTGGAAGGACAAAAAGGACCAAACTCCTTCCATCAAGTCATTTTATAATGGCATAAATCCATTTATGAAGGCAGAGCCCTTATGCCCTGACCACCTCACCAAAGTCCTCACCTCCCAACACTGTTGAATTGAGGATTAAATTTCTACCACATTGATTTTTGGGGATGCATTCAGACATAGCATTTACCTATATTGAGATCTTTATTTCTTCACATGGGTTCAAGTTACTATCTTGTGATAGTTACCATATATAGGATTCTTGGTTGGTGATGTTGTTCTTTTAGTACTTTGAATATATTGGCCCACTGCCTTCTAGCCTCCAAAGTTTGTAATAAGAAATTTGGTGAAAATCTTATTGAGGATCCCAGGTATGTGATGACTTACTTATCTTTTGCTGCTTTCTTTTTGAATTTTTTAGAGACAGGGTCTCACTGTGTCAAGCAGGATAAACCGCAGTGGCACAATCATAGCTCACTGTAATCTCAAACTCCTGGGCTGAAGCAATCCACCTCAGCCTCCCAAGTGGCTAGGACTAGTGGCGCATACCTCCAAGCCTGGCTAATTTTTAAAGTTTTTGGGGCCAGGTGTGGTGGCTCACGCCTGTAATCCCAGCACTTTTGGAGGCCGAGGCAGGCAGATCACAAGGTCAGGAGTTTGAGACCAGCCTGAGCAAAACGATGAAACCCCATCTCTACTAAAAATACAAAAATTAGCCGGGTGTGGTGGTGCACGCCTGTAATCCTAGCTACTCGGAAGGCTGAGGGAGGAGAATTGCGAATTGCTTGAACCTGGGAGGCAGAGGTTGCAGTGAGCCGAGATCACACCACTGCACTCCAGCACGGGCAACAGAGTGAGATTCCGTCTCAAAAAAAAAAAAAAAAAAAAAAAACCAACTTTTTGTAGAGTTACACTTTTTTTTTTTTTTTTTTTTGAGACGGAGTCTCACACTGTCACCCAGGCTGGAGTGCAGTGGCGCAATCTCAGCTCACTGCATCCTCCACCTCCCGGGTTCATGCCATTCTCCTGCCTCAGCCTCTCAAGTAGCTGGGATTACAGGCACCTGCCACCATGCCCAGCTAATTTTTTTTTTTTTTTTGTATTTTTAGTAGAGACGGGGTTTCACCATGTTAGCCAGGATGGTCTCGATCTCCTGACCTTGTGATCTCACCTTGGCCTCCCAAAGTCCTGGGATTACAGGCGTGAGCCACTGTGCCCGGCCGAATTAAACTTTTTCTAGATAACAGGGTCTCCCTATGTTGCCTAGGCTGGTCTCAACCTCTTGGCTTCAAGTGATGCTCCCACCTTGGCCTCCCAAAATGCTGAGATTATAGGTGTGAGCCACCCTGCCCAGCCCTCTCTTGCTGCTTTCAAGATTCTTTGTCTTTTGAAAGTTTGATTATAATGTGTCTCATTGCGAGTCTGAGATCATCTTGTAGTTTGTTGAGCTTCTTTGATGTTTATATTTATGTCTTTTATCAAATTTAAGGAGTTTTCAGTTACTATTTCTTCAAAAATTCTCTCTGCCCCTTTGTCTTTCTCTTCTTGGTTTGCTTGATGGTGCCCTTCAGGTCTCTCAGGCTCTGTCCTTTTCTTCGGTCTTTTTTTATTTTTGTTCTTCAGACTTAGTCATTTCTGTTATCCTGTCTTTAGGTTTGCTTGTTCTTCTGCCTGCTCCAATCTGTCTTTGAATCCCTCAAGTGAATTTTTCATTTCGGTTTTTATAGTTCTCAGCTCCGGAATATCTTTTTGGTCTTTTTAGGTTTTCTATTTCTCTACTATTTCCATTTTGTTCATACATTGTTTCCATAACTTTCTCCCCATCTTCCTGTAGTTCTTAGAGCATCTTTAAAACTCTTGTTGTAAAGTCTTTGTGTAATAGATCTACCATCAAGTCTTTTTCAGGGACCATTTCTTATTTTTCTTTTTCCTTTGAATGGACCATACTTTTATGTTTCTTTGTATGTCTTGTGATTTGATTGTTTTTGCTGAAAACCAGACATTTCAGTCTAATAATGTTATAACTCTATAAATCAGATTCTCCCCTTTCCCCCAGGGTTTGCTGGTTTTGTTACTGTTTTTGTTTTTTTGGTTGTTGTAAGCTGTCGCTGTGCTTAGAATCAACCTGAGGTATAACCTTAAGGTTTTCTCAAATCTTTATTGAACCTGTGCCTTTCCTTGGTCACTTTCTAATTTTTCCTGTATACACAGTTGCTTTTCACTGCCCTAGTCTTTAATGTCTGGCTCCTGAAAGGGGGAAAAAAGAAAAATGAATAGAGGTGGGAAAACGGTGCTAGCCCTTTAAATCCCCTGGAATTCACTTCAGTGGAATGCGGGAGGGGCTTGCAGCCTTTGAGAAGGTGTGACAAAAATGTCTGCCAGCCTCATCATTTGCACCTCTGTGATCAGAAACAGCAATCAGCAGTGAGGAGCAGGGTGCTTTTTGCACACTCTGCACCAGCAACCTGTGTACAAGCTACTCCAAGAACACATGCACTGTGGCCTGCCACAAAGCTAGGAACAGGGGATGGTTAGCTGCTGCTATGCTAAGAGGCAAAATGGACAGTAAATTGCAGTGAATGTTTGTCAAAGCTCCAACCTCAAGCCTTCAGTAGACTCCAGAGTTCCAAAATACTGACGTCAGACAGAGTCTGCCCGTGCAGTTGTTGTGGAGGTAGGCAGACAGATTCCTGATGTTTCCTACTCCACCATTTTACCTGAATCCAGGAGTTATTTACATTACTTTAAAACACATAAATTGTATATTCCTGGTATATATGTTCTGAGGACAAAAGAATTACAAAGAGTTCTTAACCTGTTTTTACTAATCATATTATTAGTAATAATTTTGTTACTGTTATTTTGAAACAGTTTTCATATTGAAGAATAGAGCAAAAGGGTAATTGACATTACCAACAGTTTTCAGAATAAGAGAAAAGGGGCCGGGCACAGTGGCTTACGCTTGTAATCCCAGCACTTTGGGAGGCCGAGGCGGGTGGATCACCTGAGGTCAGGAGTTTGAGACCAGCCTGGCCAACATGGTGAAACCCCATCTCTACTAAAAATACAAAATTTAGCCAGGCGTGGTGGCGGGCACCCGTAATCCCATCTACTCAGGAATTTGAGGCGGGAGAATCGCTTGAACCCATGAGAAGGAGGTTGCAGTGAGCTGAGATTGTGGCATTGCACTCCAGCCTGGGCAACAAGAGCAAAACTCCGTCTCAAAAAAAAAAAAAAAAAAGTATTGATTAGCTCTGCCTACCGAAAAGGCCTAGAAACAATGACCAAGCCAATTAGCCATGAGTGTCCAGAGTCTATACCTAAATGCCATTTCCCACTAAAGTAAACCAGGACTCCTTGCACAAAAATAGCTGATTCCAGGTTCTGAATTAAAAATGTACGAACTGAGCATGAAACATCTTGTCTTCCCAGAAAGGAAGGAAGGTGTCAAGGACTAAGCGGGGACTACTGGAAGGATATGGGGGCCAATTTGAAGGAGCTCTTGCTAACCAAAAAATGGACAATTTTAGCATCAACATGACTAATAACTGCGGTGAATTGGATCACATCAATTACGTTAGAAGTATGAATGCATAATGACACCAAAGAACAACACTTTTTTTTTTTTTTTTTTTTTTTTTTGAGGCAGTATCTGGGTCTGTTGTTCAGGCTGGAGTACAGTGGTACAATCTCGGCTCATTTGTTATTTAGGACCTGGAATCAGCTATTTTAGTGCAAGGAGTCCTGGTTTACTAAAACCTCCACCTCCCAGGCTCAAGCCATCCTCCCACCTCAGCTTCCACAGTAGCTGTAACTACAGGTGCTCACAACCACACCCAGCTAATTTTTGTATTTTTTGTACCGATGGTATTTCACCATGTTGCCCAGGCTCGTCTTGAACTCCTAAGCTCAAGCAATCCTCTTGCCTCTCCCTCCCAAAGTGCTGGGAATACGGGCATGAGCCACTGTGCCTGGCCAACAAAAATTTTAAAAAATAAAACATTTTTGAGGTTTCCTTGGAGAATGTGAGGGATCCAACTCATTTGAAAAGTGGCAAGTTAGAGAATGGAATAAAAGCATCCATTGTCTTTACTATACAAACTCTATCTTAAGGTAGCCCAATAGTTTACAAAGGAAATTTGTTTTTATAGAAGAATTCCAGCTAACAAATGTAGCAGGAATATAAGAATTAGATTAATGCTTGTAACCCTTTATTTACTAAAACCTTTCAGTAGATAATGGAGATCTTTATAATGCATGAGTATGGATGACACTTGGGCCCACTGATTAATCTCAACATCCAAAAAGAGACAGCCAGGCACTTTGTGTTTTATGGGGTCTTGTAACAGAAAGTACATAACACCATTTGCCACAAAATCACCTTATCTGATGTAGACCTAACTTCCATTTTATAGGAAACTCAGGGACAAAGGAACAATGTTAAATGACCCCAAAGAAATCCACAACAAAATCTTGATTGTGAAAAGTTGTACTGACCCTGTGCAGTGACTCACGTCTGTAATCCCAACACTTTGGGAGGCCAAAGCAGGAGTATTGCTTGAGACCAGGTGTTCAAGCCTGCAGTGACAAACTACTCACCCAATTTTTTCAACAAATAAAATACCAAGAGGAAGGAAAAAATAAAGAGGAAGTGAAACCTATAGATTAAAAGAGACTTACAAGACATTTAAAAAAAAAGTAATGTGTGGCTTTGTTGGATTCTGATTTCAACGTGGAAACCTTAAAAAAAATTCATGAGACAAGTGGGAAATTTGGATACTAACTAGATAGTTCATGATACTAAAAATTATTAATTAAGGCTGGGCACGGTGGCTCATGCCTGTAATCCTAGCACTTTGGGAAGCTGCAGGTGGATCATTTGAGGTCAGGATTTGAGAGCAGCCTGGCCAACATGGTGAAACCCCGTCCCTACTAAAAATACAAAAAAATTAGTTGGGCGTGGTGGCTCCCTCCTGTAATCCCAGCTACTAGGGAGGCTGAGGCAGGAGAATTGCTTGAACCTGGGAAGCGGAGGTTCCAGTGAGCCAAGATCACACCACTGCACTCTAGCCTGGGTGACAGAGTGAGACTCTGTCTCAAAAAAAAAAAAAAATGCCAATACTATCTCATCTTAATAATTTTTATTTATTTATTTGAGACGGAGTCTCATTCTGTCACCCAGTCTGGAGTGCACTGGTGTGATCTCGCTCACTGCAACCTCAGCCTCCTGAGTAGCTGGGATTACAGGCACGCACCACCACACCCAGCTAAATTTTGTATTTTTGGTAGAGGCGGGGTTTCACCATGTTGACCAGGCTGGTCTTAAATTCCTGACTTCAGGTGATCCACCTGCCTCAGCCTCCCAAAATGCTGGGATTATAGGCATGAGCTGCCATGTACAGTCAGTATTGGGATTTTTAAAATTATCTGGTTTTATAGAAGTAGACAATAGAATATTTACAGATGAGGTGAAATGATGTCTAAGATTTGCTTCAGAATAACCCACAAATGGGTGAGGGGAATAAACTTGGCCATGTGTTGATGTCAGTTGATGGGGACATGGAGTAGTCTTTTTACTTTTGAATGTGTTTGAGATTTCCCAAAATAAAAGTTTATTTAGAGAAGCAAATGCGGCCAGGCGTGGTGGCTCATGCCTGTAATCCCAGCACTTTGGGAAGCGGGGACAGGCAGATCACTTGAGGTCAGGAGTTCGAAACCAGCCTGGCCAACATGGTGAAACCCCATCTCTACTAAAAATACAAAAATTAGTTGGGTATGGTGGTGAGCGCCTGTAATCCCAGCTACCCAGGAGGCTGAGGCAGGAGAACCGCTTGAGCCTGGGAGGCAGAGGTTGTAGTGCGTGGAGATCACACCACTGCACTCTGGCCTGGGCAACAGAGCAAGACTCTGTCTCAAAAAAAAAAAAAAAAAAAAAAGAAAGAAAAAACAGCAAATGCAAAGGACTCAGGGGATTTTTCTGGAGTGGTATTTCTCATATTTAATTAAAATACTTTGGGTGTCTTGGTAAGGTTCCGGAGGGATGGTAGGACATGATAAAATTATCTGGAAAAGTGGAAGACATAGTCGTTGCTGGCGTTGACTCTCCTGGCAACAACAGCAGTTCATCACTAGTACTCGTGAGAGTAAACTTCAGTCTGAATTCTCCTAGAAGAGGAAAAGTGCCCCCTTACTTCCTGTGGCAGCACTTAGTGCTGTAGCAGGTCTATAACCTGTACCTGGGAACACCTTTGTAGTTGCAGAGGTAGATATCAGAATGCTACCACTCCTGAATCCTGTCACGTGAGGTGGCATCTGCTCCTCCATGGTGTACTTGTAAGTATTCCTGGGAAATTATCTGAATTTTGAATGGGATTGGAAGAATTGCTTCCAAAAACGAATACTGCAGACTTACCTGTGTCCCATTCTCAGATACTGATATTTTATGGGAGGGATCTATAAGAAGCAGGTTGGAGCAGATCTAAAACATTCCTTGTGGATAGATATTTCACCTGCTTAATTTTTCAGGATTTCAGAGGGGAAGGAGGCAACATCGTTGTCTCCCTGCATCGCCTTGCTGTCAGCGCTGACATTTACTAGCAGAGATTTTGCGGTTCTTCTTCCTCCCTGTCAAAACTGGACACTTGGAACTATTAGAATACCACAATAGTAGTACTAGGCCTAAGTACATGGAGAGGAAACAAACAAAGTCCTTATTGTCTGTGTATTTGTATAATGCTGATTTATTTTTTGGTCACTGCATATTAAAAACTAATTTAGATAAAACATCTCTCATTTTTTCTTTCAGGTCCGGTGTCTAAAAGACTATGGAGAATTTGAAGTTGATGATGGCACTTCAGTCCTATTAAAAAAAAATAGCCAGGTATTTCTTATCTTCAGATTCTTTACTTTAAATCTTATGAGTGTTGTATGGTGGAAAAGTTGGAATAGCAAAATAAATATCAACTTTTGATGATCGTTTATATATTAGGCATTATCTTTTAGTATAATATACCCTGTTCTGTACTTTTTCTGAATATTAAGACTGGAAGCAAATGTTGCATATAATAAAAGATTCATTAATTTAGTAGGATATTGCTTATATTTAAAACTAGGTGTTTTCTAGGGGAATTACCATAATCAGCCTTATTCTGGGTAAGTGATAGATTATTATCTGGAGGCTATTGAACTGTTGGATTTAGCTCCTTTGTTCATATAATTTATTCTAAAAGTTCCTAAGCAGTTTTTTTAGCTTACACTTTGCCTTATAAATCCTAGTTCTTTAGCAAGCAAATAGTGATACAGATTTTTCTGTTTTCAAAAGAAGAATTTTCAAGTATTTGGTATATAAACATAACAATTTAATAGAGGAAGATTAAAATTGTAAAGTTGTAACTTAAGCTAAATTTGTCCTTATAAGGAATCTTTATCCATCTATCTATCTATCTGTCTGTCTGTCTGTCTGTCTGTCTGTCTGTCTATCTATCTATCTATCTTTAAAGAAAATAGAGATGGGGCCTTGCTATGTTGACCATGCTAGTCTCAAACTCTCCTGGGCTCAAGCAATCCACCTTCCTTAGTATCCTAAAGTGCGAGGATTACAGGTGTGAACCACCATGCCTTAAGTAATCTCAGTATATTAATTATTTCCCTAGAAATCTTCATATTCACATTAGATGAATTCACGTTAACTATATTATTACTATTATTATTATTATTTTTTTTTTTTTTTGAGACGGAGTCTTGCTCTGTTCCCCAGGCTGGAGTGCAGTGGCGGGATCTCCACTCATTGCAACCTCTGCCTCCTGGGCTCAAGTGATCCCCCACCTCAGCCTCCCCAAGTAGCTGGACCACAGGCACACGCCACTACACCCAGTTAATTTTTGTAATTTTTGTAGAGACGGAGTTTCACCAGTTGGCCAGGCTGGTCTTGAACTCCTGAGCTCAAGCAATCCACCCACCTCAGCCTCCCAAAGTGCTGGGATTACAGGCTTAAGCCACTGTGCCCGGCCACTAAATTTTTTATCCTATCCCAATTTTCTGAAGTCGTGAGGAGGAAAAATGACCTAATAAAAGCTGTTCTCTTTCTTTCCTTGCCTGCTGTCTTGGGGTCAGCCATTTAGGATCTGTTGACCCTAAGGATTTGGTGTTCACTTTGTTCATGCCAGGGAGCAAAAGAATGTTTCAGGTCATGTGGTTCTTGAGCTTATTTTCCTAACAGGGTGAGTTGATCTCTTATTTTACTAATACCCTTGGATCTTTAAAACTATTTTACTAATAGTTGACTAAAATTATTTTACTAATACCCTTGGAGCTTCTAAAACAAAGGTTGAATATTTTTAAAAAAGATTTTGAGGGTTCCCTAAAGTCTTCAGTTGTTAAGGCAACAATTTCTGTCCCAAGTATTCTCTTAGGACACTAATGAATTTAAAGCAGATAATGAATTAATGCTCTGATAAGCAGCTATATTTCTGGAGGGCCCAGGAGGAAGCTCTGGCACAAGAACAAGAAAAAAGCCATCCTCATAAAGCAAGATATGTGAAATGTCCCTTCATCCCAAATGCTGTCCTGTGGTTGAATTTCTTTTTTTTTTTTTTTTTTTGAGACAAAGTCTCGCTCTTGTCCCCCAGGCTGGAGTACAGTGGCATGATCTTGGCTCACTGCAACCTCTGCCTCCCATGTTCAAGCTTTTCTCCTGCCTCAGCCTCTCAAATAGCTGGGATTACAGGCGCCTGCCACCACGCCTGGCTAATTTTTGTATATTTTTTAGTAGAGGCGGCGTTTCACCATGTTGGCCAGGCTGGTTTCAAATTCCTGACCTTAGGTAATCCGCCCACCTCAGCCTCCCAAAGTGCTGGGATTACAGGTGTGAGCCACCGCACCTGGCCTGGTGGTTGAATTTTTTAACTCTGTTTCTCAGCTGTGACCCTACCCTCAATTATAAAAATGGAGGCATGAAAAAGAAACAATATCAGCCACAGTTGATGGTTGGTATTAGGGGCTTCTAATGTTCAACCACATCCAAACTTTCTGTAGAATCTGTGGTGTAGATCATTCACATACTCTAAAATATTAGTAGGAAACATTTATCTATCTATCTATCTATCTATCTATCTATCTATCTATGGTTTTTTTCGAGATGGACTCTCGCTCTGTCACCCAGGCTGTAGTGCAGTGGCGTGATCTTGGCTCACTGCAACCTCTGCCTTCTGGGTTCAAGCAATTCTCCTGCCTCAGCCTCTCGAGTAGCTGGGATTGCAGGCGTGTGTCACCATGCCTGGCTAATTTTTGTATTTTTTTTAGTAGAGGCGGGGTTTCACCATGTTGATCAGGCTGGTCTCAAACTCCTGACCTCGTGATCCACCTGCCTTGGCCTCCCAAAGTGCTGGGATTACAGGCGTGAGCCACTGCGCCTGGCTGGGAAACATTTTCTAATATACATTCTTTTATATTTGTCACTATGGCAAGCACTGTTACTTTTTATCCAGAAATCAATACTCTCCATCTGTTTAATACCAGCATTAGTATGGACATTAAATGAACAACTCAGTTATTTTGTTTTTGTTGTGTTTTTTTACATTTTTCTTGGCTCATGTATCTTCAAGATTGGTTTAGAAGAATTTGGTCATGGGTCTCTTGCCAGGCCTTTGAGTTTGTGAGGCAGGACCTTCAGGTGCACATGGCTACTGAGGTTACATTTTGCTTCCTTGAGATCTTCCTTTGAGATTTCTTTGACCACCTATGAATTGAAAAGCCTTCCTGCCTTGCTTCCTTAACCTCCCTCCTCCAAGGCAGTCAGTGTTTTCTGTAAGTCCTGGTATTTGAGAGGGAAGGAGACATCTTTCCACCTGCCCCTGGTTCCCTCAGAGCAAGAGCGATGTCCTCTTAGGAAGACACAGGACAAGCAATACCTGGGTACCGGCATCTTCCCATGTACCATGTGAATAGCACCCACGCGGTGGGTCATGAATACTTTTCAACCTTGAGACATACAGGAGGAAAGTTGTCACTTGTTATTAGAAGAATGTTCAGACTCTGAAATCCAAGAACAGGTTTTATGGAGAAATGAGCGTTTCATGGGTCTTCTTGATAGGCTGTTGAGCCAGTGATAATCCAAATCGCACCTATCTGGATTTCTCTGTGCATAAATTTTAAAAATATAAACACTAAGTACAATACCTACTAGAATTCAGAAGTCTTAGTTGAATTGAACTTAAGCAAACTGAATTCATTTGTAAAAGTCAGAATTCCATACAGCTCTAAATGGAATCAATTTCAATGGATTAAAACAGCAAATATAGTTTAACTTTTTTTTTTTGAGATGGAGTTTTGCTCTTGTTGCCCAGGCTGGAGTGCAATGGCACAATCTCGGCTCACCCCCAGGTTCAAGTGATTCTCCTGCCTCAGCCTCCTGTGTAGCTGGGATTACAGGCATGCGCCACCACGCCTGGCTAATTTTTTTTTTTTTTTTGTGACAGAGTCTCACTCTGTTGCCCAAGCTGGAGTGCAGTGGCACGGTCTCGGCTCACTGCAAGCTCTGCCTCCCGGGTTCACGCCATTCTCCTGCCTCAGCCTCCTGAGTAGCTGGGACTACAGGTGCCCGCCACCATGCCTGGCTAATTTTTTTGCATTTTTAGTAGAGACGGGGTTTCACCGTGTTAGCCAGGATGGTCTTGATCTCCTGACCTCGTGATCCACCCGCCTCGGCCTCCCAAAGTGCTGGGATTATAGGCGTGATCCACTGCCCCTGGGCCAACTTTGTATTTTTTAGTAGAGACGCGGTTTCTCCATGTTGGTTAGGCTGGTCTTGAACCCCCGACCTCAGGTGATCCGCCTACCTTGGTGTCCTAAAGTGCTGGGATTTCAGGCATGAGCCACCGTACCCAGCCCCTTAAGTTTAACTTTCAACTACTTACTTGTTGGAGTTTGAAAACTAATCAGTGCTACTTTTTAATGATACAAGAAATAATTTCAAATTCTTTCCCAATCATTTATTTTACTCTTTCTCCATCCCTTCTTGTCCCCTCAGCACTTTTTACCTCGATGGAAATGTGAGCAGCTGATCAGACAAGGAGTCCTGGAGCACATCCTGTCATGACCATGCGCCGAGGCACTTCCAGGCTTCACTCAACTCATGGACTCCTCTGTACTCACTCTCTCCACCACTCCCTTCACCTCCCTCTTTGATTTTAGAAGCTATAGACATTGTTTAAGATAACTAAGAATACTTGGCTAAGAAGTATAATTTGCTAACTATTAAGGACTTTCTTTTTTTAATGTTGTACACTATTCTTCCTACTCTTTTTTGGTTTTGGTTTTGTTTTGTAGAGACTGTCTCACTATGTTGCCCAAGCTGGTCTCAAACTCCTGGCCTCAAGCAGTCCTCCCACCTTAGCTTCTCAAAGTGTTGAGATCACAGGCGTGAGCCACTGCACCCGGCCCCTACTCCTTTTTCTAATAAGCTGTATCTGTAATCACAGCATTCCTACAGTTGTTACAGTGTGTTTTTTAAATGAAAGTAAACATGGTTACATTTGAATCTCTTAAATAAGCAGTCACTTGGCTGGACAGGAAGAAGGTAGATCCTGTGTGTCTTGTTTTCTGGTCATGTGTATTGTACAAGCTAGAGAGCTGAATTTCTGAGATACACATTTTCAAATCACATGCAAGTGAAGATGATGGTCTGTAGAAATTTTCAGTATATATAATGTTTAATGACATACTAATTTATCATCTGGCTATTTGGGAAGGAAGGACACACATGGATTTTGCACATTTCCACCATGGTGGCTGGTGTGGCTTGTGGCTATGGGGTGATCACCAGTATCACCACTTTGGAAGGGGACAGTGAAATTGGGGCTAGAGAAGGAACTTTGTACAGTTTTCCCTGAGATTCAGATTGACTGAAAAGTCACATGAAGAGTTGATTGTCTTTTAATGGTATGTTTTAAACAGCTGACATTTTAAATTTTGATGAAATCCAGTTTATTCGTTTGTTCTTTTATGCTTTGGGTGTTGCATCCGAGAAATCTTTTCCCATCCCAAGATCACAATTTTTTTTCCTTTTTACTTCTAGAAGTGTTATAATTTTAAGCTTTATACTTTGGTCTATGACCCGTTTTTTTTTTTGTTTTGTTTTGTTTTTTCGTTTGTTTCTTTGTTTTGAGATGGAGTCTTGTTCTGTCACCCAGGCTGGGGTGCAGTGGCGTGATCTTGGCTCACTGCAATCTCTATCCCCTGGGTTCAAGTGATTCTCTTGTCTCAGCCTCCCAAGTAGCTGGGATTACAGGCACAGGCCGCCACGCCTGGCTAATTTTTGTATTTTTAGTAGAGACAGAGTTTTACCATGTTGGCCAGGCTGGTTTCAAACTCCTGACCTCAAGTGACCCACCTTGGCCTCCCAAAGTTTTGGGATTACAAGTGTGGGCCACCGCGGCCAGCCTATGATCCATTTTGAATGAATTTTTTATATGGTGCAAGGTGTCAATCCACCTTCACTTTTTCTTGGGAATATAGATATCCAGCTGTTTCACTACCATTTTTTGAAAGGACTGCCCTTTGCTCTATCACCTTTGCATTTTTGTTAAAAAGTAGTTGTCAATGTATATGTGGGTTTATTTCAGGACTCTGTTTTGTTCCATTGACCTGTTTTTCTCTCCTGAATGCCAATACCATATTTGTATGTAGTGTATGTAATTTTCTAATAATTCTTGAAACAGATAGTATTAATGTGTCATATTTTTGCTGTTGTTTGTATTTTTTGTAGAGATGGGGTTTCACCGTGTTGGCCAGGCTGTGTTGAACTCCTGAGCTAAAGCAATACACTTGCCTCGTCCTCCCCATGTGCTGGGATTACAGGCGTGAGCCTTGGTGCTGGCCCAGTGTACCACATTTCTTTTTGAGATTTGTTTTGGCTATGTTAAGTCCTTTGCTTTTGATGTGAAATTTGGGAACAGGCAGGGTGTGGTGGCTTATGCCTGTAATCCTAGAACTTTGGGAGGCCTAGATGGGTGGATCACTTGAGCTCAGGAGTTCCAGACCAGCCCGGGCCTATGGCAAAACTCCGTCTCTACAAAAAATAGAAAAAATTAGCCAGGTGTGGTGGTGCATGCCTGTAGTCACAGTTACACGGCAGGCTGAGGTGGGAGGATCACTTGAACCCCAGAGGTCAAGACTGCAGTGAGCTGAGATCACACCACTGTACTCCAGCCTGGGTGACAAAGTGAGACTCTATCTCAAAAAGAAATTAGGATCAATTTGTCAATTTCTACAACAACAACAACAAAAACCCCTGTTGGGCACCTTGATTGAGATTGCATTGAATTTATATAAAACTGTTGGGAGAATTGACATCTTAATAATATTGAGTCTTCTGGCCTATAAACAAGGTCTGTCTTCCTAGGTATTAATGTTTTGTCTTCTATTTCTCTTAATAATCTTTTGTAGTTTTCAGTGTACAGGTCTACCATGTCAGCATTTCATAGTTTTGATGCTAAATGGTATTTTAAAATTTCAAATTCTAACCACTTGTTGCTAGTAAATAGAAATACAATTGATGTTGAACTTGTATCCTTCAGCCTTGCTAAACTGTGAGTTCTCATGGTGTTTTTGTAAATTACATCAACAGTCATGTGTTCTATGAATAAAGAGTTTTACTCCTTCCTTTCTAATCTGAATGCCTTTTATTTCTTTTTCTTGCCTGATGGCATTGGTTAGAACTTCCAGTAGAGTACTAAATATATGTGGTCAAAGACACCCCTATCTTGTTCCTGATCTAAGAAGGAAAACAGTCTTTCACTATTATGATGTTTGTTAGCTCTTAAGTTGTTTGTAGATGCCCTTTATTGGGGTAGGAAGTTCCTTCCTATTCCTAGTGATATGGTTTGGCTGTGTCCCTACCCAAATCTCAACTTGAACTGTAATAATTCCCATGTGTCAAGGGCAGGGCCAGGTGAAATAATTGAATCAAGGGGGTAGTTTTCCCCATACTTTTCTGGTGTTAGTCAATAAGTCTCACGAGATCTGATGGTTTTATAAATGGGAGTTCCCCTGGACATGCTCTTTTGCCTGCCACCATGTAAGACGTGACTTTGGTCCCTATCCATTTGCCTTATGCTGTGATTGTGAGGCCTCCCCAGCCATGTGGAACTGTCAATTAAATCTCTTTCCTTTATAAATTACCCACTCTCCAGTATGTCTTTATTAGCAGCATAAGACGACTAATACACCTAGTTTACTGAGAATTTTTTTAAAAGTCAGAAATGGATGCTGGATTTTGTCATATCTTTTTTCTGCATCTGTTGAGATGGTTTTGTCTTTTAGTTTGTTAGTCTGGTGAATTACAGTGGCTGATTGATCGATTGAGTTTTCAATGTTAAACCTACCCTGGATTCCTGGCATAAACCACACCTGGTCATGATATATTCTCCTTTTTGTAAGATTTTATTTGAAATTTTTTTGTAGAATTTTTGCATCAGTGTGCATGAGAAATACTGGTCTGGTGTTCTTGGGAAAATAATCCCTCCTATTCAGTTTTTTGGAAGAGTTTTCTAAATAGAAAAAAAAAACTGTTCTGTCACTTAACAACAACAACACAGAAGACTGTGACCAAATGCATGGGGGTTTTTCCCACATACCAAGCTCTGCAGTGGAGAGCAGGTGTGTCCTCTACTTCTATTTCAGTTCCGACACTACCTGGAGATAGCGTCAGATCCCACAGGGTCAGGGCTCAGTCCAAGACTGCCCTCCCTTGAGACACCAGCCACAAGTGTGGGCCTCTGAGATTCTGACCAACTAGCTTCAAGTTGGAGTTCCCATGCCCCACTCTTTGGATTCAATTAATTTGCTTGAGCAGCTCACAGAACTCAGAAACACTTAAGCTTACTGGTTTATTGTAAAGGATATGGTAAAATACGCAGATGAAAGGACCCAAATGGAAGCGATGCATAGGGTAAGGTATGGGGAAAGGATATGGAGCTTCGATGCTCACCACCCTCCAGGAGCCTCCATATGTTCAGCAATCCGGAAGCTCTCCACACCCTGTCCTTTTGGGCCTTTTATAGAAATCTCATTAGATAGGCATTATCAACAACCAAGCAGAGAGACGATTGGACTAAGAGGGTATGATCTAATGCTCACAGTCTGAGTGGCGCCATTCAGCCAGGCCCGTCTGCTCTGGTTCTTAGCCTCTGCTGCATTTCTTCTTTCAGAGTATGAGGCAGTGCCCCTTCTGATCACAGAGAATTTCTTTATGGCCAGCTCCAAGACAGAAAGGCGGGAAAAGGAGCAGGTGAAAGGAGGGCAGAAGGGCAGAAAGAGAATGTCTTCTGAGGCCTAAAATGCCCAAGCATTACAAGACTGCAACGAAGGCCATGGGAGTTAGTTACAGACAAGGAGCCATGGATGAAATCAATATATCTATCATACGTTTTATATACTTGGTATTATTTATTTCTTAAATGTTTATAGAGTTCATATTTAAGCCATCTAGGCCCGAAGTTTCTTTGTGGGAAGCTTAACCACAGTTTTGGCTTAATAAATACATGGCTATTTTGGTTATCCATTTTTTTTCTCGAATGAGCTTTGGCAATTTATGTATTCTCCATTTTATCTAAGTTACCAAATTTATTTATATAAAGTTGTTCATGGGCTGGGCACGGTGGCTCACGCCTGCAATCCCAGCACTTTGGGAGGCCAAGTCAGAAGGATCGCTTGAGCTCAGGAGTTTGAGACCAGCCCGGGCAACATAGCGAGACGTCAGGAAAAAAAAAAAATTGCCAGGTGTGGTGCTGTGCACCTGTAGTCTCAGCTACTCGGGAGGCTGAAGCGGGAGTTGGAGGCTGCAGTGAGCTATAATCATGCCACTGCACTCCAGCCTGGGCAACAGTGAGACCCTGTCTCAAAAAATAAAAATGTTCTTCATAATATTGCCTTATGATGCTTGTATATCTGTAGACTATAGTGGTATTACCTGTAGTGATATCACTTCTCATTTTTGGTATTAGTTTTTCTTTTCTTTTATTCTGACTGGACTAGAAGTTTATCAGTTTTACTAATCTTCTGAAAGAACATGTCTTTGGTTTACTTTCTCTATTCTTTGTTTTCTATTTCAAGGGTCAACAAATGTTTTCTGTGTATTAGGCTTTGTGGGCCACATGACCTGTTAACAGCCGCTCCGTGCTGCTGCTGGAGCACGAAGCAGGCGTAGGGAATCTGTGGACGTAGGGAATCTGTAACTGAGTGTGGCCGTGCCAACCAAACTTAACACAGCAGCTCTAGCCTGCAGCATGGCACAGCCAATCTGTTCCGTTCCTTGGTTTCTGCTGTGATCATCATCATTTTCTTTTCTTTTGACTTTAGGTTTAATTTGCTCTTCTTTGTCTAATTATTTAAGGTAGAAGCTCAAGTCGTTGATTTGAGACCTTTCTTCTAACCTGGGTGTTTGGTGCTAAGACTTTTCCCCTAAGTAATGCTTTCACTCTACCCCACAAATTTTGATATATTGTGTTTTCATTTCCATTCAATCCAGGATATTTCCCAACTTCCCCTCTTATCTCTTCTTTGCCTCATGCGTTATTCAGCAGTATGTTGTTCAGTTTCCAAATATTGGGGGATATATATATATTTTTTTTCAGGGCACAGGTAATTATTTATTTATTTCACTTTACCTCATTTTTTATTTTTTTATTATACTTTAAGTTCTAGGGTACATGTGCACAATGTGCAGTTTTGTTACATATGTATCCATGTGCCACGTTGGTGTGCTGCACCCATTAACTCATCATTTACATTAGGTATA
Source organism: Homo sapiens (assembly GCF_000001405.40). Taxonomy (NCBI): domain Eukaryota; kingdom Metazoa; phylum Chordata; class Mammalia; order Primates; family Hominidae; genus Homo; species Homo sapiens. The sequence continues at coordinate 25,451,692 of NC_000020.11, forward strand.
GCTCCTAATGCTATCCCTCCCCCCTCCCCCTACCCCAGGACAGGCCCCGGTGTGTGATGTTCCCCTTCCTGTGTCCAAGTGTTCTCATTTTTCAATTCCCACCTATGAGTGAGAACATGCGGTGTTTGGTTTTCTGTCCTTGTGACAGTTTGCTGAGAATGATGGTTTCCAGCTTCGTATTGGGGGACAGATTTCTAATTTAGTTCCATTGTGGTCACAGTACATACATTGTATGGCTTGAATCTTCGTAATTTTTTGAGATTTGTTGGCCCAAGATATGGTCTGTCTTGGTAAGTGTTTGGCTGCATTTGCTTCTACTGGTGTCGTGTGGTGGGTTCTAGATGTCAGTAGATTGATAATGTTGTTCAGGTCTCCTGGTTACTCCAATCTCGTTACTCCAGTCTCAGACAGAAGCCCAAAGTGAATGAAGAAGTGTACTCCTCAATGAGTTTTGACAAATGCATACACCCATGTAACATAAACTGTATTAGGACTTACATATTAATAACTGGTAGAACTAGTCCCCATACATTGCTCTTCTTTCTTCAGAGTTTTCCTAATTGTTTTGTTTGCTTATTTAGTTGTATGTAAAAACTTTAGAATGTCTTGTCCAATTCTGGGGTTGATTGGGGCATGTAACATCTGTATTTATATTGGGATTAATTACATTTATCATCAGTAAACTTTGAAGAACCAGTCAACTTCATGTTGCCGAATCTTCCAAAGAACCGACCTTTCCATCTGTTCCAGGCTTTGTTATCTTTCCACGGTGCTGTGACATTTTTCTCCTGCAGAAAGGAGAAGACATGCCAGCTTTGGGATGGCGGCTGCCCCGGGAAGAGGGAGGAGGCTGAGAACAGAACAGGCTCCCGCCCTCCACAGTGCTGTGGCAGGATATTATTCTTACTAGATATGTTGATGGGCACATGGGTGTTTCTTACATAACTATTTTCCTCTATGTTTGAAATATTTTATAGTTTAAAAAATTAAAAACAAACTTAGAAGTCAATTTTAATAGAAAAGAATTTATTGCAAATACAGTGACTTTTTATATTACAGTAGTACATTCCAATCAGCCATATGGCCATAATTTGCATACATTTCAAATATAAAACTATACTTTTTTTTTTTTTTACATATAGTACAATTTCCAGTGTGATGACATTTCAATGGGAAAAAGATTGTGCATTTGCAATAAACACCATCATTCCTGAGTCCACAGATAAGGTCCCCGGAGAAGGGGCTTCCCCTCCTTTCTCGCTGGGTTGACGTTCCCAGCGAGTGAAGCCTTTTCTGGAATGTGTGTACGCACCCTCCACCAAGAGTTCTAATAAGCTAAGCTTAAAGCAGAACAGTGAAATGGCAAAACTGTACAGAGCCCTGACTTTACATTTCACTCTGACAGCCAGGGTCGGAAGCACCACATGGAAAGTGCTGTCCATAACTGCTCACTTACCTGCTCCTTGCTGACAGCTCCCAGGATCTGGCTCCAGAGAGTGGCAAAACTGGGAATTTTGCCAAGGGAAATTACTCAGGACCGCTAATAAAAACGCCGGCTTCTGCAACATGCATATTCCCCCAGCCCCCACCTCCATCTTGCCCAGGGCAGACCATTCATTAACTATCTGCGGGGTGAACAAAGAATCCCAATCCTCAGATGTCCCAGGACTCATGGCTCATGACCCACGGAATCTAAGGCAGCACAGTGGCTTAATTTAAAAGATGTGCTTTCGAATGAATCCTAGAAAATAATCTGTCTTTACACAGAGAGGGCTGCGGGGGCAATCCTACTGACGAGTTTGTTGAGAGCGCGAACTTTTTCTTCCAAGAGGCGGCTTTGTTTCTCGGCGCCTCGCTGCTTCTCCTCGGTGGCCTGAAGTGCTCTCACCAGGTGGGCGTTCTCCACGTACAGCTCCTTCAGCAGCAGGTCGGACTTCGTGTTCTTTTCAAACTAGAGAGGGGAGGAAGCCATGCTTTGCATGAGGCCGGTGGAGAAACGCTACAGATCAGCCTGCTCTCTTTTATCCTCCCAGGTTTACGCAAACCACAGTTTTGGGCTCTTAGAAATCTGACCCAAGGCCGGGGGCAGTGGTTCACGCCTGTAATCCCAGCACTTTGGGAGGCTGAGGTGGGCAGATCCCAAGGTCAGGAGATCGAGACCATCCTGGCGAACACGGTGAAACCCCATCTCTACTAAAAAATACAAAAAAATTAGCTGGGCGTGGTGGCGGGCGCCTGTAGTCCCAGCTACCCGGGAGGCTGAGGCAGGAGAATGGTGTGAACCCGGGAGGTGGAGCTTGCAGTGAGCAGAGATCGCACCACTGCACTCCATCCAGCCTAGGCGACAGAGCAAGACTCTGTCTCCAAAAAAAAAAGAAATCTGACACAAATACTGGATTATAATGACAAGTTTTGTTACCCTGGCATGAGAGGAAATTGAGAATCTGCTGGGCTATGTGATGGAGAAAACTTGAGGCAGCTTTGTGCCGTGAAACAAGGACTTCAGGCAAAAGTGGCCAGTCCTCAAAAGGCCCTGGGACGGTCAGAGTGTGGAACAGGTTCATCTGCGTATGCGCTACTGGCTGTGATGTCAGCAAGGCCAGGAGCCAAGAGAAGCAGGGGAGGGAGCAGGCGCAGGACAGGCAGTACTGAGGCCCTGGGCTGTGGCCTGTGCTCAGGGCCAGGGCAGGTATGCAGGAGCCACAGGATTGAACCAGAAGTCAGGTGTTGCTGGCGAGACGGGCAACTGAGGACTGTGGGTGTGTGCCAGGGAGAAAGGGTGAGAGGGACCGGGGGCACCAGTAGGGGAGGAAGCTGGGCAAGGACGGGTGGCCCCAGGGAGGGACTGGGAACCTTCCACAAATGCCTTGTCTAGCTTGGGCTGAGCTCAGGATCCCTCATGTAGACCAAACCATACTGGATCACGATGGAGCAAAAATACTTCTCCAGGTTTTCATATTTCTCTTAATCCTAACACTGAATGTGGTCCGTGGCCGGGCCTCTTCTGTGTGTGCACCCCACACCCGTGGGGTCCACCCACACCCTGTGCCATCAGCCCTCAGGGCACAGCACTGCTGCACGTCAGTTCCCACCTGCTGAGTTGGACTTCGAACATCTACAGACCAGGTGAGTTATGGCACCTCATTTTTGGTCTTTGCTCCTTACAGTAGCCCAAGTGACTTTTTCCCTAGTATGGTTTCTTTTAAAAGATAGATCCTGTCATGCTTTTACTTAAAATCTCCCTATGCCTTCTAACTGCCATTATGATAAAACCCAAACCCCTGACCTTGGCTTCTAGGATACACACGACAGGCACTGCCTACCTGAGCCCTACCAGTTCACACCAGCCATGGCGGCCTCCTCCATGGCTGTCCGCTGCCTGGAATGCACCCTCCTCGGAGTCCCCCAGACACGAGGAGATGTGTGCATCTCCCACCCACTGAGCCTTCCAAATGCCACCTGGCCTCTGCTGGGGACACAGCTGGACGTTCCTGTGCTGGTCACTGGGCATCTGACCAAATGCTGGCTCTTCAAAGTGGCCTTGACCACCCCACCGGCTCCTTCCACCTCTATTCTCTCATTTTCAGAGCACTCATCATGGCCCGAGGTCATGTATGCTCTATGGAAGCATCTGCCTCTGTCTCCAGAGGGTCAGGTCTGGGATGCAGGCTCAGCCCTGCTCATCTCAGGTCTACCTGGGAAAGCTTAGACCAGAGGTGCTTGGGGATGCCTGAATGACTACATGAACAAATGAACGGATGAGTCCTTTCTGAGTGTATGTGAACACCCAAAGGACAGATCTTAAAACCATTCCCGGAGGAAAATAAATGAATGTGCACCTGCAGTGTAGGGTATACATTTAGTTCCCTGGAATTCTGTGACAAGACAGCCTTTTCCTGTATTAGCTACCTGCACACCCATAAAAGTGGAGAGCGTTCAGAAGAGGACGTGAACACGAAAGCAGCAGCGCCCATCACTCACCTGCTCCTTCAGCTTATCCACTTTCTCTTGGAGGAGCATTTCCATATTCTTCAGAATCATCTCCGCCTCTTCCACCCGCTCTTCTGTGGCTTTCAGCTGTTTCTCATGTTCTTCCTGCCATAAAAGAAGGTTGCAGGTGGCCGGGCATGGTGGCTCACGCCTCTAATCCCAGCACTTTGGGAGGCCGAGGCGGGCGGATCACCTGAGGTCAGGAGTTTGAGACCAACCTGGCCAACATGGTGAAACCCCATCTCTACTAAAAAAAATAGAAAAATTAGCCGTGTGTGGTGGTGCGTACCTGTAATCCCAGCTACTTGGGAGGCTGAGGCAGGAGAATCACTTGAACCCAGGAGGTGGAGGTTGCAGTGGCACTCCAGCCTAGGTGACAGAGCAAGACTCAGTCTCAAAAAAAAAAGAAAAATTAGCTGGGCGTGGTAGCGTGCACCTGTAGTCCCAGCTACTTGGGAGGCTGAGGCAGGAGAATCACTTGAACCCAAGAGGCAGAGGTTGCTGTGAGCCGAAATAGCACCACTGCATTCCAGCCTGGTGACAGAGTGAGACTCCATCTCAAAAAAAAAAAAAAAAAAAAAAAAAGCCAGGTGCAGTGGTTCACAACTGTAATCCTAGCACTTTGGGAGTCTGAGGCGGGCGGATTACCTGAGCTCAGGAGTTCGAGACCAGCCTGGGCAGCACAGTGAAACCCTATCTCTACTAAAATACAAAAAATCAGCCGGGCATGGTAGCGGGCGCCTGTAGTCCCAGCTACTCGGGAGGCCGAGGCAGAATAATTGCTTGAACCCAGGAGGCGGAGGTTGCAGTGAGCCAAGATTGTGCCATTGCACTCCAGTCTGGGTGACAGAGCAAGACTCCGTCTCAAAAAAAAAACACAAAAAACAAAAACAAAAAGGTTACAGGCAATATTTTACATTTTAAAAAGAATCAGCTCAAGGCTATTTATTTTAAAATGGAAATTAGTGGCCTAGTGAGGTGGTTTACACCTGTAATCCCAGCACTTTGGGAGGCCAAGGCGGGTAGATCACCTGAGGTCAGGAGTTCAGGACCAGCCTGGCCAGCATGGTGAAATCCCGTCTCTACCAAAAATACAAAAAATTAACCAGGCATGGTGGCAGGCACCTGTAGTCCCAGCTACTCAGGAGGCTGAGGCAGGAGAATTGCTTGAACCCAGGAGGTGGAGGCTGCAGTGAGCCGAGATCGCACCATTGCACTCCAGCCTGGGTGACAGAGTAAGACTCTATCTCAAAAATAAATAAATACATAAAATGGAAATCAGCTCAAATGTACACATCTGACAGTGACTGTGGGTAACCTTTCATCTGTCCAGAGCAAGGGTTTAAAAATGTTCTGGCCCAGGGCCGGGCGCAGTGGCTCACACCTATAATCCCAGCACTTTGGGAGACCGAGGCGGGTGGATCACGAGGTCAGGAGATCAAGACCATCCTGGCCAACACGGTGAAACCCCATCTCTACTAAAATACAAAAAATTAGCTGGGCATGGTGATGCGTGCCTGTAGTCCCAGCTACTCAGGAGGCTGAGGGAGGGGAATTGCTTGAACACAGGAGGCGAAGGTTGCAGTAAGCCAAGATTACGCCACTGCACTCCAGCCTGGCAACAGAGTCAGACTCTGTCTCAAAAAACAAAACAAAACAAAACAAAAATATGTTCTGGCCCAAACCACACAGCTTTCCTTTCTCTTTGCAGTTCAGGGAGAATCAGCAGACTCATTTGTCCTCAGAGAACTGGTCCTAAGATTTTAACCATAAATAACTCCAAAGCGAGCTTCCCTCGCTGTGTTAGTGTATTCTTCTAGGGGGATTCTCCTTAACTTTGTCAATAATGTAGCATCACTTAACTTTAGCTTGACCCCTTTGTGTGATGTTACAAGGTTGTTCTTCATTAGAACTTACACTTTACAAACATCAAATGTTACCCACTTTTCAAGTCGTGCGCCAATTCCTTTCTCATGAGGGTGTCCCCTGCCCTCTGGTTCCTGATCTCTCCTGAAGTCTGTCCCTGATGAACTATGAACTATGTTGGGAATTTCAGGAGTGAGTTATTCTCTCAGACTTTTGAATTAAACTCCTGCATAGGGCACAGCTGTGCTGGGGACCCTTCAAGTGCTTTAAAGTCGCCAACCCATTGATGCCTCCCAATAAGCCTTTTAGGTGGACACTACTGCTAGCAGGACTTTACAGATGAGGAAACTGAGGCACAGAGAGGTTCACTTGCCCAAGTTCACTCAGCTGGGAGGTAGTGGGCGGGATCCCACCCTCCACAGTCTGTGCTCCGAGCTACTGTCTCCCATCTCCCACCACCTGCACTGCCCACGGCACCTGCCGGGCCCAATCTGTCACCCTCTGCTCTCTGCCCTCGGCCTCTGGTCCCTGTTCCCCTGGAACATGCCAAATACCCCCTACCCCAGGGCCTCTGCTGCTCCCCTGCCACATGGCGCCACCGCTCCTTCACCCCATTCAGGTCTCACCATCTCAGGGGCCACCTGTGAGGCCTTGTCTGGCCACCCTGTTTAAAACCACACTGCCTCTCTCCCTACAGCCTTCCTTACCATCTGACATGCTACATACGTGACTCATGTATTCACAGTTGTGCAGCTTCTGGGTAACTGAGGACCGGTGGGCCCGCCTCACCCTCCTCCTCATCTCGTCAGCCATCTCTCGCTGCATCCCCACTTACCCGCTGTGCATCCAGGCGCCTCCTGGCCTGCTCTCCCTGAAGGCTGAGCAGGCGATGCAGCTCGGCCACACGGTCCTGGGGCACCAGCCGGACCTCCTGCAAGTGCTGGGCCTGGGCCTGCCTCAGCCTCAGGTGAGCTCCCTGCACCTGCATGGGGAAGGGGAGACAGCTCTGGTGGGGCTGCTGAGACGCGGCACAGAGGAGCACCCTCTCCATCCAAGGACACCCCCACCTGCAAGGGCAAGGAAAGCGTGTGCTCCCGAGTATGCAGCAGCACCTGAATATTTAGAAGGAGCCCATTTCTTTGGAATTCGGACAGCCAGGCTGCTGTCAGCCAGCGCTTCCACACAGTGCTAGAGTGCAGAAAACATGTCCATCACCCTCAAAATGGTGACGCTGACCTCCTGTCAGACCCAGACTCTGCTGCGTCCAGTGTTAGCTTCCAGTGAACCTTGCTGGGGCCTGATTCTTTTCAAACAACGACCACGCCAGTTCTCCTTTCAGCGGAGACCTCACTCTGCAACAGGGCTACACTGGCCACAGACTACCCAGACAACACGGACTGCTGAAGGGAAGGTGGGGCCAGGGCTGGAATTCCTGGCAGCGCCTGGTTTCCTGGATGGCACTGTCTGCTGGAGGTGGGCTGAGCTGTTACAGTAAACTGTGCACCACTATGCCAGCCACTTTAATGAAGCAGCTCGAAGCAAGATCCAAATACAATTTACATCCAGTTGACTGGAGGCTTCACCAGGATTTCTTTGGCACCCTATAAGAACTGGCCACGCCACCCCTTACTCACCTGAGACCCCAAGACGGAGTGGGAATCACGCACGCTCCATCGGGGTCATATTTGGGCTGGGCCTGACATCACCACATGGTGGAGGAAGAGGGAAGGCAACACCCTGCGCCACACTGCCAGGTCCGGCTTCCCTTCAGTAGTCCCTGCACTGACTCAGCCGAGCTGGGGGCCTGTCTTGGGGGGGCCAGGTCATCACTGTAAAGCTCACCCTTCTTCAGGACGGGGGTCACCCCAGAGAGACACACCTGCACCCCACATTTTCCAGGCCCTGGAAGGCAGCTTATGGTTTGAGACAGAAAAGGAGGGAAGAACCAGTTCTAAATAGCATCTCCACCAAACGCAGCCTTCTCCCGAAGGCTCGTCTCAAGACGGTCACTCTGGCTGCCGCCGCCCAGGCCTGCGGGACTCCCACGCATCAAGCACATCTACCCACCCAGGAAGGCTCTGGCCCGGCACCCCAACTCCCTGGGCTCTGATGCTTGCAGGTCCTTGGACTGCACCACCCCCCACAGCCATCCTGGGACCGAACCCCCACTAATTAAGCCGCTCCACAGCATGGCCAGGGTCCAGCCCAAGGGGGATCTCTGCCCATGGTGGGCAGCCTGTAAACATCTACTGAATGGAGAGCCATCCAGTCCTCTTCATCTCCTTCCTTGGCAACGCGAGACGGGCCACATCTACAGACCTTGACAGTCACAGGGACAGGGAAAGACGTCCCCAGGGGAGCACTGGAAACAAGGACATTTGTGTTCTGGGTGCTGGAGTGAGGCAGAGCGGCAGATGGGGCATCATCTCCCATCCTGAGTGCAGCCACCCTTCCTGTCCTTCCCGTGGAGAGGGCCCTGTGAGTCCCCATCCCTTTGCCCTCTGAGCTCCCCTGGGAGACCCTCCGCCCTCTGAGCTCCTCTACGAGGCCCCATCCCTCTTGTCTGCTCTGGCCTCTGGGGCCTTCCTCCTGAACCACACATGGGCATGACAGTGACTGCCCTAGCTTCCCTCCCACATGGAAACGGCAACCACATCAGCTTCAGGCCCAGCCTCTCGTGGCCACTCTTAGGGAGCCCCATCTGCCTTTTCCAGAGTGTCCTGAGCTACCCTGGAAGCCCCCAGCTTCCTGATGCTGACTGGAAGCCACGTGCTTTGGGGGAGCGTCTTCCTCTAAATCACGAGGAAGAAGGGGTGACCCACATGGCTGCAAGGACAGACTTGGTGAGGTGCTTCCCAACTGAGAGGCTGGTGGCAGGCGTGGCCCCAGGGGTGTGGAATGCTCTCCCTTGGCCCCAGCGGTGCCTCCCAGCGCCAGGTGCTGAGGAAGTGCTGGCCTTTTCAGGTGGCCTTACTCCTCACCTCAAAGGACTCGAACTGGCCCAGGCAATTTTCCAGGGTTCCTTTTAGACTCAAAAGTAGAGAAGGGTGCCTCAAATAGGCAGAGCACCTCTGGAAAACTGACAGCCTGTAGCTGCAAGGCCAAGAGCCTATGGGAGCCCCAACAGCGCCTCAGAAAGCTCTGGGGTCCATGCCCAGCTGACCCCTCTGTGCCTCAGGACGTCTAGGGGGAGCCTCTGCACAGGGCGCCAGGGCCAGCGCCGGGGGGGACCAGGTGCAGAGGCTCAGCCGAGCCTCACAGGCAGGTGGGGAGAGACCCTTTCCCACAGCCCCCTTTCCTCTCTGTAGCCAAGCTTCCAAGTGTGCCCCGCACCTGTGTCCACACTGGGCACTCGCCCTCTGGGCACCTTTGGCCGTTACACACCTGCTCTTCTCCTCTCCCTTGAGCCACCCCCTCCACAAGCATCCCCTGAGCCGGCTCCCCTCCCTGAGGCCCCTGCTCGGCTGCCCCTGCACACACCTGTCTGTCCCGGACCACGAGCCCCTGCCACCATAGCCCAGCCTCCTGTGTCTGCACCTCCCGCGCCTCTCACCTGCGGGGCCAGCAGATGTGGCACCCGGAGGCGTGTACAGAGGCCAGTGTCATGCATGCCCATGAGTGCCCATGTCACCCCACTCCCAGGGCTGGAGCCTGCTGCCTTGGTTCTGACGACACAGTCCCCAGGCTTGCCTCTGGCTCCTCCATTCTGTGGAGGGCTCACCCACAGGCATGGTGCCCGCACTCCTTCCCTCGGGAGTAAACAGTCACTACTCTTCACGGGGCTTGCTGACAGTCAAACCAACCCTGCACTGGGAGCAGCTTCGGTCCTGGCCCGGTAAGCACCTGGACAGCTGTGCCCAGCAGCGCAACTACTTCTTTGGGCTGGAGGAGGCCTGGCAACACCGTTGGCACTGCGGTGATGCTGCTCCCAGGTGGGACTGGACCCAGTGCCTCCAGCCATCGCTCACACCCACCTGGTCTTGACTTTCCTCAAGGGTCTGGGTCAGCTCTGACCATGGCAGCTGCAGGCTCTGATGTTCCTGATTCAGGCATTCAAGTTCAACTCTAAGTTTTTGGATTTGGTCACTCTGTTTTTAAAAAATCAATTGCACAAGTCAAGAAGTATCTGAAGAGTCTGGTATGTAATTCGTGCAAAAACCTCAGAAAATTACAGAAAAGAAAAAAAGTACAAAATTTAAATCCCTGTGAACCCACCAACCAAGGCCGGCCCTGTGTCCTGCAGTCACTCCCCGGCCCCTCCTCTACACACACGCATCTCCCTGGTGAGACAGTGTCAGGTGCGCCACGCACTGCAGGAAGTGCCTTCTCCTCACTGCAGTGGGAGCGTTTCCTGGGGCATTAGTTATGATTTGAAAACATGGTTTTCAGTGGCTGTGCTGTGATCCAGTGACTCCCTCAGCTTCTGTTGGTGACTCGGCCGATTTCAGTTCTGCTTTGCTATTATAAACAGCACAGCAAGGAAAATGCTGCAGCTGCATCCTTCCACAAGGCTCTCGGGAACATCCCCATCGGAATCGTGAAGTCAAGGCATGTGGACTTTCTTCAGCCTCTAAGTGTGTATTTTGCCAAACTGCCCTCGGGGAACTTTGTACCAATTCACTCCTCTGTCAGCAGCATATAAAGCTATTCTGCTATTTTCTTTAGATACTGGGATTTGCCAACACAGCACAGTCCACCTACTTCTCCAAGGCATGCTTGGGAAGTCCCTCACTTCCCTCCAGGCTCCTCAGCGCGTGTCCTGACCTATTTGCAGCCGCCTCCCCACCCTGAGCTCCCAGCCTCCAGCTCAGCTCCCTGCGGCTGAGGCCACCCACCTGCTGCTGCCCACTGCGAACCACCTCCTCCAGGCTCTGTGTTAACATCTGAATGGTCACACGATGCTCCTCGTTTTGGGCCTGGTGGGTAGAAGCCTCCTGTCCCAGTTGAAGAACCCTGACATTGAGCTGGGATAATTGATCCTTGTAGTTCTGATTCTGGGGGAAAAAGTTTTTAAATACATAAGAAAAAAATGTTTTTAATTTTCATGTTATATATACATTTGCCCATCATTGGCTATATTTTTATTAAGTAGTCATTTGTTTTGTTTTGTTTTGTTTTGTTTTTCAAGACAGGCTCTCGCTCTGTTGCCCTGGCTGGAGTGCGGTGGCACATTCATGGTTCACTGCAGCCGTGACCTCCTAGGCTCAGGCGATCCTCCCACCTCAGCCTCCCAAGTAGCTGGGACCACAGGCACACGTCACCACTCCCACCTAGTTTTGTTTTTTGGTCGAGACAGGGTCTCTAGCTGTGTTGCCAAAGCTGGTCCCGAACTCCTAGCCTCAAGGGATCTTCCCATCTCAGCCTCCCAAAGTGCTGGGATTATAGGTGTGGGCCACTGAGCCCAGCCCCACCTTGCCCCCTAAAATACTTTTAAGCCAGCAGCTCAATTCATATCATTGTAATTGCTCTCAACCAGGTACAACTTTGCTCCTGAGGAAATGTCTGGCAATGTCTCCAGGTATTTTTGGTAATCACAGCTGGAGATGGAGGCATGGGGGCACTTGACACCCTACAACACAGATGATTTGGCCCCAAACGTCACCAGTGCCGAGGACAGAAAGCCCTGCTCCAGCCCCTAGGAAAAACACACACACATCTAGGCCACCAGAAGGGAGTATATGCCATGACCGTCCAAACCACTGTTTGGAAGACCTTTCACGTTTTTCTCATTTCCTCCACGATTATTTTAATATATTTAAAAATATATGGCAATTTTAACAAAAAAGCAACCTATTTAAACTTGAGGTACATGAATCTCTTAAGTCTCCTCTGATCTCAGTCATTGAACACACAAGCGTAGCTCTTGGCAGGGTACATAGGTTCATCAAATTGTATGTTTTGCTTTTTCTCAATAGCACCTCCCACAGACAAAGGATTTCAGCAAACGTTCATGAGGGGAACCTGTGAGGGCGCAGTGCAGTGACAGCGGCAGGAAAGTGGCCCTGCGGTCTGGACCACGGAGGCTCTGCTGTCTGCAGCCACCTGTCAGGAACATCTTCATGCAACCATATTTCTGCTTACTTGCTTTTTCCCACCGCAGCTCCTGGGGGTTTGGAGTGATGTCCTCTGACCCGCTCTCAGCACAATCGACCACGCACACGTCACCTTCCCAGAGTGACGCCCACAACCACTGCCTTTGCTTCTATAGGTTTTACAGGCATGTAAGAAAACTGGGACGTTTTTCCATTTGGATTTACTCAAGATTAGGGAGTCCACGCATTTTTCTCATGCAATTCCTTGCAAATTAACCTCACCTCATCCCTTCCCTAGAACCTCAAGCCTCAGGTTAAGAGAAGCTTCCACCACGACATAAGCGTGTGGCAGTTGTGTATGGTATAGAGCTCATGTGTTTTATGACATTTTATTGTGAAAATTAGAATTGTTTTAATACTGACACACATTCACCTTGTCCTCTAAAGACAGCCTTGATTTCATGAGTAGAAATGGAATCTTCCTTCAGTTCTTGAGATAAACACAATAGTGGATTTTCTTCTATTCACCTTTAACATTTAAACTCTTCATTTGGTGGCTGGGCGTGGTGGCTCATGCCTGTAATACCAGTGCTTTGGGAGGCCGAAGTGGAAGGATCACCTGAGGTCAGGAGTTTGAGACCAGCCTGGCCAACATGGCGAAACCCCATCTCCACTAAAAATACAAAAATTAGCCGGGCTTGGTGGCACATGCCTGTAGTCCCAGCTACTTGGGAGGCTGAGGCAGGAGAATCGATTGAACCCGGGAGGCAGAGGTTGCAGTGAGCTGATATTGCACCACTGCACTCCAGCCAGAGTGACAGAACAAGACTCCATCTCAAAACAAACAAACAAACAAACAAACAAACACACAACAAACTCTTCATTTGGAAATAATTTCAGACTTGAACAGTTGCAAGACTAGAACATCACCAGGGAAACCAACCTGCCTTCCATCCCAGCTCCTAGCCGACAACACTCCCCCAATCTGCTTTGCCCCCTACACACACAGGCGCACACATGATGTCTTCCCTTCTCCACAGCCGCCTGCCTCCCGGGGACAGCAGCTCTCACGCGGCTGCTGTGCAGCTACTGCTTCAGGACAGTGGCCTTGATGTCCCCACACTTCATTTTGTCAACGAGCCTGGCAGCATCCTTCCCGGCACAGGATCAGCTGGGCCCTGTCCAGCTGTTTCAGCCTCCTCAAATGTGGAATGTCTCCTCAGCTTCTGTGTCTCATGACTTTGACATTTTTTGACAAATACAGTTCCACCCCCTCCCATTTGGGGTTTGTCTGGTGCTTCCTTGTGACTCGAGTGACAAGTTCCTGGGCAGACACTGTGCAGGGAGCTGCATCAGGAGGCAGAGATGCTATCTGTTCCTGGTGGCGTTCACGCTGGCCACCTCTTAATTTTGAACTTGCATTCATCTGGCTTTCACTGCAGAAGCCAACATGAGATGTCAGCAGCTGTCTCCTGGGTGTGTGTTAAAACAAATGACATCTGTGTCAAAATATGTTCACTCTGCATCTGCTCCAGCCTTTAGGCCTAATTTCCAGTTTACAAGGCAGACAAGTGACATACGACCAGAGTAGCCTACACTCTCAGAAAACAACTGGACAGATCCAGAATGTGGGATGGCCCACGGGACCACTACTGGGGCTCTTCCAAAAGCCAGTGTCATGGGGAAAAACAGGTCTTCTAGATCAAAACACCAAAGGGACCATGCAGGGGATGTGTTGTCCAAAGAAGCCTCCAGAAGCCTCTTCCATCCCACATCCTCTTCTGAAATGTGACCTGAACACTTGCCCATCAGAGAAGCCTCCCCCGCGGCTCCAGGGACTCAGTGGGAATAACGTAGAGTGTGACTTCCGAGGAGGGCTTGGGAGCCATGCGCCTCCCACCAGCTGCCCTGGAACACTAGCTCCCTGACACCCCCCACGACACTCCTTCCAGGTCCAGCCCCATGAGGAGAGGCCCCAGACAGACACAAGCAGAAGGGGTCCCCGACGACTCCAACCCTGGCCATTAGGTCACCCCAACTGTCCAGCCTTCCCAGCCGAGACCCCACATCACAGAGCAGGGACGGCCGTCAACGCTGTGTTTGTCTGAATGCCTGACCCACAGGTGCCATGAATGCACTCAAGTGGCTGGTTTATGCCAGCAAGTTGATCTGATAGCTAAACATGGCTGAACAGAGTCATAGTTACACACAATGTGGCACCCCCAGCTGCACCCTACTGCCAGCAACCTTGTTGTGCAGGACACTTTTTAATAACTGAAAAAATGAGAATATGGTCTGAATACTGATATGAGGTAACTACTGCTAAGTTTCTTAAGTGTGACAGCACTCCTTCAGTGTGGCGAGGCGGGAGATGCACTTCCTTTTAAGAGATGCCTGTTGAAATATTGAGAAGTGGAGTATCATGACATCTGGAACTTATTTTCTATTATTATTATTATTATGAGAGACAGGGTCTCACTCTGTCAGGCTGGAGTGCAGTGGTACGATCTCTACTCACTGTAGCCTCAACCTCCCAGGCTCAAGCCATCCTCCCACCTCAACCTCCTGAGTAGCTGGGACTATAGGCACATGGCAGCATACTCAGCTGATTTTTCTTTTTTTTGTAGAGATGGGGTTTTGTCATGTTGCCCAGGCTGGTCTTGAACTCCTGGGCTCAAGTGATCCGCCCACCTTGGCCTCCCAAAATGCAGGGATTATAGGTATGAGGCACTGCACCCGGCCTGTAACTTGTCTTCAAATGGTTCAGAACACACACATACACATGCACACGTGAAATATATAGATATGAACAGAACTAAAGTGCAGGTGGCAATGCGGATAACAGTTGCATTAATGTTGTGGATGTATGTGGATGATCACTCTATATTGTTTCAACTTTCCTGTGTTTAAAGTTTTTCATGGTAAAATTTTTGGGGTAAGCCGGGTACAGTGGCTCACACCTATAATCCCAGCAATTTGGGAGGCCAAGGCCAGCGGATAGCTTGAGGTCAGGAGTTCGAGACCGGCCTGGCCAACATGGTGAAACCCTGTCTCTACTAATAATATAAAAATTAGCCACGCATGGTGGTACACACCTGCAATCCCAGCTACCCTGGAGGCTGAGGCAGAAGAATTGCTTGAACCTGGGAGGTGGAGGTTGCAGTGAGCCAAGATCGCACCACTGCACTCCAGCCTGGGTGACAGAGTGATAATGTGTCTCAAAAAAAACCCCCAAAATTTGGGGAGTGTCCAGGCAGTGTTTGACACCTATAATCCCAGCATTTTGGGAGGCCAAAGCTGGAGGATTGCTTGAGGCCAGGAGTTTGAGAGCAGCCTTGGCAACATAGTGAGACCCTGTCTCTACTAAAAACACAAAAGATGGGCTGAGCATGCTGGCGTGCGGCTCCCCAGGCAGGTCATCTCCACAAGCAGCTGGGCCTCGGGCCAGTGCAGAGCCTCAGGCACTCACAACACAGACAGTGCCTGCCTGCCAGCGTCTATGAGAAGCTGCTCACAGTTTCTAGATCAAAACACCAAAGGGACCCTGCAGGGGATGCCTGTGGTCCCAACTACTGCGTGCCACATGATTCTGAACATCCTTGGGACCACCGGCAGATTTGACTGGGGCAGGGGTCTTCACAGCCGTGTTTAGTGTCTGACTTTGATGGGGCCTGGGGGCCAGTCAGCAACTCACTGTCAAGTCTTTTAGAAGAATATTCTCTACTTCCTTTTGTAAGTTTAAAATGATTTCAAAATAATGAAAAAAAGGAATGGTGGCATGAGCTCCATGCCAGGCGTCGATACGTCACCTGTCTGTTGAGCACCTCCATCTCAGAGCAGGCCTTTTCCTTGTCTTTCTTTAAAACCTCAATTTCCTTCCTGTTGAAGAAGCACAATTAACAGTGATACCACTTGTGACCAACCAGTGCCTTCTTTCCTGGTCAGCACCCAGGGTAAGAGCAGCATGGGGGTTTGTAGCCACAGCAGAGACGCCCACACCTGCCCCTGGCATTCTCCAGCCCCTCTCAGTCCCTGCTGTTGCCACTACTAATGAAGACGACGATCCCGTCTTCCATGGTTTATCCCAAACCACGAAGACTTTAGGAATGTGAAACTGTCGGATTACTAGAGAGCCTCTAGTAATCTACACTGCCAGCACTGTAAGAACGCACACCCTGCATGACATTCCTCAATCAAATACATGAATATTTCTTTTGTAAAACACATAACACTTCACACTCAGCAGAGTGAATAGAGACCGAAACAGCCTGCATCTCCGGAGGTATGCCATCAGCAGGGTCCTCACAGACTCAAGAAAACCAGAGAAAAAATGGTTTCTAAAGGAAAACTAGCTTTGAGATTTCGGAAGTGCTGTCATGGAAGGGCAATCCCTGGGTACCTGCTTGGGACTCGCTACTTTAATCACCATGGCAATTCCATCATTTCAGAATTACTGTCTATGAGAACTAAGCTCACCTTGAGATGCATAATTGGGAAAAAAAAAGGCCAAACAATTGTCCTTGGATATGGCTACAGTAGTGACAGCAGAAAGCCACCCTCCCCAGAACACACATTCTCCCTTCCTCAGTCCCAGCCCTTCCCCAGCTTGCACTGAGGGGACACTCCTGCTCTGTCCCCTGACTCTCGCTGATGGATGCCCCCTGCTCTGTCCCCGCCAACTCTCACTGACAGGCACCCCCCTGCTCAGTCCCTTGACTCTCACTGATGGGTGGCCCCCCGTCTGGTCCCCCAACTCTCACTGGTGGCCTCCCTGTCCCCACTGACTCTCACTGGTGGCCTCCCTGCTCTGTCCCCCGACTCTCACTGGTGGGTGCCCCCCTGTCCTGTCCCCTGACTCTCACTGGTGGGCACCCCCCTGCCCTGTCCCCCGACTGTCACTGGGGGGCACCCCCCTGCCCTGTCCCCCGACTCTCACTGGTTGGCACTGCCCTGCCCTGTCCCCCGACTCTCACTGGTGCGCACCCCCCTGCCCTGTCCCCTGTCACTGGTCTGTGCCCCTCTGTCCTGTCCCCTGACTCTCACTGGTGGGCGCCCCCCTGCCCTGTCCCCCAATTCTCACTGGTGGGTGCCCCTCTGCCCTGTCCCCTGTCACTGGTGGGCGCCTCTCTGCCCTGTCCCCTGACTGTCACTGGTAGGCGCCCCCCTGCCCTGTCCCCCGACTCTCACTGGTGGGCGCCCGCTTGCCCTGTCCCCCTGACTCTCACTGGTGGGCACCCCCCTACCCTGTCCCAACTCTCACTGGTGGGCGCCCCACCGCCCTGTCCCCCGACTCTCACTGGTGGGTGCCCCACTGTCCTGTCCCTTGACTCTCACTGGTGGGTGCCCCACTGTCCTGTCCCTTGACTCTCACTGGTGGGTGCCCCACTGCCCTGTCCCCTGACTCTCACTGGTGAGTCCCCCCTTGCCCTGTCTCCCGACTCTCACTGGTGGGTGCCCCACTGCCCTGTCCCCCAACTCTCACTGGTGGGTGCCCCACTGCCCTGTCCCCTGACTCTCACTGGTGGGTGCCCCACTGCCCTGTCCCCTGACTCTCACTGGTGGGTGCCCCACTGCCCTGTCCCTCGACTCTCACTGGTGAGTGTCCCCTTGCCCTGTCCCCCGACTCTCACTGGTGGGCGCCCGCCTGCCCTGTCCCCCTGACTCTCATTGGTGGGCACCCCCCTACCCTGTCCCAACTCTCACTGGTGGGCGCCCCACTGCCCTGTCCCCCGACTCTCACTGGTGAGTACCCCCTTGCCCTGTCCCCCGACTTTCACTGGTGGCCGCCCTGCCCTGCCCCCCTGACTCTCACTGGTGGCCCCCTGCCCTGTCTTGACTCTCATTGGTGGGCGGCCCACTGCCCTGTCCCCTGACTCTCACTGGTGCCCCCACCCCCATCCTCTCTTGCCTCAGTGCTCAGGTTCCTGACCCTCCCCACGCCCATCCCCTCCCCCAGCTCTTGTTCACTGAAACTGATAAACCAGCAATGACCCTCTGAGGAAGGCAGAGCTGAAGCTGTTATCAGGAGAGGATCCTAGGAGCACCTCTGACCCCTACAGACACTGTTGTGGCCTCCCCCAACCCCTAAGTGCGACGTGCATCATCTCTGTGGGGTGAACGGCGCCTGTGCTAGGGCTCTGCTCGCAGTCCCGACCATGCTGTGGGCACTCTGCCTCACTTCCCACACCAAGGAGCTGGGGCGTTCAGGTGCCGCCCACACGAGGAAGGAGGCCAGAGCCTCCCACATCTGCCGAGTCGTTCAGAAGTTAACAAGGCTCATGGTTTAGGGTTTTCTGGAATGCAGGGCTAATCTGAGAACACTTCCCACTGTCTATATGGAGACTGCATAAGGTCACTCTACGGAGGGCAAAACGCACCCCCAGAAGGTCTGGGTAGGGGCGTGGCCCTTACCTCTGTGCATCGTGAGTACTTTCTGCAGCTTCAAGCTCTTGCCGAACCCTTCCCAGATCGTTTTTCAACAAAGTGTTTTCTTCAGAAAGTCTATGGAACTCCAGTCTGCGTAAAAATTGAGAAAAGACCGGTGAGCACTTGGGGAGCCACATGTGGTCACGGAGGCTGGCTCTGCAGCGGGGAGTCCTGAGAACTGTGCGTCCCCATCTCCCCGTCCCTGGAGGTGGCGCCAGACACCATTCCTTTCCCTCTTCCTGCACCAGGTGTTAACGTCTTACATCTCCCATGAGCCAAGCCACAGAAAACGGAACTTTCTTAGCTTCTACACTGCCACGCCATCAAGTCACAAATGCACTCAGAACCTTGGGTTTTGCTTATGCTGAGTTTATAGCTGAACTGCTCCTGCATCTATGGCCTCTCACCAAACGTGTGTCCTGGTTGCCAGTGCTGGGCGTGAGTCCTCAGGTACTGCAGGGTACTCATGCCCTGGCAGTGAACTCAGTGTGGAGCTAAGAAACACAGGAATCAGAAGGCCAAGATATATGGGAAACCTCTGCTAGGTGAATCTCAAAGTGGGAAAAGGCAGGGATAGACAGCCACTATGTGAACCAAGTCTGCCTGGGCCGTCTTTGTTCTCTGACAACTCAGGGAGTCCCTGCTTGGGTAATGCCATTGATTTGATAGATGAAGATGGCAATTTACCAATGAAGATCACTAATGGGAGCCAGGAGTGGCGGCATGCATCTGTAATCCCAGCTACTGGGGAGGCTGAGGCAGGAAGACTGCTTGAGCCCAGGAGTTTGAGACCCTCCTGGGCAACATAGTGAGACCTTGTCTGTGAAAAAACAAAAAAGATCACCAGTGAAGTAGCTTAAGACCCATACTTGCTACCCAGAGAATGCATTCTTAATACTGACTGGTAAGGCTAACGTGTATTCCCCAAATAGGTCTCCATATGGTACTAGCTTCTTATTTTTTCAGTCTGAAAATACTGAAAGCCACATGATCTCACCATGTTCACTTCATGTATTTTTTTGTTTTTTCTTTGAGATGGGGTCTCATTCTGTCACCCAGGCTGGAGTACTGTGGCACGATCATGGCTCACTGCAGCCTTGAACTCCCAGGCCCAGGAGCTGGGACTACAGTAGGCATGCGCCACCACGCCTGGATAATTTTTGTTGTGGTGGAGATGGGGTCTCGATAGGTTGCCCAGGCTGGTCTCGAATTCCTGGTGATCCTCTCACCTAGGCCTCCCAAAGTGCTGGGATCACAGATGTGAGCCACCACGCCCAGCCCGCTTTATGTATTATACTTATAATAGTAAACATAAGTATCTTCTTCATATGCCTTCATTTTATCTCATGAGGAACTAAAGACAAAAATAAATAGTCACTGGAATTAAAGGCAGCAAAGGGTTTCAAGCAGGAGAGTTCTGTGTTTTTAAACTATCACTCTGGCTCTAGAATGGAGAACAAGTTGATGCAAGGCCGAAAGCTGAGGGGTGCCCTACCCCATCCCCCACATGACCACCAAACAACTAGATCCTGCGCAAAGCTGATCGCAACCTCTGTGACTGTCCTCATGGAAAGAAAAGAAAACCTGCAAGAATCTCCAAACAAAACAAAATCCTGGAAGCTGAAACCAACGCGTGAGCACTATGCAACACAAAGCTGGGGGGACCTTGCAACCAATGCCTATGTGTCAGCACTGCTATTAGCAGAATGGAGAAGCTGCACTGTGGACACCTGCACCAGACAGGGCCCTGGAAGGAGGTTCAGACAGTCCCAGATTAGCACCTTCTCACTTCTCTGCAAAAGCAATAGCATCCCATATAAGGCTCTTTATATTCCCAGAGATTAACATCAAGCAAATATGAGCTCACAATCAAAGATCACCATAACATACATGGAGCAAAGCCACCCATAAATGACAGCAGAAGCCAGAAGCCAGAATTCAATCCTCTAGAAACTGCAGGTATTGGACTTATTAGACACAAACTAAAAATAAGTGTTATGAAATGTTTACATAAATAAAAGACAGCAACAAACAATGAACAAGCAACAAGAAACTATTGACAATGATCAGACAGGACCAAACAGAATTTTTAGAAATGAACAAAAAGTCAATGTCAAAATAAAAACTCATGGGATGGTTTAAATAGCAGATTACACAGAGCTGAAAGAAAGAGATACTGACCTGGAACACATAGGTATGTAAAAAATACCCCAAATGTGATACAGACAGAAGATGGAAAATATAAAAGAGAGGTTGAGACATAAAGTGAAATGCTCTAACAGTCACATATCTAATTGAAGAAAATAGTGGGAGGAGAGGATATATATATATATATATATATATATATATATATATATATATACTTTTTTTTTGTTTTTGAGACGGAGTTTTGCTCTTGTTGCCCTGGCTGGAGTGCAATGGCGCGATCTTGGCTCACTGCAACCTCCGGAGAGGCAATATTTTAATAGTAATGGCTGAGAGATTTTCATGAGACACCAATGCAATCCATACATTCAACAGGGAAAATATTTCTTTTTTTTTTTTTTTTCCCTTTTGCTCTGCCGCCCAGGCTGGAGTGCAGTGGTGCAATCTCAGCTCACTGCAGCCTCAACCTCCCAGGCTCAAGTGATCCTCCCATCTAGCCTCCCAAATAGCTGGGACCAAAGGTGCGTGCCACCATGTGTGACTAATTTTTCTTAAGTTTTTGTAGAAAACAGTCTCCTTATGTTGCCCAGACTGATCTTGAACTCCTGGGCTCCCAGAGTCCTGGGATTATAGGTGTGAGCCACTGTGCCTGGCTGGGACAATGTTTTCTAAGTAGGATGAACAAAAAGAAAACTATGCCTATACCCACAACATAACAATCCCATTTCTAGGTACAGCCCAACATAATGCTCCAAAAGACAAATGCAAGAACGTTCAGTGCAGTTCCATTTGTGAGAGCCAAAAACTAGGAACTACCCAAATGCCCATCAACAGGAGAAAAGAATAAACTGTGGTATGTTCACACAACAGAATACCACACAGCAATGCAAATGTATGAACTACAGCAACAACACAGATCAATCGCACAACCAGGTTGAGCCAAGAAAGTCAGACACAGAAGAGTACACACTGCATGATTCCTCTCCATAAAGTACAAAAACAAGCAAACTGAATCTATGCTGTAAGAAGTGGTTACCCCGGGGACTCTGGTGAATTCCATCTCTTGTTCTGGGCGCTGGTAACACAGACGTGTTCAATTTGTTGACAATTCTCCTAATTGTACAAATATATACATTTTCTTATGTGTATCACACTTTAATAAAAAGTTAAAAAGAGGCTGGGCATGGTGGCTCACACCTGTAATTTCAAGGAGGATCCACTTTGGGAGGCTGAGGCAGAAGGATCGCTTGAGGCCAGGAGTTTGAGACCAGCCTGGGCAAAATAGTGAGAGACTATCTCTACAATGAATAAAATAAAATAAAATATAAAATAAAATAATAAAATAAATAAAATAAAATAAAATAAAATAAAATAAAATAAAACAAAGTGGCCAGGCCTGGTGGCTCAGGCCTTATGTAATCCCAGCACTTTGTGAGGATGAGGCAGGCAAATCACTTGAGGCCAGGAGTTCAAGACCAGCCTGGCCAACATGGTGAAACCCCGTCTGTAGTAAAAATACACACATACACACACACACACACACACACACACACACACACACACACACATCAGCTGGGCATGGTGGTGGGCACATGTAATCCCAGCTACTTGGGAGGCTGATGCAGGACAATTGCTTGAACTTGGGAGGCAAAGGTTGCAGTGAGCTGAGGTTGTACCACTGCACTCCAGTCTGGGCAACAGAGTGAGACTCCGTCTCAAAAAAATAAATAAATAAATAAATAAAAAGTTAAAAAGAAAGAAATGCACACAGCAAATAAAAACCACTAAAGATACAGGTCTCAGAAGTAACCAGAGCACAAAAGTCAGATACCTACTGTGGATGGCACAATACTGGCCTCTAACAGAGACTATGTGACATTACACAGCAGGGGGAATGAAGGCTGCTCGTTCTCTGACTGTAGATTATTCTGGATTCTCCAGAGGAACCCAACGTAATCACAAGTGTCCTTAGAGGTAGAAAGTGGAGGCAGAAGAGTCAGTGTTGGAGTAAGGTGACATGAGGAGGACTCGGCCATCCAGGGCTGGCTTCCAGGATGGAAGGACGCCTCAAGTCAAGGCCACTGGAGAAGGTGAGGCAGGGAGCTCCCCTCGGGGCCTCTGGATGGCCCTGCAGCCCTGCCAGCACCTCATTCCTAGCCCAAGGAGACCCTTTCCTCTTCCAACCTCTAAAACTAAAACATCGCACTTTTGTGCCTTGTTAAGCCACCAAGTCCGTGGAAATGCACACGAAGGAAGAACAGACGGACCAAGGGCCAACCATGCAGTGTCAGCAACCGGGTCTCTGACACGGACAGCAGACATTCCAAGGGTGGAGAGGCGGCCATTTAATGGCTAGATGTGCGTTCCTAAGAATACTGTCTTACAAAAATGAAGGAACATTTAAGATACTTTTCAGATAAGCAAAAACAGGAAATTTACTCTAAACAGAGTTTCACTAAAGGAACTTTTTTTTTTTTTGAGATGGAATCTTGCTCTGTCACCCAGGCTGGAGTGCAGTGAGTGGTGTGATCTCGGCTCACTGAAACCTCTGCCTCTCAGGTTCAAGCGATTCTCCTGCCTCAGCCTCCCAAGTAGCTGGGACTACAAGCGCATGCCACCATGCCCGGCTAATTTTTGTATTTTTTTTTTTTGGAGACAGAGTTTCGCTCTTGTTGCCCAGGCTGAAGTGCAGTGGCGCGATCTCAAAACTCACTGCAACTTCCACCTCCTGGGTTCAAGCGATTCTCCTGCCTTAGCCTCCCGAGTAGCTGGGATTACAGGCGCACGCCACCACACTAATTTTTGTATTTTTAGTAGAGATGGGGTTTCACCACGCTGGCCAGGCTGGTCTTGAACTCCTGACCTCAGGTGATCCACCCACCTTGGCCTCCCAAAGTGCTGAGATTACAGGCATGAACCACCGTGCCCTAGTTGTTACGAGGTTTTAAATTCCTGATTCCTGGTGGTGCACGCCTGTAATCCCAGCTACTCAGGAGGCTGAGGCAGGAGAATCGCTTGAACCTGGGAGGCAGAGGTTGCAGTGAGCCCAGACAGCACCACTGCACTCCAGCCTGGGCCACACAGCGAGACTCTGTCTCAAAAAAAACAAAAAACAAAAAACAAAAAAACCTCCTAACAAAGCCCAGGAGCTGATGGCTTCACTGGTGAATTCTACCACTTAAAAAAGAACTTCCACCACCTCTTCTCAAACTCTTCCAAGAATTGAAGAGAAGGGAACACTTCCAAACTCATTCTATGAGGCATTACTTGATACCAAAGCCAGACAAGGACACTACAGTCCAGAAAAGAAAACTGCAGACCAATCCCTTATGATGCAAAAATTGATGCTAAAATCCTCAACAAAATACTAGCAAAAGTTATTGTTTAATGGGTATACAGCCTCTTCTGGGAACAACAATGAAAAATCTTTGGAAGCGAGGGCCGGGCGCAGTGGCTCACGCCTGTAATCCCAGCACTTTGTGAGGCCAAGGCGGGCAGATCACCTTTGAGGACAGCCTGGCTAACATGGTGAAACCCCGTCTCTACTAAAAATACAAAAATTAGTCAGGCGTGGTGGCAGGTGCCTGTAATCCCAGCTACTTGGGAGGCTGATGCACAAGAATATCTTGAACCCGGAAGGTGGGTTCAGGACCCCGAAAGGCAGTCCTGCCCTCCCTCTGCCCAGTGGTAGAGCACCAGATGACCGTGGCATTCCGGGACGGGGCTGGGCTCACAACCCCTACTCAGGCTGAAGGGCTACACAGCCCCCATCAGGGGCTGCGAGCTTGTCGGCAGGAAGGGCCACATAGCACCATTAGCAACAGGGGTCAGTGGGTTAGTTCTGCATTTTTAGTTTGAAGTGTTTAGTTTTAAGAATGAGTAGAAGGCAAACCTGTCGTTCTCTCTCAAATCTACATGTTTCTCCAGAGCCCGGACGACGTCTTCCAGATGTAGAAGTTTGGTTTCCATGTCATCCTTCTCTCTCTCCAGCGCTATTTTGGTCTCCCCCTCTTCTGGGGCAGCAAGCTGCTCCTGCCAGGAACCCTGCGGGTCTGCGAGCTGGAGGTGGGATGGCAAGGACCCTCTCCTGGCAACCTCCACACTGTGCTTGTGACACCCAGGCTCCAGGGCGCCCTCGGCCCGGGCCTGCTGCTCCGAGGCCTGCTCCTGGGTGCCCCTGCTCCAGCTTCGTGCTCGCTCTTCCTGAATGGCCTGTAGCCTCTCAGCCTGTCCCCTGCACGAAGCGGCCGGCCTCAGGGGTGGCTCCCACATCCGTGGCTGGGTTTGCGAGGCGTCTCTCTCTGTTCCCAGCAGAGGCAGCTCCCGGGCTCCAGGCTGCTCCAGCCCCGCTGCGCTCGCGCCGAAAGGCTCTGGCTCCTTTGGGACAATATCCCCATCCACTCCACAGGGCTGCATGCGTGACCACCTCTCTGAGGGGCCGTGGGATGCCGGGGCAGGGGCGGGGGCCGGGCTCTGCGTAGCTTCTGTGTCCTGGGCTTGCCTGCGGCGAGGCCCGGCTCCTGCCGCCTCCTCAGACTCTCTGCCATCACCTGGGGCCAGCCAGGCCAGTGGCCGCTCCCCACAGCCCGGACGCAGTGGTAGGAGGCCACGTGTGCCCTCCTGGCCACTTCCTGCCACCAGCCCATCTTTCGGCAGGGCCTGCATCTCTGCTTCCAGGGAGGGCCCGTCCACTCGCTTCCCGCGGGCAAGCTCCAACTCCTCCTCCTCGAGGGCCAACGATACGCACATCTGGGCGCGCTTCTCGCTCGCACAGGGCTGCAGCTTCAGTGCCCTCTCCAGCTCCAGCTGCTCCGACCTCTGGCTCCCGCGTGGCAGGGGTCCCTGCGGCGGCTCCTCCAGCTCCAAGGTCAGGTCTCTGCGAGCGGGCAGGGCTCCCAGCCCCGACAGCTCTCCACTCAGCTCCGCCTCAGCCTCTCTCCTGTGGAAGTAGAACCGTCACACACCACAGCCCTGCCGCCCCCAGCCCCTCTCTCGGGTTTGAAGTCTGCCCAGCTGTTGCAACGGCTGCGACCTCCTCTCTGTGGTTGGCTTTCTTTATCCCTCCTCGCCTCCCTCAGCCCTGGCTTCAACCTATACCCTGGGCCCTACTTCAGAGTCCAGACGAGGATCCGCCCCACGGAGCGAGGTTCTGCACATGGAAGCCCAAGCACGAACCCTTTCCATGTGGAGTGTTCACATGGAAGATGGCCGCCACCATGCAGGACCTGGTTGCAGCCCCTCGGCCGTGCAGGCCACGTTCCAAGCCCTCAAGGCTCCCAACTGGACAGGGCAGACATACGACGTGGCCCACACTGCAGTGGGTTCTACACGATAGCGCTGGAGACCCAGAGCCAAAACTGTCCCCTAATTCCCTGAAGCTGCTGGGCCTTGGGACCTCTGGTGGCCCGCAGGAGAGTCCAGTGGAAGTGAAGTGAGAGCTGGCAAGACCACAGCACCAGAAGGGGTATGTGGTCCATGCCTGGCCAGGGCAAGGGGAGCAAGGAAGTGGTTGGAGGGCCTCCACCTCCAAGCATTGGCAGATCGGGAGCCCTGCAGAGCGGGGACAGCAGCTCCCCAGGAGCAGGCTGCTAGAGACAGCTCCGGGTGGGGGCCAGGTGCACAAGGGCCTGGATGCTGAGAGGAGAGGGGCTGCTTGTGCCTGCCCCTCTGTTCCCACTGGGGTCTGCAGGGACTCTGACCCAATCTCTTACCACACGCTCTTGGCTTTAAGGGGAAATAGCTGAAAGCCTGGGGAGGCACAGGATGGACAGACGACTTTTTTTTTTTTTTGAGACGAGTCTCACTTTTTTTTTTTTTTAGACGAGTCTCACTTTGTGGCTCAGGCTGGAGTGCAATGGCGAGATCTCGGCTCACTGCAACCTCCGCCTCCTGAATTCAAGTGATTCTCCTGCCTCAGCTTCCCGAGTAGCTGGGATTACAGGCGCCTGCTACCATGCTCAGCTAATTTTTTGTGTTTTTAGTAGAGACAGGGTTTCACCATGTTGGCCAGGCTGGTCTCGAACTCCTGAGCTCAAGTGATTTACCCGCCTTGGCCTCCCAAAGTGCTGATTACAGGTGTGAGCCACCGCATCCGGCCGGAAAGATGACTTTCTGTCAGGCTGGGGGTGGCCTGGCCAGTGTGGTGGGAGGGCCCGTCCTCTTCTAAGCCGGGGCCAATGCTCTCCACAGGACAGTGGGTGCCAGCTGAGCAGCAGCCTGTCTGCGATGACCAGGCACTTCCTCTCCTACCTCAGATGCCCC
Organism: Homo sapiens; assembly: GCF_000001405.40. Taxonomy (NCBI): domain Eukaryota; kingdom Metazoa; phylum Chordata; class Mammalia; order Primates; family Hominidae; genus Homo; species Homo sapiens. The sequence continues at coordinate 25,478,412 of NC_000020.11, forward strand.
CAACAAGAACAGACGTGGTCACTTCACATGTACCTCACACCAGAACACATAAAACACCAGCACAGGCTTTCTGTAAGCCTTCTCTCTCGCTTGCACACTTGAGCCTTTTTGGGAACCTCACTAACCCCAGCTGGCCATCTTTCCCATTGTTCAGGGCTTCAGGCCTTTCTCCATCTCCCCACATGCTACCCTGCCTGGCCCTGGAGAAGCGGGTGTCTCTGAGCGATGGAGGCAATGTTGCTGCCGGGCACGGCTGAGGCAGAGGGTACAGAACACTGGGCTGTTTCTACACAGTGAACAGCTTCATGGCCCATGATCCAATGTATATTTTAAATTCAGAGCCAGAATCCTCATGCCAGGACCTGTTCTTTTGGCACTCACCCATCTGCCCAGAGGAAAACCACCCAGTCGGGAGGCACAGCAATTCTGAGTTGTTTCCTAAGTCTAATTTCAAATTTTGGTTCTTGGCAAGAAACCCCAGACTTGAAATCTCAAAAGAAGCTGGCTGGACCTGATCTGCTGCAGGTGGCTGTGATGCCGCAGGGCCAGGCCACACAGTGCCTGGGTGCAGCAGGGTGCCAGGCCCATCTGCTCAGGCTCGGGGCCGCGGGCTGTGTCCTGCAGCTGCTCCTGCAGGCCCCAGATGACCTCCTGAGACTTCTCGTGGAGCTCCTCCAGGTCGGCCTTCTGACCCTCCAGCACGCTGACCTCGCGCCTGCGAGCCTGCTCCATGTCCTTCCTCTCCTTCTCAAAGTTCCTTTTCAGTGCCGCAATTTCCCTTTCGTAGTAATTTACCTAAAACGAGAAACATGAGCCCCGTGGACCAGGAGACCCTAAGAATGATCTTGCTGCTGACGTAACACAGAAACACGAAGCTGCCTGGCACAACGTGCAAAGACCGGCATCCTGGCCTGCCGAGGTGCCAGGGTGTGCAGAAGGGGACAGTGACATGAATGTTGGTGGTGCTCCCCAGGGCCTAGTGAGGTGTGAGTCACCTATCCCCCCTGAGGCAGGGCGGCAGGCAAGACAGGCAGGAAGCTCGGGGCTCACTGGAGCATTTGGCCAAGCACTGCAAGGGACGCAGAGGGTGGAATCTTTACAGGACCTCGGGGTGGCTCTGAACAGCGTGGAGGCCCTCAGTGGAAGGAATACCATTCAACTATGGGTGGGCAGGGCTCGCCGGAGCTTCCAGTTAATCCTTCAGGGATCCCCAGGGCATGGCCACAGGCAGCTCCACCTAGCTGGTACCCTGACGGAGGAACTGGACACACAACAAGTCATGGACACTGTCCCTCAAAAGCCACCACAGTCTAGGAACAGAACAGGGCTAAGTTCATCCTGACAGTTTCATCCAGGGTGGCCCTGGCCTCAAAGCCACTGAGCTACCCAGGGGGCAAATGCCAGGTCGCTCAGGCTTGGAGCACAGCCAGTAACTGATTCCCACCCACAGACCAGCAAGGAGGGCTGGCCACGGCGCTGCGCTGCCTCAAGTATCCCCTTGTGACACTCCAGAGTATCACACCATTCCCTCCCCATCAGTCATCCTATGTCCTGTGTCCTTCCAAAGAGGGTTTGGGCAGCATGTCAGTTTTATTGCATTTCTCTACAAACTTTCCTCCCCAAAGGGGCTCACAATGAGACAAAGGATTCCAGGGCAGACGCATGTGGAAATGTCAGCGTGCCCAAGTAAAGCTGCCCAACACACAGCAGCTACTCCCCCAGGGCCCCACAGCCCCATAATCCCCTCACCTTGGTCTCCAGCTGGGTCCTGAGGTCTTGGTAATGCTCCTTTACCTGCTCCATCATCAGCTCCGTTTCTATACTCACTGGAGCAGAATTACCCAGGAATGAAATGCCTGCAAACAAGAGGCCACTTCCGTTTGTCACACTGAGGATGCCACGGGGGCCCCTTCCAAACCTTCCAATCTGATATTTTGGCATTGGCATCCATGAGGGGCAGGTGGTGCTGGCTGTGAGGATGACGCTGCGTCCTTAAAGTCAGCACTCGTCAGTACATAGCATTCCGTTATTTATCAGAACACTCAGAGATGAGACTAGGTGGCTCCCCACATGATTCACAGGAGCCCCTTTAGTCCCTAAAATATGCTGTGCTATGGTACATTTACTGCACCCTAAATCCTGTTCCCTGAAGATGCCAGGGTCACGGAGGAAATGGAAGGACATAATGGCCTGTGGCACAGCAGATGCCCGGTGGTGCAGAGCTTTAGATGATGTGCCGATGACCACAGCTGTGTGCACGGAGGTTATCTATCTATTTAGATAACCTTTCCTTGGTGGCCCTACATTATTATTTCATCACATAAACGATGCCAAGTTCTGAGAGGCAGTTCTGGCACACTAACCCCTGCTGGAATTAGCGCTCTGAGACTGACGGGCAGGGAGGTGTGACAGCCAGCGGCATCCAGGTGGGACGTCAATGGGGCTACGGACCCACAGGCACCACCCTGGGTGCAGGCAATCCTGGATATGTGCGTTTCTGGGATGGGTGGCCGGTGGGGTCTTGCACCTCCCTGCAGCTTCCTGAGAGTCTGCCAGCTGTTGGGGTGGCGCCTCAGGAGCCTGACTCCAATCCAGGAGCCAGCAGGGGAGGGGGTGCCTTAGGGGTCCCAGGAGGTCAGTCTCACATGCACAAAAGCCCCGACTAGGCTCCCCTATGAGGTTCCCATATTGGCCTATTTTTTTTTATTTCATTGAGTAAACAGTTTCAGGGCAACAGGAGAACTCTGAAGTTCTCCCGGGGTTACAGATGGCAGCAAAATCTTCTCTGAGGGGCTGAGGTTGCCATGACGGGGGAGCGAGGGGAGCAGGTGGGGCTGCTGGGTCCCCATGGGCCCCTGTCACAGCAGTGGACACGGAGCCATGTGCATTGTATGCTGCTATTGAGTGGGCAGAGGCCACCCCATCCTCCAAAGGGAGCACCACAGACCTCAAGGGCGGCTGCAGCACCTGGACCCCCATTCTCTCTGCAGAGGAGCCAGAGACACTTCGATGTGGGTTCCGGGGACCCTGGGTCCTTGGAGCTTGTCCTAATCCCATTGGCTGCGAGCACAGGGGCAGTTGGCCAGGTGGGGCCGCTCCCTTAGTGCTTGGTGCCTCCCTGCCTCAGTCAGACTTGGGGGGTGGTGCCAGCTACCACATCACCCAGAAGCAGCAAGGGTAAGCCCCGACAGCCTCTGTCTGAACAGGCCTGAGTACTGGGAGGCCCCAATGCATTCTCCGGGATTTAGCTCTTCTCAGTCTCAGCAAGTACCGTGTCACTGAAACAGCTCTGAGATGTGGGAACAGCCTGGGCCAGCCCTGGGGCTGCCCACCTTCAGCGTCCCTTCCTCCTCCCTCTGCAGGTGACCTTCCGTGTTGCAAGGTCACCCTGTGGCATCCCTGGATCCTCCTTGGAAAGTCCCTGCAGAGCAGACCACCTCCCTTCAGGTCACAGCAACATCATCATCTTCATCATCTCCACTCTCTTTTCCTGGCTCTGGGCCTTGTTGTCAACAGCAGGCCTTGGGTCAGCCCCCTCCCAGGGACGGGCTCCTACCTGCTGGGCCGAGTCCAGGGAGCTGCCGTCTGCGCCCATCCGGGCTCCATGAGGGGCTGTGCCGGTTCTTGGGCAGCCGCGCCCACAGGCCTTCCAGCTCAGCTTGCAGCTCATCGTTGCGGTCCTGCAGGTCCTGTGGGGACAGAGCCAGCCACCTCCTCTAGCAGCTGCAGCCATTCAGCCCAGCGAGCTGGCCGAGCTGGCCTCCAGGGGGGTCCCTTGCAGGTGAGGTGCACTGTGAGGTGAGGGCCTGTTGCTTCCCAGCTTCCAGCAGGAAACCATCTGGATTTTAAGTCGCTAACATCATGGTGAGATAAGCCAAAACAAAGGTCCTTTCTTGACTTTCTCACTTTTAAAAACTTTTATTTTTACTGTATTTTATTTATTTAGAGACAGAATCTTGCTCTCTTGCCCAGGCTGGAGTGCACTGGTGCAATCTCAGCTCACTTCAGCCTCCTTCTCCCAGGTTCAAGTGATTCTCCTGCCTCTGCCTCCCAAGTAGCTGGGATTACAGGTGTGCGCCACTACGCCTGGTTAATTAATTTATTTATTTTTCTATTTTTAGTAGAGATGGGGTTTCACCATGTTGGCCAGGCTGGTCTCGAACTCCTGGCCTCAAGTGATATACCCATCTCAGCCTCCCAAAGTGCTGGGGTTACAGGCGTGAGCCACCATGCCTGGCCCTTACATCACTTTCTATCACTGTTATATGGGAGGGGCTCAAAGAAAAAAGTGAGGCAGCTCCTGGGGAGAAATGTAGAAAATGCAGAGTATGGCCGGGCATGGTGGCTCACGCCTGTAATCCCAACATTCTGGGAGGCCCAGATGAGCAGATCACCTGAGGTCAGGAGTTTGAGACCAGCCTGGTCAACATGGTGAAACTCCATCTCTACTAAAAATACAAAAATTAGCCGGGCATGGTGGCATGCGCCTGTAATCTCAGCTACTTGGGAGGCTGAGGCAGGAGAGTCGCTTGAACCCAGGAGGCAGAGATTGCAGTGAGCCAAGATCATGCCATTCATTGCACTCCAGCCTGAGCAAAAAGAGCAAACTCCATCTCAAGAAAAAAATAAATAAAGAAAAGAGGCCAGGTGTGGTGGCTCATGCCTGTAATCCCAGCACTTTGGGAGGCTGAGGTGGGCAGATCACGAGGTCAAGAGATCGAGACCATCCTGGCCAACATGGCGAAACCCCGGTCTCTACTAAAAATACAAAAACTAGCCAGGCGTGGTGGTGGGCACCTGTAATCCCAGCTACTCAGGAGGCTGAGGCAGGAGAATCGCTTGAACCCAGGAGGCAGAGGTTGCAGTGAGCCGAGATTGTGCCACTCCACTCCAGCCTGGTGACAGAACAAGACTCTGTCTCAACAAAAAAAAAAAAAGAAAAGAAAAGAAAAGAAAATGCAGAATACTGTCACCACCAGAAACTACAGTCTTTGTTGGAACTGCAGTGGTGCTGCAATGTGCATGTCAGGCAGTGCCCTGGGTAAGGATAGGATTCCTTCCTCAGCGGCCACTGAATTTGCAAAGGGTTCTGCAGCTTTAACTACCAAAGAGGAAACCATTTGCTTCAGATCATATGCTGCAAAGCAGAGAACATGTCAGAAAGAAAGGATGATGTTGGTAAGGAGACACTGGAGCAGGTGGAGGCCGCGTGGGCGGCGGGAAGGCTAGGACACCATGGCAGGGTGGGTGGAAGCTTCAGGGGAGGCATCTGCATTTGTGGCCAGCTTAATTGTGCTCCCACTTTAATGAACTACGTCCTAACCAGTATGCTCAGTCACTTGCTCTTTAAAGGGACAGGAAGGGCAGAGTTTCTAGCCCACTTTCTTAGACACCTCCCAGGGTCCTGCAGACCTTCAGGAAGCAGACATAAACCAGGCTGTGCATGCTTCCCCATTCACACGTGGCTGGGGCCTCGGTCCCCAGCCCTGCAGCCTGAGTGGGACTTGTGACTGCTTCGACCTAGGAGACAGCAGAAGTGATGCCACGGGACTTCCAGGAACACGACATCCACCCACTTCTGCTGGGACATTTGCTCTGGGGCAGCTGCCGCCACCATGCTGTGATGAAGCCCAAAGTAGCCCTGCAGAGGCCACGTGGAGAGGCCCAGATGGAGAAGGGAGGCCCCAGCCCACACGGCACATCATGCAATATACCCAGGTAACAAACCTGCACAGGTACCCCCAAATCTAAAATAAAAGTTGAAAGAAAAAAAGTTTTTAAAAACACCAATATCCTTGTTACAAAATACAAAGAAACCCCAAAAGTGAGTTTGCAGAGATCAGGTGACATACAGTGGGGAGGGCTCAGGGTGATCCTTCTGGAATCTGGAGACCGACCAGAAAGATGCCCTCAGTCAAGACACAGCGACCCCTAGGAGCGAGCAGCATGCCAGGCACCCAGATCCTGTCTCTAAAACCATTCCCTCAGGAAAGGAACCAAGACTCCTTGGAGAAATGGCAGATTGTGGGCAGGTGCTGGGGCATCTCATTATGCCAGCAAGTGTGGAAACATTTGACAAAACAAGGCAGCAGCCAACACTGCGGGGCATGCCGCGGCACAGCAAGCAGCCGAGGACTCTCACTTGCCAAATCTTGCACAATTTGGGCACGAAAATAATTAAAAACCATAGGGAGGAAATGGGAATTCATGAGTCCATACCAGTGATTGGTACATGTATGGCTAGATCTGGACGGACAGGATTTCTCTAGCTTGAGTAGAATGCCAATGGCATGGACAGATGTGGAGGGGCTGCTAAGCAGGAAAATCATTTTGCAACCATCATAGTAAAGACTGAATCAGGCAAGAATCACCAGTGATGCTAAATCCAGGGAAGATTCTGATGAAGGCAGTATATTTGCATGGTCTTAAAGTGTCTTTCCACTGACTGTGTAATATTAATAGTTGCAGGGGAGAAAAAATGGTGATTACCGAGCAGAGAAACCAGGCGACACCTCGGTTGGGAGATCAGAAGCAACACCAGCGAGCGGGGCACAACATCACCCATGTGCTGTGCCAGCTGAGGATGCACAGCCTCAGTGCTGTGAACAGGAAACATCAGAAACACACAAAACGGGAACGTTGCTATGAAAAAGCGAGGAGGACAACATTCCTCAAAAATATCAATGTCATAAAGACAAAGAAAGGAAATGAGTCAGAATAAAGGATATTAAAGAAACAATCTGGCCCTGGGTAGATGCACTGAGGGAAGCAGAACTCGGCCAGCAGGTAACATGTTGCTTCGATGGCAGTTCATCAAGCATGCCTCAGTCATGAGAAAATATTCTCATTCAGTCAGGTGCTGGGAAACTTACTCTCCAGGAAATAAAAGCCCTCGCTTGTGGCTTTTACAAATTTCTGTGGTTTAAAGCCTGTATCAATTTGAAGCCTATCAAAGGCTTAATAAGCAATCTGCAAATCCTTGAACTCTGCATGATCACCTGCAGGAGCAGGAAGCTGCACAGCACTGCCAGCAGAACGGGAGGAAGTGTTTCTTAGGAAGTGCACACAAGCACTGGGCCGTGAAGGGTCAGGATGTGCATATATGACCCTCGGATGCTAAATCATGTTGTTTAGCATCTTTATGGGTACTTATACACCTTTTTCTTATTAGGTTATGTATTCATATTTGGAGAGAGTTTTTATATATTCTGGATCCAAGTCTTTTATCAGATAAATACATAATCACAAACATTTACTCCCATTTGTGTCTTTTGATCAGTGGGTCTTAATTTTTATTAAATCAAATGTTATTATTGTAAAAATCTATTATGAACTAGGCTTTAGAAGGTATAGTAAATAAAACTTGGATGTCATGAAGATCACAGAATTTTCTCCTTTTCTCAGTGGATTCTACAGTGTTCTGTCCAGGGCCAGGTGCTGCCTTCAGTTGTCCTGTTCCTTTAACATCCTTGACTCTGAAACATTCCCACAGTCTTTCTTTGTCTTTTATGACATTGATAATTTTGAAGAACACTGTTGTTCCTGCCCATTTTTCATAGAAATGGTCTCATGTTGTGGTTTGCTGATGTTTCCTTTGGATTGAGGCTGTGGTTCAGAAATAACAATGTCTACACGTTCACATCCACACCAACACAGCCAGTGAGCAGGTATGCTAAGGCAGAGGCAACAGGGTGAAATGTGAACAGTTGCATGTGGGTAAAGGGTACACAGACACGTGCTCTGTGCACTAGTTTTGTTTGTAACTATGAAAGTTTGAAATTGTTTTCATATAAAAAGTTTTTAAATATTCTAAATGTTAGCTTGAAACAGACAAAAAAATCCAAAAAAAGGAAAGGGGAAATATCTGAATAAATAGGTTAGCATTTAAATATAAAATATCTCTGCTGTTTCAAAAAATAAAATTGAAAGAACCCCAGATGAAAAGAATAGCATGTCTTTAAGTAACAGAATCATGTTAAAGAAAGAAGGGTTTTAAATTTGAAAAATCCAGGGCACTAAAGGAATCTATTAATGGAAGGTTATCTCTAGGTTCTGAGTCTGCTCCAGCAGCTACCAGAGGAGGAAGCCAGCAGCCCACATGCAGCTGCAGTCCTAGCAGCACACCATCTGGACCCCATCCGCATGGCAGGCCCCACCCACCCCACACACACCAGTCGAGGCAGAAGGAAGGCGACACCGCTCATCACACATAGGATTTCAAAAGGAGAATGAGACGTGCAGGGAACAACGGCAGGGTGCCCAGATGGAGGCAAACCACAGACAGGAAGGGGTAATCACAGCCACTGAGAACACAAGCTTGGGCTCACCTCGATCCTCTGGGGTTGCAAAGCAACGTGCGGCAGGGACAAAGTCAGGGTCACTTTACATGGGAGGGAAATCATTCAGAGTGAATCGAGAATAGACCCTTAAAATCGAACAACAATGCTTTATCTGGTTCTCTGGCTATAGGGCAGCCCATGAATTACCAGCTTAACAGACACATATTTTCCCTATAATACCTGCTCAAATTTCAAATCCTGTGAAATTACTTCACATCGATTGCTCACTTAACAATGACCATCACAGTATCCCCAGAAACAATCACAGATTTTCAGCACAGGGTGATGTGGCCTTAAGATTCACACACGGAAAGAATGAGCTGTAACTAAAACCAGTTGTGCTGTGGCATCACCACCCAAGGTAACTAAAGATTATCCACCGGGTAAAATTAAGTCAGTTTCAGATCATCACCCGTTCATATAGCTATAAACTATGGTTGCCCAACTTGAAAATTTTTATTAAAATTATTATTAAAGCTAACTTGCAGGAGAAATGAATGAGTGAACAGTAAGCAAGCTCTACTGATATCTTTAGGTTTTTTTCTCATTTTTGCTGGGTGGGGGGATTATACAGGGTCTTAAATGGCTGTTATTTGTGGATGCATATGACTTATCTGTTCACCTGGCAATGCTGCCTGGAAAGAATTCCATGCCTAAAATCATCCACTTCCATGTTATTTTCAAGCCTATACAGGGTTCTGTTAGAATAACAGTCATAACATGCCCAGCCGTTCCTGATGCTGACAGCTTGGCTGGGTTCAGTGTCTATTGTTACAACTTGTTTGGACCTAACCCTCTGTATGCCAGGATGTAAGAGGGGCAGGTGGGTCAAGGACTGGGGTTTTTGATGGTGAAAAAAATGTTTCTGTACAAGTTTTACATAAATTAACTTTTGGTAAATTAAAACCTAACCAGGAGCTGCCTATGAAAGAACCATGTGGTGAACGACCTTAGAGATAAAGTAACTTTTCTGTATTGTTAATAATCGACCCAACTCAACTCTAGTTTGTTTTCTTCTACACAGAATTTTCTTCCGCACAGAATTTCTTCTGCGGGCCAGAGCAGGGTGGGGTGAGACCATGGGGAGCTGGCTGGGCCAGCCATCAGCTCGTCTGCAAGGCGGCCTTCAAGGCACTGGAACCAGGCTTTCCTCACAGAACCACTCTTGCAGATCTAGAGAAACACCCGAGCTTTAAAACATTCCACGGTCTCTGCGTGCTCAGGTGAGCAGGGAGGGGAAGAAATGGAGGCTTTGCAATGCCCCAGAACCTGGCAGCTTGCATTTAAAATGTGCCAAGGAGGGTGGTGGTCCAACCGCAGGCTCTGAACCTGAACAATCAATCACTCTGTGTCATACAGCACCAGAAACACAGGCTGTGAGGGTGGGCATCCAGGCCTCCCAGCAGCCCACATGTGGCCCAGCGGGGCAGGTGAATGTGTGGCACGCCGAGGTGTGAAGTGACTTCCTTGCGCTCATTCTCTTTTTTTGGGGAGGGATGGAGTCTCGCTCTGTGGCCCAGGCTGGAGTACAGTGGTGCGATCTCGGCTCACTGCAACCTCCGCCGCTTGGGTTCAAGTGATTCTCCTGCCTCAGCTTCCTGAGTAGCTGGGACTACAGGCGTGCAGCACCACACCCAGCTGATTTTTGTATTTTTAGTAGAGATGGGGTTTCACCATCTTGGCCAGGCTGGTCTTGAACTCCTGACCGCATGATCCACCCGCCTCGGCCTCCCAAAGTGCTGGGATTACAGGTGTGAGCCACCGCACCCGGCCTCCTTCACTCATTCTCTTTCGGGGCACGTGGCAGTTCCAGATGCTCTGTGTCATGTGATATCATGATGGACTGACGCAGCAGCAGGTTTGAGCATCCCGTCCTCTGTTTGGCCAGCCAGTGAGGAGGCTGGCGAGAATGCAACACCACGGCACATTCCTGGCTAGTTTTTATTTCTTTTGGAAAACAGCTATGTTCCCCAAAATAGGCTATTTATGTTAACCTGTTATTACATTATTATTCTTAAATAAATTAATAAATTTAAAAAATTTCCACTTTAATTTTTACCATGGTAAATATTAAATTTAATCCATATAACCTACATCAACAAAAGCTCTTTGGGGTCCTTGAGAACATTAAGCGTGTACGGGGGTCCTCCTGGGTTTAAGTTTCATTCACTGCGTCCACTGCGCCCTGCACTCCTATGTCTCCAACTGACAGACGGACACGCATGGCAGGTTTGGCCCAGGAAAGCTAAACATGAACAACAGAAGACAACAATGCCCTGCATGGTCCCTGGACACACAGAGGCGGCCTTCAGGATAGGTGGCAACGAGAGCCAGGGAACCCTAAGTCTAGGAGTGTGGCAAGGCCATGGTCAAGCATGGCCGCAAGCAGAGGCTCTCCCTGGAGCAGACACTCCTGCGTTACTGTGGACCACCTGCGTGTGGAGACCCAGAGCCTGGACATGAGACTAAAAGGCAGACAGAGCAGGCACGTACCCGGCACTTGAGCTCGTATTCCTTCAGGACTGCTGCGAACCGCTCCTCCTGGGCCAGGAGCTCTGCACTCTGTGGCTCCAGCTGAAAGGCAGACACAAAGGAAGTCACGGGTGGGCCTCGGGCCAGAGGGGGACCTGCTTCTCCAGCCCCTGGGCTCCAAGAACCTGCCCAGCTTCTGCCAACACCAGGCGCTGCATCTCCAGGTATAGCCGCCATCCCCCCTCCTTCTCCTTACTCCCCCGTCTAGAAGGTCACAAGACAGAAGGATTTTCCAGACTTAGATCTAAGGTGGCCACACTCATCCCTGGAGCCCAGACCCTGACCCTGGGCAGCCCCTCTCCCCATCCTCCTCCCTAGGTGACACCCAGGGAAGGCCCTGCCCTCCCTCCACGCCCCCCACCACTGAGGGCTGTCACTAGTGAGCAGTTGTGCTGTGTGGGCAGACGGCCCCCCACATTGTCATGCAGAGGAAGCAGAGGGAAGGCCTCATGCTGACTTTCTCTTCATTCTAAATTTTAGGAGAATACCGCATTCTGTGACCTGCCGCATCTCTCCCTGGCCACCCCCGCCACCCCCACTCTGCCCAGCAGGCCCTCCCCTCTGGAGGCAGACTGTCAGCAAAGGGACTCGCCTTGTCCTTCAGCACAAACTCCAGGTCCTTCTGCAGCTTCAGGGCCAGCCTCTCCGAATCCGAAAGCTTTTCCACCACTTCCACAATCTCCTTCTGTAGGCGACTGTTTTCCTAGGAGACACAGGCCAGTGGCTCATCAGGCTCCTGCAGGACGGAGGGGATGTGTGCAGGATGGAGGTGAGAGGCTTGCTTCTCATAGGACTGGGCATCAGGAAAGAACCCCCACCCACCGCAGGCGAGGCACCTGGTGCTGTGCAGGCGGCTGTGCCGGGGATGTCCCCCACCCTCCCAGGACAGACGCCAGAGCCCACCCAGACTGTGGCTACCCCATCGTCTTCACTTCTCTTGTCCCCTCCCTTACCCTGTGCTCAGAAAGGCCATGAGTCATACGAGAAAGGGTGGAGAGCCGGGCACGGTGGCTCACGCCTGTAATCCCAGCACTTTGGGAGGCCGAGGCGGGCGGATCACAAGGTCAGGAGATCAAGACCATCCTGGCTAACATGGTGAAACCCCATCTCTACTAAAAATACAAAAAATTAGCCAGGCGTGGTGGCGGGAGCCTGTAGTTCCAGCTACTCAGGAGGCTGAGGCAGGAGAATGGTGGGAACCTGGGAGGCGGGGCTTGCAGTGAGTGGAGATCATGCCACTGCACTCTAGCCTGGGCGACAGAGCGAGACTCCATCTCAAGGAAAAAAAAAAAAAAAAAAAGAAAGGGTGGGGAATACAAAAGCATTGCAAAAGTATTATAGAAAAGGCATCCTTCCAGAGCCATTCCTGAACCAGGGATCAGATATCGTACCAGGACAGCTCAGACAGCCATTGCCAGGGGAGGAGGCAGCATCTGTAGACGGTGGGGGACTGCAGTGAGAAGGGTGGAGAGCAAGGCTGTTGGGGGGCTCAGGCTGCCCAGCCTCTCCTCCCGGGAGGTGGGGCAGGTGTGGGGAGTTAGGAGAGGAGGACACAGGCAGGAGCAGAGCAGGGACCAGCACAGCAAGGGCCAGCACCTCTGTCCCGCTGCGATGCCTCACTGGAGTCAGTATCAGGGGACAGTTGTGAGACACTCACCAAAGCCCATCAAACCCCATCAGCTCCAGGCCACAAAGCCAGCCTCGGGCAGGCTGGGCTTTAGGTTCTGGTCTCTTTGCTGCCCCCATGGGTGTTCCTGGTTTCTGGGGTTGAAGCAGTGCTGGCTGCGGGTGCTGGCCCTCCCTGACCTCAGGTCCACCTGGCCCAGAGCAGAAAGTGGGAGTGGTGGGGAAGGAGGGGCAATGTCCTGCTGGCAAGCCAGGACCCCTTCTGCTCTGCAGCAAGTGGGACACCTCCTCACTGCAGCAGGTGCTCCCTCGGGCCCTGCCCTGAAACATAAGCTTGAGGGCACTGGCAGGTGTGGATCTGGATCCTCAACCAGGATGACGTGGGTGTGGGGAATGCTCAGGCACCCCCCCAGCTTCCTGGATGCCCTGGGGATGCCCCTACCTTCAGGGCCAGGGTCAGCTTCTCGCGGAGGCCAGCCTCCTCAGCCTGCAGGCGCCCCACGTCCCACTCCAGCGCGGCCCTCTGCCTGTGGGCCTGCTCCCAGAACAGCTCTCGCTCCGCCTCCACCTCAGACCGCAGGAGGCTCAGCCTTTCCCGGTACCCCTGCTCCAGATGCCTGTAACATGTCACACATCACACGTCAGACATGTCATGTCAGGGCTGCCCAGGCCCACGCCACCCCCTTCCTAGCCTCCTCCCTCTTAGAAACGCCCCTGTCCTCAGCACGTGCAGGGCCGCCCTGCCTTGGCTGAGCTGCCCATGCTGGGAGGCAAATCTGAGGGTGGGTGCTCCTCCCTCACAGGCTGCTGGAGGTGACCCCAGACAAGGGGATCTGGTGGGTCACATGGCAAATGCCACCAGCTGCCCCCTCACAGCGAGGAGCACAGCTCCCTGGGGTGAGTCCCAAGGTGGCCCCTCCACCCGGTGTGCATGGCAGGTAACAGCCCTTTGATAAAGACTTTCGATACCAAATGCACATGAAAATCACCTCCCTCCCAAGGAGGGAGGCAGCATGAAACCCATGGACAGTGAATTCCCAAAGCAATCTGAGGAAGAGGTGGGGGATATTTTTTTCTCAGCTGCTACATTCATCTTTTACAATAACTGTTTCCATTAGCAGGAAAAACAGTGTTCAACGCTCAGTCTCATCTCTTTCTGAAACAGCAGCTTCACTGGAATTCTCAAACCACGTCTACCCAGACTGAAGACCAGCGAGGCTCCTACTTCTGCAGAAGCCTGGTGACGCCCATAACCAAGTCCGAGACACCTAAGCCCCAGAGCCCGGGCTTTTAATCTTGGCTTAGAACTTTAAAGAAACAACACTCAAAAGGGAAGAGTATGAAGGAAGTACAATAATCTGACTAATTTAATACTCCATAAATCTTTTGGGGTAGTGTTAAAGCTACATATTTCCTATCAGCCTACTCTTTAAAAACTTTTGAAATATACAAAAATAGGGAAATGGTTAAATAAATTATGGCAGATCCACACAAAGACCCAGGTGAGATGCTCTGTGGCCATCAGAAAAGCATATGCAACATGGTGTCATTTTTTTTTTTGGAGACAGAGTCTTGCTCTGTCGCCCAGGCTGGAGTGCAGTGGCGGGATCTCAGCTCACTGCAAACTCTGCCTCCCAGGTTCACACCATTCTCCTGCCTCAGCCTCCCGAGTAGCTGGGACTACAGGCACCCACCACCATGCCCGGCTAATTTTTTGTATTTTTTAGTAGAGACGGGGTTTCACCATGTTAGCCAGGATGGTCTCAATCTCCTGACCTCGTGATCTGCCTCCCAAAGTGCTGGGATTACAGGTGTGAGCCACCACACCCGGCCACAACATGGTATCATTTTTTTAAGAATTATGTGCATAGAAAAAAAAGGTGAAAGATATATAGGCAATGTAAAGAGTGATACCCCCGGGAAAGTGAGATTTCTGGTTTTATTTTTCCTTTAATTGTACTTTCTAAAATGTGTGCAATAAACATGTATCACTCATTACATTTATAATAAGGAAAACCTAATGCAATAATAAAAGCTACTTACAGAAACCTACTCATAACTCCCATTGCTCATGGGACAAAACCCAAGCTCTCAGGGCCACGTGGGTTCTGAGGCTGCAGCTTAGCACCTCGAATGCATCCCTCCACCAGGTTCCAGGACAGAGTGTTTCCAATCCTCTAACCCTGGGAAAGACAATTCACACAAGTCTTTCCAAATGGCTGGGAGAGAATCAAGGTATACACGTGTGGACAGAAGCAAATCAGTTCTCAGTTACTCAAACTGAGTATGAGTCAACTTACTTCCAGCTTTGAACACAAGTGTCTCACAAGGAGCACTCTTGTCTAGGGGCCCTGCTAACCCCAAGGCTGGGATGAGGCTGTGCTCGGGAGAACGAAGTCGCTGGAGGTCAGAACCCAGCCCCTCAGGTCCTGAGAGGCAGCACCAAGATCCCTGTGGCACCAACAGGGATAGGTGGATCCCGATACTCAGGATGAAAGTGAGAGGTGGACGAACCGAGCTTACAACAGAGCCGTCAGGAGAAAGGAGGGGGCGTCCAGGGAGAGGAAATGAGTTCCTGGAGCTCCCCGTGGGTCTCCCTGACATACTTTCAGCTCCTAAATGTTAGCAATTGTCTCCTCTGGAGATCCAAGCTGGCCTCATGTGCGCTCCGGAAGGCAGGGAGCTATGAGAACGTCTTAAGCAACAAAGTCAAGGTCACCTCCCCCAGGGGCCGGGGGGCATCTTTTGGTCCCTCCTCTAGGAATTCCCCAGCCAGGTGGGAATGATAACGCTACAAGGCTGGCCCAGAATAGTTCAGCTGACGGAGACCACAGAGACCCTCCCTGCCCACAGGAGCAGGGATACCGCTTCCTAACAAAATGCCTTCCAGGCTCAGGGCAGGGAACTCGGGCCTTGAGGCCTGGCCCAGCACCTCCATGTGGAGGGCAAGGGCCCCAGCCACTGCCTGCACCTGTCCCTGTACCTGGCTTTTCGCCTCACCAGACACCTCCTCATGTTTGGTTAAAGGAGACTTGACTTTTAGCTTCCCTGAAAATGACCACAGTCCCACAGGGGCTTCCCACCACCACCACAGCCACAGGAGCCAGTGGCACCAAGAACGTACACTCCAGGGGGCCCACAGGCCGCACAGGCCCCATGCATGTACACAGCACCCCCCACTGCACCCCATGGGTCCCATGCACACAGTACCCCCACTACACCCCACAGGCCCCACACACACTCACAGCACCCACATAGCACCACACAGGCCCCACGCACACTCAGCAACCCCACTCAGCACCCCCAATGCACCCCACAGGCCCCATACATGCACACAGCACTTTCCACTGCACCCCTCTAGTCCCGGAACACTCACAGCACCCCCACTGCACCCTACAGGCCCCAAGCATGCTCAAAGCACTGACATGGCACCACATGAGTCCCACATACACTCACAGCACCCACATGGCACCCCATGGGCCCCATGTACACGTACTGCACCACCGCTGTACCCCACATACCTGAGGTCCCATGAACGCTCACAGCACCCTCATTGCATCCCACATGCCCTTGCACTCCACAGGCCCCATGCACTCACACTAACTCCCCACACCATGTAGAGGCACATGTAGATCTGGACCTGCTGTGTACAGCCGTCCCCAGCCAGCCCTGGAAGGAAAGGGCACTTGGGAGGTGCAGGCGAACAGAGGCGGGGTGAGGCCCCGCCCTGTCCCAGCCACCCCCTATGGACTGAACCATGTGGAGGTGGCGGCTGCAGGAGGTGCAGCGGGGACCCCCTTCTGCCCAGCACAGATCCGTGGAAACCCTGAGGACATGGGTTATGGAGATGGGGGGCGCCCACTGGCCTTAGAGCTGGCCCCGGACTGTGCCTGGCTCTGGAAGGCCTGAAGGAGAGTGGCTGGGCTCTGCCCTCATGCTTCTCCCACCTGAGGCTCTTGCTCCCCAGAAAGCTGACCAGTGGCCTTCGGCTGACCCAGAAACAGTGTAAGGCCAGGAGAAGGGAGACCTGGGTGTCAGCTTCACACACGCACGCTCACTGCTGCGGGACTGGGCCAGTTACTGAGCTGCTCCAGGACTCAGTTTGTTTGGCTGAACAATGGGGATAAATGGCCTATTTGGTCCCAGTGGCTGTTACGTGAGGCGACCCCTGGTGCACACAGGAGACACACCACAGCTGTCTTCACCAACCAAACTCACTTCTCCAGAGGCCACGGACCCATCAGTAGCCCCTCAACCCCTGGAGCCCCAGGTTCACGACAAAGATGCTCAGGGCTTCTTTGGTAAAGGAGCAGCAGCTTCAGGCTTCAGCCCGCAGTGCAGCTGGCACAATTCCAACATGCGATGTGGCCAGCAGCCAGGCTCCCATCTGCAGGCTCACCCTGGGGACTCCGCAGCACCCCAAGCAAACCGCCCGCATCCCTGGAGGGTGCCACACCACGTGGCTCCATCGCGCATAGCTCTTCTTTGCTAGCCACGCTCAGCTGAGCCACCACCACCAGGACCATGGCAGCGAGTGCTGTGTCTGTGTTGTGCAATGCAGAGGGTGGGCCGACCTGCAGACCAAGAACCCAAGGGCGTGGGGACAACAGGGCCAGGACTGCAGCCTCGGGCAGACCTCCCGAGCCAGCAGAGGACCCACTGACAAGGGAGAATGGCAGGGAGGCCAGCCATGTCTTGCTGCCCCTGCCCAAGAGCTGTGACTCAGAGCCAGGAAAGCCTGTCCTGAGCTACCCCGGAGGACCCTCCAGGCATGCGCAAACTTCAGGTGAAAAACAGCAGCTCAGCCCAGGCAGACATGTGCCCCACCAATGACGTAGAGAAGCCCCTCTCCCTGCCTGAGCCTGGGACACCCTCTTGGGCGGAATTTCCTCAGATGTTCTGTTTGTGAACCAGTGCGGTGGTTGTATCCTTAAACAAAACAAATCGGAAATCTAAGGCCAGGCGTGGTGGCTCACACCTGTATTCCCAGCACTTTGGGAGGCTGATGGGGGTGGATTACTTGAAGTCAGGAGTTGGTCATCCTGGCCAAAATGGTGACACCCCATCTCTACTAAAAATACAAAAATTAGCTGGGTGTGGTGGCAGGCGCCTGTTTAATCCCTGCTACTTGGGAGGCTGATGCAGGAGAATTGCTTGAACCTGGGAGGCGGAGGTTGCAGTGAGCCAAGATGGCACCACTGCACTCCAGCCTGGGATACAGAGGGAGACTCCATCTCAAAAACAAAAACAAAAATAAAAACAAATCAGAAATCCTTTTCTCTGGTCTATCCAGCCACTGTTCCACACAACTGTCCCCGCATCGGGGTCACTACAGCTGTGATACCTGGAGTTGGGTTCCTTCTCTGGGCTCCTTCTACCTGCTGGGCCAAAAGGAAACCATTGCCAGTCCTTGCAACATAGCCACCTGCCTCTTGCATCACAGGCACGCAGCTAGGGGCCGAAAGGCTTGGCTTATGTGAGAAGAGCCCAGCAAAGCGAGGGCAGGAGGCAGGACCTCCTCGGCCCATGGGGACGTAGCCAGGGCCAGGCACTGCACCAACCCCAGGAAGAGCAGGGCTCTGCTGCTTTCTCAAGGCTGTGCCCCCTGGATTCCCCCTGACTCAGGTGAAATAGGGGGGTCTCCACTGAGCCACACCCGCAGCTCTGGCCCCTGGCAGCCCTGTGTCCACTACCTGCCCTCAAAGGGGCTGGGGAGGCCCAGGTAAGAATCCACCACCTGGGCCCAGAACCCACTTGATTTTCTTCTCCGTGAGCTGCTCCAGGGTGGAGTGGCAGTCGTCCATCTCTTTCACAAACTCCAGGTTCCTCTTCTCGGCCCTCTCCAGGTCCTGCCTTGCCTTGTCACGCTCCCTTGCCAGCTGCTCCACCTGCCCTCTGCCACAGGAAGGAGACAGGGTCAGATGGGACCCCACTGCTGGCCTGACCCGCCATGCCAGGTGGCTCTGGGCCCCATATCTGCATCAATGATAGAAACTAGCACACCAACTATACAGCGGGCACTGCTCCACCAGCCTGCTCCTAAGGCAGTTTCTACAACTGCTATGCTCATTTTATAGATGTGTACACTGAGAGAGAGGGGCCACGTGACTTGGCAAGGAAAGTTTCTAGGTGGTTTCTAACCCAGGAAGACTGAGCCTGGAGTCCCACAGCATGCCATATCACTTATGCAGCCCCAGGGCATGTGGGAGTTGGTTTGTGAGCCCTCTCATCGGCAGCTGGGCGTGGATCGCAAGTACCTAATTCAGTAACGGGCATGTGGCGGGGAGGATGGCCACCTGTTAGCCCTGCATGGGCATCCCAGCACGCTAGTGAGCACACAGTGAGTCACCAGAGCACAACGCAGTGGTTGTATGTGGTCTCAGCTCTGCCTGGCCACCCTGACCCAGCTGAGGCACTGTGTAAATCATTGGTGGCACCTGCTATTCCAGTGACTGTTTCCCCACGAAAGGAGCTTTTCTCCCTCCCTGTCCCAAGGCCAGGGGAGGGACCTGGGCAAGCCTTTCTCCAGTTCTATCTGCAGAGCTGCCTGAGGCCAGAGGCGGCTCCGCTGTCTGCACCTGGACAGATGCAGTCTTTAGGATTGAGATTGTGGTTTCTGCCAATCTTTTCTGCAGCTTCAGAACATTGACAAAAACACCACGACAATCTTTTTGCAAATCTGCTTAGCAGACGGATGGCCTGAATGGTCAGCCAAACCAAACAGACACAATTAAAAGGGAATGGGTTCTCAGCCCAACGTCACGGGGCATTTTGTGACCACGTTTGAAAAGCGCCTTTCCTTCCTCCTGCTGACAGCCCAGCCTGGGAGCCCCCTGGCGCGAGAGGCAGCGGCAGGACCCCACCTGGCGCTGGCAAGCGCCTGCACCAGCATGAGGGGGGACCTCATGTCTGTCCCTTCGAAACCTCAATGAAAAGGGCTC
Source organism: Homo sapiens (assembly GCF_000001405.40). NCBI lineage: Eukaryota > Metazoa > Chordata > Mammalia > Primates > Hominidae > Homo > Homo sapiens. The sequence goes on from NC_000020.11 coordinate 25,497,850, forward strand.
AGTGGGGGCCCCCAACATACAGATCCCAAGCACCTCAACAAGTGGGAGGAAAGCCAGCGAGCCTTAAATTGTGTAGACTCAGACGGCACAGGTCCTCAGGCCCCACCCAGCCCAGAAACACGGATGAGCGGCTGCCATTCACCTGTCCATGCTCCGTGGCTAGATTCTGCTCCTGTCCCTCTGCGAGCGCCGGCTTGAGGGGCCAGAGAGCACGGGACAGACAGTGTGCAGAGCCCTGCCCCAGGACTGGCCATGTGGGGTGGATAAGAGCTGACTGGTGTCCTTTGTGTCCCAGACCCCCCTCCAGGCCCACCTGGCCAGCCACACTGCCACGTTCCCCAGTCCCCTGTGGCCTCTTACTGCTGGTAGCTCAGCTCCTGGTGGTAGCAGGCCAGGGCTGCCTGCTGGACGGCACTGTCCACTGTCATGAGCTCGTTGTCAAGGGCCCAGGTCAGCTCCAGAAGGTTCACCTTCTCGTCCACGCTGAAGTCCAGGCTCTGGAAGCAGCAAGCCTGGTAAGCAGGAGAGGCTGAGGGACTTCCCCAAGCAGACACCTCTTTGCTCCCTCCCTGATCCAGGGCCTAGCCCAGCATGGCTGTCCCAGGCAGCACCTGCCCCTCCTGTCTGCCAAGGTCTCTGCGTCTTGAGGGGTGCTCCTCCTCCATCCCACGCAACTCTGGTGGGCTGTCAATGGCCTGGTCCTCCTGCCTCTGCCTCAGGGGTGCGTAGGCCCAGGCTAGACAGAACCCCTCTTCCTGGACAAAGTGTCAGACACAGGCAGGGGCAAGTCCCCTGCAGGCCCTTCATGGGGACTGCTGTGGAGGCCAGGGCACAAGGCCCTTTTCCCTCTGAAATAATCTATTTTAAGGATGTGAGCCTTGGGATTCCCTGCGATGAGGCCTGACCTGCAGCTCATGCCACCAAGAAGAGCGTGGAGAGATGGAGGGGGTCCCCACAGCAGCCCTCAGGCTTAAAGCCAAAAAGCTTTCCAGAGCGGGGTGTTCCTCCCCACAGAAATGTGAAGAATACACTAATAAACTTCAAAGCACAGAACAGCCGGCATTTTACTGAAACAACAAAAAATAGAGTCACACACACCCTAAGACCCTCAGCTCAAGGGAGCGGCAGCTAACGTTCTGTCGTGTTTGCTTTTTCCGCCTTGGGTATTCCTGGCTCTGCTTTCCACTTGTGGCTACAAACGCCCTGCTCAGGCCGGCGGCAGGCACCATGGCAGGGCGGCTGAAGCAGGTGCCAGGACGTGCCTGGCCCAGAGTCTCCTGTGAAGTAGGGGCTGACTTTCCACACTGCCCACTTCCCAGCAGCTCCTGAGGAGCAATGGCATCTTGGGAGAGGCTGGGGAGCCGCCTGGAAAGCTGTCCCTACACAAGCACACGCTCCCCACCACGTCACTGGATGGCGTAGAGGGACAGAACCGCCACAGCAGCCTGAGGTCAGAAATGCTGACTGAGTTGCAAGGCAGAATTTGGCAATAATCTATCATGAAGCGAGGGAGAAGCCACCCAGGGCGTCTTTGCAGAGCAGCACCAGCAGCTCTAGCGCAAATGGGAAAGAGAATAAGTTCTGAAAGGGCAGAGGCAACATGCACTCATCAGAGCCAGCGCACAGCAGCAGCCAGGGCACCCCCAGGGCTGTGGAGTCAGGTGTCGGGCATCTTGGAACCGAGAGACTTGTGCTCTCTGCCCTTCCTGCAAGCGATTTTTGGTGATCCTGCCTCCGCCTCTGGCTCTCAGGACAATTGTGAGGCCAGCTGTCCAGGTCTGGCTTTGCCATCTTGGGGGACTCGGTAACAGATGAGGTTGCGCCAATGAGGGTCTTGGTCTGTGGAGTAGGGTGGACTGTTTCAAGGGCTGTCTGGGCTCCTTCCTGTATTGTCTATCTGTGCCAACAGGACATTTTCTGAGGGAATATGACAGAGCCTCCAAGAGTTACAGGGTGCAACTTCAGGAGTCCAGCCTCAGAGAAATGCTGGCACAGCAGCAAGAGGACATCGTTGCATTATAAATGCCCAGATTTATCATAGGAAAAGCGAAGGGTCGCACAAATTAGCAAGACAAACAGTATGACACCAATTTCGCAAAAAAAAAAAAAAAAAAAAAAAAAATTTAGCCAGAATGTATATATACATCTCTCATGTGCCAGGGAAAAGCTCTGCAGTACACCCACTACACCAACAGCTGTCGCCCCCTCCAGGGAATAGGGAGAGGGGGGCAGGTAGGCTTTCTTTCTTATTTAATAGGTTTTTGTTCAGTTGAGTTCACTGCACCTCGTGAGGCTGTCTTCCATCATCCATGCTGGGCCCCTGCACACCTCTGCCCCTGCACAGTTGTTGCCAAATTGTGCCCAGGGCAGAGCTCCTTCCAAATCTCCAGGGCTGGCCTGCATCCCTCTGGGAAGCCTGAGCCTGTAAGGAGCTGTGTCCCATGCAAGGACCACATCTTCCCTCCCAGGCAGCCCCAGCAGAACACGGAGGGAAGGGTGCACCTCCTGACACCTGGCCCATGGTGGGAAGGGCCTGGGGTAAGTGGGCGCCATGGGGGAGAACAGCTCAACCAGCCAGGCAGGGGCTCCAGGAGAGTCCGGGCTCACTCTGAGATCATCAGTAACTGCTGTAACAGTGGTGCCCAACAGAAATCGTCATCATCACAACAGGCAATTTCTTTCCATTCATCTAACCTCCTTGGCCCAACATTCAGGGGAAATGTCTAAGCCACTAAAGGCTACCTTCAAATGGACTTTTTCACACTAACTTTGTGTTTTATTTCTTATCTTTTTAAATTATAATGTCCTATATTTTAGTAACAAAAATTAAAAGAGATAGGTTTCTACCTGGACTTCCTTGCATGGCATTCTCTGCACAGAGCACACACCCCTGCTGGGTCCCCTGGCTTGGGACGCTCCATCCATCCTCCTCTGCAGCAGACGGGCCCCCCAGGTCCCCTGTCCAGCTTAGGCATCACCCAGTTCCAAACCTGCAAGATCTCCCTGCCATTCTGAATCCCCTCCTGGGTCCACATGGCCAGGACCTGATCAGGAAAAGCGAAGCCAGAACCATCGTCAATGCTGGAGAAGAGGCGCAGGCTGGAGCACAGGGACACGAGGGATGAGGTTGTGGTGGTGTGGCAGCCGCTCTCCTCTGGGACCTGCATGTCAGGAAGACTTCCATAGCGCCCAGCGTCCAAAGCCTCACGCCTGTGTGCTGCTGATGTGCTCTCCACCCTCCCCAGCCTGTGCTCAGAGGGCCTCACAGGAACAGCTCATGAGACCATCCTCAGCTCTCAGAGGGGTCAGAGGTGCAGCCCCATCACATGACCTCTCCAAGGTCACATGGCTGTGCAGGTAAGAAAGTCGGGACATGCAACCAAGGCCCCCAACACCCAGGACTCTGAGGCCTTGCACCCACGTGGCCCAACCGGCCAGCCCCAGTCAGCACACTCATCACTTGGAGAGGGACGACAAAGGAGTTTTAACGTTCCACCCTTGAATTCACAAAGGCGGGAGCCTGGCCTCGCAGAGGCAGGGGCCCATAGAGTCCATGCCAGCACCAGGAAAGTCTCAGCTGTGAAAAGAAACCCAAGGCAGGCTGGAAGGGCAGAAGTGCGCTGGCCCAGGCAGAGGCGCACACACCCCCAGACCCTCAGAATGCAGCATGAGTGGCTCATGGCCACTCATGGGGTTCGACAATGAAGGCAAGCCAGCTCAGGAGGCATCTCCCCAACCCACACTAAGCATGACCTGTGGGACCTCATGTTGATCATTCTGGCCTTACATGGCTGCCTGACCCTTCCTCAGTGCTGGCTTCTGAGTTTCTTCTTTGTCGTTCTCACTGATGTTAGCCTCACTGCAGCCTCCACCTCCTGGACTCAAGTGATCCTCCTGCTCAGCCTCCCAAGTAGCTGGGACCATAGGCATGTGCAACCGCACCTAGATAATTTTCAAATCTTTGAGATGGGGTCTCACAATGTTGTCTCATCTTCTCTCAAACTCCTGGGCTCAAGTGATCTGCTTGCCTTGGCCTCCCAGACTGCTGGGACTACAGGCATGAGCACTGTGCCGGGTCCTCATTGATTTTTTTCACCAGGTTTCTAAATTATTTAGGTTTTTAAATTAAATTAAATTTATTTATTTATTTGAGCCAGAGTCTCACTCTGTCACCCACGCTGGAGTGCAGTGATGCGATCTCAGCTCACTGAAACTTCTGCCTCCTAGGTTCAAGTGATTCTCCTGCCTCAGCCTCCTGAGTAGCTGGGATTACACATGTGTACCACCACAAGTGGCTAATTTTTGTAGTTTCACTAGAGACAGGGTTTTACCATGTTAGCCAGGCTGGTCTCCAACTCCTGACCTCAAATGATCCGCCCGCCTTGGCCTCCCAAAGTGCTGGTATTACAGACGTGAGCCACCATGCCCGGCCCTCATTGACTTTAGAGTCAGAAACCTAGATTCTCAGGTGTACCTACCCCCAGTGCAGAACAGCACTACTGGTCCTACAACACCACTCACCAAATTCAGGACCAATTGCAGCAGCAAGGAAGTATCCAGCCCCTGAGCAGCCATGCCCTGGTCTCCTCAAACTGCAGAGAGACCCGGTATTTGTGCAAGAGATAGAGCACAGGTTAAGGGATACTATCAGGACCAATCTTAGACAGACTCGATGGATCCTTTGGCAACTGATATGGCTTAGATCTGTGTTCCTGCTCAAATCTCATATTAAAATGTAATCCCCGATGTTGGAGGTGGGGCCTGGTGGGAGGTGACTGGATCTTGGAGGCAGATTTCTCACAAATGGTTTAGCACCATCCCTCTTAGTACTGACCTCATGATAGTGAGTGAATTCTCATGAGACCTGGTTGTTTAAAAGTGTGTCACACCTCCCCCCTCGCTTTCTTGCTCCTGCTCTGGCCATGTGACCTGCCTGCACCCCTTCACCTTCTGCCATGATTGTAAGCTTCCTGAGGCCTCCCCAGAAGCAGCCGAGCAGACACTGGCACCATGCTTCCTGCACAGCCTGCAGAATCGTGAGTTAATTAAACCTCTTTTCTTTATAAATTGCCCAGTCTCAAGTATTCCTTTAGCAATGCGAGAACAGACTAACACAGAAACATTGCCCTCACCATTCCACAATGGGGAGGACGGGAGGGAGTTTTCTTGCTGGGGCATATCACAGCACAGGCTGAGGAGCTGCCACATTCCTCACCTGAGCACTACCTTCTGTAGCCCTGGGAAGTGGGCACCTGAGCAGCATGTTCCTCACCTTAACACTGCCTCCTGTAATCCCAGCAGGTGGGCACCTGAGCAGCAAGTTCCTCACCTGAGCACTGCCTCCTGTAACCCCAGCAGGTGGGCACCTGAGCAGCACGTTCCTCACCTGAGCACTGCCTCCTGTAACCCCAGCAGGTGGGCACCTGAGCAGCCATGTTCCTCACCTGAGCACTGCCTCCTGTAACCCCAGGAGGTGGGCACCTGAGCAGCCATGTTCCTCACCTGAGCACTGCCTCCTGTAACCCCAGGAGGTGGGCACCTGAGCAGCACGTTCCTCACCTGAGCACTGCCTCCTGTAACCCCAGGAGGTGGGCACCTGAGCAGCACGTTCCTCACCTGAGCACTGCCTCCTGTAACCCCAGGAGGTGGGCACCTGAGCAGCACGTTCCTCACCTGAGCACTGCCTTCTGTAGCCCCAGGAGGTGGGCACCTGAGCAGCACGTTCCTCACCTGAGCACTGCCTTCTGTTGCATCGGGTGGGCACCTGAGCTGCCATGTTCCTCAGCTGAGCATTGCCTTCTGTAGTCCCAGGAGGTGTGCACCCGAACCACCCCCATCTTACACGTGAGCCTGAGGCTTGGAGAAGGTAACTCCCCTAGTGACACACAGCCAGGGAAGAGCAACACTGGACCCACCCCAAATCTATGTGGCTCCAGAATCTACGTCACGTGGCCTCCCATATACATGCGTGTGTGCATGGCCTGTCCAGTTCTTGGACAGCTTGTTGTGTGGTGACACAGGCAGGGAGGGAGTCAGCAGTTTTAGTCACCAGAGAGTGACAGCAGTGGTTGCTGGGTTCAGGATTTAACTGTTGCATTTTACCTGGTAATGAGACCAAGCCTTGCTCGGTTTAACCCGAGTGGAAGACTCTAGAAGTAGCGCGGGCTCATGACTGAAGAGGCCAAGCTGGAATTCCTCAAGACTCACTTTGCCGTCTCCGTCTTGATCCAGTTTGTTAAACAGGTCTTCGAGTTCCTAAACAAAAGCCGTCATATCTCAGGCCCACCCACAAGAGCTCCACCCAACCGCCCTCACCAGGGCCTCCCTCCCTCCCTCCCTCTGGTTCCAAGTACCCAACAAGGGCCGTTTCCTAGTCTTATCCAGCCTTAAAACTGTGTAGACCATGCGGGCTATATTTTCCCAAGCCGACCCCTCCCTCTATCTTGTAAAACCCACAGGCCTTGGTTTCCATTTCACTGTGAGTGGGTGTCACCTGAACTTCCCAGTTCTACAAATGCTTATTCAGTGTCTGCTGGGGCTGGATCCTGCGGGATGCTGAGCAAGGCCAGGCCCTGCAGTGTGAGGCCCAGCAAGGACACAGGGCTGAGAAGAACTCCAGCAAGGCAGACTGGCCTCCCACCCAGGAGGAGAAGGAACATGGCCACTGGAGAGTGAGGACAGGCTTGGGGGCCTTGTCTTGGAGGCCTTGTCTTGGCTGCGCAGTGGAACCCGGCCACACAGAGAAGGGGGAAAGGCATCCAGGCAGAGGAAGGATGTCAGTGAAGGAACAGGAAGTGCCTGCTACACCTGAGCGTGGCAGGGAGTCGGTGAGACTGGGCAACTCCATCAGAGACGGGCTTTCAAAGGTGTCTGGAGATTTTAGCCTTTGGCAGAAATGCCAAGAGCCACCAAAGGATTTTAGATTAGAAAGTGATGCACCTACATGAGTGGCTGAAGGGTAGAGGGGTTTCCAGACCCAACACTAAACCGTGACCATGGCCAGGAATATGTGGCTGGGTGGCCTGCTGTGCCCCTCACCTCTTTCTCGAGTCCCTGGAGCCCGACGCTCTGGCAGACCACAGCCAGCTCCTGCTCGCTCAGGTGTCCGCTGCTGCCCACCCCCAGCTCTTCCCACACGCCCCGGATCTGGCTCTCTGGGGTGTCAAAGGAGGGGCTGCAGGACTTCTGGGGGCTCCCAAAGTCCTCAGAATCCCAGGTCTGCAGCTGTCCTGAAGCAAGGGAGGAGTCACAGTTACACCCTGATACATACACAATGGAGCACGACTCAGCCTTAGAAAGAAGGACGTTCTGCCCTTTCCAACAGCGTGAATGAATGTGGAGGACATTACGCTAAGTGAAATTAGCAGACACAGAAAGACAAACACCGTGAGATCTCACTCACATGTGGGATCTAAGGAAAGGGGAACTCACAGGAGCAGGGTGTAGAAGGGTGGCTACAGAGCTGGGTGGTGGGGGAGATGCTGGTTGGGGGGGGGTCACTTTCAGTTACAAGATGAGTAAGTTCTGGAGTCACCTAATGTACAGCACGGTGACTACAGTTAATAAGATCCGATTGCTTCCTTGAAGTTTGCTAAGAGAGTCTATCTCAAGTGTTCTCAGCACACACACATAACTAGGTGAGATGGACGTGTTAACTGGCTGGACTGTGGTCATCATTTCACAATGTACACATGTCTCAGATCATCACATTGTACACCTTAAATATATACAATTTTTATTTGTCAATCACACCTCAATAAGGCTGGGGAGAAAAACCAGCAACAGTTAAGTCCTGTGCTCCAGGCTGAAGCATTTCGGGGAAGCACAGCAATGCTGGTCAGTGACTCTGAAATCAGATGGATTGATGGATAGAGGGCTGGATGGATGGACAGATAGCAGGATGGATGGACAGACAGAGGGATGGATGGACGGACAAAGGGGAGCTGCAAAGCACCAAAGGTGGAATTAGGTGGTTGGTACATGGGTTTTCATGCCACAGTTGTTTGCACTTCACTCTGTTTACAAATTTTCAAAATAAATCTTGGGGGAAAATATCTGCCTGTAATGGGGAAAATTCTTTCTGAAGAGAACCTTCTATGGTCAGCCATGCAAGCACTTAAAAGAGGCAGAGGGGCTGGGCGCGGTGGCTTACGCCTGTAATCCCAGCACTTTGGGAGACCAAGGCGGGTAGATCACGAGGTCAGGAGTTCAAGACCAGCCTGGCCAAATTGGTGAAACCCCGTCTCTACTAAAAATACAAAAATTAGCCGGGTGTGATGGCAGCCGCCTGGAATCCCAGCTACTCGGGAGGCTGAGGCAGAGAACTGCATGGACCCAAGAGGCGGACATTGCAGTGAGCCGAGGTCACATCACTGCACTCCAGCCTGGGCTACAGAAGAATACTCTGTCTCAGAAAAAAAAGAGGGTGAGGGCTCTATTATTTGTATTTACAATAAAAAGACCAGTCTTTCAATAGCTTAATTTTTGAAAACTTTTCTAACTTACACAGAGCAAAGAGTAAAGTGAAGCCCACAGCACCTGCTGCTCAGACTGCACTATGACAGCAGCCTGCCACAGGCTTCTTCTCTACCCGCTTTTCTTACGGCTGAAGTGTTTAGAAGTACAGATGCTCCCCGACTTATGATGGAGCTACAGCCCAGCAACCCCACCATAAGCTGAAAATGTCAAGTCAAAGATGTGCTGAATATACCTAACCCACCAACATCGTAACTGGGCCTGGCCTACCTTACACATCTCAGAACACATTAACCAACAGTGGGGCAAAATTCTCTAACACAAAGCCTATTTTAGACTAATGTGTTCAATGTCTCATGTAATCTACTGAACACTGTACTGAAAGTGAAGATCACAACGGTCCCATGGACACTGAAGGACGGCTTCTACTGAATGCATATTGACCTCACACCATCAAGAAGTTGAAAAATCGTTGAGTCAAAACATCATGAGTCTGGATCCATCTGGGGTATCTGAAATCGCAGATCTCATGTTACTTCTGCCCCACATATTTGATTCATATCTCTAGAAAAAATATATATATTCTTACATCACCGCAATGCCACTATCATACCTAACAAAATCAACAGGATTTTCCCAAGTGTCTCAAACATATATTCTTACAGTTGATTTGTTTGAACCAGCATCCAAACTGTTCAGGATGCCCTTGGCTGTTATTCCTCTCACATCTTTCAACCACAAACACCTCTCCCAAATCCCCATAGCCCATGCCTTTTTAAAGAAATCAGACCCACTGTTTTGTGGAATGTTCCACATCCGGATCTATCTGCTTGCTTCCCCAGGGTGTCATCTAATGAGCTCCTCCATCCTTAACATTTCCTGAAAACCTGAGTTAGCATCAAAGTCTAGTTTGCTGCAGCCTCAACATTTTTTTTTTTTGCAGGTGGTGCTGTGTCCTCCGCACACCTCACTCAGGAGGCACTGGTGTCTTTAGGACTCATCAGCGGGCTCAGGTGGTGGATGGCCACTTTTCCTAACCTTTGTCTTCAGCCGCTTATCTTCTTGATGTGTTTGAAGCTGTGGAAACAGCTTGAGAATGAGGACAGACACTGGGTGTCCAGCAGAAAGTGTCCATGGTGAGTTATATGTCCAGCCAGACATGTTCCTATGGTGAGCTATGTGTCCAGCCAGACATGTTCCTCTATGCCTCATCCACACCACCTAGCCCAGAGCAGGGACATGGCTGCTTCCACCCAACACAGACTTTAGTGTTGCAGTTCTGCTTCAGCAGTCTGGATCCTTCAGGTAGATGAGCCATGTGGGTGTGAATTACTGATAACCCTGCTGGTAACGGGAAAGCCACCATCCCCCAAAGGAAGCCAGACTGTGTGCTCACAAATGACACTGTGGGTTGGGTTGAGGAAAACAAGAGGAAAGGGATGGGTAAGAAAAGGCCACCTTCGAGGTCCCTTCCGGCCTAAGATGCCTGAAATCTCCAAGGAAAAATGTGAAAGCAATCCTGATACTGGGTTATTTCTTAGGCTGGCAGAAGAGGTCGGGCAAGTCCTCTGAGCTTGACACGAGTGTGTGTGCACTACCGTCTGTCAGCTCTGATCCTGTACAAAGGTTTCTGTAAACTGCTGGAAGGAACCCCAACCTGGTTGGGGCAGAGAACACTGAAATTGCTGGGTGAAAAACAGCCTCCTGCGAGCCCTTCCCTTCGCTGCTCTAGATCTAGACATCAAGTTCAAGGATGTAAGACACGGCAGCTTGGCTGACTTTTCTCAGCACACAGGAATCTGCCTGCTTTGTCCAGCACCACAGCTGGAAGCTCAGGTCAGTTTCCCTGACATTTACTGAGACAAAAGTTGAACAAAAAATGGCCCTGGCATTCAAGGATCATGGTCCAAGGGGTGCTGTTTACTTTGGCAGAAATCCCAGGGCAATGCCCTCTATCCAAGCTATGTTTCTGCACAGTCAGCCCACGTAACCGCCTGTGTGGGGAGGCCTCATTAGGGCATCCACTGACTCACACAGAAAAGCCTGGAAAGACAGTAAAACTGCTCACAGGACTAAGGAATACAGACCAGTGCTACTCCCTGCCCTGCATGGTCAGCGGCCTGCCTGGCCTGCAGCCCAGCCCAGGGCAAAGGGAATGGCGGGGCACCCTGTCTGGAGTTGGGGGTTCCCGGGGTACAGGGCACTGACTGGGAGCCACTGACCCTGCCCACACCTCACCAGTGGGATCCAGTGCAGCCTGATGACTTCCTGGGATGGCTTCATGCCTCCTACAAGGGGACACACGCAATGCTGCCACCCTGGTCCTTCTACAACAGGGGGAGCTGGGGGGCGCTGGCAGCCTGAAGAGGGCTCTCGGCATTCAGCCGGGCTCCAGCCTCTCCTCCCCAGTCACCTGCATCCCTGCACCCTGAAACACTAGCTCCTTTCATCACTGCCTCCTCAAAGGCCATGGCAGCATCCTGCACTCCCTACACCTGCACCGTACATGCCTGGCTGCTAAGGATCCCGCAGTTTGCTCCCTACACGTCCATCAATGCCTCCGGCCTTCCTCTTTCCTGAAGCACATGACACCCCCCTGTTCTAACTTTGCCCCTCTTTGCCTTCCCTCTTCCTTTCAGCCTGCCCATGTGAGGCAGTTTGGAAATGTGGCTTCAAATTTCTTTGACACTCTTCCCTTCAGGTCTGTGTCCCTTCTCCTTGAATCTGGTAGGCTTGTGACAGCTCTGATCAATAGAATGTGGTGGAAGGGATGCTTTGTGACTTTGAGGCTGGCCTGAACTCAGTGAGGAAATCCCAGCCCTGTTTTTGGGACCACATGTCCTTAGTGCCCTAAGCCACCAGGTGAGACAGTTGACTATCTTCAGCCGCCATGCTGTAAGGAAGCCCAGCCACGCTGAGGCCTGCTGCAACCCCTCCGAGACTGTCCTCAGCTGAGCTCCTCCAGCCCAGACGCATCAGTGACGCTTCATATGATTTCAGACCCAGCCTTCAAGTGTCCCAACAGAGGCCCCAGATGCAATGCAGTCCATCCTAAGTCTCTCACCTTCTCCAATCCTTCCTTGAGCACTGCAGCCCTGCTCCTTGGAGAAGCTCTGCAGCAGCAGTGTAAAAGCTTGTGCTGTGATTGTAAGGGCCTGGTGTGAACCTCAGCTCTTGTTCCCAAGCTCGGCAAGACCTCACTCCTGAGCCCCAAGCTGCTCTGAGAGGAGGGATGCTCAGATTATGCCAAGCCTGCTGCAAGGGTTAGCCAGGCTGCCAGCTTCACACCTGGGTAGTTCCTTAGAGCTCAGCGTCTGGCCACCACACTGATCCTCTCACACCCACCTTTCTGTGGGGCCCCTTTCTTCACTCTTGCAGGCATCATGTAAGTCAGCAGTAACTTCCACAGAATCTTCTGTTTTCACATTGTTTGCATAGGTGTTGGTCTTTTCTATCCAAAATACTCTAGGATTCATAATTAATATATTTGTTTGCTTTTTAATGTCAAGGAAGTATTATAGGCAAACACAAGATAATTAAAATTAAAAAGAAGTCCTCCCTTCCCAGAGCCTTTGTTCCTCTCCCCAGGGGGATCCACTGGGAAGTTTTTTTGCCTAGCTTTCTGTCCCCATGACATATGTAATGCATGTCCCTCCAGAAATGCGGTGAGGGAGCTGAAGTCTCAATCATGCTCCTGCATGTAGCTTATCTTCCCAAAATGCCAGATCTTGCAGAGGGCACCACGGCAGCATGGATGGTCAGCCTCCCCTTGCACGCTGCACAGCGCTGTGAGGCTGCATGCTATGATTTGCTTATGTGTACCAGCTGCTGGCCTTCTGGCTGCTATGTAAGGCTCTGAGCTCCAGGACCAGGTATTACACTCCATTTGTGAGACAGATAAAACCCTGGTGGGTGCTGAGACTGCCCCTGCACAGCAAGGGAGAGGCTGTATCTAGCCCAGCGTGCCAGGAAGGAGGTGCAGGGGCAGTCTGAGGTGACAGGGCCAAGCAAGGCCCTCCTGCCTGAAACCACAGGGCCACACCTGCCAGCTGGGGTCACATCAGTACTTGCAGACCATAAAGTGTGACGAACCACGATGCTCCCTCGGCCACGGGCCTCTGCCCCTGGGTCTGACCTTGGGAGGATGAGGACCGAGTGACGGCCTCACTGCTGTGATGATGACATTCTGACCACTCCTGCAGGAGGAAGAATCCAGCGGGACACAACCCACCCCATGCATTTCCCAGGAAATTAAACTTGTGGTTGCACACTGCCCAATGACCCGGCTGTTCAGCTTTCAAAGCTCTGGGCAAAGGCAGAGAGCACTGAATGCGAGGCTGAGGCTTTACCTTGTGCTTCAAATAATTCATTCTGAGCTTCTTTAGTGCTCTCGGCCTCTTCATCTGACTTGGGACTCTGTAGAAAGATGCAGAGAGAAGGCTGTGAGTTCCAGGGGGTGCTGCTGGGGACGGAGCACCGGGAACAAATAGAGCAGGATGTTTGGGGAAGTGGGGGATGGCTGAGTATGGAGTCAATCCCTCAGAGGAAAAGCCCACCCCCACCTTGGGGCTGCCCTGCATGCCAGCTAGCAGACCCAGGTGAGCCCCGCCTAGCAGCAGCAAGGGGCTGGGCCGGGGAGACAGGGGACATGCCTTGTTCTGCACGCTCGGGGCTCCTCAATATAAACCCAGTCATCAACAGTTGACACTGAAAATACAATCAAACACTCGTGTCATAGCAGCACAGAAGCTGTCCCCCTCTGCATGGTGATGGCTTCAGACCCAGCACTTGAAAGAAGCCAGCCCTGCAGCCACAGCCAATCATTCAGTCTCAGGACACGCTCGCCATACAAGGCTTGCAACACGCCTCTCTGCACCTTTCCCTCACCAACCATATCAGTTCAGCAAACAGTCGCAAGGTGAGAGCAGGTTTCTGTATCCCTCCAAGGGCTCCGGGATAGCACAGCGCCTGGTAACCACCTCACACTCCAGCAGCCTTTGCAAATCTGTACCCAAGACAAGAGCCCGGGCCATCAAGAAACACGCGACTTAAGTAAAAACCTCGTGCTGCAGTGACTGCGTCAGCCAACTGGAATCAAAGTCTGATTTGTCCAGGTGTTGTGTGTCCCCACAACTGACTGTGGAATGGATGCCTGGTGACCAAGACTCTGTATGCTTCAAAGCTGGCACTGGCTCTGATCAGGGAGAATCTGTGAGTTGGTGATAAATACGCAACCCCATTTTTTTAATGAGTTCAACTCCACTGACAACCCTAAAGGCGGCTTTCCCCGTGTTCAGGTTTTGAGAATCAAAGATGATTTAAGAAGCAGAATGGCACCAATGAAGATCCACCACAAGGAGGAGATTCACTATCTCTCCATCCCTGAGGTCCAAATTTTTAAAAAAGAACAAAAAAGGAATGTTCTGGATTTACTGGCATCGCCTAGATGTCACATGCCCCTGAGAAAAAAGACTCTAAGATTTAAATATATTTTGGTTGTTTTCCCTCTTTGTCTCCACAAATGTTGAAAACAAATGGTAAACAAGTCCACCTGGGGGCCCGACCTGTCTAAGAAGGATGTGCTCCTGATCGAGACCCACCTGGCAGAAGCTGAGAGCACAGAGAGCAGGAACCAGGAACCTTTTGGAATCCTTGAAAATGGTTCGACCCAATCCATGATTAACTTACAAGCTGTGGACCTGCCCCATGGACATATTTCTTAACGTGAAGCCCCACGAGACTCTGGCAGCCATCTCCTGGGCCCATCCCCCTCTCCTTGGGTGATCCCTGCATCCCAGGCACCTGCAGCAAATGACCCAGGGAGCCTGGGGGACAGGGAAGCAACTTCCAAGGCCCCAGGACGCATTGGCTCATACAGGCCAGTTGTAAGTGCTGGGCCTCAGTATAACTAAGTGTTCAAGATAAGTAGGGCTGGGAGTTGACACACTCACACTCCTAACCTCGAGGCTGTTTCAAAAAGGCTTCTTCCCTTTTCTACTCTTAGCACATTGACGCTTCACTCCCATGAAGCCATAAACATTGCCTCCTAGAGTTGGTGGTAGTATCGGGAAAGAGAGATGTTGTATACAAAGGATTCATGATAGTGAGTTCTCATGAGATCTGGTTGTTTAAAAGTGTGTAGCACCTCTCCCTGCTCTCTATTCCTCCTTCTCCAGTCATGTAAGACATGCCTGCTTCCCCTTTGCCTTCCGCCACGATTGTGAGTTTCCTGAGGCATCCCCAGCCATGCCTCCTGCACAGTCTGAGGAAATTCTCTATTGCACTAATTCAGGAGAGAACCCTGTGTCCAGGACTGTCCTGAAGACAACCAGACCCAATTTAAATGAAATGGCACTCCCCAAAGTGACCAAGCTTCTGGCGACTCAGGGTGCCTGAGACGGTGGCTGCCCTCCCCATATCTTGTGATTATGTGCTACAAAAAGGGATGAAGGGAAGCATTTGTTATTCCCAACACTGGGCAGCTGGGGTGGGAGAGGGGCCTGACCCACCTCCACGCTCTCCAGAGACGCTGAGCGCCAGAGGTGACTTTTCAGGCTGGCCTGGGTTTGCTGCTCCGGCACGCGTCTGGCTTCTGTGGCAGCGTCACATAGCTCAGGCCGGCTCCGACGGCCATACCACTTAGAACCATTCACATACTTTGGAGGGATGGCACTGGAGGCAGCTGGAAAGGAAACAGGAAATTTGGTGGGGGTCCTTTATAGCAGTTCTGGGCCCATGCAGGCCAGCAGGTACCCTCTGAGAAGGTGCACACTCAGCACCGAGTGTGCCCCTCAAACACGTACTGCTCTGCACACAGAAGCATCTGGAAAGACACGAGAAACAGTGAACAATGGCAATTCTATGACCTTGGGTGGGAGACTGAGAAAGCAAGGGTGGGGAGAGGAGGACTTTCCCCTAAACTCTGTATGCTATTTACACTTTTTCAAGCATATTTTGCTTTTATGTAATGAAAAACTAATACGAAACCTAGCTATCTATGCAAAGGAGCAATAAAACCTCCAATAATCCAACAACATATAGCCGATGATCACCTGACTCTCAGTATACTGAGTGAACACGCTAAATGTCAAGTGACATTCCAGGCAGCTGACAATAACACAGGGTGACCAGAATATCTCTCACCCCACTGGGACAGAGTCATCATGAGCCTTATTAACAATCATCCCAAGACAGCAGGCACCATCAAGGACTGGCCTAGCACACTCTCACCAGAAGGGTCTGAGCATATGGGAAGTTAATATAGTTTGACTTTGTGTCCCCACCCAAATCTCATGTCAAATTGTAACCCTCAGTGTTGGAGGAGGGGCCTGGTGGGAGGTGATTGGATCATGCAGGTGGATTTCCCAATTGCTGTTCTCATCATACTGAGTTCTCATGAGATCTGGTTGTTTAAAAGTGTGTAGCACCTCCCTCTGCTCTCTCTTCCTCCTTCTCCAGTCATGTAAGACATGCCTGCTTCCCCTTTGCCTTCCGCCATGATTCTGAGTTTCCTGAGGCATCTCCAGCCATGCCTCCTGTACAGTCTGAGGAACTGTGAGTCAATTAAAACTCTTCTTTAAAAATAAATTACCCAGTCTCAGGTAGTTCCTTATAGCAATGTGAAAACAGACTAATACAGAAAATTGGCACCAGGAGTGGAGCATTGCTACAAAGATACATGAAAATGTGGAAACAGCTTTGGAATTGGATAACAGGCAGAAGTTGGGACGGTTTAGAGGGCTCAGAAGAAGACAGAAAGACGTGGGAAAGTTTGTAACCTTCTAGAGACTTGTTAAACTGATGTGACCAAAATGCTAATAGTGATATGGACAATGAAGTCCAGACTGCAGTGGTCTCAAATGGAGATAAGGAGCATATTGGGAACTGAAAAAAGGTCACACTTGCTACGCTTTAGCAAAGAGCCTGGTGGCTTGCACCCTCTGGAACAAGCCACCTCTACCCTAGAGATCTGTGCAACTTTGAACTTGAGAGAAATGATTTGGAGTATCTGATGGAAGAAATTTTTAAGCAGCAAGGCATTCAAGATGTGCCCTGGCTGCTTCTAACAGCATAAGCTTATATTCATGAGCAAAGAGATGATCTGAAACTAAAACATATTTAAAAGGGAAGCAAAGTGTGAAAGTTTGGAAAATTTGCAGCCTGGCCATGTGGTAGAGAAGAAAAATCCATTTTCAGGGGAGGAAGGAACTCAACTCAACTGCAGAAATTTGTAATAGTAAAGAGGAGCCGGATGTTAATATCTAAGACAATGGAAGAAATGCCTGGAAGGCATTTCAGAGAGCTTCATGGCAGTCCCTCCCATCACCAGCTCACAGGCCAAGGAGGAAAGAATGGTTTCATGGGCTGGAGATAGAGCACCGCTGCCCTGTGCAACCTTGGGACACTGCTCCCTACGTCCCAGCTGCTCCAGCTCCAGCCATGGCTAAAAGGGGCCAAAAATATCTCAGGCTGCTGTTCCAGAGGGTGCAAGCCATAAGCCTTGGTGACTACCATGTTGTGTTGAGCCTGCAGGTGGACGGAGGGCAAGAGTTGAGGCTTGGGAGCTTCCACTTAGATTTCAGAGGATATATGAAGACATCTGATGTCCAGGCAGAAGTCTGCTGCAGGGACGGAGCCCTCATGGAGAACCTCTATTAGGGCTGTGTAGAGGGGAAATATGGGGTTGGGGCCCACCCAGAGTCCCCACTGGGCACTGCCTAGTGGAGCTGTGAGAAAAGGGTCACTGTCCTCCAGACCCTAGAATGGTAGATCCACTGATAGCTTGCACTATGCACCTGGAAAAACCACAGGCACTCAACATCAGCCCATGAAAGCAACCACAGGGCCTGTATCCTGCAGAGACACAGGATGGGAGCCCACCCCTTGCATTGGTGTGGCCTGGATGTAAGACATGGAGTCAAAGGAAATTATTTTAGAGCTTTAATATTTAATGACTGCCCTGCTGGGTTTCAGACTTGCATGGGGCCTGTAGCCCCTTTGTTTTGGCCAATTTCTCCCTTTTGGAACAGGAACATTTACCCAATGCCTGTATCCCCATTGTATCTTGGAAGTACCTATCTAGTTTTTTATTCTACAGGCTCATAGGCGGAAGGGACTTGCCTTGTCTCAGATGAGACTTTGGACTTGGGTTTTTGAGTTAATGCTGGAATGAGTTAAGACTCTGGGAGACTTGTTACAAGGCATGATTGTGTTTTGAAATGTGAGAAGGACATGCATGAGATTTTGCGGGGGGTGTGCAGGGTGAAATGATATGGTTTGGCTGTGTGTCCCCACCCAAATCTCATGTTGAATTTAATTCCCAATGGTGGAGGAAGGGCCTGGTAGGAGGTGATTGAATCATGGAGGCAGAACTTCCCCCTTGCTGTTTTTGTGACAGTGAGTGAGTTCTCATGAGATCTGGTTATTTTTTTATTGTTGTTTGTTTGTTTTTGTTTTGTTTTTTTGAGACAGAGTCTCTCTCTGTCACCCAGGCTGGAATGCAGTGGTGCAATCTCGGCTCACTGCAAGCTCCACGTCCCAGGTTCACACCATTCTCCTGCCTCGGCCTCCCAAGTGTCTGGGACAACAGGCAACTGCCACCATGCCCGGCTAATTTTTTTGTATTTTTTTTTAGTAGAGACGGGGTTTCACCATGTTACCAGGATGGTCTCGATCTCCTGACCTCGTGATCTGCCCGCCTCAGCCTCCCAAAGTGCTGGGATTACAGGTGTAAGCCACCACACCCAGCCCAAGATCTGGTTGTTTAAAAGTGTGTAGCACCTCCCGCTTCACTCTATTCCTCCTGCTCTGCCATGTGAAGACGTGCCTGCTTCCCCTTTGCCTTCCACCATGATTGTTCCTGAGGCCTCCCCAGCCATGGTTTCTGTACAGCCTGCAGAACTGTGAGTCAATTAAACCTCTTTTCTTCATGAATTACCCAGTCTCAGGTAGTTTCTTATAGCAATATGAGAACAAACTAATACAGAAGTGTTGATAAGGAATAGGACCATTTAGTTGAGGAACACTTTAAAATTCTAATTGGAAAAGAAAGAAAAAGAAAAAGAAAGAAAAAATAGAATTGAAACAGGTGAGAAAAAGCACAAGTTCCGAACAGTTTGTTGTTTCTTTGGAAGCACTGACAACATGTCCCACAGGTTGAGACAATTTTAAGCTTAGATGCGCCCACCATGCACCAAGGAGAAGGACCTTCTGTGTTCTCCAGCACAGATGGGAAAATACAACATCAGAGGACCAGGCTGTCACCTCCTTGAGGTGCTTTGATATCTTTGATCATACCTCCAAGCTCCTGTGCCTTAGGGAGAGTAGGGAGCCCTTTCACATCTTAAAGAAGGAAAGTGTGAATTGGAGCAACTTACACCTCACCCAGGTCATGCATATGGCTAGTGGGGGGCTGACTCTGAACCCAAGGCTTCTCCTCCCATCCCAGGGCTCCTTACCAGCACCTCTGCAACCAGCAAGAGGAAGTGGGAAGGGGCAACCACCAGCACACAGCAGAAGGAGCGGGGTCTGGCAACAGTGCACACACAAGGGCCCAGGACTTCAAGCTGGAGAACCGGGACCCAAATCCTGGCCATCGCTTACTAACTGTGGAATGGTGAATGAATCTCTTCTCACCTGGGGCCTCAGTTTCCTCATCTGAATAATGGGTATGGTAAGTAATACCACAGGATTTCTATGAGGGTTAAATGGACTCTTTGTAAACGTACACAAAGCTCAATGCCATACGCTCACACAGAAAACCTCTGTGTGAGCCTGGTCCCTTCCGCTTTCCCGTCCTCTGTCCCAAACCCTGTGACAGCCTTGTCTACTGCCACACACCCCTCCTGACCAGGACATCCTGCTGTGAGACACGAGGGAAGTGCTCCCTATGTGACACACTAAATAATACCACAAACACAACACCCCTGCAAAAGGGAAAGAGCCACCCCCATTTCACACCCTCCTGACACGGGGCCATCTGCAACCAAGAAGCAGGCCACCACTACCTCACCACTCCAGGCCTGGGCAGCCCTCCCTCTGACCTTGCCCACAGCCTGTTACCATCCCAGCACCTTGAGGCTGAAACCAAGGCCAGGTGGCTTTCTCCAAGGATGCCACTTCCACTTAGGGACATAGCCTGTGTCCCAGCAGCCCTGTCCCTGTAACAGGATTCCGATCAGTCACATTAGCACAGTGCAGTGTCATCATCCATGGCGGGCACAGTGCACGTTATTATATGACACTATTTCACAAATAAACCAAGGAAGAGAAAACATCAAGTGTTTTTTCCAAGTCCATATACCTTGGGGGTGACAGAAAGTAAGGTAGAATTCAGTTTTCAGAACTGCTGGATTCTTTCATTAGAATATTACACTCCAAAAGTTAACAAACAAATAATGAAAAGAAAACACAGAGGAAATCCTCTTACCTGATTCCAAAGAACTACTGTCTTCATCTGAGGGGCGAACACCAGCATTTGAAGACAACACAGCCACAAAACCTTCCTTAAATTCCTCAAAGTTAACCTGGGTGAATTGAAGGTGAGAGAGGACAATGTCACTTTCAACAGATCACACAATTCAAAAGTGACTCTTTTGGATTTTCTCTCAGATAGAAATATATTATTACTGCCTTTTAGAATGAGAACATTCACGTTTTCAAATATTTACTTAAGATTTTTAAAAACAGAAGAGCATGATAAGGAAAGTAGAAGTGGACCATAATCCTACCACCAAATAAACACTATCAACAATTTTGTAAATCAAACAACATAATTAGGAAAGAGGGATCTGATGACCACGAAACGTTACACATAAGGTGAACGCCCATGGCATCCCCAACGCCACCAGCACTGCAGAAGGCGTCTCCGCCACGACCCTTCCCCCTACATCTCCTGAACCCTACCCTGACTTTTATGGTGACAGCTTCCTCGCTTTTCTAGACCTCATTTGCATGCATGCCTAAAGCTTGGTTTCATTTGGCTTCTCTGTGTCCTCAGAAGCTTTGCTATAGTACCCACCTGAGGAGGGGATTGCTGGGCCATAGAATGTGCCCTATTGGCACATTCCCTTGGTGAACTGAACCTTTTATTATAACAAAATGCTCACACTCTTTAATACAGTAAAGCTTTTCACCTTAAGGTCCATTTTCTCTTTTAACAAGAAACTACCCCAGCTTTCTTTTGGAAAGTATTTACATGATATTATCTTTTTATTGAATTTTTCATTCCAATTTTTAATATCCTTATGTTTTAGCTATGTCTCTTAAGAATAGTAACAGTTGGATTTTGTCCAATCTGACAAACTTTATCCTTTAACTTAAATATGTAATCTAATTACATTTAATGTGATTACTGATTTACTGGATTTAAACTGACTATTTCGCTTTCTGCTTTCAATTTGACTTGCTTGTTTTTTCTCTCCCCTCCCCCACCCTGCTTTTGGATTTACTATTTTAGGATTTCACTTTTCTCTTATTAATTTAGACGTTATGGCCAGGCATGGTTGCTCATGCCTGTAATCCCAGCACTTTGGGAGGCCGAGGCAGGTGGATCACTTGAGGTCAGGAGTTCAAGACCAGCCTGGCCAATATGGTGAAACCCCATCTCTGCTAAAAATTCAAAAATTAGCCGGGCATGCTGGCGTGTGCCTGTAATCCCACTACTTGGGAGGCTGAGGCAGAAGAATCACTTGAACCCAGGAGGCGGAGGTTGCAGTGAGCCGAGATAGCGCCATTGCACTCCAGCCTAGGCAACAGAGCGAGACTCTGTCTCAAAAAAAAAAAAAAAAAAAGGAAGTTATATAGTCTATTTCCACTTTTGTACTGATTACCCTAAAATTACAACATCCATTCTTAGCTTACCAAAGTTGAGTATTAATAATACTTTTACTGTCTTCTATGACAATACAAAGCCAGTGAAATATATTAGCTCCAGTTACCACACTCCTGACTTCAATGCCTTTGTTATCATGTATTTTATATGTTTTAAACCCTCACAAAATACTATTTTTGGTTTTGTATAATGTTCATTTTAGAATTATCCCATAGTTATTCTGTTTTTCATTTCTTCTTGCAATTCTGACTTTCCATCTGGAATAATTTTCCAACTATTTAAAATACATCTTTAGAACTTTGTTTTTCTTGAATATGCCAGTGCCAAATATTTTGTCTAACATGTTTTTATTTTACATTAATTCTTTTTTTACAAAGAAATAATTTATAACTTATAAATTATCCTTTTAGAATAGTGGAAATGACTCTGCTGTCCATTTAAACAGAATGGATAAACAAATTGATACAGGCATAGTCATACAATGAAATACCTGACAATGAAAAAGAACAAACCACTAATAGACACAGTAACACGAATGTATCTCAGAGACATACTATGGAGTAAAGAAGCCAGAGAATGGCCGGGTGCGGTGGCTCTTGCCTGTAATCCCAGCACTTCGGGAGGCAGAGGCAGGGTGATTGCTTGAGCTCAGGAGTTGGAAACCAGCCTGGGCAACATGGTGAAAAAAAATACAGTAATTAGCCGGGCATGGCGGCATGTGCCTGTAGACCCAGCTACCTGGGGGGCTGAGGCAGGAGGATTGCTTAAGCCCAGGAGGTCGAGGCTACAGTGAGCCAAGATCATGCCTGGGTGACGAAGTGAGACCCCGTCTCAAAAAAAAAAAAAAAAAAAAAAAAAAAAAGGCCAGAGAGTATGTATTGTGTATTAAAATGCAGAATTTAAAATTCAGAAACAGGAAAAAAAAATCTCTGATGTTGGTGTCCAGGCAGTGGTTGACCTTTGGTAGTAGAGGAACCAAAAAGAGACATGATGAGGGATAAGGGTGTGATGGTTACACAGGTGCGCTCAGTTTGGAATATTCACTGACCTGTACACTTGGACACATGGCTCTTTTCTCTAGGTACGCTTCAGTGAAAGTCACACAGAAAGAAATCAACAGAAGGGCTATTAGGCTGGTCAAAATATCACCACTAAGTGTTGGAGAAGAAGGTTTGGGGCCATAGGTCCAAGCATGCTTCCAAAATCTGACCAAGAATTTGCATGAGCACACCTCTGTTGCTGCCATTGAATGCAAAATGTGGCTGTTTCTTTGCAGACACCTCTGCCTGGGACACACATGTATTACTATCTGACATTAAATTATACATGCATTTGCTTATTTTCTGCCCCCCAGTTAAAATGTGAGCTCACTTTTGGCATATAGTAGGGACTCAACAAATATTTATTGGGTGTCTTTGCCTCTGTATCCTTTCACTGCTAACCAGAACTCTCCTTCTCACAGAGGCATTCTTTCACCTTTATTCTTAAAGGATATTTTTACTCGGTATGAAATTCAGGTTGACAGTTATTTTCTTCTAGCATATTGAAGATATCTTTCCACCGTCTTCTGACTTCTACTGTTGCATTACAGAAAGCAACGGTCAATCTAACTATGGCTCACTTTTAGGATATGTCTTTTCTCTAGCTTCCCTTTTAAAATTATTAAACTTTTCATCTTGAGATCATTATAGATCCATATGCAGTTATAAGAAAAATACAAAGAGATCCTGTGTACCCACTTCTGGCTGTTTTTAAGATATTCTCTCTGGCTTTGTTTTCCTTCAGTTTCACATAATACGCCAGGTATAGATGTCTCTTTATCCTGCTTGGAATTCCATGGGCTTTTGGAATCCCAAGAAGTATGTTTCTGTCCTGAAAATGTTTTAGCTATTACTTCTTCACATAATGCCCCTCCAGCATTCACTTGTTTCCTCCCAGGACTCCAGTTAAAGGGATGCTGGACTTTCTCACTCCATCTGTACCACCTCTTTTTATATCTTCATGCTGCATTCTGGATGACTCCAGTTAATGAATGGTCTCTTCAGCTGTGTCTAATCTGCTGTTAAATGCTTCTATTTAGTTTTAAATTTTGGTGATCATACTTTTCAGTTCTAGACATTTTATTTGGTTCATTGTTCAGATTTGTTACTTCACTTTTCAGAGTTCTTTTAGATATTTTTTAAGCTCTAAAAAAATCTCTAATATAGTAACCATAGTTGTTTTATATTTTGTGTCTAACAATTCTAATATCTCACATATTTGCGGGTGTGCTTCCATTGTCAGTTGTTTCTGCTAGTTCTTGCTCATCTGTCTTGTTTGTTTGCCCAGCTTTCCTTTATCATATGCTGGTCATTGTATTTGGCTATTATTTAGGAAAAATTTCAGATTTGGGATGGTGGCACTTTTATTGTTTGCTTTGGCTAGGTGCCTATCCATGCAGTGCCAGTAATCTAAGTGCAGGATTTGAGATTATCTAGTGTACTGAGGGATATAAGACCAGACCACAAAGCAGTATAATGACTGACTGCAATTCATCTTTACCCTACAGGTCTTACCCTTCAGGATTCTTCCTTAAATTTGGGGTTGGTTTGTCAACCCTGGGTTTCTACCTTGAATGACTCCGGGTTTTGACATATGTTTCTGGGGCTCTTTGAGGCCCCCAAGGTCACAGATCAATTTCTCAGTTGCTTACTTAAAATCACAAAATATTCTCAGGGAAAATGGGCTTTTGTGTGCTAAGCTTACCTCTCTGGGTACTTAATTTACTACACTTTTTTTTTGTTTGTTTCTGAGACAAGATCTCACTCAGGCTCAATCACAGCTCACTGCAGCTTCAATCTCCCAAGCTCAAGTGATCCTCCACCTTGGCCTCCTGAGTAGGTGGGTCTACATGTGTGTACCACCACCCCCAGCTAATTGTTTTTTATTTTTAGTAGAGACAAGGTCTGGCTATGTTGCCCAGACTGGTCTTGAACTCCTGAGCTCAAGTGATTCTCCTGCCTTGGCCTACCAAAGTACTGGGATTACAGACCTGAGCCACCATGCCAAGCCTATCGCAGATTTTTTGACTGGCAATTTCTCACTGATTTATTTGCTCTTTACTGTTTTCAAAATATTTGTTTTTATTATTTTGTTCAGTTTTTCTAGTAGTCCTCCTTGAAAGCTTGGCCTGAGTTAGCTCACTTGCCACTATCAGAACATCTGAACTGCTTCTTCCTTTTTTTAGGGCTGCAAAAAGATTTCAACAAATGGAGCTACCAGGATTATTTAACCAATCCCATACTGAAAAAGCTGTTTCCACATTTTTCCTATCTGAATCAATGCTAGAATGCATACCTTGAATGCATGTCCTTTCACATGAAGATAGAAACTGTGAGTCTTTCCTCCTTGCATCCCTAGCATCTGGTGTTGCCTAGCACATAATAAGTCCCTCAAAAATAGTTGTCAAATACTAAACGAATGATGAAATTGCAATTTTGCTCATTCTAATCACAGATTCTTTTGTGTTGTTGGTAATAATTGCCAGCTGACTTTCTTCCATCCATCAAAGAGCAGTGGGATCAGATGGCCCAGTCTGGTGCCATTTCAGTCTGATACCATCTTGACCACACTTGTCTGTTTTCTTGTGTCCTTCTTTACAGTTCACAAAAGGCGAGCGGCAACCCCATATATTCAGGTATTTTACCAATAAGATACACCATCCCATCTCTGCATGATCTTAGACTCATTCATCACAAAGTAAAGAGGCTGCAATGTGTGATCTAGAGGTACTTTCAACTTCAAATTACAATTGTCTCTCAGTATCCCTGGGGGATTGGTTCCGGGACCCTTGGCAGATACCAAACTCCACAGATACTCAAGTCCTTTGTATAAAATGTAGTATTTGCATATAACCTATGCTCATCCTCCTGTATGTTTTAAATTAGCTCTAGATTACTTATAATAGCCAATACAATGTAAATACTATGTAAATAGTTTTAGGCTGCATTGTTTAGGAAATAGTGAGAAGAAAAAGGTCCATACCTGTTCAATAGAGATGTGACCATCCTTTCTTTTTCTGAATATATATATATGAGAGAATATATATATATGAGAGAATATATATATATATATGAGACAAGGTCTCATGCTGTTGCCCAGGCTGGAGTGCAGTGACACAATCACACCTCACTACAGCCTCAAACTCCTGGGCTCAAGCAATCCTCCCAGCTCAGCCTCACAAGTAGCTGGAATTACAGGTGCATGCCACCACATCCAGCTACCTTTAAGATTCTTCTGTAGAGACGAGGTCTCACTCTGTTGCCCAGGCTAATCTTGAACTCCTAGACTTAAGCAATCCTCTCACATTGGCCTCCCAAAGTGCTGGGATTACATGTGTGAGCCACCGCACCTGGCCTGTTTCATTTTTATGAGATTTCTGTATCAGTAACGTTTATATAATATCATATATGATAGTTACTACAAGGACTGGATATGTAGTATTTGTTTGTTTGCTTGTTTTTTTGAGATGGAGTCTTGCTCTGTCGCCCAGGCTGGAGTGCAATGGCGCGATCTTGGCTCACCGCAACCTCCACCTCCCGGGTTCAAGTGATTCTCCTGCCTCAGCCTCCTGAGTAGCTGGGATTACAGGTGCGTGCCACCACGCCGGCTAATTTTGTATTTTTATTAGAGATGGGGTTTCACCACATTGGTCAGGCTGATCTCCACCTCCCGAACTTGTGATCCACCTGCCTTGGCCTCCCAAAGTGCTGGGACTACAGGTGTGAGCCACTGCGCCTGACCCAGATATGTAGTATTTGAACTGAAAAGCCAATCCATTCTCCTGGATAAAGGGTTTATCTTGGTTTTGAGACTCCCTGAAATCTCTACCATTGGGTTTCTTGTAGAAAAACTGGGACACCTATACGGATATTTCTGACTTGATACCGCTTCCCTTAAATCTCTGTATGACGTTCCACCTATAGGGGCTGTGGGAGCTCTGCCCTGTCTGTGGTATGAAGCAGAGAAGCAAGCAGAGCCTGAAAAGAAAAATGGTCCACCATGACCAACCATCTCCGAGGAGACAGGATGAAGGGACAGGCAGGGAGAGGTGAACGCTAGGCATCTGCAGCACCAGCAGGGTGCTCTCGAAATGTTACAGAGAGAAGAGAAAGGATAACGTCAGAGCAGAGTCGAGAGCACTAGTGCAAACAAAGTGACTTCTTAGTTTATCTAACATCTGACTTGCTTTCTGGGAAGCATGGCTGTAGGAGGGGATGGAGCTGGGACAGACGGAAGGACGATGGCTGGACACGCATGGCTATCCCAGGGGGAGCTGAGTCAGAAAGGGCCCGGCTCCTGCCACTGCTTGTGGTACCCAACTTTCTTCTCATCCCCTCCCCACACACATATGAGAAGCCTCAGGCCTCCTGAAAGGAAATTCCATCTCAGATGAGCCGCTTTTCAGGGTGCGTGTGACAGGGTTCCAGTCAGAAATCTCATGTAACCCAAGCGAATTTCTCTCCTTGCTGATGCTCTAATACCAATCATGGTTATTCTATCAGAATTGGATGTTTCTGTCTTGTATCATTCCTGTAAACATAAAGTGAAGAAATCCTTGGGAATGACGTGGCTTATTCAATCAGCAGAGCCTGCAATCTGAACGTGGACCCAAAGTTACTCTTTTGGTTTTGAATTTTCCAAAGTTTGATTTCTAAATTCTTGATTTTTCAAAAATATCAATTCAGCAAGAGACAGACTCAAATTAAAATATATATATATATATATATGTGTGTGTATATATATATATATAAATAAATAAACGGGACCATCTGTCTGTATTGCTTAAATAACCAGAGCGTTGATTTTTCATAAATGTGCCTTTTGCTCATCTATGTCCCAAACACACTTCCAGGTGATATCAAGAGAGGCTAGATCATTATCTATCAATAACACATTTGCCTTCTTAAGCGCATTGAAAAATGCAGGAATAGAAACCAAAGTCAGAGAAAGGGCATGAGTTTGCCTGAGGAGAGTTCCTTATGAGGGAGGCACAGTGCCCTGCTGACAGGGCAGGTGAGGCTTCTTTGAGGAACTAACAAGAAGTCGGATTCAACCAGACTCTCTACTAGGCCAGCAGTGAGTGGTTCTTTTCTTCATTTGTTTTGGCCCAAGGGCCATTTCAGGAAAATTT
The DNA here is from genome assembly GCF_000001405.40 of Homo sapiens. NCBI lineage: Eukaryota > Metazoa > Chordata > Mammalia > Primates > Hominidae > Homo > Homo sapiens. Next base: position 25,525,329 of record NC_000020.11, read on the forward strand.
ACTGGCTGGGTTTCTTTTCCCCAATTCAAAATAAAAATACTGGCTGGGTGCAGTGGCTCATACTTGTAATCATAGCACTTTGGGAGGCCAAGGCACGTGGATTGCTAGAGCTCAGGCATTCGAGACCAGCCTGGGTAACATGGCAAAACCCCATCTCTACAAAAAAAATACAAAAATTAGGCCGGTGTGGTGGTGCAGGCCTGTAGTCCCAGCTACTTGGGGGACTGAGGCGGGAGGATTGCTTGAGTCTGGGAGTTGAAGGTTGCAGTGAGCTGAGACGGCTCCACTACACTCCAGCCTGGATGACAAAGTGAGACTGTCTCAAAAAAACAAACGAAAAGAAAATACTGAGTCTTGTGGAAAAAATATTATTCCTTCAAAGTTAAGATGACCAACAAGATAAGGCACTGCTGTTAGCAGTAACATCCAGGCATGTTTAAGAAGTAGGAATGGGGAGGTGCTTTTTAGTGTTTTGATCATGAAAGCAGGTTGCAGTCTAGGACCAAGATCCCCATTCTAGATGATCTTGACCTTCTGATAGAAAAGAACCCTCTAATTTCACGTTTTCTATCTGGCCTAGATGAAATTATGGGATACTTTTGGACATGGGTATCCTTTGTTCTTTCAACAGTAGCTTGCAATTGTTTTGTCCAACTCCTAGATGGACTTCAAACTGTGAAATTGTGTAAGACAATCTGCCTTCAAGGGACTGTGACGCTCTCTCTGATTACCAGTGTGAGCTGCTCACAGGTCCAACCCATGTGGTCTTTGTGAATCACACACCACTGGCCTATACCAAACTCCTTCCCCATTCTGCCCCTGTGACAAACCACTAAAATATCTCTCTGGAAAAACAAAACCAAACCTCTGGAAGTTACCACATTAAAAACAAGTAATCTTAAGAAACCACTTTCTACAATGTAGAATTTCCATAGAGGGAAAAACTAGGACACTGTTCCATTTGCTAATAACTTTCCTTTGACACTTGAATCCTTATTCAGCTGATATTTATCAAATGCCCATAAGAGCCAACTATAGACCCCGTGCTTTCCTTTATGACAATGAAGTCCAACACTCACCCTGGCGAAATGGTCGTTTCCGAGAAGCGTCTGCAGGAGGACGGGCAGCTGCTGCTCCAGGTGAAGCTTAAGGCAGAGCTGGGTCAGCTCCTGGCGGTCCAGAAAGCCAGTCCCCGTGGTGTCGCAGCTGCTGTAGACTTCCCTGAGCTGCGAGACATAGTGGTTCTCTTCTTCATCCATCCCATAGCAGGCTGGCAGTGTGCAAGGGAAGAAGAAAACATCAGGACACTTTCCCACCTCCCCTCCCATTCCCACACTGCCGGTGAGCACCGAGCTACATGGTCCAAGCAGACGCAGGAGCTGGCATGTGGGGAAGGCACCAGGGACCCTTGCAGGGCCAAGCACACAGTGGGAGGACTCAGCTCCACCCTTGCAGGAGAGGCCAGAGCAGGTTAACAGGGAGTGAGGATAAATAGTCCTTCAGTCGTCAGTCACAAGAACCAGAATTTCTTTGTTGTATGAAAAATATCCATTAGGCCAGGTATGGGTGACTCACGCTTGTAATCCCAACACTTTGGGAGAAAAAGGCGGGAGGACTGCTTGAACCCAGGAGTTCAAGGCTGCAGGGGCCTTGACAGTGCCACTGTTCTTCAGCCTGGGCAGCAGAGTGAAACCCTATCTCAAAAAGGAAACTATTCTAGAATAATTAGAAAATAGAGATATGTAGTATAAAGAAAACTAAAACCATCAAAAATTCCACTACCATATAAAAACACTACTATTAATATTTTGACCAGCATACAATCTGATTTTTTTTTTTTTGGGAGACAGGGTCTTGCTCTATTGCCCAGGCTGGAGTGCAGTAGCGTAATCTCAGCTCACTGCAACCTCTGTCTCCTGGGTTCAAGTGATTCTCCTGCCACAGCCTCACAAGTAGCTGGGACTACAGGTGCACGCCACCACTCCCAGCTAATTTTTCTATTTTTACTAGAGACGAGGTTTCACCATGTTGGACAGGCTGGTCTTGAACTCTTGACCTCAAGTGATCGCCTGCCTTGGCCTCTCAAAGTGCTGGGATTACAGGTGTGAACCACCGCACGCAGCCCAGATTAATTTTTCTGTACACACGTACAAATGTAGTTTTTTTCCTTACAAGGGTTTCTGTTTTTTTTTCAAATAATAGGTAGTAAAAATTTTACTGAATTGTACTAAATGAAAGTGCTTACAATAAGGAAAAAAAGGAAACTCCAATAAAAATACACAGAGGATGTTAATAAATCACAAAAGATATATATATATAATTAATAACCATCTAAAAATGCTCAAATTAAAACCAAGATATGCTATTTGTAACTGTCAAATTATCAAGACTAAAAATCCTGGATGCCTCTTGTAAGCAAGGGATCTCGTCCACTGCTGGAGGAAGGAATTGGCAAACATTTCTGGGGGGTACTTTGTCTTTATATCAAGAATACTTAAAATATTAACTGGCCTAGTATCTACTTACATGAAATTCCTTATATTTAAGAAAATAGTTACAGACAAAGATATGAGTTCATCAGAATATTATTTATATAAGGACAGGAAAGAAAATAACCTAAAATATCCAACAGAAGAATAGTTTGTCAAATTACTGTGTATTTATATGACAGAATATTAAACAGTCTTGAAATTCACATTTATTTATTTTTGACTGTTTAGAGACAGGTTCTCACTCTGTCACCCAGACTGGAGTGCAGTGGCACAATCATAGCTCACTGTAACCTTGAACTCTTGGGCTCAAGAGATCCTCTTGCCTCAGCCTCTCAAGTAGCTGGGACTATGGATGCATACCACCGTGCCCAGCTAATTTATTTAAAATTTTTTTACCAAGATAGGAGTCTCACTATGTTACCCAGGCTGGTCTCAAACTTCTGGACTCAAGTGATTTCCTGCTGCGGCCTCCCAAAGTGCTGGGATTACAAGGTGTAAGCCACTGCACCCAGCCAAAATCACATTTCTGAAAAATATTTAATAGAATGGGCAGTGTAGAAGAATAAAAACTTTATAATAATAGTAATAACTAATCTACTTACTGGTCACTTTACATATAATAATTCATTTATGCCTTATAACAATTCTACCAGGAAGCTTCTGCAACTTTCTGGAGGAAAATATATTTAAAAAAAGGGAAAAAAGAAACAAATACATCAAAATGGTAAGAAATGCTTTCATGGTATTACACATTTATATTTCCTATTTTATATATTTTTATATCTCTCAAAAATTTTAGAACAAGTAGAACACTTTTGTAAGTAGAAAATGTTACTAAAACACAAAAAACATTAAAGCCCTAAAGATATTCAGATAAACCACATAAAACCACCAATATTAGGCCATCATTCTGACCCACAAAAACGGCAATTTCATATGGTTCAGCCTATAAGGTAGGCACAAGAACTAAGGAACAATTCTAAAAAAGAGGAAATATAAGGAAACAACAACATGAAAAGTCAATCAAGCTCATTCATAATCAAGTAATTCGTAAACATGAAACAATGAAGCAACATCTCTTTCCAGCAAGGCACAGCACAGTAAATGCCAGTTCTATATAGATGTCGCTTTAATGTGGCGGGAGGCGTTTACTTGCCATCATCCACACAGGGTACGGAAGTTGGAGTCAGAAAAAGAATGTATGAGGAGTTGAAAATCTGTTCAGATCAACTCCCCAATGGAAAATGTGCATGCTCCTCATCTTACTCAGGAAAACAATATAATCAGTGATATAAAAATTAATGTTGGCCAGGTATGGTGGTGTGAGCCTGTAGTCTCAGATTCTCAGGAGGCTGAGGCAGGAGGATAGCTTGAGCCCAGGATTCAAGGCTACAGTGAGCCATGATCACACCATTGCACTCTAGCCTGGGTGACAGAGCAAGATCTTGTCTCTTAAAAAAAAAAATTAAGTAGAATCTTCATGGTGACATTAAACTGATTGTAGAAGGTGAACACATCTGACCTTTTAATTAAACACCTGTTGATAAGCTGTTAAAAACAGCCAGTATCTACACTGAGAATGAACAAACCGGTTCATAGTCTCAGAGGTGCAGGTGAAAATGATAATCTGCTCAGCATCTGCAAGGGCCTGCCCTATTTGCTAATCAAATTACTCAACCCTTCTCAGACAGGAGTAGACAGAGGTTCAGACAGGGCGAAGACGAGTGAACTGTGAACATCTGCCTCCTCTTTCAGACTGTTTTGAGATGGTAACAATGAAAATGGACAGAAAACCATAAACAATAAATCGGAAAGCAAACTAAGCCTGGGCAACATGGTGAGACCCCGTCTCTACAAAAAACAGAAAGAACTAGCTGGGCGTGGTGGTGCATGCCTGTAGTCCCAGCTACTTGGGAGACTTAGGTAGGAGGATCACCTAGAGGCCAGGAAGTCGAGGCTGCAGTGAGCTGTGATAGCGCCACTGCACTCCAGCCTCAGCAACAGAGCCAGACCTCGTCTCAAAATAAATAAATAAATACAAATGAAAAAGAAAGACAAGTGGTAAAATTCAGAATGTGAAAGGCAAGGAATGGGGACAGAGGGCAGAGTGGCTGGTGGAAGGACCCCAGGCAAAGGGGAGCAGGATGCCTCCAGGGCTCACCCAGCCCACCAGGGCCCAATTTCCAGCCCTTTCCCGTGTCTCCAAGAATCATGAAAAAATCTGTTTTGAAAATTCCTCTACTTTTTTTCTCTTTTATGTTTAGTTGTAACCAATTCAACCATTTAAAGCATATAAAATAAAGAACATAAAATAAGCCTGTCCCTTTATCCTCCCTGCTTCCCAGAAGAATCACTGCTTGGAACACAGGCTTTGAGATCATTTCTAAGTCTCTAGAACAGATGGGCGGTGAGGCACACGCACGTACATAACACATAGACACACATGTATTTTCACATAAGTATAATAAGTATAACACTGAACACATTATTTTCCAACTTGTTTTTAAACTTGCACTGAGAGATTGTTCCCTGCCTCCCTCATTTTAAAAAATACAACGTGCTCTTGTGTGCAGGGCTGTAACATCATGTATCTAAGTATTCTCAGAGAGAGACGTTGGGCAAATCCAGGGTTTTCTCTTACATCACCTCCTGCTTGTATGGGCATATGTAATCTGAGGGGCAGGGGAGTATCGGGGAAAATTCAGCCAGATATTGGGCAAAATTCACCCCCGATATTTCACATAGGTTCTTTTCTATTTTCCCTAAGCATCGGCCGGTTTGAGAAATAAAGGGACAGAGTACAAAAGAGAGAAATTTTAAAGCTGGGTGTCTGGGGAGGCATCACATGTTGGTAGGTTCCGTGATGCCCCCCAAGCTGCAAAACCAGCAAGTTTTTATTAGTGATTTTCAAAAGGGGAGGGAGTGAGCGAATAGGTGTGGGTCACAGAGATCACGTGCTTCATAAGGTAATAGAATATCACAAGGCAAATGGAGGCAGGGCAAGATCACAGGACCACAGGACTGGGACGAAATTAAAATTGCTAATGAAGTTTCAGGCACACATTGTCATTGATAACATCTTATCAGGAGACAGGGTTTGAGAGCAGACAACCGGTCTGACGAAAATTTTATTAGGTGGGCATTTCCTCGTCCTAATAAGCCTGGGAGCGCTACGGGAGACTGGAGCTTATTTCATCCCTACAGCTCAGCCACAAAAGACGGCTGCACTCAAGGGGGCCATTTTAGAGGCCCACCCTCAGGGACGCATTCTCTTTCTCAGGGATGTTCCTTGCTGAGAAAAAGAATTCAGCGATATTTCTCCCATTTGCTTTTGAAAGAAGAGAAATATGGCTCTGTTCTGCCCAGCTCACAGGTGGTCAGAGTTTAAGGTTATCTCTCTTGTTCCCTGAACATTGCTGTTATCCTGTTCTTTTTTCACGGTGCCCAGATTTCATATTGTTCAAACACACATGCTCTACAAACAATTTGTGCAGTTAATGCAATCATCACAGGGTCCTGAGGCGACATACACCCTCCTCAGCTTACGAAAATGATGATGAGATTAAGAGATTAAAGTAAAGACAGGCATAGGAAATCACAAGGGTATTGACTGGGGAAGTGATAAGTGTCCATGAAATCTTCACAATTTATGTTCAGAGATTACAGTAAAGACAGGCGTAAGAAATTATAAAAGTATTAATTTGGGGATCTAATAAATGTCCATGAAATCTTCACAATTTATGTTCTTCCACCATGACTTCAGCCGGTCCCTCCGTTTGGGGTCCCTGACTTCCCGCAACAGGGGAGAAGACAAAACCTCCTGCATCGAACATCCCTGCTCCTTCCTCTTCGTGAGCTCTGAAAGGTATGAACCAACCACTGTTTCCTCCTGACCATGCCCCAAAAGCTGTGCCTTTGGGAAGGTCCAGGAGGGCTTCCCAGACAGCGAGGCTTGGAGGAAACGCGGCTGAGCTGTTTTCCCAATGTCAGAGGGTAAAAAAGGGATCTCTTCATCTCCCGGCTGTGGGCAAGTCCTGCACCTAAGCCAGCTGGGGGTGCCTGGCCTTGGCTCTCAGCTCTCCCTACACCACAGCTATTTTTACTACACAGGGGAAGGCACAAAATGGGGACTCAAAGTTCTTTCTCAGGGGCATCTTTCCCTTTCTAAACAAGATGGGGAAAGTCTCTAACTGGGGCCTGCAGAGCCCTGGCTGCCCTTAGAAGGACAGCTCTGTGTGTGGCCAGGCCTGGCCCACGACACTGCAAACCCTCTGTGGAACTAAGAGAGGCACAAAAAAGGAAAGACCCTGCCATGGCTGGGACTGCAGGGGCAGCAAGGCTGGAGAATGAGCTCCTTCCCTGCCACTCACAGCAGCTGGGCCTACCAGTCCCTTCCATGCGTGGGGCTCTCAGGAGGCCCCAGCCACACCGCTTCCCTTCCTCCCAGAGCCCCAGATTCACGTTTTCGAGGCTGGGCTAGGATTTCCAGAAGAGGGAAGGAGCTTCAATTCCCGTATGACTACGAATAAAGCATCCACAGGAGGGCTGGCCAGCAGGGCTGGCGTCTGGCAAACAGCGGTCCCCTCTGGCCCTGTCTTTGCAGGCTCATGGCATAGGCAGTAGGGGGAGCCCACCCATCTGACCAGCCAGCCCCCAAGGGGATCTGCAGCTCTGCTCCACTGTCCCCATGTGAGCAGGGAAATACAGGCAGCCCCCACCACTTCTCAAGGCTGCACTGAGCCTTCTCAAAGCCCATGGCTGAGTTACTGAGCATTCAGAGCCGCTCCTCTCCTCTCCTCTCCCTAACTCCTGCGTCTCAGACTCTGCCCAGAGAGCAGCTGCTTCACCTATTGGTGAGTCAGGTGCGGGCAAGCAGGTGAGTCAGACACAGCAGGTCTACAAGCCAGTCAAAGACCTTTCTGTGACAATTTGCCAGCATATGGCCTAACCCCTATCCAAGACAATATCCAGCCACATTTTCAAAATAAAGGAAACGAGGAGGTACTGTCTCCTCCCATACACCCGATAGAACCTGTCCTCCCCTCACCCCAGGAAGAGGGGCAAAGCGTCTTTCCGTAACCTCTCAAATACCCCATGACCAACCTTAGCAAATGGAGGCAGTTGGAAACCCTGGCCAGGAAGGCTTAGAAAAACTCCAAGGCTCCACAGAAGACTGCATTCACCTGGAAAGCGGCCCGGCTCAGCCACATAGGAACCCCGCTGCAGAGAGGCTGGCCGCTTCAAGTGGCTGCCCTGGGATCCAAGAGCCCCAGAACACAGCCCAGGCAACACGACAGCAGACAAACCATGAACCCCGCAGAACTGTGGAGGGTCTCAGAAGCAGTGGAGCAGCCTGAAGATGGGGCTTAGAATTCCAATGTTCACACACACTCCAATCCCTGGAGTCTGGAGCCGATGATGCCAGGCGGATGTGGGAGAGGAGAATAATGAAGGGGCTGAGCCCAAAACACACACACGCGCACACAGAAAAATTGCACTACCCAGAGAAGGAAAGAGGAAAGCCATTTCAGCCAGGAAACAAAACAGACTGCTGGGCAAAAAGAACGATCCGAGACCAAGGGAAGTTTCCTGGACACTGACATGTTACAGTGGCAAAACAAACGTCAACAGCAGAATCGGAAGACAAGGAAAGCTCCTATAAAGTGTATCTAAACAATAAAGATAAAAAATGAGAGAGAAAAAAAGGGAAATTAAAAATCAATTCCATACAGTAGTCAAATCAGTGTGGTCTCAGCACAGGCAGACATAGACCCATGGAACAGAATACAGACCCCAGAAATCAACCCCCATGCATACAAATGATCTTCAACAAGGGTGTCAAGACCACAAAACGGGAAAAAGACTGTCTCTCCAATAAATGCTGCAGGGAAAACTGCAGATATCCACAAGCAAAAGAACTCAGTTTAACCCTTGCTTTCTACAATATACAAAAATTAACTTTTGTAAAATTTACCAAAAATGGATCAAAGACCTTAAATGTAAGACCTAAAACTATAAAGCTTTTTATAGTTTTAACTAAAATAGTGTAATAGTTTTATAAACAGAGAGAAAGCTTCATGATGTTGGATTTGGCAGTGATTTCTTAGATATGTCACTAAAAGCACAGGCAACAAAAGCAAAGATACACAAAGGGGACTACATCAAACTTGAAAACTTGAAGGCACTGCGGGGCCAGGATGGTGGGAGCAGGGGAAGCCAAAAGAAAAGTAGGTAAACTCTAAGTCTGTCCTTCTTCCTGGCCCAGGATACACAGTCCTCCTGTGCCCAACTTCTCACCAGACACCTGCACGTTAGCTCACTGCAACCTTGGCCTTATCAGTACTGCACAAAGCCCTCTTCAGCATGCAGCATAAACACTATTCTATAAAATCCCCAACAAAGCTTTGTCTCTTTGCAGTCAGCTCCTCTCTTCCTGCTGTGCCTGTTACTCCCTTGCAATGTATTTTTCTCCTTTCTCTCTGCCTTTCTTGGTAAATTCTTCTTACCCCTGCACTGCCAGCCCCAGACAGTTGCCGCTCACTTGTGACAATAACCAAAAGAACTGAAAACAGCATCTCAAAGAGATACAGTCATGTATCACTTAACAATGGTGATAAGTTCTGAAAATGTGTTGTTAGGTGATTTTGTTGTTATGCAAACATCACAGAGTGTACTTACACAAACCAAGATAGCATGGCCTACCACAAACCTAGGCCACAAGCAGGTTCGTGTACTGAACACTGGAGGCAATTGTAACACAATGGTAATCCAAACATATCTAAACATAGAAAAGGTACAGAACTAGAGTATTGTAATCTTATGAGACCACCACTGTATATGCAGTCCATTGCTGACTGAAATATTGTTATGTGGTATATGACTATATGTACTGTCATCCCTCAATATCCATAGGGGGTGGTTCCAGGACCTCTCATGGATACCAAAATCACAGATGCTCAAGTCCCTCTATAAAATGATGTAGTATTTGCCTATAACCTATGCATATCCTCCTGTATACTTTAAATCACCTCTAGATTACGTATAATACCTAAGACAAGGTAAATGCTGTGTAAGTAGTTGTTATACCATATTGTTTAGGGAATAATGACAAGAAAACAAAAAGCCTCTACATGTTCAGTATAGAGGCAACCATCACATGCCTAACTACATTTTTGATTCATGGTTAGTTAAATCCACAGATGTAGAACCCACTGACACAAAAGACTCACTGTACTTCTGTGTACAATGAAATATTATTACACCTCAAAAAGGAGGAAAATCTTTTCATTTGCAACAACATGGATACGCCTAGAGGACATTAACGCTAAGTGAAATAAGGCCGGCATAGAGAGACAAACGCCACAGACCTTACTCAGATGTGGATTCTAGAGCAGCTGGCCGCAGAGAAGCTACGAGTGAACAGAAGTGGCCAGGGGCTGGTGTCGGGGGTTGTGGAGTTGTTGGGTAGGGGTGCAAAGTTTTGGGTAAGACATGAATAAGTTCTGGCGATCTACTGTACAACGTGGTGACTACAGTTAATAATAACATATTGTATACTCAAAAATTGCTATGAGAGTAGATCTTAAATGTCACCACAAAAAGTATTAAGTATGTGAGGGGACAGATATGTTAATTAGCTAGATTTAACAATTTTATAATGTATACATGAATCAAAACATAATTTTGTACACCATAAATATATGCATTTTTGTCAATTATACCTTCATAAACTGGGGTGGGGGAGAAGTTCTAGAGATCTGTTACAAAACTAAGCGAATCTAGTTAACATTACAGAACTGTACACTTAACAATGGTTAAGAGGGTAAATTTCATGTTGTGTTTTTTACCACCATTAAATTTAAGTAAAACATATTTTTTAAAAATAAAGAAAGAAAAGTGTTCAAAATATGGTGACCTGCTTTCTGAAACTGCCCAACTCTGTTCTCCTACAGCACTTTTATCTGGATTTTCTCCTTGCCTCCCTCTCCCGCAAAATAATCAATCCCAAATCTCTCGACATCCTTGAAAAGCCCAGAAAAGGGAGCCAAGGGAAGGGAAAGGGGAAATGATTAGAATAATACAAGACTTTTCCAAGCACACAGATGGAAAAGTCATTCCGCTTGGGACAACAAATGAAAAACACCCGCGCCAAGCACACCCTTGTGAACTTCAGAGCAAACTAACGAGTGAGCCCTACAGATGTCCAGAGAGAAAGAGCAGCCCCACATCACAGCAACAGGGATCAGAATGGCACCATGCCCACAGCAGCAAGGCTGAAAGTTCAGAGCCAACCCAGGGCCTTCCATGTGCTCAGGGTAAATGACTTTCCACCTACCCAAGAGACTATATAACCCACGCTGAATACACACTTCGGCAAAATAAGGGGTGAACCAAGAAAGTCAAAGACACAGGCTCACGATCTGGGCTCCATCCAAGACGAGAGGCTTTGGTGTAGGAGCTCAGCCAGGCCAGGGATGGGAGGTGACCAACCCCAACAGACTGCTGTGTACTGCCCACTGAGCCTTTGAGAAAAATAGGGATAGGCTTTTGACAAGGCTGATGGAGCATTTGGAAAAAATAAGAATAAATTCATTAAAAAGTAAGCCAGGGCTGGGAGCAGTGGCTCACGCCTATAATCCCAGTACTTTGGGAGGCTCAGGCAGGTGGATCACTTGAGGTCAGGAGTTCAAGACCAGCCTGGCCAACATGGTGAAATCCTGTCTCTACAAAAATACAAAAAATACAAACATTAGCTGGGCATGGTGGCAGGCGCCTAAAATCCCAGCTACTCAGGAGGCTGAGGCAAGAGAATTGCTTGAGCCTGGGGGGCAGAGTTTTCAGTAAGCTGAGATCATGCCACTGCACTCCAGCCTGGGCGATAGAGTAAGACTGTCTCCAAAAAAAAAAAAAGGTAAGCCAGTAAAAGCCCAGACAACATCAGCCCATAAAGCCAAACCTGGCAAAAGAGTAGAAGTGTAATCATGACCAACCTATTGGTTCTGCAGTGGACAATGTTATGCAGTGACAACAGCAAAAATGCACAGTGGCCACTGGGGAGCCTAGAGAGTATAAGAAATAACAGCAGAATGAGGTTTAATTACCTTGCTCATACTCTGTAGGCTATAAAACAGTACAATTAGGATATGGACATGAGTATCAGGAGAAATATCTAAGACTGAAATGTGGTTGCCTCTAAGGAGAGAGATGGGGAGATGAAGGCAACAGAGCGGGGTAGTTGATGTCAACATACACTTTTTTTAAACTTTCTGACTTCCTTTGTTTTTGAAACAGGGTCTCCCTCTTGTTGGCTGGGGTGCAGTGGCGTTGATCACGGCTCACTGCATCCTCAACCTCCTGGGCTCAAGTGATCCTCCCACCTCAGCCCCCAAGCAGCTGGGACTACAGGTGTGCACCACCCTGCCTGGCTACTTTTAAACTTTTTTGTACAGATGCAGCTTCCCTATGTTACCCAGGCTGGTCTCAAACTCCTGGGCTCAAGTGATCCTTCTACCGGGGCCTCCCAGAGGGCTGGGATTACAGGTGTGAGCCACCACATCGGCCTGAATGTTTTCATTTTTAAGCCATGTGAGTATGTTATTTGACGAAACAAAAACTGATGTAAATCCAATGGGTCAACGAGCAGCGCACCTGCTGGCTCTGCACATACAACCCAGCAGTGCTCCTGGGGAGGTGTGAAGTTCATTATGGAGCTAGTCATCCCCACACACAAAATTAAAACAGAGTACAGAATACCATAGTAAACACTGAATTTCACGGATGCAGCGCCCCACATGCACAGCAGTGTGGCTTTCAGGTAGCACCACCCTCTGTGGGTGACGGGGATGCGTCATGGGGAGGCCCTCTGGAGGGACAGCCCTGGGCTGCTGCAGGTGGAGGGTGGCTGTGGGGAGGAGGAACCTGTAAACGAGCTTCGTGCCTTCACTGTCCCATTGTGGGGGGCGCAGCTGCCTCAGGACACTGTCTCCTTCAGGCCCATGGTGGCACCACAGGCCACCATTAACGGGGCTCCTGACAAGAGTCGAAATGCACGTCACGTTAACTGCACACCTATACTTGCAGCCACACATCTACACTCGCACTCTTGCTGCTCGGTCTCTCTCCCTCCCGCTTTCTCAGGGACCCAGCCTCTACCCACCCCAGCGGTATCCACGGGACCAACACGGTGCCCTGCCCAGGCTGGGGACTCTCCTGGGGTTGGAGCTTGGCTTATCTGGGTGAAAGACACCAGGGCGTGAGATGCTGGTGGCCGCCCCTGGCCCATCCCAACCCCGCAACGCCACTGGAAGATGAACATGTGTCACCGAGTGAAGGGCAGGGAGGCATAGGCGTGGCCTGTGCACCTCAGGCACTGTCCTGAGAGGGGACTCCTGTGGTCGCCAGGTGAGGGGAGCTCTGTTTCTGTCCAGCTTCTTCCTCTGAAAGCAGGGGCTGAGAGGGGTGGGCTGCCCCACCTCTGCTGTGGCCTGTGGTCCTATGAAAAGGCCTTGCTCCTGGGCAGTGGACCACCACGGAAGGGAGGAGTCTGCCAGGTCCTGTAAAAACACTACATGGTATATTTTTTTTCTTCCACCACAACATAAATTACACCCACATTTGCTTTCCAGAGTTCTTTCAGCTCACCCCAGCCTCCTCTGGGTAAGGAATCCTTTGATGCCCTGGACCTGGTGTAGATGGTGGGCAGCTCTCAGGGGCAAAGCCAGGGCAGACATGGTCCTAGGCTGCCATATGTGGCTGGCCAACCATGGCATGGCCTCTGCTCCCAGGCATGGACATGGCCTGGCCCCAGGGTCACAGTGATGGGTAGGACTGGGGAGCAAAGGGCTGGCGAGCACAGAACTGGGGAGAAAGACAACCGCCCTAACTCTCCCCAGAGCTGGGGAGCACAGAACTAGGAAACACAGGGGTGGGTAGCACAGAACTGAGGAGAGCACAGAACTGGAGAGCACAGAACTGGGGAGCACAGGGGTGGAGAAGCACAGAACTGGGGAGCACAAGGCCGGGGAGCACAGGGCTGGGGAACACAGGGTCAGGGAGCACAGAGCTGGGCTTCAGGCCCTGACCAAGGGTGGCAGCAGAAGACACTTGCCAGCCAGGGCACCTTGGCTGTCAGCTGCTGCTGGAGAGGCCCTGCCCACTGACCTGCAGTGTTTGATCAAATGACATGAGTGCTGCCCTTTAGTGACTGGTGGGCACTTGATAAATGTTACCAAAACGTACACTAACATGGGCAGGGCTGGGGTCAGCTCCCTGGCAAGAGTGCTGATGCCCAGAATCCAGTGTCCAATTTCCCTGCAGCACAGTTGTGTGCACACTCACAGCATCAGCTGGGACAGCAAAGATAAGGAGTCAGCGAACAGCCATGCTCCTGCTGCCAGGGTCAACAGAGAGAGGCCAAGGTCACATGCCAGGGTTCACAGCAGCGGGATCTTCCTGACCCATGCAAAGACAACCCTGGATAAACAGAGGTTGGCAATGCTGACTCCACAGCCACGGAGAACCAGCAACCTGGCCCATACCTCGCTGTGAGGCCGCAGGGCCCCTGAGCGGCCAAGGCAGGCAGCTCAGGTCTGGGCAAGTCCCAGCTCCTGCCACTTGTGGCCTCGCGGTCTATAGGGTGAACTAAACACCTGCTACTAAGGGGGCGATGACTGAAAAGGCCAGGCGCTCCATACGGAGACTGCTGCTTACTCACTACACGCTGTAATACTGCCACCAAGGACACCAGAACTACCGTCCCATGTATGTACAGGTGCCCAGAATCCCAGTTTCATGCTGCTCAAACCCTATTTCCAGAGGCGCCTAGCTGCAAATCGGCCTTCCCCTCCCTCCCTACTTGGAAATACAACCAATGCAAATGACAGAACACTGAGGGGAGAAAGCCGCCCTAACTCTCCCCAGGGAGCCCACAGCGTGTGAGCCGCCCACCCAAAGCCCTCTGTTTAGACTCCCCAAAGCCTCTGTGTGAGGGCAGAGGCAAGGACACCCCTTCTCTATCATCCTTCCACAGACCCACGGGGCGGAGGAAAGAAACGGAGCTTTCCCTGAACTCTCAGGACCAAGACATTCATCCAGCACTGCCACTGCACACCCCTGCGGGTTCCCGGGGGCTCCCAGGCCTGCGCAGGCGCCTCAGTGCAGCCTCACAACAAGCAGCTCACTGTAATAATACACACTGTTTACCTGCGCAGTTCAGAGGCCTCTTCAGTTTCTTCTTCATGCAAACTGAATTATTAATACTCCTTGGTATTCCACATCTGCATAAAATGTTTGCATGTCAAAATCACCAGAAAATCTGGCCAGCATTCAGCAGCTGGCTACAAAATTGAGGGCAATATTCCAGATAAAAAGCAACAGTTTCTCTTAGTTTCATTTTTGGAAACTGGAATGAGTAGGCTCTCAATAATCCTAATGCTATAAAGCTTAATTTAAGATACAAACATAAACTTTGCCACCAAGTGAAAGAAAATCCTGTTTTCATCCAGAGGGGAAAAGCCTGTCCCCAAACAAACTGGATGCTGCCCCAGAGACATATGACGTTGTCATCGCTCTGCAGGACAGTGCAGCCCTCTGGAGGCCGGAGGAGAAGGTGTTGGTTTGCATTTAATTTAGTTAATTTATGCACAGTGACGAGGGAATTTAAGCTATGCCCCCCAGAATCCACCGGGCATTAAGGGCAGAGAAGAGATTCATGACCACTCGGAGGCAGCCTAGGTGTGCCAATCACCTAGGGACCCAGAGTGTCCGTAACGGGAAGCCATTCCCAACAAGGATCTCTGTAAATCCTGCTCGCCCAGAAAGAACAGGGCTGAGGCAGCCCTTTGAGGGTGTTCCTTTTTAATCTGGAAAGATGTTATAACCCCAATAAAACACTGAAGCCAGTGCCTACCTTCCAGCTGAACAGACCTCAGTGCTACTTCCAATGGCCTTGCCAGCAGGAATCAACCTTCACACTCCGGCAGTTCTGAGCTATTAGGATTAACTTCCGCTTTAAGTGTTTTCATGGTTTTCGCTTATTTTTCAAAATTTTTGCTATTTATTTATTTTGCAGGCACAGACCCAAAATATCTCAACAATCAAGTTTGAAAAGCTATCCCTTTTTTTTTTTATCAAATAAGGTTTAAGAAGCTTTTTTATTGTTTCAGTCCCAAAAATCTAAAAATAAGCTTATACCTCATTTAAGTGTTAATACTTACTTTCCCTACAAAGTAGATTTTTAGACTAAAAACTACAAAGATACCAAATGTTAAAACTGTCCTAGAACACCTTTCTGTGGTCTCCTAAAAAAAGACACCTCGGTACCTATCAACGCCAGACTCTGCTTACAAAGTCTCTGGTTTTAATGTGGGTTCTGCCACTTTCTAGCTCTGTGGTCTTGGACACATTACTTCACCTCCCTGAACCTCAGTTTCGTGATCTGAACAACCTGATTAGGACATTCTGAGCATTAAAAGAGCTAATGCTAAGCATGCTAACATGTTAGGTACTGAGACCCGTGCCTGATGGCAAGTACTGAATAAATGTTACCATGCCCCATTATACAGGCAAATGTGTCTGGGACTGTACACATCTCTAACCATCTACAAGCTGGGTGGGCATTTATAGCTTCCAAGATAAATAATCATATACAGCTAATCCTGTAAGTTCCTATTGTATGTCAATGTATGTAAAGACTTTTATATCCACACATACTTATATTCATGCTAGGACTATAGCTATAGATGCAAAATTTATATGTGTATCTATATAATTACAAAATATCCATACAATTAGTTATAGACATGAGATTATCCACATACACTTCTATGTATATAAAATGAGCTCTTTCTATATATATCATTACAAAAATAGGAAACTTTATTCTCAACATCAGTATCAACTTCTAACATAAATCTACTGTAAAGAAAGCAATAGTTCCTCTTTTTTACTGGAAATAGCCAATAACAGAAATAGAAGAAATGAGAGAACTAGAAGAGCACATTTGCAGCTACCACTGTAATAGCTGTAATAAGACAAGAATCATCCGTGTATGATCAAAAACAATGGGAGGAGTGACACTGTGCACACCAGCAGGGCAGGAAGCTCTAGGGGGTCAGACGTTCCCACAGAAACTACTGAGCAACTGCAATCAACTATTTCAAAACTCTGGAATCATTTCAGATCCTTATGGGCCTGCTACCATCCCTGTTCCTCAGCCCTTGTTCCTGCTGCCCTAGAGCTGGATGACAGCAGCCTGCACTCCTGGGGTGTCTGGCTGGTGCCAGAGTGGGCAGTGGGGACCCTGTCCTCCAAAGCATGGGCTCAGGGTTTTGGTTGGTCTAGTGGTTCCTTTAGGGAATGAAGCAGACTTTGCCTTGCATTCAGCCTTCCTGGGCTACAGAAGCTTCCCTCAAAAGCATCTATCAGAATATATAAAGGGATGGGAATACCTTTTGGGAAGGGAGAAACTTTGTCAGGTCACTGGCTGACTGTGAAGAACAGAAACTTCAGTCACTGCACACAGGAAAGATTACACAATTTGAAGAATGAAGAAAAATGAACAGAGTCTAAAGGTCAAGTGTACAATCATACACATCAGAGGAGACCAAGAAGAAGAATGGGGCAGAAAAAACATTCACAGAAAAAATGGCCAAAAACTTCTCAAATCTGATGAAAGACATGCATATTTGGATCCAAAAGGTAAGAAACCCAAAAAGAATATTCTTAAAGAGATCCACACTGAGACTCATTATAGCCATATGGTCAAACCTTAAAGGCAAATAGAGAATTCTGAAAGCAGCCAACCAGCAGCCCTCGAAGATGCTCTATGGAGTAGCCATTCTTTTGTTTCTTCACTTCTCTAATAAACTTGCTTTCACTAAAAAAAAAAAAAAAAAAAAAAAAAAAAAAAAAAAAAAAAAAAAAAAAAAAGCCTGGGCGTGGTGGCTCATGCCTATAATCCCAGCACTTTGGGAGGCTGAGGCGGGCGGATCATTTGAGGTCATGAGTTCGAGACCAACCTGGTCAACATGGTGAAACCCCCCCTCTCTACTAAAAACACAAAAATTAGCCAGGGGTAGTGGAAGGCACTACTCGCCTGTAATCCCAGCTACTTGGGAGGCCAAGGCACGAGAATTGCTTGAACCTGGGAGGTGGAGGCTGCAGTGAGCCAAGATCGCACCACTGCACTCCAGCCTGGGCAACAGAGCAAGACTCCGTCTTCAAAAAAAAAAAAAAGAAAGAAAAGAAAAAGAAATATGGCTTATGGTTTATTAATACGAAAGAAAAAAGTAAAATTATCTGTTTGTAGATGATACAATCTGTGTAGAAAATCCTAAAGATTACACAGACACACACACCCCCCTCCCAAATACCCACCCACCTGTTAGAAACAATAAGTGAATTCAGCAAAATTGCAGGATACAAAATCAGCACTTAAAAATCAGTTGCAGCCGGGTGTGGTGACTCATGCCTGTAATCCCAGCACTTTGGGAGGCTAAGGCACACAGACAGCTTGAGCTCTGGAGGTCCAGACTAGCCTGGGCAACATTGGCAAAACCCCATTTCCACAAAATATACAAAACTTAGCCGGGCTTGGTGCTTTGTGCCTGTAGTCCCAGCTACTCAGGAGACTGAGGTAGGAGTGAGGCAGGAGAATAGGCTCTGGAGGAGGGAACCTATGGCTGTTTCATGCCCAACTAAATTGAAAGGAAAATCCTAACTTTCGACGCCTAAGTAACAAAAGGACCAGAGGCTACTCAGGCTACTCCCTTTGCAAACTCCCAACCTTTTCTGCGTGGTAGATGGGAAATTGGCTGTCCGCAACCAATCAGACTGATTGTGGGTGGAGTCCTCCTTTGCAACTTTGTAACTTTACCTTAGCCTCTGATTGGCTGCAAAATGCAACCAATTAGATGTTGCACAAGAGTGTAACATTTGTAACTCCACTTCAGCCTCTGATTGATGTTGAAAGCAACCAACTGCAGGCCACCACGTCGTTTCCATGAGGTGAGCATGAAGTGGCCAATGGCAAACCTCTAGCCGGAGGTTTCTGGACAGGAGAAGATTCTACATGCAGGCCCTTGAGGCGCTGCCTCCCAAAGTGCTGGGATTACAGGCGTGAGCCACCGCGCCTGGCCTAATTTTTATATATAATGTAAGGTAAGAGTCCATCTTCATTCTTTCCATTACCACAGTGTTTTGATTACTCTGTGGCCTTGTAGTGAGCTTCAAAACTAGAATTTTGAGTGCTCCAACTTGGTTCTTCTTTTTCAAAGGTGTAAGAGAAACCTTGTCCAGCAGTGGTGACAAACCCACACTCACCTAGCCTCACTCACACATATTCTCACTTCTGTTCACTGCCCACAATTTGACGCGTGGAATCTGGACGGGAAAACAGTGACGATGAGTGGCCCCAGGCAACTCCTGGCTCTGGCCTCACCAGCATCCACATAATAGGATAAAAGAGGTGCACAGGACTGATGGGCCCACAGAACCATCTATCTTTAGACCAAAGACAATGAAGGAAGGGATCTTTCATTAGTTCTACTCTGCATCTCCTATTTCTCAACTTGTAGTAAAAGTAATGAATTACTTTCAAGGAATGAGCAGGATGCAGACAGATTAAAGAACACATTTGCACGTGACCTGACTGTGACCTGACTATGCTGAAAGGCCGCTATGGCATAAAATATTTGAGGTGCTTAGGAGAACAGGAAGTGGAATCTTTGGAAACTTCAGAGGCCATGTTCAGTCCCAGGGGCCAAGTCTTTGTTTCAGATGCACGGGTCCTTGTGAGAAGTCTGGCTGTTCTGAGTCCCACAACACTGGAGTCTGTATTTTTCACATTACGATTCCTAAACTCAACTCCCTCCTTTTCTACCCAAAAGCTAACAGCATTGGCATGAAAAAAGCAGCCACAAAAAGGTTTTTCCTCTGGCAGGAACCAAGCTGGGTGCAGGGAAAAGACATTTGCTAAAACAGACTTCTGGTTTCTGAGCACCCCAAACAACTTTTACTTGGTCTAATCATTGCTGGTCAATCTCCCTTGACAGGATGAATGTTTAAATAAACAAATCTGTCTTCAAGCTGCATTTGTTAAAACAGCAGATGGAGATTTAACTGAGCTGAGGAGGAACAGAGCTCTTTATCTCCGTAAGTATGACAAGTGAGATGAGGGACTGAGGCAGAAGTCTCAACCCTCAGGGCCTATTAAGCAGCTTTAGGGAGCATCCAGGAAAACCTGGGATAGCTCCATCTGTGGCTGTTTTCCTGAAGAGGTTTTCTGGAGGTTTAGTATTTACACATTCCTTTAAAGTGCAGAAGGCATGTAGGAAGAGGGTCAGGTAGGCAGTAAGGGAATGGTTCTATTCCCATGGGCCTTGAGCTGGTGCCCAGTAAATCTACATTTTACGTAAGATAAGGTGAACATTTGAAGAGGAGTAGGGACTAAAGGAGGAGTCAGTTCCACAGACATCTCCGGGTAGGTGGAGAAGGGAGTTTGTCTTTCCTCTGCATTTGGGAAAATAAGCTTGTAATCAACATTATCAGTGTGGCGTTTCAGGAGCCAGACTTAGACTGTAGACCTAAAGTCTCCCCTTTTCATACATTGGCATGTCCTCATGTATGGGAGGTGTAAACCAAAAATAAAATTCTGAGCCCCCCCCCATTATCTGAATGGTGCCCTCCTCTCAGCCAAGGGCATTCCAAAGTTATCCTGAAGAACTAGTTCAGGCATGACAGGATGGGGGGTTGGACTGCCCCATTATGCCCTCCTCCCTTTAGAATAATTCAGGCACAACTGACCAGCATTAACATTAAAACAGATCTCAAGACTGACAAGACAGACTCCTGTAGCAATAAGATACCAGCTTGACTCTAGCACAGCATCATAAGACAGATAGCAAGCCCTGGAAGTACTTTACTACAAACTATATTTCTTTGCCATATCTTGAAGTACTCCTGCAAAGTTGTCTCTTGTGGGGAAAATCTACATTCTGAAGAGAATCTCCTTCCTTTTCCAGGCCTTCTTCCTGATCCAGGAGAGAATCAGCTCTGATAAGACACATTTACAATGGATTCTCTCTGAAGCCTGCTATCTGGAGGCTCCCTAAGTATAATGAGAACCCTGGTCTCCACAACCCCTTTTCTTTCTTTGTTGTTTTGTTTTTATTTTTTTTTTTGAGACAGAGTCTCGCTCTGTTGCCCAGGATGGAGTGCAGTGTACTAATGTATGACTTTGCCTGTGACTTCTGCTTCCCTAAAATGCATAAGACAGAGTCGTGCCCTAACTGCCTCAGGACCACTTATCAAGGCTTCCTGGGTTTGTGTTTTCCCCAGGCCACGGTCAATCATACTGGCTCCGCATAAACCTCCTTAAGATATTTTACAGTTTGGGTTTTCCATTAACACCTTCACAGCATACACTTGAGTTTTTAAGGTTGAGCAGGTCCAGCAGGTTTCCCCCAGGTGGATTCTGACTGAACAGTTTATGAGTGATTTCTCCATACCTGTTATTCAATCCAAGCTTTCGTGGGTAAGTGCTTTCTTACCTGCCTGTGCCCCTCAATCAGAGCATAATGTTATAGAACATCAGAGTTAGAAGGTACTCAGAACCAAGAAAAATTTAACCCAAAAAAGATCTAGAATAAAATGCAGCTTTTGCTTCACCCTTAAAAGAGTGGGAAATTTGACTATATAAAAGTCACAATTTCTAAATAGGAAAGAATAAAATCAGAAGATAAATGACAAACAAGAAGGTAATTTTAATGTAAATCACAGGCCAAAGGTTAATTCCCTTAATAAAGAGCTCCTAAAATCAGTACTGAAACAACCTACCCTACCCCCACCCTCCAAAAGCAAAGGATCTAGATTACAAAGATGGAAATACAAATGGCTCTTGAACATGTGGAGAGATGCTCCACTGTGCTCATCGGGAGAGATACAAACCCCACCGAGAGAGAGGACTTTTCGCTTGTCAGACTGTGCCTCAGGTCAGCTGGGCTGCTGTGACAAGGCACCGTGGCCAGACAGCTGAAAACAGAATGTATTTCCCTCTGTTCCAGAGCCATCAAGAGGCGTCTCATCAAGAAGTTGGCGTGGCTTCTTCTTTGGCCTCTCCTCAGCTTGCAGATGTCTCCCCTGCATGTGCCTGTGTCCTCATCTGTTCTCATAAGGACACCAGTCATATAGAACCAGGGCCACCCTTATGGCCTCATGTGATACTGTGGTGTGGCAAAAAGTGTATGTTTAGTCTTGGTCCTAGGTTCCTGACATACAGCTCCCAAAACCCTCAGAATTTCCTGAGTAATAGGGAATTCTGTTATTCATAATAAGCCCCTTTCAACTACACCAGCGTTTATATTACTGAGGTGACTCTAGGAGGAAAGGGGCTGGTTACCAGATGGACCAACCCTGGGATTAGGATAATCCCACCCCCAGCCTCCAGGGTGGGCGGGGCTGCAGCTAAACCCCATCCACCTCTTCATCTGCTGTTCATCCACATTCTTGGTCACAGCTTCATAATAAACCGGTAAACATTTGTAAATGTTTCCTTGAGCTTTGCAAGCCACACTATCAGATGATCAACCCCCAGAGATGGTCTTGGGGACTCCTGATTTAAAGTCAGTCGTTCAGATGCACAGGTCACAACGTGGGACTCATGACTGCCTTCTGAACTGGGGGAAGCCAAATGGAACTGAGCCCTTAACCTATGGGGTCTGCACTAACTCCAGGTAGTGTAGAACTGGGTTAAATTCTAGGACATCCAGGGGCCTCTGAAGAGAATTGGAGAATTACGTGGTGTGGAAAGACCACGTTTGGTGTTAGAAGTGTTCTGCTGAGTAGAGAAACCATGTTTTCCATTTTACTTTTCACTTGATTACCTCTTTAAAGAACCTGTCTCCAAATACAATCACATTCTGAGGTACTGGAGGTTAGGGCTTCAACATCCGAATTCTGGGGAACACAACTTGGCCCACAGCAGACTGGCACTCTGTTGATGAAGCCATAGGAAAGCAGGCTTCATACACGCTGATGGGAAATAAACCGGGGCAACCTCTACGGACAGCAACTTGTCAGCATCAAAGTTTTAACGTGCATTTCCCAAAAGAAGATTCATTAATGGGCAAAAAGTGCACAGAAAGATGCTCAACAGTATAAGTAATTAGGGAAATGCAAATCAAACTAATGAGGTAACACTGCACACTGCCTGGGACAGCTATACTCCTGGGATCCACTGGGCAGATGCACTGCAATGCTGGTCTTCCCCAAGGTTCCTGCCCTGTCCCTCCTTGCCATGGGGGCACATTTAAGGATGGCCACCTCCACACAAGCCGGTCCAGTGCAGCTTGGTCGGGGGGGTTCTGCTGCACTCCTGGGCAGCTGTGTGGCCGAGTCAAGCTGCTTATGCTCTCTGGGCCTGAGCTGAGCTATCAAATGAGGAAGCCAAACCTGATCCCAGGCACCTTTGTGCTCCAAAATTCTCATTCTCTTGGGCCCAGCACAATGCCTTCTGGGCTCCCCTCACCACTGAGCTCCACAAGAGTCCTGAGGGGGAAATCAGAGGACACCAAGCAGCCTGGTCTTGGACAGGGTGTTCTGCAGATGGCCATTACCTGAGCGTGCTGGCCTATGGGCTGGCCCTGAGCACCCACAGCCACAGCTCCCACACCCAACCTTACACAGGGCTGACCTCGGCACCCATGGCCACAGCTCCCACACCCAGCCTCACCCACGGCTGACCCCGGCACCCGTGGCCACAGCTCCCACACCCAGCCTCAGTCAGGCCTGACCCCGAGCACCTACGGCCACACGTCCCACACCCAGCCTCACCTAGGGCTGACCCCGGCACCCACGACCACACCTCCCACACCCAGCCCCACCCGGGGCTGACCCCAGTACCCACGGCCACATCTCCCACACCCGGCCTCACCCAGGGCTGACCCCAGCACCCACGGCCACAGCTCCCACACAGAGACTCACCCAAGGCTGGCCCCAGCACCCATGGCCACACCTCCCACATCCAGCTTCATCCAGGGCTGACCCCAGCACCCACGGCCACAGGTCCCACACCCAGCCTCACCCAAGGCTGACCCCAGCACCCACGGCCACACCTCCCACACCCAGCCTCACCCAGGCCTGACCCCAGCACCCACGGCCAAACCTCCTACGCCCAGCCTCACCCAGGGCTGACCCCAGTACCCACAGCCACACCTCCCACACCCAGCCTCACCCAGGCCTGACCCCGGCACCCACGGCCACACCTCCCACACCCAGCCTCACCCAGGCCTGACCCCGGCACCCACGGCCACACCTCCCACACCCAGCCTCACCCAGGCCTGACCCCGGCACCCACGGCCACACCTCCCACACCCAGCCTCACCCAGGCCTGACCCCGGCACCCACGGCCAAACCTCCCACACCCAGCCTCACCCAGGGCTGACCCCGGGACCCACAGCCACACCTCCCACACCCAGCCTCACCCAGGGCTGACCCCAGCACACATGGCCACAGCTCCCATACCCAGCTTCATCCAGGGCTGACCCCGGCACCCATGGCCACAGCTCCCACACCCAGCCTCACCCAGGGCTGGCCCCGGCACCCATGGCCACAGCTCCCACACCCAGCCTCATCCAGAATCCAAGCTCGTCCCAGACACTGTCTCTCTGGCCGTTGCTCAGCATGGACCTGGCTCTTAATGGACCCTCCATCAATGTCTGCTGAGTCTCACTTCCCCTCTCCCTCTCCTGCTCTGTGCTAGGAAAAAGGCAATGTGAGTTTTTATTTTACATCCAAACAAAAGCTGGCAGCTCATCATGCACGAGTGGAACTAAATCAATGTCGTGGCCTGAGGTCGTGCAGCACAATGCACTCAGCTGAGCAGTGTCAGCACGGAAAGCCCACTCGGACCTTGGATCTCCAGACACGCCCATTCAGCCCGGTTTGAGCCACTCTTTCCAACCAACTCCACAATGTCCCTAACATGTTTTTTAAAAAATGTTTCCACACAGGAAAAGTCAAAAGTCAGGAAAATCTCAGAACTCCAGGTAGAATATTTACAAGGTTCTAGCTAAACCTGCCATACACACGTCTGCAAACATCCTTCTAAAAGGGGAAAACTTTTAGAGCCACAAGAATGAAATAAAGTGGATCAGAAGTAAATTCAACACTGAGAGGACAGTGAAAAGAACACATGAAACACTTGGCATCTGTGTATCAAAAGGAATTTGTCTCTCTTTCCAAACACTTTGGCTCACATTACGTTTACTTAAAGAAAAAAGGGGGTGGATACAGTGGCTCATGCCTGTAATCCCAGGACTTTGGGAAGCTGCTGTAGGAAGACCACCTGAGGCCAGGAGTTCGGGAACAGCCTGAGCAACATAGCGAGACTGTCTAGAAAACAGAAAAATTAGCCGGGCATGGTGGCATGTGCCTGTATTCCCACCTACTTGGGAGGCTGAGGTGGGAGGACCACTTGAGCCGAGAGGTTAAGGCTGTGGTGACCCGTGACTGTGCCCCTGCATGATGAAGGGGGCCTGCCCCTCCACACCTGTGGGTATTTCTCACAAGGTGGAGACAAGAGACTGAGAAAAGAAATAAGACACAGAGACAAAGTATAGATGAGGAAAAGTGGGCCCAGGGGACCGGCGCTCCGCAAGCAAGGACCTGCACCGGCACTGGTCTCTGAGTTCCCTCAGTATTTATTGATCACTATCTATACTATCTCGGTGAGGGGGATGTGGCAGGACTATAGGGTAATGGCAGGGAGAGGGTCAGCAGGAAAACATGTGAGCAAAGGACTGTGTGTCATAAATAAGTTTAAGGAAAGGTGCTGTGCCTGGATGTGCACATAGGCCAGATTTATGTTTGACTTTACAAAACATCTCAGTGCAGTAAAGAGCAGTATTGCTGCCAGCATGTCTCACCTCCAGCCATAAGGCGGTTTTTTCCTATCTCAGTAAATAGAATGTACGATCAGGTTTTACACTGAGACATTCCATTCCCAGGGACCAGCAGGAGACAGATGCCTTCCTCTTATCTCAACTGCAGAGAGGCCTTCCTCTTTCACTAATCCTCCTCAGCACAGACCCTTTACAGGTGTCGGGCTGGGGGACGGTAAGGTCTTTCCTTTCCCACGAGGCCATATCTCAGGCTGTCTCAGTGGGGGGAAACCTTGGACAATACCCAGGCTTTCTTGGGCAGAGGTCCCTGCGGCCTTCCGCAGTGCATTGTGTCCCTGGGTACTTGAGAATGGAGAATGGCAATGACTTTTACCAAGCATACTGCCTGCAAACACATTTTTAACAAAGCACATCTTGCACAGCCCTAAATCCATTAAACCTTGAGTCAATACAGCACATGTTTTCTGGGAGCACAGGGTTGAGGCTAGGGTTACAGATTAACAGCATCTCAAGGCAGAAGAATTTTTCTTAGTACAGAACAAAATGGAGTTTCTTGTGTCTTCCATTTTCTACATAGACACAGTAACAGTCTGATCTCTCTTTCTTTCCCCCACACATTCCAGCCTGGGCAACAAGGGCGAGACTCCGTCTCAAATAAATAAATAAAAAAAAAAAGAAAAGAAAAGATAGAAAAGAAAATATGAACCTGCCCCTAACAGATGTAGAAAAAAGAAGGTAGGGTGTTCAACAAAAATGGTCACTGAGGCAAGTGTCTCTATCAGCAGAGGTTTATTGAGCCAAGTCTGAGGACGCACCCAGGGAAAACACAAGCCACTGAAGCATCTGTGACCTCTGCTTTTCCAAAGAGGATGTGGGAACTTAGTGTGTGTGTGAGGTGGGGGCAGGCAGGAGGGAAACAAGGGTGGGGGCAGGGAGGCAAACGGTTATTCTTATGAGGCTCTAATAACTGCTCAGCACCCGTATGTTTTATATCAGATAAGGTAAATCTTTGAAAACAGGGAATGGAGGAGAGTCAAGCAGGAAGAGTGATTGATCCTGTCTTGAGCGTGTTCTGCACTTGGGAAGGTAAGCTTGTCATCAACATTGTCAGTGTGAGATTTAACAGGATTCAGTTTGAGGAGTTAAACTTGGCTTGCAGATCCAAGGTTACAATTGGCATGTACTGGTTTTACAGCAGATATGTATCCTGAAAGGTTTAGGGGCTAGCAAGGGATGTCCCTGTGAGCAATTTGTGAGGGAGGCCATCGGGAGGTATACAGCCTTTTACCATCCTGGGACCTGGCTTATGTCTAACACTATGACACATTGTTGTGAAGTTACAGCTCTGTTTGGGGAAAAAGAACAGCAGTTGCATGACTCCATTCCCAGGCTTAACTCTCCCTTTGGCATAACCAGTTGGCGGGGTGGGGATGGGGAGGTACCAAAATTTCATTTTCTTTTACAGAAGCTATTTCCCTCAAGCCTTTTATCATTTTTTTTTTCTTCCAACTCAAGTTAAAAATCTACTAAAAGAGCTGGGCATGGTGGTGTGTGCCTGTAATCCCAGCTACATGGGAGGCAAAGGTGGGAGGACCACTTGAGCCCAGGAGTTCAAGACTAGCCTGAGCAGCATAGCCAGACCCTCCCCACCTCAAAAAGAACGCTGACAAACTAACCATATACATAGGTTAA
Source organism: Homo sapiens (assembly GCF_000001405.40). Taxonomy (NCBI): domain Eukaryota; kingdom Metazoa; phylum Chordata; class Mammalia; order Primates; family Hominidae; genus Homo; species Homo sapiens. The sequence continues at coordinate 25,552,411 of NC_000020.11, forward strand.
ACCACTTTTCTAAAAGAGCTGTGAAAGAAAAAAATAAATCTACTAAAAAAAATAAAAGGTAACATAATCCTCTGGATTTGTAAGGCCAATTGCATGTTTATCCTATTAATCAAACAGTGATGCCAGAGCTTTTGTTCCAAGCCATGCTGGCACTATACAGACAGAGGCATGCTTGCTCGCCCTTCTGTCTAAATCACGGAGGGGCCACAAGCCTCCAGCATTTGGTCAAGCCCTGAAGTTTGAAGTCAACTCAGTCAGGTCTAGACACACCCCCCTGCAAGGCTGAGAGGTCCTGGAAAGAACCACATCCCAGGCTATGTCCAGGAGAGAAAAATAGAGGTGCTGAACAGGGATGGGAAAAGAAAGGAGACACAGAAAGTAATTCAGAGTAGCTCCAGGTGGCTCTTACAGCTTGGAGGACAAGTTTGCGAAGAGCCGAGCCTATCTGCGAAGGTCAGTAAACACACCGGGTTACTCAGGCCTTCCTGGAGAATCAGGGTCTGGCTAGAATCAAAGAAAGGCTGAGCTGAGACACCCAGGGAAAGTGCTGGTGCAGGTGAGGCACTCATGGAGTGGGGGTCTCAGCTCACCTTTTGCTTCCCCACGCAAGGGCACTGGTGCAGCGGCCTTGCTCACTGTGGCCCTCCACTTCAGACCCCACTATGCCTGGAAGTTACTTCTCACCCTTGTTGGGTTTTTTTTTTTTTTTTTGGAGATGGGGTCTTGCTATGTGGCCCAGGCTGTTATTCACAGGTGTGATCACAGCTCAATGCAGCCTCACATTCCTGGGCTCGTGATCCTCCCACCTCAGCTGCCCAAGTGGGTGGGACTACAGGTACCTGCCACCACATGCAGCTTATTGGAATCGTAATTGGCTTCAGACATACTGTTACAAAAAAAACCGAAAACAAAAACAAAAATCCAAAGGTTGGGGAAATGGCATTTTAAACAGAGCCACTCACTGGTCCCCGCCAGTACTGAGGATGCACACAGTACAGGCCCCAGTGTCTCCACTTCTCTAACCAATGGCTTGTGGGCCACATTGGGAAAGGTACTTTCTGATTTTCTTTAACATTAAAAACAATTTTAAGAAAAATAATTATCATTCCCATGGCAAAGATATTTTCCTCCAATGTGTAACACAGATGCATATTAGGCTGAAATAAATACAGCTAGGTTAGCATGAACACGTGTCACAAGTAAAGCCCATATAAAATCTCATTCCTTTAAACAAAAATGCACAGACTTGCACGCCATTATGTGAACCTGGGTCGAAAAAGAGTGTCCTTCACTTATCTTTCTCCCCAGGGAAGCTAAAGAGGAAGGAAAGAGCATCTCAGTTCAACAGGCACGATGGGAAGAGGTTCTGAAACAGTGGCCCATGGAGGTGACTCCGTTTCCTGCTCCCTGCTCACTCTGCCCAACTTGGGCAGCAGGAGGATATTCTGTACTTGCTGCCTCCAGGAGGGAGACAGAGCAGAACACCACAAACTGGGAGGCTCTTCTTGTTGTCTGAGGTTCAGATGCTCAGTCCCTGGACAGCAGCCAACAGCTGCAAATAATAAACATGCAAGCCTTCCAGGCAGCTATGGCTGGACCTGGCAGGCAGGGCACGGGTCAGGGCAGAAGGACCAGGCCTTCTAACCTAACCTGCAGGTAGGTGTGGGGGAAGTGAGAGTGAATTCACTCTTTCAGGCAACGTTCAGGAAGGGGCAGGAGCCCAGGCAAGGAAGGGCAGCGAGGTGTGTCGAGGCAACAAGGAGCAGAAGCTAAACAAGGAGCCACACAGCGGGAGGGCTGCACTCTGCGGAGCATGGGGTCAGGAGAAAGGTCTGTGTGCAGGGGACCCATGGGAACCAAGGCCCAAAGACAGACAGAAGGACAGCCCCCTGAGTGCCAGAGTGGACAGAACATGAAACCCCTGCCAGGTAGAGACATAGCCCTGGGTGACTTCTGGATGGATAAAAATGAACTTTCTGCCACCTGGAAGGGTATGGGCTCATGGAAGAGAACACAGTGCATCTCAGACAACAGAATGGCAATCTGCATACTGGAGTTTAAGGATCACAATTTATACAAAACCTATGGCTGTAGCCAGGTGCAGTGGTTCATGCCTGTAATCCCAGCACTTTGGGAGGCCGGGGTGGGTGGATCGCTTGAGACCAGGAGTTCAAGACCAGCATGAGCAACATAGTAAGAACCCTGTTCTTTACCAAAAAAAAAAACAAAAAAAAAAAAAAAAAAAAATTAGCTAGGTGTGGTGATGGGGGTCTGTAGTCCTAGCTATTCAGGAAGCTGAGGCAGGAGGATCACTTGGGCCCAGGAGGTCAAGGCTGAAGTAAGCTGTGACTGCACCTTTGCACTCCAGCTTGAGTGACAGAGCAAAACCATCTTAAAAACAAACAAACAAACAAACAAAAAACCTGTGTCTGGTAACTGCAGCATCAGGGACCCTGGGGAGCCCGCTTTGGCAGTATGTGCCACTCAGGTCTTTCATTCAGATTATCATAGCTCCACGGGCCTGAATATCTTGATTGTGTGCCAATATATTTAAAACTAGAAAAAATATGTGCCCTGGGATGATTTTTTTTTCCTCTACAGAGAAATAGCCATCAGCACCCCGGTAACAACCTGAGTCGAGATCACAGGCTGAGATGAATACAAACAGCGTTTGGTTTCTGAGAAGGCCAGTTTCCTTCCAGTTCACTCCTGTTCCTAGGGAATAATCTTCCTCATGGTCCTGACCCAAAATGTAGGCAGTCTATCAGGCGTCTAGCTTGGTGGAGCCTGGACATCAACTTGTGTCCACCTAACCCTGTGACACTGTCAGACATGGCTCTCAGGCACCTCTTCCGTAACGTACAGACAGGCCCCACAACAAAGCAGCCCATGCCACACACACCTGCCGAGGCTCCTACATCTTCCTACTGACAATTTTGATGGATATAGCCAAATTGCTCTCCATAGAGGCTATATCTATTTACACAATATACCATGGATAATGTTCCAGGTAGATAAATGAGAATTTTAACACATTTACTCTACGTAAAATTTGTACTGAAAAATAAATATTCAAAGGTAAATGTATACAAATCATGAGCATATGGCTCAAGGAATATTTACAAAGATAACACACTCATGTAACTACCATTCAGAACACGAAAGACACATCAGGCCAGACGTGGTGGCTTCTGCCTGTAATCCCAGCACTTTGGGAGGCCAAGGTAGGAGGATCGCTTGAGTCCAGGAGTTTGAGACTAGCCTGGGCAACACAGTGAGGCCTCCGTGTCTATCTTCCCTATTGCCCAGGCTGGTGTGCAATGGCACAATCTGGGCTCACTGCAACTTCCACCTCCCGGGTTCAAGCGATTCTCGTGCCTCAGCCTCCCAAGTACGTAGGATTACAGGCATGCACCACCACGCTTGGGTAATTTTTGTATTTTTAGTAGAGACAGGGTTTCACCACATTGGCCAGGCTGGTCTCGAACTCCTGACCTCAGGTGATACGCCCGCCTCGGCCTCCCAAAGTGCTGGGATTATAAGCGTGAGCCACCATGCCCGGCTTATTTTCAATAAAAAAAAAAAACAGGCCGGACACGGTGCCTCATGCCTATAATCCCAACACTTTGGGAGGCCAAGGCAGGAGGATTGCTTGAGCCCAGAAGTTCAAGACCACCCTGGGCAAACATAGTGAGACTTCATTTCTACCAAAAAGCAAAAAATTAGCCAAGAGAGGTGGCAGATGCTTGTAGTTCCAGATATTCAGCAGACTGAGGTGGGAGAGGACTGCTTGAGCTTAGCAGGTCAAGGCTACAGTAAGCCATGATTATGCCACTGCACTCTAGCCTGGGTGACAGAGCAAGACCCTGTCTCAAACAAACAAACAAAAAGTTTTATGTAACACAAAAAACTTTTATCTATTTAAAATCAAGGATGGGTACAGTGGCTCATGCCTGTAATCCCAGCACTTTGTGAAGTCAAAGTGGGAGGATCACTTGAGCCTAGGAGTTTGAGACTAGCCTGGGTAACATAATGAAACCCTGTCTCTAAAGAAAAATACAAAAATTAGCTGGGCATGGTCATGTGCAACTGTATTCCCAGCTACTTGGGAGACTGAGGTGGGAGGATCACTTGAGTCTGGGAGGTCAAGGTTGCAGTGAGCCATGATCATGCCACTGTACTCCAACCTAGGCAACAGGGTGAGATTCTGTGTCTAAATAAATTAATTAGTAATTAAATAAACAAAATTAGCCAGGCATGGTGGTATATGCCTATGATCCCAACTACGCGGGAGGCTGAGGTGGGAGGATCACTTGGGCCCAGGAGATCGAGGCTGCAGGGAGCTGAGATCGCACTTCAGCCTGGGTGATGGTGAGACTCTGTATCATGCATGGATACATATATAAGGGCCAATAATCCTACCAAACTGATCTTTCCCCAAATAAAAATGATAAACTTTGGATAGAATACAGAACACAACTACTAAGGGCAGATACCTGAGAGCAACCAAAAACAGGAGGATTCTGGAAGGGAGCTATGGGCACCAGGGGAGTTTCCCACCTCCACAGCTCCCACTCCCAGCTGGAAGGAAATGAGGAGTGATTGCTAACAGGTACAGGGTTTCTTTTGGGTGTGATGAAACTGCATTGCACAACTCTGCATGTATTTTATTTTATACTGAACTGCACACTTTAAACAGGTGAATTATATGGTATTTGAATTATATCTCACTTAAAGCCATTATTTTTGAAAAGTAAGTGGCTGTAACCTCTACCATGCATACTGTAAACAAGAATGCTGGAGAGACCATATTAATAGACTTCAAGAGGTACAGTATTGGTCAGGTGTGGTGGCTCACACCTGTAATCCTAGCACTTTGGAAGGCCAAGGAGGGTGAATCACTTGAGGTCAAGAGTTCCAGACCAGCCTGGCCAACATGACAAAACCCTGTCTCTACTAAAAATGCCCAAATTAGATAGGTGTGATGGTGCATGCCTGTAATTCCAGCTACTCGGGAAGCCAAGGGAGGTGAATTTCTTGAACCCAGGAGGCGGAGGCTTCAGTGAGCCGAGATCACACCACTGCACTCCACCCTGGGCAACAGAGCGAAACTCCATCTCAAGAAAAAGAAAAGGAAAAAAAAAAGAGTACAGTATTAATTACCAAAGATAGAAGGACTTTTTATAGTGATAATTCAACACAAAGATATATCATAAATGTATAAGCATCTAACACTAGAGCCTCAAAATAAAGCGAAACTCAACAGAATAAAAGAGAGAAATGGACAATTCCACAAGCATATTTGGATATTTAAACTCTAACTTCTTGACAATTGATAGAACTAGATATATAAAAAGAATTATCTAGATGTATAAAAAGTAAAGAGGTAGATGATCTTAACAACATTATCCACTTTGTTCAAAGATAAATATACTGGGCTGGGCGCAGTGGCTCACGCTTGTAATCCCAGCACTTTGGAAGGCCGAGGCGGGCAGATCACTTGAGGCCAAGAGTTTCAGACCAACCTGGCCGACATGGTGAAACCCCGTCTCTACTAAAAATACAAAAAAAAAAAAAAAAATGAGCCAGGTATGGTGGCATGCGCCTGTAATCACAGCTACTCGGGAGGCTGAAGCAGAAGAATCACCTGAAGACAAGAGGTGGAGGCTGCAGTGAGCCGAGATCATGCCATTACACTATAGCCTGGGTGAAAGAGCAAGACTCCATCTCAAAAACAAACGAAAAACAAAGATAAACATGCTGAGTAGAATAGGCAGTAATTAAGTCTTCATTTATTTATTTCTTTATTTATTTTGAGATGGAGTCTTGCTCTGTCGCCTAGGCTAGAGTGCAGTGTTGTGATCTCAGCTCACTGAAACCTCCGTCGCCTGGATTCAAGCGATTCTCCTGCCTCAGCCTCCCAAGTAGCTGGGAGGACACACACCCACCACCACACTGGCTAATTTTTTGTATTTTTAGTAGAGATGGGGTTTCGCCATGTTGGCCAGGCCAGTCTCAAACCCCTGACCTTAGGTGATCCACCCACCTCAGCCTCCCAAAGTGCAGGCATGAGCCTGCCCAACCCTTCATTTAATAATAATTTATTTTACCCCCTTGGAACTTATAATGATTTTTCAAATGGTCATGTCTTCCCAAGGAAGCTGACTAAGGTAATTTGCAATGATGCCTTTTTCCTTCTTGACCAACTTTTCTGAGTATGAAGACTCATTCAAATACATTCCATTGTCCTCAACATGCAGTCAGGTTGTTCTTTGCTCTTACATTTTAAAATAGTTACTTCCCACACCAAGGGACAAGAGGTCCTTGTTCCCTTCAGACTGTGTTTAGGCCAAGAGCAAGTAGGCAGGCAGAGGCACAGAGTACCTGATAATAGGTGTATTCTGAGAACTGCAAATGCAGAGCAGTAAAAAGCGGAGACGGCCTGTCCCATTCCATACTCACAGCAACAGACACTTGCAGATTCAACTGTTCATTTCTCAATATCAAGCCGCAGAAGCGAGACACACGCTTGCACCTTCTGCTTTTCCCAGCCAGGTTGCTTTGCTTCCAAGATCTTATGATATTCTCCAGCGTTTCACATGTTCTGTAACACTTTTAGTTTTCAGCAATTACCTGTGAGCTTCAGTCTCAAGAGACTTGCACAACTTTGCTCAACCTAAGTGATTATCACGTGATGACCTGCACAGAGCCTAAAAATAGGGCCACGTAAGGCAAGGTATCTGCTCACCCAGAAAGTCTCCTTCCTGTAAATGAAGCCAAGTCATTGGCTTGGGATAAGGCAGTGTGCTCAGCTCGGGGAGCAGAGGAAGGCCTTTTTCTTTTTTCTTTGAGATGGAGTCTCACTCTGTCGCCAGGCTGGAGTGCAGTGGCGCGATCTCGGCTCACTGCAACCTCCACCTCCCAGGTTCAAGTGATTCTCCTGCCTCAGCCTCCCAAATAGTTGGGACTACAGGTGCGTGCCGCCACACCCAACTAATTTTTGTATTTTTATTAGAGACGGGGTTTCACCATGTTGGCCAGGATGGTCTGGATCTCTTGACCTCGTAATCTGCCTGCCCCAGCCTCCCAAAGTGCTGGGATTACAGGCATCAGCCACCTCACCCAGCTGGGAGGGCCTTTTTCATTTTCCGTCTGCTTGGTCGTCACCAATCCATTCTCTATCTTGCCAGGTGTTTTGTTTTGGTTTTGAGACAGAATCTTAGTCTGTCATCCAGGCTGGAGTGCAATGGCCCCATCAGAGCTAATTGCAGCCTTGAACTCCTGGGCTCAAGTGATCCTCCTGATGCAGCCTCCGAAGTAGCTGTGACAACAGGCACACACCACCACACCCGACTATTTTTTTTTTTCTCGTTTTTTGTAAAGATGGGATCTCACTGTGTTGCCCATGCTGGTCTCAAACTCCTGGCCTCACACAATCTTCCCCCTTCAGCCTCCCAAACTGTTGGGATTACAGGCGTGAGCCAGCATGCCCCGCCTTGCATGATGCCTACGGTTTACATTGATTGTCGATTGATTGATTGAGACAGGGTCTTGCTCTGTCAGCCAGGCTGGAGTGTAGTGGTGTGAACATGACTCACCTCAGCCTTAACCTCCTGGGTTCAAGCGATCTTCCTCAAGCGATCTTCCACCCCAGACTCCCAAGTAGCTGGGACTACAGCCATGTGTCACAATACTCAGCTAATTTTTAAAATTTTTATAGACAGGGTCTTGCCTTGTTGCCCAGGCTGGTCTCCAACTCTTGGCCTTGGCCTCAGGCAATTCTTCACCTTAGCCTCCCAAAGTGCTGGGATTACAGATATAAGCCACCATGCCTGGCCTATTAAATACTGTTTAATGCCTATATGTGTAATTGACAGAAGTTGGTCTGAGACTCCCTTTCATTATAACCAGAGAGCAAGGTTATAATGAGGGGGAGTAACTACCTTTCATTCATTTCCAACTTCCTACGTGGCCAATCTCCTCTAGCAAAAGGAACCTAAAATTTGTAAATGACCAAACTGGCTAAGGTCAGTAGGCACTCATTATCCTAGAAGTCAGGTGGCCCTAATATATCTGTGCCACGATGGGCACAGGCATCCTGACTGAGCCAAGGCCTGGAGCCCAGCAGCCCTGAGTGCTGCAACAGCCAGTAATCTGCTCACTCTGGTTTCTGTCACTTCCCCAGGATCTTCAAGGAGTGGGCTGAAGATCTCTTTTTCTCCAGGAATCTATAGCCCCCTGTACCTCTGCTGGTTTTGGGGGGATCTCTCTCATGGAGTTTAATGTCTCCTTGCAAGGTATTCACTGTCTCCTCTTTCTAACCACAACCCCTCAAAGGAACCTAAGAGCCCTACAACGAAAGACAAGGAAGGAGGCAGCATCTGAGGGCTCTGAGAAGTAAATGACAGCCACAACAACAACAACAAAGATAGTAAAAATATCTTTCACGAATTAAGGTGAAAGAAAGACATTCTCAGATGAAAAAAAACAAGAAAATTTGCCACCAACAGACCTGCTCTAAAAGAAATGCTAAACAAAGTTCTTCAGCTCTCCCTCTCCCTCTCCCTCTCTCTCTCCCTCCTCTCCCTCTCCCTCTCTTTCCACGGTCTCCCTCTCCCTCTCCCCTCCTCTCCCTCTCCCTCTCTCTCTCTTTCCACGGTCTCCCTCTCATGCCGAGCCGAAGCTGGACTGTGCTGCTGCCATCTCGGCTCACTGCAACCTCCCTGCCTGATTCTCCTGCCTCAGCCTGCCGAGTGCCTGCGATTGCAGGCGCGCGCCGCCACGCCTGACGGGTTTTCCTATTTTTTTGGTGGAGAGGGGGTTTCGCTGTGTTGGCCGGGCTGGTCTCCAGCTCCTAAGCGCGAGTGATCCGCCAGCCTCGGCCTCCCGAGGTGCCGGGATTGCAGACGGAGTCTCGTTAACTCAGTGCTCAATGGTGCCCAGGCTGGAGTGCAGTGGTGTGATCTCGGCTACAACCTCCACCTCCCAGCCGTCTGCCTTGGCCCCCCAAAGTGCCGAGATTGCAGCCTCTGCCCGGCCGCTACCCCGTCTGGGAAATGAGGAGCGTCTCTGCCTGGCCGCCCATCGTCTGGGATGTGAGGAGCCCCTCTGCCTGGCTGCCCAGTCTGGAAAGTGAGAAGCGTCTCTGCCCGGCCGCCATCCCACCTAGGAAGTGAGGAGCACCTCTTCCCGGCCACCATCCCATCTAGGAAGTGAGGAGCGTCTCTGCCCAGCCGCCCATCGTCTGAGATGTGGGGAGCGCCTCTGCCCCGCCGCCCCGTCTGGGATGTGAGGAGCGCCTCGGCCCGGCCGCGACCCCGTCTGGGAGGTTAGGAGCGTCTCTGCCCAGCCGCCCCGTCTGAGAAGTGAGGAGACCCTCCGCCTGGCAACCGCCCCATCTGAGAAGTGAGGAGCCCCTCCGCCCGGCTGCCACCCCGTCTGGGAAGTGAGGAGCGTCTCCGCCCAGCAGCCACCCCGTCCGGAAGGGAGGTGGGGGTCAGCCCCCGCCAGGCCAGCCGCCCCGTCCGGGAGGGAGGTGGGGGGTCAGCCCCCCACCCGGCCAGCCACCCCATCCGGGAGGTGAGAGGCGCCTCTGCCCGGCCGCCCCTACTGGGAAGTGAGGAGCCCCTCTGCCCGGCCAGCCGCCCCGTCCGGGAGGCAGGTGGGGGGGTCAGCCCCCCGCCCAGCCAGCCGCCCCGTCCGGGAGGGAGGTGGGGGTGTCAGCCCCCCGCCAGGCGAGACGCCCCGTCCGGGAGGGAGGTGGGGGGTCAGCCCCCTGCCCGGCCAGCCGCCCCGTCCGGGAGGTGAGGGGCGCCTCTGCCCGGCCGCCCCTACTGGGAAGTGAGGAGCCCCTCTGCCCGGCCACCACCCCGTCTGGGAGGTGTACCCAACAGCTCATTGAGAACGGGCCATGATGACAATGGCGGTTTTGTGGAATAGAAAAGGGGGAAAGGTGGGGAAAAGATTGAGAAATCGGATGGTTGCTGTGTCTGTGTAGAAAGAAGTAGACATGGGAGACTTTTCATTTTGTTCTGTACTAAGAAAAATTCTTCTGCCTTGGGATCCTGTTGATCTGTGACCTTACCCCCAACCCTGTGCTCTCTGAAACATGTGCTGTGTCCACTCAGGGTTAAATGGATTAAGGGCGGTGCTAGATGTGCTTTGTTAAACAGATGCTTGAAGGCAGCATGCTCCTTAAGAGTCATCACCACTCCCTAATCTCAAGTACCCAGGGACACACACACTCTGCCTAGGAAAACCAGAGACCTTTGTTCACTTGTTTATCTGCTGACCTTCCCTCCACTATTGTCCTATGACCCTGCCAAATCCCCCTCTGCGAGAAACACCCAAGAATGATCAATAAAAAAAAAAAAACAAAAACAAAAACAAAGTTCTTCAGACAGAAGGGAAGTAATACCAGAGGGAAAACTGGAGTTTCAGGAATAAAGGAAGAGCAACAGAAATGACAAAGAGCAGGCTGGGCATGATGGCTCACACCTGTAATCCCAGCACTTTGGGAGGCTAAGGCGGGCAGATCACGAGGTCAGGAGATGAGACCATCCTGGCTAACACGGTGAAATCCCATCTCTACTAAAAATACAAAAAATTAGCTGGGCGTGGTGGCGGGCGCCTGTAGTCCCAGCTACTTAGGAGGCTGAGGCAGGAGAATGGCGTGAACCTGGGAGGTGGAGCTTGGAGTGAGCCAAGATGGCGCCACTGCACTCCAGCCTGGGCGACAGAGCAAGATTCCATCTCAAAATGACTAAGAGCTACATAAATAGACTATTTTCCTCTTCTTATGCTAGCTGAAGGCAAAATTTGTAACACTGTCTGAAGCAATTCTCAACATACCTAGATCTACAGCATAATGTGGTGGGTAAAGGAACTTGCATGGCAATATGGTTTCTACATTCCACTTCAAGTGGCACAATATTATTTCTAAGTAAACAAAGTTAAATATGAATACCATAATCCCTGCAGTAACCACTAAAATACCTATACAAAGATATATAGTCTAAACCTCAATAAATTGATTAAATGGAATACTGAGAAACATTCAAGAAATCCCAGAAAGAGAAATAAAACCTAATGAACAAAAAGAAAATAACAAAATGATACATCTATATCCAAACATATTAATAGTTACATTAAGTATAAATGGTCTAAACACACCAATTAAAGAGAAGGACTATCAGACTGAATGTTCTTTAAAACAGACCCAAACATATGCTACCTACAAGAAATCTTCTTCAAATATAAGTAGAAGGATGGAGAAAATACACCATGCAAATAATATTTTTTAATGTGAGACAGCCATATTAATATGAAAAGAGAGAGACTATGGAGTAAAGAAAATTACCAGAAATAAAGCAGGACATTAAATAATGATTTTTACAAGTCCATTTGCCAAGAAGACACAGAAATCCTAAATGTATACTTGTCCTTAGTGTCAAGAGATGAAAAAGAGAAGAAGAAGAAACAAATCATTAGATCAACAAAATACATAAAGCCAAAATGGATAGAACTGGCTGGGCGTGGTGGGTCATGCCTGTAATTCCAGCTCTTTGGGAGACCACGGCAAGAGGATTGCTTTAGCCCAGGAGACCAACCCGAGCAACAAAGCAAGACCTCATCTCTACAAAAAAATCAAAATATTAGCCCGGCATGGTAGCTGGGTGTGGTGGCACATACCTGTGGTCTCAGCTACTTGGGAGGCTGAGGTGGCTTTTTTTTTTTTCTTTTTTCTTTTTTTTTTTTGAGATGGAGTCTTGCTCTGTCACCCAGGCTGGAGTGCAGTGGTGCAATATCAGCTCACCGCAATCTCTGCCTCCCAGATTCAAGCAATTCTTCTGCCTCGGCCTCCCAAGTAGCTGAGATTACAGGCCTACTCTACCACACCCAGCTAATTAACTTTTTGTTTTTTTGAGACAGAGTTTTGCTCTTTTTGCCCAGGCTGGAATGCAATGGCACAATCTCAGCTCACTGCAACCTCCACCTCTTGGGTTCAACCCATTCTCCTGCCTCAGCCTCCTGTGTAGCTAAGATCACAGGCGCATGCCACCAGGCCCAACTAATTTTCATATTTTTAGTAGAGACAGAGTTTCACCATGTTGGTCAGGCTGGTCTTGAACTCCTGACTTCAGGTGATCTTTCTGCCTTGGCCTCCCAAAGTGTAGGGATTACAAGCGTGAGCCACCGCGCCCGGCCAATTTTTGTATTTTTAGTAGACACGGGGTTTCACCATGTTGGCCAGGCTGGTCTTGAACTCCTGACCTCAAGTGATCCACCTGCCTCAGCCTCCCAAAGTGCTGGGATTACAGGTGTGAGCCATTGCCCCATTTCTGTTCTAACATGTAAAGAGCCTGAAAGGTGCCATTTAAGTCCTCCCCACAATTAAAAAAAAAAAAAAGCTGAATAAAATAAAACTTCTTATATCCATCAGAGAACGAGGTCACAAGACAAACTCCTACCTAAAAACTGAAGAGACAGCGGGCAAATACAGAGATCACAGTTTTACCGAAGCAAAAGCCGAGTAAGCCAATAACTGGTAAAAACACATGGCAACTGATGATTGCTGGAAGCTGATTATAGACAAGTATAAGAGAAAATCCTGAGGCCCAATCTTTCAGGGTAGGGGCAGGAAGTGACATACTTTCATAAGTTTTGTTACATCTCCAAAAGCCTCACCAGATTCTCATGATGAAGACTGGAGAATAAAATAAATCCCCCACTCTTCGGACAGGTGGAGAGAGAGAAAAAAATAACCATTTTGAAATTCACTCAAAGAAAAGTAACCATTTTGAAAAATGCCCAGAACATTCTGTTTTCCATAACAAAGGCCTTCCATCCAGGAAAACTACTTTATCAGAACCTTATCTGGCCAAGGGAAAAGGAAAACTTGAAAAATGAAGCCTCCAGTAGCTTTCTGGATAACTTAATGGGGTGGGTGGGTCAGGGGAGGAAGAGAGAAAGAAAGGAGGGAAGAGGAGGAGGAGGGAGAGGGAAGAGAGGCAGGGAGGGAGGGAGGAAGACAGGCAGGCAGGCAAAGAAACTTCTGAAGTTCACAGTCCAGGAACTCAGACTTACTAAAAAACTGAGACTCACAGGATTACAGGACATTTTCCTTCCCTAATACCTTACCACCACATCAACAGGGCTGTAGTATAATCACAGTGAATTACAATGGAGGGGCAAGATAAAAACTTCACTTGTAATGGTTAATTTTTGGTGTCATCTTGACTGAATAAAGAAATACGTAGAAACCCGCTAGGGCATTATGTTTGGGTGAGTCTGTGATGGTGTTTCCAGGGCAGATTAGCATGGGAGTCTGAGTGGACTAGGTGGGGAAGATTTACCCTCAATGTGGGCAGGTACCATCTAATCTGCTGGGGGCCTGGAGAGAACAAAAACAGAGAAAAGGCAAATCTATCTGCTGAGCTGCCATGCACTCTTCCTCTCCTGTCCTGGAACAACAACTCCAGACTCCCAGCATTTGGACTCCAGGACTTACACTGGCGACCCCCGCAGGCTCTCTGAGCTTTGGCTTCAAATTGAGAGTTACATCATTGGTTTCCCTGGCTCTGAGGCCTTCAGACCTGGCCTCAGCCATGCTATTAGCATCCTAGGACCTCCAGTTGGCAGCCAGCCGGGCACTGGACTTTTCGGCCTCCACAGTCACATGAGTCAGTTCTCCTAACACATCCCCTCTCACATACCTATTATCCATAAATACACAGACAGATACCCTGTTGGTCTCTCTGGAGAACCCTCATACACCACTTAAGGAGTATCTAGAAAAATCCAAAAATAGTTGGGAAACAAAAATGGACACGGGAGGAATATGAAGCCTCTGCCATCTACAGCTACAATAAACATTAAACCCAGACTAACTGCCAGGCAGAGAAACACAAAACCTCACACTAAAGATCCATTTACTTAAGTTCCTATAGCCCAATCAATACATCATGTCCAGCTTTCAACAAACGATTATAAGATAAATTAAAGTCAAGAAAAAAAAAAAGTCTGAATACACAAAGCAAGCATCAGAACCCACCTCAGATCTGACAAAGATTTTGCAATGATCAGACTGAGACTTTCAGATAACTATGATTAACATGTGAGGGGCTGTAATGGGAAAAAGTGGACAACATACAAAAAGATGAGTAAGGTTCATAAAAATATGCAAACTCTAAGAAAGAATCAGAAGAAAATGCTAGAGATCAAAAACATTGTAACAGACCCGGCATGGTAACTCATGCCTGTAATCCCAGTGCTTTGGGAGGCCAAGGCAGGAGGCTTGCTGGAGCCCAGGAGTTTGAGGCTGCAGTGAGCTATTATTACACCACTGCACTCCAACCTAGGTGACACAGCAAGACCCATCTCTAAAACAAACAAACAACAACAACAACAACAACAAAAATGAAAACAAAGCAACACCATTGTAACAGAAATGAAGAATGCTGGCTGGGTGCAGTGGCTCACACCTGTAATCCTACCACTTCGGGAGGTTGAGGCAAGAGGGTCACTAGAGGCCAGGAGTTTGAGACCAGCCTGGGCAACACAGTGAGACAAAAAAAAATCTAAAAATTAGCCAGGCATGGTGGTGCATACCTATAGTCCCAGGAGTTTGAGGCTGCAGTGAACTATGATCTCACCACTACACTCCAACCTGGGCAGCAGAGTGAGACCCTGTCTCAAAAAAAAAATTTTCTTTTAAAACAATACCTTTGATGGGCTCATCAGTAGACTGCTCATGGTAGAGGAAAGAATCAACGAGCTTGAAAATATTTCAATAGAAACTTCACAAACTGAAAAGCAAAGAGAACAAAGAATAGGGGTGGTAGAGTGGAGGAAGAACAGAATCTTCAACAGCTATGAGACAATTATCAAAGGTGTAACACATGCATAATGGGAACATTAGAAGTAGAAAGAGAGGAAGAAATGTTTGAAGTAATAATGGCTGAGAATTTCCCCATACCACAGACTCAGGAAGCTCAGAGAGCACCACACAGGATAATACCAAAAAATCGAGGCCGAGGCCTATCATATTCAAATTGGAGAAAACCAAAAGAAAGACCTAGACCTATCATATTCAAATTGGAGAAAACCAAAAGAAAGACCTAGACCTATCATATTCAAACTGCAGGAACCCAAAACAAAGAGAAACCTGAAAGAAGCCAGAAGAAAAAAAACCCTTAGGAGCAAAGTTAAGTATTACATCAGACTTCTCATATACCATGAAGCCAAGAAAAAGATATTCTATATTTTGGGCCATAAAACATATATCAATACATTTAAAAGAATAGAAATAATACAAAATATGCTATCAGACCATAATAAAATTAAATTAGAATTCAGTAATAGAAAGATGCAACCGAAAATCTCCATGCACTTGAAAATTAAACAACACATCATTTCTCAATAATCCACTGGTCAAAGAGGACATTGCAAGAAAAAAATTAAATATATTAAACTGAATGAAATGAAATGCAACATACAAAAATCTGTGGGATACAGCTAAAGCAGTTCTCAGAGGAAAATTTATTATTAAATGCTTATAATAGAAAAGAAGGGCTTGAATCAATAATTTCAGCTTCCAGCTCAAGTAACTAGAAAAAAAGAGCAAAATAAACTGAAGCAAGCAGAAGAATGAAAATAACAAAGAGGGGAAATCAATAAAACTGAACGCAGAAAAGTAATAGAAAAAAAATCAGTAAAACCCAAAGCTGATTTTTGAAGTTCAATAAAATTGATAAACCTCTAGCAAAACTAACGAAGGGAAAAAAAGAGAAAGAATTTACAAATTTTCATTTGTCAGATCTCAAAAAAAAAAAGACAAACTGCCATTATTGGCAATAAAAGAGAGAATTGTATCTTTACAGATTCTGCAGGCATAATAGGATAATAAACTCCTATTATTTAGGAGTACTAAATAATAGGATACTATAAACTCCACACACATAAATTCAACAGTTTAGATTAAAAGGACCAATTTCTTTCTTACTTTTTTTTTTTAAAGACAGACTCTCACTCTGTCACCTAGTCGGGAAGAGTAGTGGCCTGATCATGGCTCATAGCAGCCTCAACCTCCTCCGCTCAAGCAATCCTCCTACCTCAGCCTCCTGAGTAGCTGTGACTACAGGCACGTGCCACCATGCCTGGCTTATTTTTTAAATTTTTTTGTAGAGACAGTGTCTCACTATGTTTCCCAGACTGGTCTCAAACTCCTGTGCTCGAGTGATCCTGCCACCTCAGCCTTCCAAAGTTCTGGGATTACAGGAGTAAGCCACCACACCCTGCCACCAATTTCTTAAAAACCACAATCAGAACTTTTCCAAGATGAAAGAGATGATCTGAATAGCAGCCCTGAAATTGAAGAAAGAAATTGAATTTGGAATTGAGTGTGGTGGCTCATCCCTATAATCCCAGTGCTTTGGGAGGCTGAGGCAGGAGGATCACTTGAGGCCAGGAGTTTGAGACCAGCCTGGGCAACACATTGAGACCCCTCCCTGTCTCTACAAAATATTTTTTTTTTTCCTGCTGGGTGTGGTGGCTCACACCTGTAATCCCAGCACTTTGGAAGGCCCAGGTGGGTAGATCACTTGAGGTCAGGAGTTTCTGAGACCAGCCTGGCCAACATGGTAAAACCCCGTTTCTACCAAAAAAATATTAGCCGGGCATGGTGATGCATGCCTGTAATCCCAGTTACTAGCAGGACTGAGACAGGAGAATCACTTGAACCCAGGAGGTGGAGGTTGCAGTGAGCCAGGATAGCGCCACTACACTCCAGCCTGGGTGACAGAGCGAGACTCTGTCTCAAAAAAAAAAAAAAAAATTAAATTAGAAATAAATTATATAAATTAAATTAGTAATAGAAAGATACAACAGGAAAATCTACAAACACTTGAAAACCAAACAGCAAGTTTGAATAACTTATCCTGCTGCAGGTGCATACATGCCAAGGAGTTTATACGTGTTTTTATTAAACAAGATAATTTACATTTACCTGGGAGCGTCTGTGATAATGCTTCCCAAGGGAGCGCCACAGTGCTGGGTTGGAGCAGCAGTAGGGTGGGATGCTGGTGCAGAAGCCACTGCATGCCTGCAGCTCTTCCACAGCAGCCAGCGGCCCATGTCTCAGAGCCTGGAGGGCAAGACAGCGATGAATGGAAGTGGGCAGGTCACCTCCTCCTGGGAGGCCCTGCAGGAGGCAGGAGAGATGTGGGTGCAGATATGTTCTGAGCGACACCTGAGAGGCCGACGACTGGTAACCCAGATTCCCTCAGAGGCAGAAGGCATGGCCTGGTGTGGAGCAAGCACGGAGGCGGAGGAAGCAGCCACAGGAAGAGCAGTCCTTCCTGAATGCAGCAGGGCCACAACTGAGCCCCACTACCCTTGTCACTATGGAAATGTCACGACTGTCAAGGAACCACCCAGAGCTTTCTCAGGAGCCTCGCTGGCACATCTGATTCTCTGTCAAAGCTAGGTACTGCAGCCGGGCGTGGTGGCTCACACTTGTAATCCCAGCACTTTGGGAGGCCAAGGTAGGAGGATCACTCAGAAGATGGAGGCCAGCCTGGCCAACATGGCAAAACCCTGTCTCCACTAAAAAAAAAAAAAAATTTTAGCTGGGCATGGTGGGCACCTGTAGTCCCAGCTACTTGGGAGGCTGAGGCAGGAGAATCGTTTTAACACAGGAGGCAGAGGGTGCAGTGAGCTGAGATTGGGCCATTGCACTCCAGCCTGGGCGACAGAGCAAAACTCTGTCTCAAAACAAAACAAAAGCTAGAAATTGCAGAGAAGAATTCATATAGACACCAATATGGTTTGGATCTGTGTCCTTGCCCAAACCTCATGTTCAACTATAATACTCAATGCCGGAGGTGGGGCCTGGTGGGAGGCAACTGGATTGTGGGGGCGGTTTCTCATGGGTAAGCACCATCCCCTTGGTGCTGTTGTCAGGATAGTGAGTTCTCATGAGATTTGGTTGTTTAAAGGCATGTGGCACCTCCTCGCTTGCTCTCTCATGCTCCTGCTCCCACTGTGTGAGCCACCTCACTCCCCACTCGCCTTCCGCCATGATTGGAAGCTCCCTGAGGCCTCCCCAGCAGCAGAAGCCGCTATGCTTCCTATACAGTTTGCAGAACCCTGAGCCAATTAAACCTCTCTTCTTTATAAATTACCCAGTCTAAGGTATTTCTTTATAGCAGTGCGAGAACGAACTAATACAGATACTTTTTTTTTTTTAGCTTTTCCAAAATGTCAGAGATCCTGGGCAAGTAGACTTTTTTTTTTTTTTTTTTTTTTTTGAGAAGGAGTTGCTCACTCTGTCACACAGGCTGGAGTGCAGTGGCGCAATCTCAGCTCACTGCAACCTCCACCTCCCAGGCTCATGCGATTCTCCTGCCTCAGCCTCTCGAGTAGCTGGGACTGCAGGCACACGCCACCATGCCTGGCTAATTTTTGTATTTTTTGTAAAGACGGGGTTTCACCATGTTGGCCAGGCTGGTCTCAAACTCCTGGCCTCAAGTGATCCATCCATCTCAGCCTTCCAAAGTGCTGGGCGTGAACCACCGCGCCCAGCCAAATCCTGGGCAAGTAGATGTTATTATTCTGAAAAAAACTGATGACTGCTCTATAAGTAGGTGTTGTCACCATGAAAGCTCCCCTTTCTCACTCATTAATAAGTAAGCCCCGATGGCTGGCTGGGTGAGGATGCCACAGCTTGCTACGACTATGATGTCTTTACTCCTGTAAGAACCACGTCAAAATATCCAGAAAAAGGAAGGCTGATCACGTAAGGGGATAATCTTGCCTTTCATTATAATAAGCAGGTTTCATAGCCACAGTACTGCTCATCATTAAGGAAACACAAATTAAAACAACTTAAGAAAGGGTTTCCCTCCCTGTCTCACCAGGGGCAAGGTGTCTGGCACGCCAGGGTCAAGGAGTGGGCCTGTGTGAGCCTGGCCAGCCCAGACCCTCCAGCACTCCTCGAAGGAGCCTGCTGGGAGGTTGTGATAAGAGAACTCAGTGCACACCTGCCCCAGCAGCAGCCTGAGTACACAGTGACAGGGCTGCAGGGAGGAAGGAAGGTGGAGACATTTTAGTCCAGAGAGAAGGAAAACAGGAAGACTTGGAAACTCTTCATGGAATGCTATTTAAAAGTTGCTTTAGGCTGGACACAGTGGCTCACACCTGGAATCCCAGTACTTTGGGAGGCTGAGGCAGGTGGATCACTTGAAGTCAGGAATTTCAGACCAGTGTGGCCAGCATGGTGAAACTCTGTCTCTACTAAAAATACAAAATTAGCTGGGCATAGTGGCACACGCCTGTAATCCCAGTTACTCAGGAGGCTGAGGCAGGAGAATTGCTTGAATCCTGGGAGGCAAAGGTTGCAGTGAACCAAGATCACACCACTGCACTCCAGCCTGGTCAAGAGAGTGAGACTCTGTCTGAAAAAAAAAAAAAAAAAAAAAAAAAAGGTTGCTTTAGCTCAGCAAAAAATCAAAATCCTAACAAAAGGGAAACACATCACGGTATATATTTTCAACAGCACTGAAGCTAACAGGCCATGTACTGTGTCAACATGCAGACACCTGTCTATAAAAACACTAACCAAGAGAACTCAGCAGAAGCCTAGCACACACAGCTTTCAACTCTGCAGAACGCATGTGCAGACACAGGAGGACATGAGGACAGACCCTGCAGGGTCACCACAGCATCTTAGTAATACAGTCTGTTCCTTTAAGTTGCCTAAGTTTATACTTTTTTGAAGTGTTTGCACATTTTGCCATTCTGAGTAGTTTTTTTTTTTTAATGAGACAATTGTTGCAATTTATTTTTGTTTCAGTCAAGTGACCTTAAAGGTTGAGGGGAAAAAAAACGGCCCCAGGAGATTTTCTTAACACTCCCTCCCTGGGAGTGCAGTGCTGGGGCCCACTCTCTGAGCTGTCAGAGCCACTGGAGAGGTGTCTCTACCACTGACCCCTCACTACGGTGCTTGCTTTTGTAATTATCTTTTGGTGATATAAAACTTGTATTTCTTGAGTGCTCATCATGTACTGGACACATTCCTAGGCACTTTGGAATTTATCCTTCTGAAGAAGGCACTATTATTACCCATTTTACAGGTGAGGAAATTGAGCCACAGAAGAGGCTAAGCAATTTGCCCAAGGTCACAGATCTGCTAAGTGAACTCACAGTGAGTGATAACGCCAGAGTTGGAACACAAACCTTTACATACTGCCCCATACCTACTAACAGCACACAAGCATATAAGGTAGTTTTGATAGTTTTCTAAAAGTTTTTCCATGAAATAAGTACAGGAATTTGATATCCAAAATACACGGAAAATGTCTCTTCCAGCTCTAAATCAACCTGAAAAGCCCTAGTGTCATGTAAGAATCTGTATTAGTAAACTGAATTATAAGGAAAGAATATTAACTTGCTTCCTCCCCAGAACAAAAAAGCAATACTTCAACCAAACATTCCACGTCCCGGTCCATTCTATCCATCTGTTATAAAACTGAGACACTTTCTCTTCCCCAGAACCTGGGTGTAACCTTTCTAGTTTCATGTTGACTATAAAGAAATAAAAGAATAGGCCAGGCGTGGTGGCTCACACCTGTAATCTCAGCACTTTGGGAGGCCGAGGCGGGCGGATCACCTGAGGTCTGAAGTTCCAGACCAGCCTGGCCAACATGGTGAAACCCTGTCTCTACTAAAAATACAAAAATTAGCTGGGCATGGTGGCACATGCCTGTAGTGCCAGCTACTCGGGAGGCTGAGGCAGGAGAATTGCTTGAACCTGGGAGGCGGAGGCTGCAGTGAGCCGAGATCACACCACTGCACTCCAGCCTGGGCGCCAAGAGCAAAACTCCATCTCAAAAAAAAAAAAAAATTAAAGAATAAAATAACATAGCCTATAAAATCTATGCTGAAAAATCCTAAGAACAGTCTACCCCTTTTCTCATGATTATTCCAACTTTCATATCTGAAATTCCAGCCATGCGATTAGGAGCCTAGAGGCATAACACACAACACTGATGCTCTTCTACGCTCTCTACACGTATCCTAAAGTGCACAGACTCTGACAGAGGCCTGAACATTTGGGGTTTCTATTTCTAAAGAATGAGCCTGCTGTGAAGGTCAGTGTCAACACCAACAATTCAAAGGCCCTAAAAGAGGATTCAGAATTGCCTGTCAACCTAAATGTAGATAAAACACAGCAATCTGAGGAGCCCATTGATGGGAAAATTACCATATTTTGCTATTGCAACTACTTGAAGTCCATGCCAAACAAAATAAACTAAAATAAAATGTTACAATCCTGGGCTGATGCAGTTTCCCCTGAGTCAACTAAAAAGACTTTGCATGGAACCATTTCTAAGTCTGACACACATAGAGTTCAAGGTCTGAGGAGACCTGAAAAGTTTCCAACATGGCGGTGACTAGGGACCCTGGAGCAGACAAGAGCCTGGAGCATCAGGCCATAGCCTGTTCCATACAGCACACCTGTTCCTGGTGGTCAGGAATGAATTCCCTGCAAGCATCCAGTGTAAAAATCACCCAGAAACAGGAACCAATAAGGGAAAGAAACCTGGGAAGGAGTGTGGGGAGTCAGGAAGCAGAGAAACCAGCCACACCCCTGCCCTTCACTGACGTCTGCGCTCAGAGCTGTTTGCCTAAAGTGTATCTGTTATTTGAATGATTCTAGTATAAATGACTGTTTCAAAAGTCCCCTATTTTAAATCACAGAATTTTAGAGCTTTATGGCACCTTAAATTCCCTTGTCCATTATCTCAACTGACTCAGGAAAACTATTCTCACTTGACAATGGAGAAAATGAAGCACAGACATCTGGATCCCAAAGTCATTTCAAGAAACAAAGCTAGTGTCTGTGCCATGGCATGGCTGGGCAAGGGCCTTGTGCCCACCACCGTCTTTTTTTTTTTTCTAGGAGAATGCTTTATTAGGCATAAAAATGCCATTGAAATGCTTTAAAATGCAACAGGAGGAGATGTGAAGACCCAAAGAACAAGTACACAGTGACACATGGCTATCAGAACACACGAAGTAAAGAATCCACACCGCTTCCACCCTTTACCCAGAAAGGGAAGGATCCAGGCCACCTCCTCCTCATGCATGCCCCACTTTACAGGAAGTGTCCACATCTCCCCTCCTAGACAGGTCCTGGAGCTCCTCCTGTTGGACCTTCTGGGGCCATCGGTGGCTAAATATCAGGTTTCTGTTCCTTGAGGGAGGAAACAGAGGAAGCACAGATTGGCATGGTAGATAGAGGTGCAGACAGAAATCCAGTCTGGAATATGTTGAGTTTAATGTAGCTACATGGTATGGGGGTGGAATCCTTGAGTGTAGATGTGGGCATGAGGGGCTGAAAAAATGTCACATGCAAAGCTCCTAGGAGTCTTCTTTTTTCCCACCTCCTCACATAACAGAGCCAGAGAAAAATACAGTATTTCATCAAATTTGAGATGCCACTAATTCTAAGACAAATGATGACGAAAAACTGCTGTCAAAATGTGACCCAGTGCTAAGATGGCATCAGTTTTTAAATGTACCCCCAAGTCAAAAATACTATCAAGCAAAGAAAAAAAAAGGTTTATCTTAGAATAGATGAAATATAGTAAACTTTTTATTGGTTGGAGGTCTTTAGATGGCAGTGAATATAGGACTAGCTTTTTAACTTGTTATTCTGAAAAACTTTCAAATGTATAGAAAATTTAAAAGAATAGGCCAGGTGCGGTGGCTCACACCTGTAATCCCAGCACTTTGGGAGGCCGAGGCGGGCGGATCATGAGGTCAGGAGATCGAGACCATCCTGGCTAACATGGTGAAACCCCGTCTCTACTAAAAATACAAAAATTAGCTGGGCGTGGTGGCAGGCGCCTGTAGTCCCAGCTACTCCAGAGGTTGAGGCAGGAGAATGGCATGAACCCAGAAGGCGGAGCTTGCAGTGAGCCGAGATTGCGCCACTACACTCCAGCCTGGGCAACAGAGCGAGACTCCGTCTCAAAAAAAAAAAAAAAAAAAGAATAGGCCAGGTGTGGTGGCTTGCGCCTGTAATCCCAGCACTTTGGGAGGGCAAGGTGGATGGATCATGAGGTCAGGAATTCGAGACCAGCTCGGCCAACATGGTGAAACCCCGTCTCTACTAAAAAGTAAAAAATTAGCTGGGCATGGTGGCGTGGGCCTGTAATCCCAGTTACTCAGGAGGCTGAGGCAGGAGAATTGTTGGAACCCAGGAGGCAAAGGTTGCAGTGAGCCGAGATCGCGCCATCCAGCCTGGGCGACAGAGCAAGTACTCAGTCTCAAAAAAAACACAAAACAACAAAAAAAAAAACTTGTAAGAATAGTACAAAAAATTCTCCAATACTCCCTCACTCGGCTGGCTTCACCACCTGTTTCCACTTTTCCCCTTTACCACAACCATTTTGTCATTTTCTCTCCCTCACTTCCTCCCTCCCTCCATATCATCTATCTACCCCTGCTCCTCTCCTTCTCCATTTGAAATCGGGTATCAGACTTTGTGCCCCTGTATCCCTAAATAGTTCAAAATGTATTCACTAAGCTCAAGGAGACAGTCACAGTACAACAAACTAGGGAAATTTGACATTTATACAATCCACCATTCAGATCAAATTCTGTCCATGGTGCCAACAATGTCCTTTACAGCTATCTTTTTCACCCCAGTCCAGTTTCCAATTCAGAGACAAGCACTGTACACGGTTTTCCTGTCCCTTTAAACCAGACCATTTTCTCAGTCTCTGTTTCTGAACTTTGAAGTCTTTGGAGTAGACACAGGCAGGGCGTTATGTAGAATGTCCCAGAGTCTGTCTGGTGTCTGCACAATTAGATTCAAGGGTGGCAGGAACACCTGGGTCAGGTGTGTCCTTGGCACATCTCATGGGGGGCACAGATGTCTCATAACTGGTGACAGTAACTGCAATCGCTTGGTTAGCATGGTGACTGCAGCAGGGTAGTCACCTTTATGTGAGTTTGAATTATGAGAAGTTTATTCATTTTTATTTTATTTTACTTTTTTGAGACAAGATCTTGCTCTGTTACCCAGGCTGGAGTGCGGTGGTGCATCCCCACTCACTGTAGCCTCCACTTCCCGTGCTCAAGTGATCCTCCTACCTCAGCTTCTCAAGTAGCTTGAACCACAGGCACATGCCACTGTGCCTAGCTAATTTTTCATTTTTTTTTGGTAGAGATGGGGTTTCAGTACATTGCCCAGGTTGGTCTCGAACTCCTGAACTCAAGAGATCCTCTCACCTCAGCCTCCCAAAGTTCTGGGATTACATGCATGTGCCACCGTGCCAGCCTGAGAATTTTAAGTGGTGAAAGTCTACAATGATAAGAGTCTTACTTTATGTGCACAGTTGGAAATAATAAAAATTCAGTAAGAATTTAAAATGTATCAAGAATTGCTTCGCTTTAAAGCTGTGCAACAGTGTACACTATCAAGTACAGTTTAAAACTTTTGCCACAGAGCAAGGCCTGGCTGGTCTTGAACTATGCAGGCTGTGGACTGTGTCCACTTCAGACCTGCCCCTGCAAACATCCTGCTTGACACAGTTTCCTGAGGAACCGTACCAGAAATCAGTACAGGCCATTAATGTAGATTGTGGGGTTCCGAAATTGGGCATCCACGTTTCTGTCCCTACCCAGAGTTGGGGAAAATCTCAGCCTGTCACTTACCTTCATTTGGGGCCTTGGAGAGCAGTGACAACGTTGCCTGAAGCAGGGAGCTAACTGGCCGGGCTGCAGCCCGCCCTCTGGAGTCCCTGCTGGTCATCCCAGGACCGTGGGTACTCAGTTTTACTCACTGGTCCACATGGAGACACGCGTCCCCAAGTCTGTTCAAGGCCCTGCCGCCTCTCCTGTGTTGGAGACCTGGCACGCTACCCACTTCTGCCTGCCTGGTTTTGTCCTCCTCCCGAGCATGGCTGGAAGTCCCAAGGCCACGTGGCCGGACAGTCCAGCACATCCCTCCTCAGGTCACTTGAGTACAGGACAGGCAGAGGCCTTCCAGATACAAGGAGCTCTCCCTGGGGTTGGGACAACCTACTCAAAATCTGCACCGAGCAGACTCTCCCTGTTGATTTTTAAATAATTAATAGCTGTTTACTACATTCCTATGCCCTTGAAACGAAAACTCCAAGTTAGTGAATATTGCACTATATTGACTGATGCTGGTTCTCATGTTTAGGGTCTGACACCACCCATGACTCTAAGGGGAACCTGGAGGTCCTCTTTGTGAATAGAGCTCCTGTGAGGTCCATCCTGGCGGGGGAGCCCACCACCCCTCTTTGTGTGGGGCCAGCAGAAGCTCGGGGCTTACTACTGTCCTAGTCCCAGGAACAGACTCATTTTTCTGAAATATTTTCTTTTCTTTTCTTTTTTTTTTTTTTGAGATGGAGTTTCACTCTCGTTGCCCAGGCTGGAATGCAATGGCGCGATCTCGGCTCACTGCAATCTCCACCTCGCAGGTTCAAGAGATTCTCCTGCCTCAGCCTATGGAGTAGCTGGGATTACAGGCATGTACCACCACACCTGGCTAATTTTGTATTTTTAGTAGAGATGGGGTTTTTCCACGTTGGTCAGGCTGGTCTTGAACTCTCAACCTCAGGTGATCTGCCTGCCTCGGCCTCCCAAAGTGCTGGGATTACAGGCGTGATTTTTTTTTTTTTTAGACGGAATCTCACTCTGGCGCCCATGGAGTGCAGTAGCGCAATCTTGGCTCACTGCAACCTCCGCCTCCCAGGATCAAGCGATTCTTCCATGTCAGCCTCTGGCGTAGCTGGGATTACAGGTGTGCCCCACCACACCTGGCTAATTTTTCTATTTTTGGTAGAGACGGGGATTCACCATGTTGGTCAGGCTGGTCTCAAATTCCTGACCTCAAGTGATCTGCCCGCCTCAATCTCCCAAAGTGCTGCGATTACAGGTATAAGCCACCTCGCCCGGCCCTGAAATGTTATTTCCATGGGCGCACACACGCACACAAAGCCACAAAAAGCAAAGCACAATTCATTAAGTCCTTAATACTCTTGCTTAAAAATGGAATTTGATTAGCTGGGCGCAGTGGTTCATACCTGTAATCCCAGCACTTT
Organism: Homo sapiens; assembly: GCF_000001405.40. Lineage (NCBI taxonomy): Eukaryota > Metazoa > Chordata > Mammalia > Primates > Hominidae > Homo > Homo sapiens. The sequence goes on from NC_000020.11 coordinate 25,578,552, forward strand.
GGGAGGCTGAGGCAGGTGGATCATGAGGTCAGGAGACCGAGACCATCCTGGCTAACACGGTGAAACCCCGTCTCTACTAAAAATAGAAAAAATTAGCCGGGCATGGTGGCGGGCGCATGTAGTCCCAGCTACTCAGGAGGCTGAGGCAGGAGAATGGCGTGAACCTGGGAGGTGGAGCTTGCAGTGAGCGGAGATCGCCCACTACCACTCTAGCCTGGGTGACAGAGCGAGACTCCATCTCCAAAAAAAAAAAAAAAAAAAGGAATTTGATCAAGCAGTAAAGCTCAAGCAAAATTAAATTAAATTAAATTAAATGGAGTCATGCACATGCCTGTAGTCCCAGCTACTTGGGAGGCTGAGGTGGGAGAATGCTTGAACCCAGGAGTTCAAGTCAAGCCAGGCAACACAGTGAAACCCTGTCTCTAAAACATAAATAAATAAAATAAAAATGGGACTTTGAGCTAACAGTCCTCATACTGCTTCTCAACCAGCATGTGTAGACAGGATCACATAAGTCACAGCTTTTCTCTAGCACTGAAAATACCTCATCTTCTTGTTAAGGTAAAGAAATGATATAGTCCCTCGGAGGCAGTAAGGGATGTTGGAAACCCCACTGTGTTGGGAGGCACAGCAGGGGACATGGAATTTGCAGAGCCTCTCCAGACCGGAGCACCCCTGACCTCCATGTGACCCTGAGTATGTTATTATCCTCTCTGACCCTCGCACTCTCTGTGTGTGAGATGGGGGCAACAGTACACCCCGGCTCAGCCTCCTGCTATGAGTACTCCGTGAAAGAATTTAACAAAAACACTGAGAACAGTGCCTGGCACCTACTGAATGCTCATTCAAAATTTAAAAACAAAACACCAGGAGACCTGAGCTCCATTTCTGGCAGCCACAACCAGTGCACAAGTCATGCACGGGGACTGGGCACAGGTGACACGCTACCTTATGGTGAGGCTCACACAGCCCCCACGGACCAGGCACCCAAAAGCCTGTCCTTCCTGTCCCCACACCCCCACGCCACCCTGCCTCTGGAGACAGCCGGGGGAGGCCTCCTGGTGACTGGTTCAAATGGCCCAGGACTCCACTACCCTGGCTGGGGGCACCAGCTGTCACTCCTCATTCTTCAGAGAGGCACAGAAGCCACAGAAGCCAAGCTCCCTCTCTCCATGGATGTGAGAGGCTGTGTGCAGAAGAGAAGCCACCTGCGTCCCTCAGGGCCACTTCAACAATGGAGCAGCCCATCCTGAGGTCTTCGGTGAACTCCCTGTTTATTTAAGCCAGACTGAGTTGGGTTTTCCAACACTAGTGGCTAAAATATCCTAACTGATATACTCTACAAATGTAAAATTCTTTACCAGAGGCTTAAAAACTGAGAGATTTTGAAGAGTGATTGCCCCTCAGGTCTCTGACCACTCTTAGAAACTCCAACAAACCAAAATTGTTACTTTACTCAACAAAGCAGATCCAAAAATAAGGTTATAAGAAGATGTGTGGGCTGGGCATGGTGGCTCAAGCCTGTAATCCCAGCACTTTGGGAGGCCGAGGCGGGTGGATCACCTGAGGTCAGGAGTTCGAGACCAGCGTAGACAACGTGGTGAAACCCCGTCTCTACTAAAAAATACAAAAATTAGTTGGGCGTGGAGGTGGACACCTATAATCCCAGCTACTCAGGAGGCTAAGACAGGAGAATTGCTTGAACCCAGCAGGCAGAGGTTGCCGTGAGCCAAGATTGCGCCATGGCACTCCAGCCTGGGCAACAGAGTGAGACTCCACCTAAAAAAAAAAAAAAAATGTAATGATTGCCCCTTATGAGATACAAAGTAACAATCAATGCACAAAAATTGGTATATCCTAGAGGTTCTCAAACTTGATTGCTTCAGAGGTACCTAGAGAGCTCTCCTGTTTCAGAAACTAACAAATGACTTCGACTCCAGGGAGACTATACAGCAGTCTTGAGGGAAACGGGTCACCTCGCTTGGAGGATGATGGAAGGCTCCATTATCTTTCTGAAGTCCAAGGAAAGACAATCGGGTTCAGAAAGGGAAGTACAACCAGGCAGCGCCAGATGCATGCTTGAACCTAGGTCAAAAAAGGATGAAAATACAAGCCATGCTCTAAAAGACTCCTCTGTCCCAGAAAATTGTCTGTCCATTCACAAACAACAATAATCAGAATCCAGGAGGCTCAAAGTTGCCCCAAGGTGGGAGAAGGAAAGCCTGCCTCCAAATAGCTCCAGGTAGAGTATGACCCAAACTTTTGGCCTCAGCTTGTGAGTAACCAAATGTCTTGGCCTTGGGCCTGAATTCCTAATCTGCACTTGAAGCCAAGGACTAAGCTAAACTCAAACCTAGATTCCAGTTACAGCCACCGCGGCTTAACTACTTACACAATAACCAAGGAATGGAACAGCAAAGTGGCCACAGCGCTGGAAATGCCTTCCAGGGCAGAGGACGCTATTACCTGCAGCTAGGAAGCCATGCCAGTTCAGGTGTGAGGCCAAGACACTGCTCCTGTTTTTGCTTCCTGCTTCCAAATCTGTCTTGTGCCAGGAAAGAGGAAAGCTATCTAGTAGCTACCTGCTCATGGCAAGATCCAAAAGTAGGCTGGGTGCAGTGGCTCACGCCCGCAATCCCATCATCGCTTTGGGAAGCCAAGGCAGGTGGATCATTTGAGGTCAGGAGTTTGAGACCAGCCTGGCCAACATGGCGAAACTCTGTCTCTACTAAAAATACAAAAATTAGCTGAGCGTGGTCAGGCACATATAATCCCAGCTACTCAGGAAGCTGAGACAAGAGAATCGCTTGAACCCGGGAGGCAGAGATTGCAGTGAGCCAAGATTGTGCCACTGCACTCCAACCTGGGTGACAGAGCGAGACTCCTTCTCAGTTTAAAAAAAAAAAAAATCCAAAGGTAAATGTCCACCATAGAAAGAATGTGCTCACAGAGCCCCGCTCACATGCTCTAAGTCTCAAATGCCACATGTGCCATCTTCTAAAAAACTTAAAAAGAGTCATTAGTGGTTTAAATGATGACAGATTGAATTGATCTGTATTGGCAAATAAAAGTGGGATATGTGTGTTTATGTAAAGTTCAGGTGCAATAAAAATTAGCGGATAACTCTTTTTTGTAGAATGAGAAAATAGCAAGCCTTCTCCAAGGAACTTGAACTCACTGTAAAAGGGGAAGCTACAGACACTGTTGGAACTTTGCCATTCTTGTTATTCTATTTTCCATCACCAAATGTTCAAAGGATACCCAAACATTAAAAGACTTACAACATGCTCTTAGCAAATGACCATATCAATTCACCCACCTTAGAGCAGTCCTATAAATCACAACATATGGGATAAGTATGAGTTAGCGAAAAAGTTTCCATTGAAGTTAATATAAACTGCTCAATTAAATTTTGCTCAAGTCCGGCCAGGCGTGGTGGCTCACGCCTGTAATCCCAGCACCTTGGGAGGCCGAGCGGGGTGGATCACGAGGTCAGGAGATGGAGACCATCCTGGCCAACATGGTGAAACCCCGTCTCTACTAAAATAAAAAAATTAGCTGGGCATGGTGGTGTACTCCTATAATCCCAGCTACTCAGGAGGCTGAGGCAGGGGAATCACTTGAACCTGGGAGGTGGAGGTAGCAGTGAGCCGAGATCGCGCCACTGCACTCCAGCCTGGCGACAGAGCGAGACTCCATATCAAAAACAAACAAACAAACAAACAAAAAACAAAACTTTTTGCTTAAGTCCTAACTATTCCTCTATAAAGTGCTTTCTTTCCAATTTGATGGAGTTAAATGTTATCTGAGGTCAGGTGTGGTGGCTCATACCTGTAATCCCAGCATTTTGGGAGGCTGAGGCAGGTGGATCACTTCAGCCCAGGAGTTGGAGACCACCCTGGGCAAGACTCCCGGCTCTACATTAAAAAGAAAAAATCTGAAGTCCAAGTTCCTTGGAGAAGGCTTGCTATTTTCTCATTCTACAAAAAAGAGTTATCCTCTAATTTTTATTGCACCTGAACTTTACATAAACACACATCCCACTTTTATTTGCCAATACAGATCAATTCAATCTGTCATCATTTAAACCACTAATGGATGATGTATAAGTCAAACAAAAGGGACAAGCATGAAAGTAGACTGCTTCTCTAACACCTGAACATTTTCCTTTTAATATACAAGCATTCTTGCACACAGTTCATAAAACTGCTAGGCTGCTGATTCAGTGTTCTGTTTAACAGATGAGTTTTAACTACTTAAAAAAAAAACAAACTCTGCTTTCTACAACTATCTGATCTTCGACAAACCTGACAAAAACAAGCAATGGGGAAAGGATTTCCTATTTAATAAATTGTGCTGGGAAAACTGGCTAGCCATATGCAGTAAACAGAAACTGGACTCCTTCCTTACACCTTATGCAAAAATTAACTCAAGATGGATTAAAGACTTAAATGTAAAACCCAAAACCATAAAAAACCTAAAAGAAAACCTAGGCAATACTATTCAGGACATAGGCATGGGCAAAGTCTTCATGACTAAACACCAAAAGCAATGGCAACAAAAGCCAAAACTGACAAATGGGATCTAACCTAAGAGCTTCTCCACAGCAAAAGAAACTCTTCAGAGTGAACAGGCAACCTACAGAACGGGGTAAAATTTTTGCAATCTACCCTTCTGACAAAGGTCTAATATCCAGAATATAGAAGGAACTTAAACAAATTTACAAGAAAAAAACAACCCCATCAAAAAGTGGCCAAAGGAAATGAACAGACACTTCTCAAAAGAAGACATTTATGCAGCCAACAACATATATTAAAAAAAAAGCTCATCATCACTGGTCATTAGAGAAATGCAAATCAAAACCACAATGAGATACCATCTCACATCAGTTAGAATGGTAATTATTAAAAAGCAAGGAAACAACAGATGCTGGAGAGGCTGTGGAGGAATAGGAACGCTTTTACACTGTTGGTGGGAGTGTAAATTAGTTCAACCATTGTGGAAGACAGTGTGGCGATTCCTCAAGGATCTAGAACCAGAAATAACATTTGACCCGGTGATCCCATTACTGGGTATATACCCAAAGGACTATAAATCATTCTACTATAAAGACACATAAACGTGTATGTTTATTGCAGCACTATTTACAATAGCAAAGACTTGGAACCAACCCAAATGCCCATCACGGATAGACTGAATAAAGAAAATGTGGTACAGATACACCATGGAATACTACGTAGCCATAAAAAAGAATGAGTTCATGTCCTTTGCAGGGACATGCATAAAGTGGGAAGCCATCATTCTCAGCAAACTAACACAAGAACAGAAAACCAAACACCGCATGTTCTCACTCATAAGTGGGAGTTGACAATGAGAACACATGGACACAGGGAGGGGAACATCACACACCTCACACATCGGGACCTGTCGGGGCGGGTGGGGGGCAAGAGGAGGGAGAGCATTAGGACAAATACCTAATGTATGTGGGGCTTAAAATCTAGATGACGGGTTGATAGGTGCAGCAAACCATCATGGCACATGTATACCCATGTAACAAACCAGAACGTTCTGCACATGTATCCCAGAACTTAAAGTAAAATAAAATTAAAAAACAAAAACAAAACAAAACAAAAACTTGGCCGGGTGCAGTGGCTCACGCCTGTAATCCCAGAACTTTGGGAGGCCGAGGCAGCTGGATCACCTGAAGGTCAGAAGTTCGAGACCAGCCTGGCCAACATGGTGAAACCCCCATCTCCACTAAAAACACAAAAAATTAGCTGGGCGTGTAATCCCAGCTACTCGGGAGGCTGAGGCAGGAGAATCGCTTGAATCCGGGAGGCAGAGGTTGCAGTGAGCCGAGATGGCGCCATTGCACTCCAGCCTGGGCAACAAGAGTGAAACTTCGTTTCAAAAACAGCAACAACAACAAGAACAACAACAAGAAGAACAAAAACTCTGCTTTTAAAAGTATTTTAAGTCCAGTGTGAAAAACCTAGAAGTCACAGCAAAGGCCGCTAAGAAACTTACCATTACTCATGACCCCTCTTACTACTGACCTTGAAAATCACTTGCCCTTCTCCAAGGCCCCGCCAGCTTCATGGGTCTCTTCCTGAACCTCCTCCCTAGTTCCAGGGCTTGGCCTAAGTCTCACAGAGCAGAAAGAAACGTGGCCACCCTTCCTCACGTGAGTCCTGTGCAAACATACAGCCCCACACAGAGCTCCTAACAATGGGGCATCAGTACCCAGGCACGATCGATGATTATGAACCCAACGCGATCAGAGACTCCCACATGGTGTGTGTGACTGCGCGCACAGGCGGGAGGAAAGGGGCGAATCTGCAAAACGAGTACAACAGATAAAATTCGCAACAGACTTCTACACCCTTTCAATCAACCGTCCCAAGCGCCACGAACGCGGGTCCCGCTCCGTGGGGGGCCGCAGCCACACTGGCAGGAGGGAATCCTGGGCCTCGACCAGACGCCGGCGGCGTCAGGAGAAACGGCCCGCGCTGGGCAGGCGGCGGGCACCGCGTAGCTCATTACCACGGGGGGCCCCGGCCAAGGCCGCCCGCCTCAGGCCGAGCCTTGGGGCTGTGCTGGACCCGGGCCCTCGTTCGCACGGCGCCCGCGCCGCCGCCGTCGGGAAACCGGGTTTTCAAGCGTTCGGCCCAGCGGGCGCTGTATTTTAGGGCGTGACCCCCGCCCCGCCCTCGAGGGCGACCGGAAGAGCAGGCACCACAGCAGATGCGCCGAGTCTGCGCCCCGCACCGCGAGGAGCACCCGAGGCCGCGCTCCCGGAGCCGGGTCTGGTGACTAAGGCGCGGGTCGCGACGCAGGGGCGGCCCCGGACTCTCGACCCCACCAGCCGCCTGAATGTCCCGCCGGACGCCCGGGCCGGCTCACCTGGGAGGCGCCTCCGCCGTCCGCCCGCGCGGGGCCAGGAGCGCGGCACCACCCCCGTACCGCCGGCCGCTCTTTGTGTCTGGAGGCCGCGACGCAACACTCCTCCCGGCCTCGAGGCACCGCCCCCTCGGTGTCCCGGCGCAGTGGGCGAACAGGGGGCGGGGCGAGCGAACGGGAGAGGGGGCGGGTCGGGTCCGGGATTGCGGGGCGGGGTGGGGGCAAGGCGGCCTCCGCAAATCTCAGGGCGGCTCTGGCCAGTTTGGAGCCTGGGGTGACCCTTGGAGCTGACCTCGCTGGTCCCTGTCGGAGCCCTGCGCGCTGCGGAGCTTGGCGGTTCGCAGCTCTCGGGGTAGCATCTTCTGGAAACAAGCCCGGAGGCCGGCCAGGCAGGGGTAATACCCCAAACCCACCACTGAGGAAACCGCGACTTAAAACCTAGGTCGTCACGTTTCCACCGCATATTAAATCAATACGGGTTGAGCATCCCTAATCCAAACATCTGAAATCCGAAATGCTTCAAAATCTGAAAGTTTTTGAGCGCTGACCTGATGCTCAAAGGAAATGCACATTGGAGCACTTCTTTTTTCTTCTTTTAACTTTCTTTTCTTTTGAGAAAGGCTGTCACTTCTGCTGCCCAGCCTGGGATGCAGTGGCGCGGTCATGGCTCACTACAGCCTCGACTTTCCCGGCTATGGCGATCCTCCCGCCTCAGCGTCCCAACCCCCAGTAGCTGGGACTGCAGGCATCTGCCACCATGTCCGCTAATTTTTGTATTTTTAGCACAGAGTCTCACTGTGTTGCCCAGGCTGGTCTCGAACTCCTAGGCTCAAGGGATGGATCCACCGCCTCGGCCTCCCAAAGTGCTGGGATTACAGGCGTGAGCCACCGCGCCCGGCCTGTATTTTTTTAAGAGAGGAGGCTTCACCATGTTGCCCAGGCTGGTCTGGAATTTCTGGCCTCAAGTGATCCTCCCACCTTGGCCTCCCATAGTGCTGGGATTACTGGCATGAGCCACCGCACCTGGCCTCATTGGAGCATTTCTAATTTTGGATTTTCAGATTAGGGGTGTTCAATTGGTATAATGCAAATATTCCAAAATCTGAAATCCTAAATGCTTCTGGTGCCAAGCATCTCGGTTAAGGGATATTCAACCTGTATATATTTATCGAACACCTACTAGGGCCAGGCATTGTCCTAGGGGCTGCCAACAGCGGTGCAAAAAATCCCTGGCCCTTATAGAGTTTACACAGAAAACAATTTAAAAACGTAAATACCCGGCCGGGCATAGTGGCTCATGCCTGTCATCCCAGCACTTTGGGGGGCTGAGGCAGGCGGATCACCTGAGGTCGGGAGTTCAAGACCAGCCTGACCAACATGGAGAAACCCCGTCTCTACTAAAAATACAAAATTAGCCGGGCGTGATGGCATATGCCTGTAATCCCAGCTACTCAGGAGGCTGAGACAGGAGAATCGCTTGAATCTGGGAGGCGGAGGTTGTGGTTATCAAGCCACTGCACTCCAGCTTGGGCGACAGAGTGAGACTCCATTTCAAAAAAAGAAAAAAAAAAGTAAATACAGCCAGGCACGGTGACTCATGCCTGTAATCCCAGTAGTTTGGGAGGCCACTGTGGGCAGATTGCCTGAGGACAGGAGTTCGAGACCAGCGTGGCCAACATGGTGAAACCCAGTGTCTACTGAAACACAAAAAAATTAGCCAGTTGTGGTTAACGCGCGCCTGTAGTCCCAGCTACTCGTGAGGCTGAGGCACAAGAATTGCATGAACCCAGGAGTCGGAGGTTGCAGTGAGCTGAGATCTTGCCACTAGACTCCAGCTTGGGCGACAGAGCAAGACTCTGTCTCCAAAAAATAAAAATAAAAACATAAATATACAAAAATGTCAGAGAGTTATATCAGAATTACAAAATGAGCTACAGTACACTGTAGCATGAGAAAGGTGCATATACTTTGTAGGAACTCCACTTTAGAGGATGTGAGGATCAGAGGCAAAATGGGGTGAGAAGGAAGCAGGATGAAAGACAGGCTATGGGGGAACGGAGTTTCCAAGGGCGAGTGAAATTTCCAAGTGCCTGCAAGTGCTAAACCCCATGCAGAGCAAAAGGCAAACACAGGGAGTGGTTCAGAGACGCTCATAGTGTGTTCTAGGCTGGGAGGTTTCTCTGACCTGCTGAATGTGCCCAGATACCTTTTGCTATGCCCATGACCTGTCCCAACCAGTGTGGGGCACAATGGCAGGACACACCGTGCAAAGGTGGTCCCTGTGGGATGCGCAGCCAAGACCCCGATGACTCCAGTTTATAACCCTGGATTCCCAGGGGTGCTCAGAGCCATGGGGGCTGCCATTGTGAAGAATGTCTTCTCTTCAGTGCTCCTGATGCTCTGCACGGGCTCCCACTCACTGGCTGGAGAATGAATTTGGAGTCAGAAGATGTGAATCATGCCACTTACTAGCTGTTTGACTGTGGATCACCCAGTCATGTAACATCTGTGATCTCAGTTTCATTTGCAAAATAGAAATGTAAAAATTACCCATTGCACAGGAGTGTACTGAATTTATTTGTTATTTTATTTCTTGAGACAGGATCTCAGTCTGTTACCCAGGCTGGAGTGTGGTGGTGTGATCACAGCTCACTGCAGCCTTGATCTCCTGGGCTCAAGTGATCCTCCCACCTCAGCCTCCCAAATAGCTGCATTACAGATGCACCCCCACACCTGGCTAACTTACTAATTTTTTGTAGAGATGGGGTCTATGTTGCCCAGGCTGGTCTTGAACTCCTGGGCTAAAATGATCCTCCCACTTTGGCCCCCCAAAGTACTGAGATTGCAGGCATGAGGCACCGTGCCCAGTTGAGCATACCGAATTTAAATGAGTTAATGTAGTGGTTCTTCATCAGAGAGAAGTGGGAAGACTAGGAGTTCTCCACTTTGACTACTTAAAAATTAAAAACACCAGTGCCTGCATCCTACCTCCAGACATTCCAATTTTATTGTCGTGTAGAGAAAACTCTCCACTCTCACACCGCACAACAGTCAACACAGAAGACCTATGACTAAATGTGTGTGGGGTTTTCTCCACACACTGAGCAGCAGACACCAGCTGGGCATCCTCTAATTCAGTTCTGTCACTACCTGGAGAGAGTGTCAGATCCCACAAGTTGAGGACTCAGTCCCCAAGACTCCTCACATACATCAGTTGCAAGGCCGGGCCTCTGCAGAACTTCTGACAGATCAGCTTCAAGTTGGGGTTCCCATGACCCCCTGACCCCCTGTTTGGTTTCGATTAATTTGCTACCTGTGAGTGGCTCACAGAACTCAGAGAAACGCTTATGTTCACTGGTTTATTTTTATTTATTTATTTTTGAGACGGAGTGTTGCTCTGTCGCCCAGGCTAGAGTGCAGTGGTGCGATCCCAGCTCACTGCAACCTCCGCCTACCAGGTTCAAGTGATTGTCATGCCTCAGCCTCCCAAGAAGCTGGCACTACAGGCATGCGCCACCACACCTGGCTAGATTTTTATATTTTTAGTAGAGACAGGGTTTCGTCCTGTTGGCCAAGCTGGTCTCGAACTCCTGACCGCAGGTGATCTGCCTGCTTTGGCCTCCCAAAGTGCTGGGATTACAGGCGTGAGCCACCATGCCTGGCCCACTGGTTTATTATAATGGATATTGTAAAGGACACAGGTGAAGAGACACATAGGGCAAGGTTTGGAGGAAGGGGCAGAGCTTCCATACCTCCCTGGGCACCACCCTCCAGGAACCTCCACTGTTCACCTACCCAGAAGTTCACTGAACCCTGTCCTCTTGGGGTTTTATGAAAGCTTCATGATATCAGCATTCCTTCTCCCAGGGAATAGGGTGAGACCCTCTCATGGGAGAGTCTTAAGACCTGCAATCGACGGCAGGGCGCGGTGGCTCACTCCTGTAATCCCAGCACTTTGGGAGGCCGAGGTGGGCGGATCACAAGGTCAGGAGATCGAGACCATCCTGGCCAACATGATGAAACACCATATTTACTAAAAATACAAAAATTAGCTGGGCGTGGTGGCACACACTTATAGTCCCAGCTACTTGGGAAGCTGAGGCAGGAGAACCGCTTGAACCCGGGATGCGAAGAAGTTACAGTGAGCCAAGGTCGCACCACTGCACTCCAGCCTGGGCAACAGAATGAGACTCCATCTAAAAATAAAATAAAAAAAAAAAAGACCCACAATCAGAAAGCCAGGAGGAGGTCAGGGGCCTGCCCATGAGGCCCAACACAACAATATAACAAAGGACTGTAGCAAGGGCTATGGGAGTCATGTGCCAGTAACTGTGGATGAAAACCAATGGATATCCTGACACCACAATTGTTCAGGAAAGAACCTTTGAGTCAATCTTGACTCTCTCTCTCATACCTTACAGCGACGTCATCACATCCTGATCGCTCTTCTTTTTAAAAACATTTTCTTGGCCAGGCGCAGGAGAGGCCGAGGTGGGTGGGTCACCTGAGGTCAGGAGTTCATGACCAGCCTGACTAACTTGGTGAAACCCCATCTGTACTAAATACAAAAGAAAAACAGCCGGGCATGGTGGCGCGTGCCTGTAATCCGAGCTACTTGGGAGGCTGAGACAGGAGAATTGCTTGTACCTGGGAGGTGGAGGTTGCAGTGAGCAGAGATCGCGCCATTGCACTCCAGCCTGGGCAACAAGAGCGAAAATCTGTCTCACAAAAAAAGAAACAACAACAAAAAAAACTTTTTCTTTTGAATTAATGTTATCTTTACAGAAAACTTGGAAACGTAGAAAAGAGAGGTTCCATATTCTTCTCACTCAGGTCCTGTAAATATCAGCATCTTACATATCCCTGTTTTTTTTTTTTAAAGTTTAAAAAACTTTATTAAGTATAATGTACACAAGAAAAGTATACATATCATAAGTGTACAGTTTGATAAATTTTCACACACTGATGTAACTAGCATAGGAACATTACCAGTGCCCCTGAAACCCTTCTTCCCTCCCATTCCAATATTACTGCCCCAAAGGGATTATCTTTTCATTTTAATGGAATATTTATATATATTTCTTTCAATGCCTAGAGTTAATCATTATCTATATTAATCTTCAAAACTGGACAAAGGGCAGAATGTTTTTAATTCTCTATCTCTTCTTCATCTCCCATAAAATATTATCTGAGAATTCAATTCTCTATTGTTACTACTTTTAAAACATTAAGAACAGCTTATTTAGATTAACCACTTTCCTGGCTCACCTGCTTCCTATATCTCCTGTCTTTTTGTAGGGGTCTATAGTCATGTTTGATATTCTTTTCAGTTGTCTCCTTTCTCATCCCCCTTTCTATAGTTTGGAAATTTTCTACCTCATAATCTAAACCTTGCTTGCCATGAGAGAATTTGGAAGTAACAGAGATTTGCTTTCCCCGGCTGCCTTGCAGCATGGCCAGGTCTGCCGGTCAGATACACTCTCCCTAAGGAAGCCACAGTCTGTCTTGATGATGGGAGGTGCCAGAGCTGGCAGCTGCTTCTGGTCTCCAGAGGCAACAGGGGTGGTTGTTCTAGTGGGAGTAGCCACTCAATATGTTTCTGAGATATTTCCATGGTTATGTGTTCAGAACTTGCATCCATAGTCCATTTTACTGCTGTAGAAAATTTCCATTGTATAAATGTTACCGGGGGTCCTTGCTCACAGAGCTCCCAAGATGGCGGTGGGCCACTTCCAAGATGGTGGCAAGCCTCGTGTTCTCTGACCTGTGGTTCTTGGCCTCACGGATTCCAAGGAATGGAATCTTGGGCCATGGGTGAGTGTTATAGCTCTATTAGAAGCCGTGGGTCACGGAAGAGAATCGTGGAACCCAGCGACTAGTGTTCAGCTCGATTAGGATGAACCCGGGCACTTAGTCCTGCAGGAACAATGGCAAGCCTTTAGCCCAATCAGGAATGGCAATGGGTGCCTCTCTGGATCAGGAGCACAGTGAACACCCTGCCAGATCCGGAGGGATGGAAGTCAGCGGCAGGTCTCCGATGGCGGCAAACAGCAGTGGTGGACGGCGAGCGAAAGCTCAGCTCAAACCGTAACAAACACAGACCAGAAGAGTGCAGTTGCAAGATTTAATAGAGTGAAAACAGAGCTCCCATACAAAGGGACGGGACCCAAAGGGGGTTGCCCAGCCATGTTTTTTGTAATGGTATAATGGTGTAGTTATCGAAACCAGGAATTTAACATCAGTACATTACTATTAACTAAAGACTTTATTCAGATTTTACCAGTTTCCCACTAATGTCCCTCCCCTTTTCTTGTCAGTGCCGGATCCTTCTAGCATCCAATCACGGCCATTCCAACCCACTCACCCCCACCTTTAGTCTGTGTAATAGTCTCCTGGCCCTCCTCTTGCTTCTACTTTTGCCTCTCTACTTTCCATTTAAGCATTGCTGTTTTTAATTACTGACTCCTCTTGTAATAATCTAGCTTTGGTCTTCAGTTTCTTTCCTCAGGTCCACAGCTTTCCTTTAATCCCATGCTGTTGTTTTGTCTGTCCTGGAGCTCCTGTTCACAAACTAATATTATATTCTTAAGATATTGTAGGCCGGGTACAGTGGCTCACGCCTATAATCCCAGCACTTTAGGAGGCTGAGGATGGAGGATCGCTTGAGCCCAAGAGTCTGAGGCTACAGTGAGCTATGATCGTGCCACTACCCTCCAGCCTGGGCGATACCCTGTCTCAAAAAACAATACCGTGTCTCAAAAAAAAGAAAAAAAAAAGAATACTCTGTCTTTGTTGATTGTGGTATCTGATCTTAACTAGATAGGCTGAAGGCACATGGTTCCCTCCAAAAACCACTATTGGTTCCACTGCCAAAACAAGCCAGCAAAACGACAGTGTAGAGAGGTTGGCTTGCTTCCCTCTCTTCCTAACTGCATGTTGAAAAATAAGCCTTTATTGATCTTAAACATCTGTCAGATGAGTCATACATTGGGTTATTTTTTATATACATGTATACACAAAATATTTCAAATTGAAAGCAACATCTTAATGGATTCAAAACTATTACAAGCTGTTGTCTGAAACATGAGAAAGTTTATAACTGTAAAAGCAAATGCACATATTGATATTTAAAATGCGTAATTAAGGAAAAAAAGAATACTCTGTCTCTTATTTTATTTTAAGCCTCACAGTAATAAACGCCTTTTCCTCAGGTGGTTTAAAGTAGGTTGCCAAGGAGGCCGATCTTGCTCCTTGCCTGCTGCTGTCCTGGGGGAACTGCACAGTTCTAACTGCCTGCAAAACTGAGCCTCCTCCCCGAATGTGAGAACCAGCACTGTTCACTTTTCAGATGTGGGGCATTGTTCTAAACGCTTCAGAAGGTCTTAGAGGCCAGAGAGAAGTGGGAGCTGTGTGGCTGGGGCCAGACACATCAAATAATGAAGACAGAGAAGGCAATGGCAGGTTAAGATGCGTGCAGGAAACTCAGCTGGAAAGACAGGCAGGAAGGCACCAGAGCTAGTGGGAAAAGTGGCCCACGGAGCAGATACAGCTGGCATGTAAAAGGAAGTAGTAGAATTTAGCTACAAACTAAATGGTGAAGTAAGAGGCAAAGAGAAATGAACATCAGAAATGCCTCCCGCCGGATGCAGTGTCTCACGCCTGTAATCCCAGCACTTTGGGAGGCCGAGGTGCGTGGATCACCTGAGGTCGGGAGTTTGAGACCAGCCTGACCAATATGGAGAAACCCCATCTCTACTAAAAATACAAAACTAGCCCGGCATGGTGGTGTATGCCCGTAATCCCAGCTACTTGGGAGGCTGAGGCAGGAGAATCGCTTAAACCTGGGACCGGAGTTTGCAGTGAGCCGGGATCGTGCCACTACACTCTAGCCTGGGCAACAAGAGTAAAACTCCATCGCAAAAAAAAAAAAAAATGCCTCCCAAGGGCTGGGCACAGTGGCACATGCCTATAATTCCAGCGCTTTGGGAGGCCGAGGTGGGCAAATCACTTGAAGCCAGGAGTTTGAGTCCAGCCTGTGTAATGTGGCAAAACCCTGTTTCTATGAAAAATACAAAAATTAGCTGGGCATGGTGGCGACCACCTGCAGTCCCAACTACTTGGGAGGCTGAGGAGGGAGGATCACATGAGCATGGGACATCCAGGCTTCAGTGAGCCGAGATTGCACTACTGCACTCCCAGCCTGGGCAACAGGAGTGCTGTGCCTTACCAGGGTAGAGCCTTGCTGCCTCCCAAATGTTTCTCCTCTAGTCTCTCTATCTGTTGTGATAAAATGAGCTTCATCTTCCTAAAAACCTGCTTTGATCACTCCTCCTTTCCCCAGGGCCTTTGGTGACTCCACACTAACTAGACGGAGAAATCCAGATTCACAAACCTTCACCCAGCCTCCTTCACAGAAATCCCAGACCCTGTTTCCAGCTTCTCCCATCACATCCCATGAGCCCTGCCTCCAGGAAAACCAGGTACTTGCTGACTCTGGGGAGTGCCCCTGGCACTCTTGCCTTAGTGTTTTAAACACACCATGCCTCCTTTCCATCAACTCGAATCTGTCCATTCATCAGGGCTGTGCTCAAATCTGTCTTTTTCTGAGAAGACCTCCAGAGCAACTGCAGTCCTCCACCCCATCCGTTGAATAAGGAGTCCTGCTCTGCCTTGGACCATTCATTCTGGTGTCCTGGTCTGTTAAGTACTATGACACTAAGGTTCCACCGGTAGGTCCTACTTGTTTGAGTCCCAACAAGATTGTAAATTGCCACAGTCAAGAATGATGAGATTTTTGTCTTTACATCCCCGACAACACCTAGTATTATAGAAAGCCCGATAAACAGTAAGGGTTCCTTATTTTATTGAATTCTAGTGTTGATTTTATGTTTCTGGCAATGGTTTCAATTAATGGGGATATAGCTTTTTTTTTTTTTTTTTTTTGAAATGAAGTTTCGCTCTTGTTGCCCAGGCTAGAGTGCAGTGGCACGATCCCGGCTCACCGCAACCTCCACCTCCAGGGTTCAAGTGGTTCTCCTGCCTCAGCCTCCCAAGTAGCTGGGATTACAGGCATACACCACCATGCCTGGCTAGTTTTGTATTTTTAGTAGAGACAGGGTTTCTCCATGGTGGTCAGGCTGGTCTCGAACTCCTGACCTCAGGTGATCCACCCACCTCGGCCTCCCAAAGTGCTGGGATTACAGGCGTGAGCCACCGTGCCCAGCCCATATAGCTTTTCCTCTGTGATATAGACATCTTAATTTTTCTTAAATAACCCATCATGAAATTGCCATCTGTGAATTCCAATGTGATGCTGGAAGTTGAGAAATGCCAGCAGCCCTCAGACGGCTGTGTTTTGATGAGTGGCCACAAGATCCTGCATTTGTTTTACAGTGTTGTTAGTTCACATTCATCTCCCACAGTTTAATCAGAATAACCCACAATCAGGTGACTTAACAGAGAACATCAGCCTTTAGAGGAAAGATGTGCCACATTCAAGTTCTTATAACTTCCTTAGGAGTCATTGCTAAGTGCTCATTTCAGAACATTTGGAAAATATATTCATCTGTGGATATTGTTGCTTCATTAGCCTTTAAAAAGCTTTGATAACTCAGATATACCCAGTTTAACTCAGTCTGAGTATATCTGATTCTTCTTTTTTTGAGACAGCGTCTCACTCTGTTGCCCAGGCTGGAGTGCAGTGGCGCGATCTCAGGAGAATCAAGCGATTCTCCTGCCTCAGCCTCCTAAGTAGCTGGGACTACAGACAAGTGTCACCATGCCTGGCTAATTTTTGTATTTTCAGAAGCGATGGGGTTTCGTCATGTTGGCCAGGCTGGTCTCAAACTCTTGACCTCAAGTGATCCGCCCACCTCGGCCTCCCAAAGTGCTGGGATTACAGGCATGAGCCACCATGCCCAGCTGGGCATATCTGATTCTTTCAGTAAATTCCATGTTCTTTTCCTCATAATAAGTTTTACTTGAACATTTTTAGATGCATAGAGTAGGTGCCAAGATAGTACAGAAAGCTCCATGTACCCCCCCTTGCCCACTCTCCCTTAATGCTAAAATCCTACATAACAATGGTACGATGACCAGAACCAGGGAATTAACCACTAATGACACAACCTATCAGCTAAGCTCCAGACTTCCGCTGGATTTCACCGGTGTTCCCGGATCCCATGTGGCATTTACTCAGTGTATCCCTTAGTTTCCTCTGGTCTGTGACAGTTTCGACTTTTCCTGTTTTTCATGACCTTAACAGTTGTGAGGAGCATTGGTCAGGCATTTCTTAGGATGTCCCTTACTTTAGGTTTGTCTGATGTTTTCTCATGAGTAGACTGGTGTTAGGGGCTTTTGGGAAGAACACACAGAAGTGAAGTGCCCTTGTCATCCCATCGCATAAGGGGTACCTGACATCCACATGGCATGTTAATCCTGATCACTTGGTTCAGGTGTTGTCTGCCAGGTTTCCTCACTGCAGTTTCAAATTTTCATCTTCATATTCTGTTTTGTTTGTTTGTTTTAGACAGTGTCTCCTCTGTCACCCAGGCTGGAGTGCAGTGGCGCAATCTTGGCTCACTGAAGCCTGGACTTCCCGGGCTCAGGTGATCCTCCCACCTTAGCCTCCCAAGTAGCTGAGACTACAGGGGGTCGGCACCATGCCCAGATAACATTTGTATTTTTTGTAGAAACGGGGTTTTGCCATGTTACCCAGGCTGGACTCAAACTCCTGGCCTCAAGTGATCTGCCCGCCTCAGCCTCCCAAAGTGCTGGGATTACAGGTGTGAGCCACTGCGCCCTGCCCATACTCTGTTCTTTAGGAGTAAGTTACTAAGTCCATTCCAGCCCACAGTCAAGAAAAGGAGGATTAAATTCCACCTCCTGGAGGGGGAGTATCTACATACATTATTTAGAATTCTTTATCAGGAGGATCTGTCTCTTATCTCCTATTTATTGATTCAATCAAATCATTTATTTATATTGATATGGACTCCTGTATTTTTATTTCCTACTCTAGGTTATAATCTAATGCTATATTATTTCATTGCTCCCATTGTTCCAGCCTTGGCCATTGGTGGCTCTTTCTGCTCGGGTCCTGCTCTCCTCACTGTGCCTGTGTATTTTGCTTTTGGAGCACTTCCGTAGTTGTGAACACCATATGATGTTCCAGGCTCATCTCATATTTTTCCAGCCCCAGCCCTAGTATCAAGCCAGGTATCCAAGATACCTGCTTCTTTTGGTTGGTGAATTGTATTTAGAAACCAAGATCTGAGTGAGGGCGTGTTCATTGCTATTGGAGGTGTCATTGCTTCTCGGCTCTCTCAGTGGACAGGCTCAGGAAATACACATGTATATTGACTCATATTTATAAATGTCTACTCTCACCTCTTTATCTGTCTATTCTCTATCATCTATCTATCTGCCATCTACCATCTGTCTACCAACCTACCTATCTACCAATTAAACTAAACCTGAGTTCATGCTGATGTCTCCAAAATAAATCCAATACCCTAGGCTTCATGCTAGCATTCCCCCCTTACTTCTTTATAATGCTTTCAGAATTTTTTTTCTTTTTTTGAGGCAGAGCCTCACTCTATCACCCAGGCTGGAGTGCAGTTGCACAATCTTAGCTCACTGCAGCTTCAACCTCCCCAGGCTCAAGTGATCCTCCCACCTTAGCCTCCCAAGTAGCTGGGACTACATGCTTATGCCACCACACCCAGCTTATTTTTATATTTTCTGTAGAGATGGGATTCCACATGTTGCCCAAGCTGGCCTCAAACTCCTGGGGCCAAGCAATCCACCCACCTCAGCCTCCCAAAGTGCTGGGATTACAGGCGTGAGCCACTGTGCCCAGTCTACTTTCAGAATTTTTAACCCATAGCCTGTGAGAAACAAATTTATAAACTAGAGTACAGTGCTTAATATAGTTCTTTAGCCTTACAGTTTCTGGTTAAAATACAAGCTTTCAAAATTACTTAGGTCACCTCCTTTTCCCTCAGCCCCTTTAGTGAGGTTATATCACACATTTAGAATAAGGTTAGATTCATTTATCACAGTCTGTTTTCCATATTAGGTCTTAAATATGCTGTTTGATTATTTTTTAATCGGCATGCAATAAAGTTCGTGCAGTATGAAAAAATAAAGTATGAAATTGACAATTGTGTAGATCACCATATATCGACTATCCCAGTACCATAGGTAAAGTTCCATCACTGTGAAAGTCACTGGTATGGTTTGGCTCTGTGTCCCCATCCAAATCTCACCTTGAATTGTATTACCATAATTCCCATGTGTTGTGGGAGGGACCTGGTGGGAGATAATTTGAATCACAGGGGTGGTTTCCCCTATACTGTTCTCGTGATAGTGAATAAGTCTCATGAGATCTGATGGTTTTATCAGGGGTTTCTGCTTTTGCATCTTCCTTATTTTTTCTTGCTGCTGCCATGTAAGAAGTGCCTTGCGCCTCCTGCCATGATTCTCAGGCCTCCGCAGCCATGTGGATCTGTAAGTCCAATTAAACCTCTTTTTCTTCCCGGTCTCGGGTATGTCTTTATCAGCAGTGTGAAAATGGACTAATACAGTCACCCTATGTGTCCCTGTGCAATTAACTGCTCCCCTCCCCCAAGTCCCTGGCAACCATTGATGTGTCTTCTGTCCTTGTAGTTTTGCCTTTTCTAAAATGTCATATGAATGGAATTACACATGTAGACTTTGGGGTTTGGCTTCTTGTTCTTGTTCTTCTTTTTTTTTGAGATGGAGTCTCACTCTGTTGCGAGGCTGGAGTGCAGTGGTGCAATCTTGGCTCACTGCAACCTCTGCCTCTTGGGTTCAAGCGATTCTGCTGCCTCAGCCTCCTGAGTAGCTGGGACTACAGGTGCGTGCCGCCACGTCTAGCTAATTTTTGTACTTTTAGTAGAGGCGGGGCTTCACCATGTTGGCCAGGATGGTCTGGATCTCCTGACCTCGTGATCCACCTGCCTCAGCCTCCCAAAGTGCTGGGATTACAGGCATGAGCCACCATGCCCGGCCTTGGGTTTGGCTTCTTTCACTTAGCAAAATGAGTCTAAGATTAATCCATGTTGTCGTGTGTATCAGTAGCTCATTCCTTTTGGTAATTATGAATAGAACTACAAGGCTGGGCATGGTGGCTCACACCTGTAATCCCAGCACTTTGGGAGGCTGAGATGGGAGGGTTGCTTGAGCGAAGGTGTTTGAGACCAGCCTGGGCAACATAGCAAGACCTTATCTCTACAATAGAAGTTAAAAACTAGCCAGGCATGGTGTCACATACTTGAGGTGCCAGCTACTCTACTCAGGAGGTTGAAGCGGAGGATGGCTTGAGCCCAGGAGGTCGAGGCTGCATTGAGCTGTGATCGTACCATTGCACACCAGCCTGGGTGACAGAGTAAGACCTCGTCACTAAAAAATAGAAAAAAAAAATGAGTAGAGTTCCTAGAAACATTTCCATACAGGTTTTTGTTTGTTCGAACATAAGTTTTCTATTCACTTTGGTAAATACCTATGAGTGGGTCATTGGCATCTCTGGGTTATAGGGGAAGTATCTGTTTAACTGGAGGAGACAGTGCCAAATGGTTTTCCAAAGTGGCTACACCATTTTGCATTCCCCACCAGCAACCAGTGAGTTTCTGTCCTCTGCATCCTTGTCAGCATTTGATGGTGTCACTTTATTTAATTTGATTTATTTTACAGTAGAGTCTATTTTCTTTTTGAGGGCAGTCTTGTTTTGGTGAGAATATTAGGTATTAACATTCAGCTAGCTAACAGAAGTTAGCTGAGGGTTTTTACTGTAAGCCAAAGTAGACATCATCCTTACCACTTCAATCAAAATGCTGTTGACAGAAGAAAGTTCATTTTGAAAATTACTCTAATCTAAGGGTCTTTCATTTCTAGAGAAGATGGTAGAAGAGGAAATTGAGAAATAAAGGGAAATATGATGTTCTTGCTATGGATTTTTTCCTTCTACACTGGAATTTTCTGACTTAGAATAAAATTCCCCTTTAAAAGCAGGTATGGGGCTGGGCACGGTGGCTTGTGCCTGTAATCCCAGCACTTTGGGAGGCCAAGGCAGGTGAATCACTTGAGGCCAGGAGTTCGAGACTAGCCTGGGCAACATGGCGAAACTCTGTCTCTTCTAAAAATACAAAAATTAGCCGGACGTGGTGGCACACGCCTGTAGTCTCAGCTACTCGGGAAGCTGAGGCATGAGAATTGCTTGAACCTGGGAGGCGGAGGTTGCAGTGAGCCAAGATGGTGCCACTGCACTCCAGCTTGGGCAATAGAGTGAGACTCTGTCTCAAAAAAAAAAAAAAAAAAAAAAAAAGCAGCTATGATTGCCTGTGGTCAAGGCTTTTGAGGGCCCAGAACCCTCATTTGGTTCTGGCATCTGAAGAGGGTTTATATTGCACCCCAGTGGGTGAAAGACCAGGCCCCCAAGGGCCCACTGTACAGAACACCCAGAGGTGGTCCAGGGCCTCTGTGCTGTTATCTTGGCCAGGAATTGTTGGAGCCTGAATCACGTGCACACACGGGAGCTTTAACAGCACAGGGAACCTACTGAAAGGTCCAATGATGTGGCTGCATCCTTTGAGCCTGTGAGCTCCATGAGAGCAGGCTCCTTGTTTCCCTGCTGTAGACTCAGAGCCTAGGACACCCTGCAACACTCAATACTGCTCAAATGTTTGACTGAATGGTACAACTGAACCAGGGCCTGCAAAGACATCACAACCATTACTTCTTGTTTGAGTCTGTTTGGGCTGCCAAGACAAAATACACAGACTGGGTGGCTTGAATAACAGAAATGTGTTTCTCACAGTGCTGGAGGCTGGGAGTTCAAGATCGAGGTGTAAGCACTCAAAATCAAGGTTTCTCTGACCCTCTCTCCTTGGCTTGCGGACAGCTGACTTCTCACCCTTTCCCCACTTGGTCCTTTCTCTGCTTTCTCTGTGCACGCCCATCCCTGGCATCCCTTCCTCTTCCTATAAGGACACCATTCCTATTGGATTGGGGCTCCACCCTTAGGACCTCATTTATCCTTATTTACCTCCTTAAAGACCCCATGTCCAGACACAGTGACATTAGGGGTTGGGGCTTCAGCACACGAGTTTTGGAGGGACACAGTTCAGTCCACTGTACCTATCCTGACCCACAGGTCCCTCCCTCTCCCTTGCCTTGCAGACCCACTTACTCTTCTGTCTCCACAGACTCCCTTTCTCTGTGACCATGGCTTTACCTCACTTGCCCTTTCAAGAGTTCACGCAACAGAAGAGGAATGTGCTGAGCGCACAGACCAGGAGCCCCGCGGTATTGCCTGCAGACCCAATTGGCTTGGCCTGGTGCCCAGGCGTCCTCTGGGTCATCCCCTCGTGGGTCTGCCACAGCCCACACCACTTCTGTGCCCTCCCCCAGCCTGTGTGGCTCGCCTACAGGCTGGCCTGGACCCTGTGGACATTCGTGAATGGCACTCCCAAACCAGAGCCTGTGAGTCCTGAATTCCCCGAAGAACCTGCCTTGCACAGTTGGGCTCAGTTGGAGGCGGCTGCCCACTCACTGGAGAAGTTCAGTCTGAGAAGAGGCCAAGGATAGGTTCTCTAAGAAGGAGGCTGGGACTTTAGAGGAATTGACTGCAGGAGAGACAACAGGCACCCCTGGCCGGCATCACACAGGACATTCCAGGCCTCTCTGTGTCTCTCTTCGTGTCTCTCTTCATCTCTCTCTGCTTCTCTGTCTCTGACTCTGTCTGCCTCTCTGCCACTGTCTCTGTCTCATCTCTTCATGATACTCTGCCTCTGTCTGTCTCTCTGCCACTGTCTCTGTCTTTCCCCGTCTCTCTGTCTCTGCCTCTGTCTCCCTGTCTGTCTCTGCCTCTGTCTCTCTGCTGCTCTGTCTCTCTCTCACCCAGGCAGGTTTTAATTCAATAAAGAAAGCATCTGTCCTTCACATAGTTCTTATTCAGTAACCACTACACACACACCCCTAACACAACACTGCTACACATACCACTGTCATACACACAATGTACACAAACACAACTGTATAACTCACATTCACCACAACCTCACTACTACACCCACTAAGCACACACACACAACCCTTCTAGACACACCCAGTGTGACATGCACACCCCCTACACACACCTCTCCACACACATACACAACCATCTCACACACACCTCTCCACGAACGTACATACATGCACACAGCCATCTCACACACACCTCTCCACACACCTACATACACACACACAACCATCTCACACAAACCTCTCCACGCACCTACATATACGCACACAACCATCTCACACACACCTCTCCACACACCTACATACACACACAACCATCTCACACCTCTCCACACACCTACATACATGCACACAACTATCTCACACACACCTCTCCACAAACCCTCCTTTGCCTTCACTATTCACACACCTCCACACTGCACATCCTGTTCCACACAGACCCACAGACACATGCACACAGGCTTCCCCACCTTCCTAAAATGCAGAGGACAGTGCTCTCTGACTCCAGGCCTATGTCCACAGCCCACTTTTGACAGTCCATCCTACCCATCCAAATTTCACTTCTCACCCCCCTACTCAGATCCCTCTCTGTGGAGATTGTAAACTCCTGGTTGCTTGGTACTCAGCTCCTGGCACTCAGGAGGAGCCCTCTATGCTTGTGTTGAACTGAATGAATTCTCTCCCTTCTTTGCCCCAATCAAATGTTTCATTTCCTTCAATCCTCAGCTTAGATTCATATCCCCAGTCAAGCCACTGCACAGTAGCTCCCTTATGAGACTTTGTTTCAGGAGGTGTTCATCTATATTGTACCGTATTCCTTCTTGTTTATGTACCAGGGTATCAAAATTGGAACTTTTTCTCCTCCAAAACAAAGGGTTGATTCAGGAATGGCAAGGAATTGCCATTCAGGCACACGTGCTCAGGCGGATCACAGGCCACACGTGCTCTGGCGGATCACAGGCCACACGTGCTCTGGCGGATCACAGGACACACGTGCTCTGGCGGATCTCACAGGACACACGTGCTCTGGCGGATCTCACAGGACACACGTGCTCTGGCGGATCACAGGACACACGTGCTCTGGCGGATCTCACAGGACACACGTGCTCTGGCGGATCACAGGACACACGTGCTCTGGCGGATCACAGGACACACGTGCTCTGGCGGATCTCACAGGACACACGTGCTCTGGCGGATCTCACAGGACACACGTGCTCTGGCGGATCACACAGGACACACGTGCTCTGGCGGATCTCACAGGACACACGTGCTCTGGCGGATCTCACAGGACACACGTGCTCTGGCGGATCACAGGACACACGTGCTCTGGCGGATCACAGGACACACGTGCTCTGGCGGATCTCACAGGACACACGTGCTCTGGCGGATCACAGGACACACGTGCTCTGGCGGATCTCACAGGACACACGTGCTCTGGCGGATCTCACAGGACACACGTGCTCTGGCGGATCTCACAGGACACACGTGCTCTGGCGGATCACAGGACACACGTGCTCTGGCGGATCACACAGGACACACGTGCTCTGGCAGATCTCACAGGCACAGCCTCAGAATGGAAACTTTGACCTAAGCCAGTAGACATCAGGCACCAGTTAGTGTGACACTTGTTGGAGGAGTTTTGAAATCAATCAGTCAACAACTCATTTCCTGACTTTTGAAGTCCCTTACCTATTTCAAGAATATTGCAGTGGAGAAACTGCAGATGGAAGAGGAAGGGAATTACAGGATTTCTTTGGAGAGAGAGCTACTGCAGCCTGTGGCTGCTGTTCTCTCAGGGGGTGAGAGAGGAACTCCTTCCTTCACCCAAACCCAGAGAATGGGACGACCCAGTGGTGAAATCCAGAGACAGGTTGGCATGCCTTTTCTGCAGAAAGCATGAAAGTTCAAGGGGCCTATGGCAGGGGTGGTAGGGGGCGTGAAGGATGTGGGTGGGATGTAACTCCATTCTCACTGATAAGGGGCAAGGACATGGGAGAGAGGCTGACCTGGGGTCCCTTCCAGAAGACAAAGGGGAGTCCAGTGGTGAGAACCAGTGGTGGAGGGGCCTGCCTGAGACCTAGGGCCAGAAGACAGCCCACTGGAGAAGCACAAGCTAAGCTGCAGCTGGAGGGGGTTTACCAGAGGTCTTTAAAGAGCCCCTGAAGCCAAGCCTAATAGCTCACGCATGTACTTCTAGCTCCTTGGGAGGCCAATACAGGAGGATCACTTGAGGCCAGGAGCTCAAGACCAGCTTGGGCAACATAGTGAGACCCCATCTCCAAAAAAAAAAAAAAAAAAAAAAAAAGGGAAATCAAGGTGTCAGCCGGGCAAAGAAAAAAACAGAAAACAAGAGCCCCTGAAAGTGCCCAATGGGAGGCAGGTTGGGGCTGGAGGCTATGGAGCTAACTCAAGACAAAACCAGGCTTTGGTGAGGAAGTCCCAAGCGAGAACTTACTTCCCTGCCCAGCGTCCCACCTCACCCCCAACTTGCAAAGAGGAGATGAGTGTGGAAGAAAGACGCCAACCATCCCACACCCCCACAGGGTGGCTGTGTCAGGCAGGCCTTGAGGGGGCAGGCAGGTGCAATTAGTTCTCCTTAGAGCAAAGCCCGAAGTGTGGCCGCCTCCACTGGGCTAAACCCTCCATGGGTCTGCACCAGGATGGTGTTTGTGACATCAAGTCATCACAGGACAATTTCCTAGGACTGAGCAGAAAAGGCTGGCGTCCACATCTCCCTTCAGTCCACTGCCAGGAGAAAACTTCCCACTCTGAGTAGATGTGAAAGGGATAGCAGGTGACCGAAAAGTTCATTTCCACTAAATTCCGTGGTTTATTTATTTATTTAGAGACAGAGTCTTGCTCTGTCGCCCAGGCTGGAGTGCAGTGGCAAGTTCTCAGCTCACTACAACCTCCGCCTCCCAGGTTCAAATGATTCTCCTGCCCCAGCCTCTCGCATAGCTAGGATTATAGGCATGTGCCACCACACCTATAATTTTGTATTTTTAGTAGAGATGAGGTTTCACCATGTTGGCCAAGCTTGTCTTGAATTCCTGATGCCAGGTGATGCACCTGCCAAAGTGCCTCCCAAAGTGCTGGGATTACAGGAGTGAGCCACTGCGCCTCATGGCATCCTTGTTCAGCACACTAGTTACACTCGTGTATCTAGTACATTGTTCTCTAGTTTTTATATCTGGTGTTCCAAATGTGACCCTCAAAATTTAAATACCTGCCACAGTATCTAATGCTGCCTGGGGAGTTCCCATGGGCAGGGGCAAGCATAGCATTTGGCAGACCAGGAGGGAGCAGGGCCGGCAGGGCCGGCAGCGCTGATCCACCATGGCAGGAACGTGTGCCAGTTGTTTCAGCAGTCTGGGCTTCGCTTTCCTCATTGCAGTGAAGGTTTTAGAAAACTGTTAAAAACACTGTGGACACTAACATTTTTAGTCAAAAAAACTCAGCCAGGTGCAGTGGCTCACGCCTGTAATCCCAGCACTTTGGGAAGCCGAGGAGGGCAGATCACTTGAGGTCAGGAGTTCGAGACCAGCCTGGCAAACATGGTGAAACCCCATCTCTGCTAAAAATACAAAATTAGCTGGGCGTGGTGGCAGGCGCCTATAATACCAGCTACTCTACTCAGGAGGCTGAGGCAGGAGAATCACTGGAACCCAGGAGGCGGAGGTTGCAATGAGCAGAGATCACACCATTGCACTCCAGACTGGGTGACAGAGCGACACTCTGTCTCAAAAAAATGAACAAACAAAAAACCTACCCACACAAAAAAACCCGTGGACGGATGCTGACCTCAGTATGTACTGAGCATCTGAGCTGTGTTCATCCTTCCCAGAGGGAGGGGTTTGCCCAGGAATTCCCAGAAACGAAACAGCTGTTTCCGGAGAAGCAGCATCAATATCTTATTTTAGTGGCATCTGTTGGACACTCAGTAAAGCACTGTCTGTGTTGTTTTCAAAGTTTATTTTATTATTTATTACATTTTTAAGCACAGATTTCAGGCTTGGGAGACGTACAAAGATGACACAGACATCCCTAATTATTAAGAACTTGGCCAGTATAAAAAGGTGGTAGACACCAAGGAATAAACTAGGGTTGTATTTCATAGAGGTGTCTATGGATGGACTTGTGGGGGGTTAAGGGGAATTTGGTGGACCCCTAAAATAATATGTAAATGTTTGGTTATGTGAATAGATTAATTTTGGGCGGAAGAAGGTCCATAACTTTTCCTAGATTTCTCGATTTAGCAGCGACTCAAATAAAAATCACTGGTATAAAATGAAGTAATGAGGGCTGGGCACGGTGGCTCACGCCTGTAATCCCAGCACTTTGGGAGGCTGAGGCGGGCGGATCATGAGGTCAAGAGATTAAGACCATCCTGGCCAACATGATGAAAGCCCATCTCTACTAAAAATACAAAAATTAGCTGGGCGTGGCGGTGCGCACCTGTAGTCCCAGCTACTCAGGAGGCTGAGGCAGGAGAATCGCTTGAACCCAGGAAGCAGAGGTTGTAGTGAGCCAATTGCACTCCAGCCTGGCGACAGAGTGAAACTCTGTCTCAAAAAAATAAAAAGAAAAAAGGAAGTAATGAGGCCAGGTTCAGTGGCTCACACTCTCACCTGTAATCCCAGAACTTTGGGAGGCTGAGGCAGGAGGATCATTTGAAGCCAGGAGTTTGAGATTAGCCTGGGCAACATTCCAAAGCCCTGTCTCTACAAAAAATACACAAATCAGCCAGAAGCAGTGGTGCACACCTGCAGTGCCAGCTTCTTGGGAGGTTGAGGTGGGAGGACACTTGAGCCAGGGAGGTCTAGGCTGCCTGGACCCATGTTCACAGCACTGCACTCCACCCTGGGTGATAGGGTGAGATTCTGTCTCAAAAAAAAAAAAAAAAAAAGTAACTGAACTGTAGAGCTAGAGCTAGTGGTTGAGTACATCAAATGTAGCAGCTGTTCTTCTAGACAAGAACATGAGCTCAGTGGTTTATTTCATTATCATGAATATCAGTGGAAACATAAATAATAAAGGATATCTCAGGATATACCAGAATGCCTCTTGCTTGTTCACTTTGAGGGAACATTTCCCTTCTTATCTTTACCTCACGTCTTGTCTCTCTTGGGACTATTCCCTGCCCAATTATGTAACCAAAGCAGTACCTACCTCATTCACAAGTGTAATAGTTTATTTGAGTAGCTCTTGCTAAAAGATATTAGAAAGCATGATGCAAACTGAGGCTTCAAAGTATTTATACGCTGGGGGTTGCCCAACTGGAATGCTCCTTATTGGAGCCCAGCCACCATGTTGAGAGGAAACCTAAGCTAGTCCCATGGAGAGGCTCTTGGACCACATGGAGAGCGGTCCGGTTGTTCCAGCCATCCCGTGTAATAATCCACGTTGACCCATGTCAACAGCCGGAATGAACTGCCAGCCATGTGAGTGAGGCCATTTTGCATAGTTCAGACAAGCCAGTACTCCAGGTGATGCCACAATAAGTGATTTTGTTGTTTTAATACACTAACTTTTGGGGTGTGTGTATTCTTTTTCAGCAATAGATTACCGAAACAATAAGTAATTGATTTTTTCTTTCTTTTTTTTTTTTTAAAGAGATGGGGGTCTCGCTATGTTGACCAGGCTGGTCTCAAACTCCTGTCCTCAAGTGATCCTCCCATCACAGCCTTCCAAAGTGCTGGGATTACAGGCATGAGCCATCATGCCTGGCCCAATAAGTAATTGATTTTCTATTGCTGTCTTCTAGTCCCTCTTCTACTGACTACAGCTACTTTTGCCATTTTTTCCGTTGTGTGATAGATGCTTTCAGCACTGTATTCAGTAAATAGCCTGTAGCATCCTTTTTAAAAAAAAAGCCCTTCCAAGTAAAGGCATATTTCAAACTGTATTAAGAATATTTTCTGGCTGGGCATGGTGGCTCATGCCTGTAATCCCAGCACTTTTGGGAGACCAAGGTGGGCAGATCCCTTGAGCTCAGGAGTTTGAGACCAGCCTGGTCAACATGGCAAAACCTCGTCTCTACAAAAAATACAAAAATTAGCCGGGCGTAATGGCGCTCACCTATGGTCCCAGCTACTCGGAAAGCTGCAGTGGAAGGATTGCTTGAGCCTGGGAGGTGAGGCGGCAGTGAGCCATGTTGTACCACTGCACCCCAGGGTGACAAAGTGAGACCTTGTCTCAAGAAAAAAAAAAAAAAAAAAAGGAACAGAACGTGAATATTTTCCATCATAATGACAGTCACTGCTGGAGTTTGTAAATGTACTCAAGAAAGATTTTCTTCATTAAATACATATGTCAAATAAATGGAGATTTGTGACCATTCCGTCAACTGTCATTTCTGTATCAGCTCAACAGTGTGGTACAGGTTATTAGCTGGTGCTTGGAAACAGGCACATTACAGGAAGTGAACTAGCATCATCACTGCAGTCCTCAACACAGAATTCCCATTCTGCTTTATCATGGTGCAAAGGACAAATCCGCATGTGAAAGGAAGGAAAAGTAAAATTTTAACAAAAACGAGTTGATGAGTTGCCCCTTGTTGTTAAAATTTGTTTAATTTTAATTAATTTTTATAGAAATAGCCAATAACTGCTTCATTCAACAGATATTCACTGAGTGCCTACCACGGGCCAGGAATATTCTTAAGTGCAAGATATAGCCATATCCTGAAAAAAAAGTGACATTGCTGTTACTGAGATGTGGAAGACAGCAGGAAGAGCAGATTTTTGAGAGAAATCCAGGAGTTTGGTTGGAAAGGAGTTATTTTGGTAATGTCTATTAGACATCTACGCAGAGATGCCAAGTGGGCTGAGGACACATATCTGAGAGTCCAAATTGGCTGATTTGCTTAACCTCTAAGCTTCAATAAAATGGTCAATATAATTCCTTTAAGCATTAAAAAATGTAATTTTAAACAGGAACTATTTTGAGTATTATTTCTTTAATTGTCTGGTGGTTAAAACCATTTTATCTTTTGTGACTTTTTAAAAAATTTTACTTTTTTTTACTTTTTGGGTTTAAGCGATCCTCCCGTCTCAGCTTCCCAAAGTGCTGAGATGACAGGTGTGAGCCATCATGCCTGGCTATCTTCCATGACTTTTAAAATCTGAGTATTGGCCAGGCACAGTGGCTCACACCTGTAATCCCAGCATTTTGGGAGGCCAAGGCGGATGGATTACTTGAGGTCAGGAATTTGAGACCAGCCTGGCCAAAATGGGGAAACCCCATCTTTACTAAAAATAGAAAAATTAGCCAGGCGTGGTGGCAGGCACCTGTAATCCCAGCTACTTTGGAGGCTGAGGCAGAAGACTTGCTTGAACCAGGGAGGCAGAGGTTGCAGTGAGCCAAGATTGCACCACTGTACTCCCACTTGGGCGACAGAGTGTGACTCTGTCTGAAAAAAAAAAATCGAGTATTGGAAATCTTTTTTAAGACAGAGTCTTGCTCTGTCACCCAGGCAGACAATAACAAAAACACAGTATACAGTTGTGGAAACACAGCTCACTGCAGCCTTGACCTCCTGGGCTCAAGCAATCTTCCTGCCTCAGGCTCCTGTGTAGCTGGGACCACAGGCACACGTCACCATGTCTGGCTAATTTTTTTTTATTTTGTGTAGACACAGTATCTCTCCTTGTTGCCTAGGCTGGTCTTGAACTCCTGGGCTCAAGCAATACTCCCACCTTGGCTTCCCAAAGTGCTGAGATTACAGGCATGAGCCACCACACCCAGCCTGAAGATCTTATCTGAAGGTCAGGCTGATCACAATGACATCTTCTAAGAAATCTAGTGGAAATAACTGTATTATCATATATGTCATATATGAATGAAGACTGGTTTTAAAAATTTATGGTTTTATCTGGCTAAATTTTAGTCCTATTGCTAGGAGTAAGTTAATTTTTAAAAAGTATAAATCTAAGAAAAAAAGAAACAAAGTATAAATCTAATGCATCCCAGTAAGGATTTTAATTTTAAAGAAATCTAAGAGAGTATAACTGTTTTAGAAGTGATTTGGGAATAGAGTTGCTGATATTGGCCAAAGACCCAGTCAGACTGTGCAAGCATGTCAATAAACATCTATGTCCAAGCAATGGCGAAAGTTCACAAACACAGGACAACAAGTAGACTCCCATCATGATAAGAGTTATGTCAAAGAGTGTCACATACAAGGACACAGAGAAAAAGGAAACTAGTAATTCAAAACAATAAATTAAAAGAAGAAAAAAGCTGCAGGCATGCTGTAAATGTCCACCTCAAATGAGCATTTCTGACCTGCGAGTAGTGACTATCGGGCATGGGGTCAGTTTCATGGGTCTTGACCAACATTGAACACAAAGTGGAAAAAGAACTTCCACATCAAGATGGTGGATGGAAATACACATCTGATAGCTTGTACCCCAAACTCAGCTAAAACTGCAGTAAAGGAATTCAAACATACAAGCACACACACACAAATCCACAAGGACCAGGAAGACAGGCATCAACCACAACACAAGTTTGGAAGCTGCAAAGCATATGGACAAGTGGCAAAGGATCTAGTAGACTAAAGAAAGCGAGTCCTGACCAGCAGAGGGGAAGGCTGAGAAATAATGAGGTACACAGCAGACTCCTCCAAAGATGCGGGCACTGGCATCCCCAGATGCTGAGGTCCTGGAGGAGAGGAAAGGAGCAGCTGAATTAAGGAGGCTGGGGTAAAAAGGTGCTCAAGGTACAAACAAACCCCTAGATCCCTGTCCCCACTCCAACTTGTTCTCTCTCAGCAGACACTGGGATGCTTCTCTGTGGAGGGTAAGACAGAGGGGTCTCTAGCCTGGGGAATACCAAGCATAGCTGGACTCAGGTGCAACAAGAAACAGAGAGCATGGGGCTATATGCACACACACCCTTCCCACTCAGCTCCTAATGCTGACATCAGACCTCTACTCTCCAGTCTGAAGATTCATCTCTAAGAGAGCAGACCAACAAAGAGAAAAGACTTTAACACACTGACCTCAGGGATCCCTCAACTAACAGCCCATCCAGATACCCCACAGTAAAAGAACCTCTGATTTGAGAAGGCCCATGCACTTGTGTGGAACTTCCAATCAGCATTTCCATCTCTCTTCTCTGTATCATAAATAACCAAGGGTTAATGGGCACTTGAGGAAAGCCTCCAGTATGAACAAATAGACCCAAATAAACAGATTAGGGAAACTTAGAATGGTATATGCTGTGGATTCTTTTAAAACTTAATTTTTTTTTTCAGAGATGATACTCCACTCAAAAACAAAACAAAAAACAAGCAACAAAAAAAATCCCAGAATGTTATTTAGAATTTTTTTTTAAAAAGCTCTTGGGGCCAGGTGCAGTGGCTCAGGCCTGTAATCCCAGCACTTTGGGAGGCCGAGGTGGGCGGATCACGAGGTCAAGAGATCGAGATCATCCTGGCCAACATGGTGAAACCCCGTCTCTACTAAAAATACAAAAATTAGCTGGGCATGGTGGTGCACACCTGTAGTCCCAGCTGCTCGGGAGGCTGAGGCAGGAGAATCACTTGAACCCGGGAGGTGGAAGTTGCAGTGAGCTGAGATCGTGCCACTTGCACTCCAGCCTGGCAACAGAGCAAGACTCCATCTCAACAACAACAAAAACAAGCTTTTGGGAGGCCCTTGGGCCTCACAACACACATATTGTTAAGGCCTTGCCACCTATTTCATGGCATCTAATTATTATATATATATATATATATATATATATATATTTTTAAGTAAAATTAAAGCCTTTTTTTTTTTAGACCGAGTCTCACTCTGTTGCCCAGGCTGGAGTGCAGTGGTGTGATCTTGGCTCACTGCAACCTCTGGCTCCTGTGTTCAAGTGATTCTCCTGCCTCACCCTCCCAAGTAGCTGGGACTTAAGGTGTGTGCCACCATGCCCAGCTAATTTTTGTTTTAGTAGATGTGGTTTCACCATGTTGGCCGGCTGGTCTTGAACACCTGAACTCAAGTGATTAAAAAATACACTGGGGCTGGGCACAGTGGCTCATGCCTGTAATTTTAGCACTTTTGGGAGGCCCAGGTGAGAGAATTGCTTGAGGCCAGGAGTTTGAGACCAGCCCGGACAACATGGTGAAGCCCCGTCTCTACAAAAAATACAAAAAAATTAGCTGGGTATCATAGCATGTGCCTGTAGTCTCAGCTACTCTGGAGGCTGAGGTGGGAGAATCACTTGAGCCCAGGAATTAAAGGCTGCAGTGAGCCATGACTGTGCTACCGCACTCCTCACTGGGTGACCGAGTTAAGACCCCGTCTAAAAAAAAAAAAAAAAAAATCAAGCTCTTGGAAATCTTTAAAAGGTATGATAGTAGAGGGAAAAATCATAGAAGGATTGGAAGGTAAAGTTGAAGAAACAGAGTAACAGAGATGGAAAAATGGGAGTGAAAAGATAAAGTGGAAGGTCAGTAAAGGAGTTCTAACATCTGAATAACAGGGATAAGAGAAACCAAAAAAAATCAGAAATCATAAAGAGAAATCAGAAAATAAACAAAGGGAGGCAATTATCAATGAAGTCATTAAATTCCCCAGGACCAAGAAAATATGATTTTGATTGAAAGGGTTCAGCGTGCCAAGCACAGAGGATGGAAACACCCTCTCCAAGGCATGTGATCATGGACCACTGGAGGAAAATAAGGTTCTAAGAGTTACAAGAGAGAAAGAAAGTGGTCACATACAAATGGCTGCTAGACCACAGACCAATGCCTTCAAAATTTCAAGTAAAAATGTTATCGAAATACACACTATTAAAACTATCAATGATGGGAGAAGAGAATAAAGATATTTTCAGACATTTCAGATCTCAAAACTTTTACCTCCTACACACGTTTACAGGGAACCTACGCAAGGATGCATGCCACCAAAAAGAGGGAATAAGTCAAAATAGGAATACACAGGACACAGAAAATAGGAAATTTAACATAAGAGGCAAAGAGAATCACCAGGGTGGTGGTATGCGAAAGTCAATGGAACTACAGAGATCTCGCACATGGCTGAGACCATGAAGGTATTATGTTCCTAACACAAATGGCTTAAACACAAGCTGCATGACTCTTAGATTATCTGAGCAAGAATGCTGTTTCCTAAACTGAAATACAGAAATTAAAAATCTGCCTGAATTCAACTGATTCTATATAGTCTTATACACTTCTATATGCAGGTATACATGAAGCTGGTAACAGCACTGGCCTTGGCTGGGTGACATGGCTCATGCCTGTAACCCTAGCACTTTTGGAGGCTGAGGCAGGTGGACTGCTTGAGCTCAGGAGTTTGAGACTAGCCTGGGCAACATAGCGAGACCTTGTCTCTATTTTTAAAAATAAAACAAAAACTAAACAGTAGTGGCCTTTAGGGCAAGTGGGTTGTGGGCCCCTAGCAAAGAGATGAGGAGAATGACTTTTCACCATTCACCCTTTTATTTTTTTGACTTGTGTACTACAAGTAGTACTTGTTCAACAATGAATATATTCCCTAATTCAAAAAAGAATGGAATGAAAAATATCATCACACGTAACAAGAATGTTTTATGAAAATTAAACATATAAAACTGGATCCCATACACATATTAATGTTATACTATAAAATGTTATATTTATATTTATTTATATACATGTGTTATATTTATATTTATATATAGTTACAGTGTTATCTAACACTATAAATGTGTTAAAGAGGTTATGATAGAAAATGTTTCTTACTGAAGGTTGCAAAGAAGTTTGAAAGCAATAAACCAAGAACTTTGGTAAAGACCTGCTTTCCTACAATACTGAGCATCCACTGGGTCCTGGGCACTCCCAGATCTGAGATGTTCGTGCCTTGTATGTGGAGGTGCACATGGAACCAAACCTCCCCACCAGGTGCTGGTATTCCAGGTGCAGTGTCCATTCATGTCTGTTCTAGGCCCACCTCTGTAAGCAGTGTTAGGGAGGGCCTCTGGCTTTGTGTGAGAAGGCCACTACAGGGAAACTTTGAAAAAAAATAAAGATGACAAAACATCACCCATAATTTTAAGGAATATTATTCTAAAACAAAAAATATTAATAAAATCATAGGTTTATTCCAATATTTTAAAATATTTTCTGTAACATTCCACTCAGAAGGTAGATAACCACAAAGTTCTTCCCTAAGGAAGGGTGCAAATGGAATGTAATACATTACTGTACTCTGTAGAATACAAACTGTGAAGACAAGGAAATTTAATTATTCAATTTTTTCCTTCTACATCATTTCTGCTGGAGAACTGCTCACTTAACATCCTAGAAGCTATCCTGTTGAGATTTGCTACCATGATACAGGAGTGATGAACCTTCACTCTCAGCATAATGAATGTGACACTGCCTACATCCATCCTGTGGGAGAGTTAAAAGGACAAGCCCCCTGCAGCACACGCCAACCAATCTATCAGAGCAATCATGCATGTGACTACTTCTGCCAAAATCCTCCAACTTAATTTTTAAATAGCTAAAATATGATCAAGGTCATATGGGTACTGCATTTGAAACTACAAACATCCTCTGTTCACAAATGTTCACTGTTATAGCAACAGCACTTTGGTACAGTCAAGGGCACAATCACATTTTTAAAAATCTAGAGCGAAAAGTAAACACGAAAGGGCATTTGCATGAGGCAGAGAATTCTGTTTCTTGGCAGTAGACAGAAAACTGGCTAAAGAAATAGGCTCACAGATAGGTACAATCTACAATTTGATTCTCTGAGTATTAGTCTTGAAGACATAGCTATACACATCCCAACATATAGCCTACTATTTTACATTAGTAGTTTCTTATATAACAGTTGGAAGAAAAACATATCAAAAACCAACCTAAATCATATTTATTAACCACTTTAATAAGCCCCTTTATACTTTCTTTTTTTTCAACCACTTTACTCCAGGTTTGGTTAGTATAATCATGAGACTGTCTAGCCTAATAGTCTAGAGAAAATTCTCCGGTTCCAAGACGATGCCTTGCTATGTAGCCATTAATTATTAAGCTCCTGGTAAACCCTGAATTAGATATAGAAATTTGCAAAACAATGATATATTTCCAAGAATGTGAAAAACAGAGGAAATTTAAGGCAGATGGTAACTCTAAGAAGAGTCACACGAGTATTAAATTGGCCCTCAGGAAATGGCTCATAGCAAAATCTAATTTTCTATCAGATGAGGGGGCCAGGCACAGTGGCTCATGCCTATAATCCTAGGACTTTAGGAGGCTGAGGTGGGAGGATCACTTGAATCCAGGAATTCGAGACCAGCCTGGGCAACATGGCAAAATCCCATCTCTACAAAAACACACATTAGCTGGGCGTGGTAGTGTGTACTTGTAGTCACACACACCCTTGGGAGGCTGAGGTGGGAGGATCACTTGAGCTCAGGAGGCAGAGGTTGCAGTGAGCCGAGATGGTGCCATGGCACTCCAACCTGGGCGACAGAGATCCCATTTCAAAAAAAAAAAGGAACAGATTGGGGGCTGCATTGTTAGGCTACACTGAGGAAATGTTCCTCTTATGGATCCACAGAAGAAAAATGACTTTTAGTGCCACGTGCCTTGCAATTATCTCTAGCAAAACAGCCTAGCTCCCTCAACCCCACTGTGTGTCTGGGAAAAGACAGTAAAAACATTTCCTTGAGAGGTGAAGACTAAAAGGAAGCTACCGGCTCACTGTGCACAGGTGAGAAAATGTCACGGTAAAGGAGCACCATGTGTTGATTTTAACAGCTTTTTCTAACTGGAGGAATCTGTCACATGCCATAGAAAAATTGCTCCCTGCCCTCTGAAAAAAAAAAAAATGTCATACAGAAAAATCAGGTTCATAAAAGAAAGTATACATCCAAAGTAGGCAAAAACTATGGTTTATGTTTTCAAAATATGCAAAATAATTTCACTATATAATACCTTGATTTGCATGTGACTTAGTACTTATTTCATATTAACCAGATTCACTTGCTTTCATAAATCTGTGTTTTAGAAAATCTATTTTTTAAAAATATCTATTTTTAAGCCAGAAGATAAACCTTACATTTGTGCATCCATGTGTAAAGCAATCCTGCTTGGCATTATGCAGCCAAGATACTAAAAGATTAATAACATAATTTTAAAAAGCTCCAGATACAGACTAACAAATAATATATTTCCTTAAATTTTCTGGGCTATACTACTGACCTGAATTCATGCAATCTGAATTTTCAGATATAAGTACCACTCAATGGTTGGTTGTTACAACTTAGAAGCAATAGGGTTGGGAAGACCTTCAAAATATTGGCCATTAAATCATAAGTAAAATTATTCTTAGAGCTGGATTATCATAAGTGGAGTGCCCTAACTTTTCTTATTTCATACTCAGCAAATTGATTCTAACATTCATAATCATGCCCTTTTATGTGCTTTAAGTGGACATACTGACTTTGCAGTCTATACTTTGTAAGAGAGCAGGTAACTCTAGCACAGAAGAAACCATGTAATGCGGAACTGGGGAGGACTTCAGTGGCACTATTCCATTTTTATTGATCCAGACTGTTGCTTTCAATCCTGCATTGAGGCCTCCTTGGATGTCGGTTTCTAATGTGTCACCGACCATCACACAGTCCCCAGGTTGTACTCCGAGAAGATTGCAGCAGTAATAAAATATGGACGGTGCTGGTTTCTCCTCTCTCTGCTCTCCACCTACAACAACAGCGTCAAAATAGGACTGACAGGCACAAGCCTCAATCTTCTCCCTCTGGGTCTGTCTGTCCCCATTCGTTAATAGAAGTAGGCGGACCTCCTTTCGAAGTTCAGTAAGCATGGCTTTGACGTCTTCTGCTAGTGTCATATGCTGTAAACGTGTAGATTTCCAAAGGAAATAACATTCTTCAGCCAATTTTCTATTGGCTGCACCACCTTTTGTTTCCTGGATTGCTTCTTCCCAATGTGAAGTCCTTAAATCAGTAATGCATGTATTGTAAGGATGAAAACATTCCTTGCTGAGTTTAACTTGAACTTTATCACAGATGATTTCAGCCTCTTCTTTATAATGGTATTTTGATTGTAAGAGTTTTATCACCTAAATAATGGAAAATAACTCCATTAACACATTGCATGTCTTTAGTAGTCATGCCCTAGGAAGCTGTGATCCTACAAGTGGCTGAGAGAGTCCAACTCCACTCCTCTGCTTTAAAGCAGCTACTAACTACACCGTTTCTGGTGGGAATTGGCCTTATTTTTAGAGACAACAAAGTGAGGCTCTCCCAACTGCTCTAGAACTCACTCATTTTTTAAAGCCAACTTCTTCATATATAGCTAGTAACAATCCTTTGTTTGGTAGTTTAGAGTCCAACATCTTTCATTCTGGTCATGAAGATATGAAAATAAAACTTGTGCTTTTTGGGCCGGGCATGGTGGCTCATGCCTGTAATCCCAGCACTTTGGAAGGCCAAGGTGGCAGGATCACTTGAGTTTAGGAGTTCAGGACCAGCATGAGCAACATATCGAGACCCCATCTTAAAAACAAAACAAAACAAAAACAAAAACTCGTTGTACTTATTTTTGGTAAAACATTTAAAATTTCTGACAACCACTATTTAGACTATCATCAGAAAAAAATAACACTTAGTTCATCTAATCTTTTCTCATCTACATCCATTTCACATTTTGAAGACCTAAATTGACTATCACCTATAATGGGATCCAATTCTACACTTTTATTTTTTTTGAGACACAGTCTCATTCTGTAGCTTAGGCTGAAGTACAATGGCACCAGCTCGGCTCACTGCAACCTCCACTGCCCAGGCTCAAGAGATTCTCCTGCTTTAGCCTCCCAAGTAGCTGGGATTACAGGCGCCCACCACGACGCCTGGTTAATTTTTGTATTTTTAGCAGAGACAGGGTTTCACAATGTTGGCCAGGCTGGTCTCGAACTCCTGACCTCAAGTGAT
Organism: Homo sapiens; assembly: GCF_000001405.40. NCBI lineage: Eukaryota > Metazoa > Chordata > Mammalia > Primates > Hominidae > Homo > Homo sapiens. Next base: position 25,617,453 of record NC_000020.11, read on the forward strand.
CTGCCTGCCTCGGCCTCCAAATTACTAGGATTACAGGCGTGAACCACTGTGCCTGGCCCAATTCTGTACTTTTTTGTTTCTGGATACAGAGTCTCGCTCTGTTGCCCAGGCTGGAGTGCAGTGGTGCAATCTCAGCTTACTGCAACCTCTGCCTCCTGGGTTCAAGTGATTCTCCTGCTTCAGCCTCCCGCGTAGGTGAGACTATAGGTGCCCGCCACCATGCCTGGCTAATTTTTGTATTTTTAGTAGAGGCGGGGTTTTACCATGTTGGCCAGGCTAGCCTCGAACTCTTGACCCCAAGTGATCTTCCTGCCTCTGCCTGCCAAAGTGCTGGGATTATAGGCATGAGCCACTGCGCCCGGCCCCAATTCTGTACTTTTGAGTTAAATACTCCCTCTTCCTGCGTTCCCAAGGCTCTTTATGTGGCTTTTATAACACTAATCCATTTGGCCTGTCTTGTAACTTTTCCTAAAACCCCTAATGTGGCAAGCATTGTACTACATACTTACATACATTATTTCTAAACTTTTCTACAATCCTGCAAGACAGTTCCATGTTCCAAATTAGGCAGGGAAGTGCAGAACTGTTAATAACTCGCCCATCTGGGATCTGCATCCATACCTGCTTACTTCCAAAGCCCACATGCTTGCCTTTGCACTATGTGTTAAGCACTAGAGACTGGCCTTTGTCGTTGAGGCATTATCTGGTGGGGAATATAATATACAACCACTACAAATCATGGGCCGGGGGTGGGGGAAATGCCATGACAGTAGTTTGAACAAGCTGTGGGAATAATATGGAAGTCATTCCACAGGGTAGCTGGCAGAGGAAGTCACATTGAGACCAAGGAGTAAACAAGCAGAAAAAGCGGGTTTGGGAAGAGAAGAAAATCATTCCAGACAGAGGAACAGCATGAACAAAGGCCAAGAGTTTAAAATTTTGTGGAAAAAGCAAGAAGCTGAGTTGAGCCCAAATGGAGGCATGTGAGGGAAGATGCCAAGAGATGCAACTGGGGAACCTGTTCACAGATAGTTTGTGAAGGGCCTTGAACCCCATGTTATAGCAGGTGCTGCCTAAATCCCCTTGGCACACACTATATTCACTCGCCAGTGGCTTCCCTCTCCAAGTATGGGCCTCTCTGCTTGTGGGCTTTACTTGGCCACACACAAGGGTATCTATACACACAGGATGGGGCTAAAAAGTATTGCCCTGGGAGCAGCCCTCAACAAATGTAGGGCAGAAACTGGCGAATAAATATCACAGCTTCCTTGCCCCTTGGGGAGCAAAACTGAACCCTGTTCTGTGTACTGTCCCCCAGAAATCTCCAGCTGCTCACAGCAGTAACCTGGTCATTAAGCTGCTCTAACCCGTATTGGACTCCTTCCCCTTCTTGTCTCCCCGACCCCTTAACGTGTATCCTGGGATCGCCTCAAGAACTGTCTGCACTGGAAATCCTGTGTTCAGGTGAGCACCTGAAGAAAGTCAAACATGCCAGGCAATGCTGGCTCTTTGAAATGCACCCAGCTACAGTTAAAATATATCTGTTGTAATGGGACTAGGGAATAAACAGTATGCCACTCACACCAAAAACTCAACTCACCTACTGAGAGAGGAACGCATGTGTTTTTCTTCCCTCAGAGTAAAAGAATCACAACAAAGGAAAAGGGTCTTTTTTTTTTTTTTTTTTCCCCAAACAGGATCTTGCTCTGTTACTCAGGCTGGATGGAGTGCAGTAGAGGAATGATTATAGTTCACTGTGGCCTCAAACTCCTGGGCTCATCTCACTTCAGTCCCCCGAATAGCTAGAACTACAACTGCACACCACCATACCCAGCTAATAAATTTTTTTTGTAGAGACGGGTCTTGCCATATTGCCCAGGATTGTCTTTAACTCCTAGCCTCAAGCAATCCTCCTGCCTTGGCCTTCCAAAGTGCTGGGAATTACAGGTGTGAGCCACCGTGCCTGGCTGAAAGGAAAATATTTTTTGAGGTATTTGTGCTAATCAGAAAATGTATCAGAAGACTTGGCCATATGAGAAAAAAAAATTAAAGAAAAAAGAAAAGAAAATGTAATCATTAAGAAAAATCTTATCTGCCCAAGAAAAATATACCAGCCCTAGGAATTTTAGGTAAAGGCAAAACGCTGTAAATTTTTGCTTTATACATCTCTATGAACAAATAAAGCTTTCTCAATCTCCATGTTTATCTCACCATCTTTGCTAGCAACATCAATTGAAGGACTCTTAAGCTATGATTGACAGGAGCTCCAAAGTTTCAGCAACCCTACAGCAGTGCAAGGACACATGCCTCTAGGACTCCACAGAGCTTGCGCTTAGATACGGGCTGGCTCATAATCAGCTCCTATACAGACCCAATTTCCTACTGGCTCCCAGTACAGACCCAATTTCCTGTTACTTCAACTGGCACTTCATTAAGCACATTCTTGGGGCTCTGAAAAAGCAGGATTTGCTCACCTTAAAAGGGAGATGTTTATAAAGGCATGGTATGCCACGCCCAAGTTTCAAAATCTCTTCCTATTCTATCCCTTCAATTAACTTCCTCATTTTGTCATACAGCAACTAATTACAGGTTGGTATGCGACAATAAGTAGCATTTTAACAATATTAACATCTTTAGGAAAAAAGTTTATCAGCATTCATTTATTAGTTCAAACAGAAATTAACACCTACCCTGAATTAGTATGCGTTATTACAAACTCTCCTAACACCTGCACTGAAAATGGGAGTATTGATTGAATTGGAGGTGAAGGAAAAAGCTCTCTAACTTGGAGGCGTGATGATACTTTGTGTCTGACTGGTAAGGCAGGGCTGAAAAAGATTTTGGTATAAAGAGCCCACAAGGTGCTCGCTGGCCTGAAGAAAGGGGCCCTGCTCTGACAGAAGGGCTATCCGTTAGTAGATCAATATGAACTCAAACTTCACCCACTTCAAAACTCTATTTTAAGGCTCTCTCTGAACGTATACGAAAAAGGAAACTCTATTCTTCTGTCTGCTCCCTAGACCCAGAACTAAAGTTAGTATCATCAATACTTTAGTTTAGCTAACTGATTTTAAAAGACTTTTTGAGGGCTTAGTTTGGAACCATCTAATACTTTACAACACTTTAAGAAAAGTGTATTCTGAATACTAATCATTTGGATATGAAGCGTATAGCAGGTGCACCTGACAGCACTAACTTACGCACACCCTTAGAATGACCCTGTGGTCTATGAGGAATGTGTATTCGGGTTCCAAGATAAGGAGTCCAGGAGTGTCCAATCCAGAGATTCATTCCTTATTTATGAGGAGGATCTGAACCATGGCCCATCCCATCCTGCGGAACTCAGGTTGCAGAGGGGATAGAGGCCCCCCTTTTTTTTTTTTCCATTAAATGAAGGTAGCCAGGAGGAGGTTGCTGCAGGGAGGGTGCTAAGTGAAAATGCTATATAAACTGCATTCTTTTTACAAGTGGCTGCAGTTCTGTCCAGCCCGCCGCCAATGGACCGTCTTGTATATAAGTTCCCTCAAAAACCGTTCCTCATTTGCTGGCTCCGGGTCTCATCTTCAGCCTCTTGAACATGGTGCTATCCCTACTGAAATCAATAGGGATCCAGCACGACAGAAGGGGATGAATTCCAAATAAAACTATTAACAATTTTAAAACACGCTCACAAAATGAGGCCTGCACTCAGCCTAGCAATTCAAGCAGCGCTTCTGTTATTTTTATTTCAAGTCTGTGCACAAACATCACCTACTCGATGAGGCCAAATCTGACCAGTCTATTTAAAATGTTGATTTGTTACCCTCTCTGCTTTTTCTATCACACCTGTAAATATTTATTATGTTCACTGCCATACCCACTAAGAAGTAAATTCACAAATGCAGAAATCTCTTCTGCTTTGTTCACTGAGAAACTCCAGGCTTCTGTAGAAAAGTTCCTCTTGAGTAATTACCATGAAAAACAGGTCTAAAGAGGGAGAAAAAAAATAACTTCCCTAGGTGATTAGAAAAAATTAAAGTTGATACATACAGTCAGTATATGACCTCTTCTCCCCAAGCCCAAGGCCATAAATGGCTGGACCTTTCCCTCTTCCTCCATTCATAAATTATTATTATTTTTTGAGACGGAGTCTGGCTCTGTCGCCCAGGCTGGAGTGCAGTGGCGCGATCTCGGCTCACTGCAAGCTCCGCCTCCCGGGTTCACGCCATTCTCCTGGCTCAGCCTCCCCAGTAGCTGGGACTACAGGCGCCCGCCAACACACCCGGCTAATTTTTGTATTTTTAGTAGAGACGGGGTTTCACCGTGTTAGCCAGGATGGTCTCCATCTGCTGACCTCGTGATCTGCCCATCTCGGTCTCCCAAAGTACTGGGATTACAGGCGTGAGCCACCGCGCCCGGCCCATTCATAAATTATTTACAATGATTTGTAATTATAAAGGAGGCAGTAATAGAACCAAGTCTCGAAGTAAAAATTTGTATCCATCCATCCAGCATTTATTCAACATTTGCCATGTGTCAAACGAGGATAATTAAGACAGCTTGTTCCCTCCCAAGAAGCTCACTATTTAGTAGTAGGCACCTGAGTTGCAAAATTAATTGAAATATCCTTTGACAGATGCATTAAGAAATATCTGAACAAAATACAGCACTACTATAAGTGAGGGTGTAAAGACCAGGGAGGCATACGATTTAGTCTTTGTTTTAAAAATATTGCTGTGGCAAGAATGTGGAGGACACACTGGATGTGGTAAACCTGGAGACAAGCCCACAGCAACAGTCTAGGTGAGAGATGAGTTCAGCTGTAACTGAGACATGCACGGGGCATGTGCAGTGGTGGACAGACAGCGTACGAGGGTGGAAGGTGCTATAGTTCGCTGAGTGGACACTGCAACCATGGGCTTCCCAAGTATTACAGGGTTATTGAGGACTAATATAATTCACATTTTATGAAGATATAAGGCTCCGAGTGGTTAATTCCTTGAGGCACTTTCAGCTAGGTTTTGGGAGAGCTGTGATTCATATTCAAATGTCTGATTTTAAAGCCCAAACTCTGGGCCTACAGCAAGAATTGGCCTAAAGCAATAATTTAATTGAAATGCACAGGACTCAGCTTACTAATAACACACAGGTAAATATGTAACATCTGCAGCGAGAGATACTGGAGGCAATATGGCACAGGGTGGCACCCCTGAGGTGGAGGCCAACAAGTTAAAAGTGTGGAATGCCTCAGTAAAGTCATGAAGACAGACTTTAAAAATGTCTACTGATTCCGGCATTTTGGGAATGCCTAGTGATCCAGCAAGTCTATTTCAGTCTAGCGGTGAAGATAAAGCGACATTACGATGGATTTAGTAATAAATAGGAGGTAGAGACAAGGAGATAACGGGTATAGATTTCTCCGGGAAAACATGGCTGTCAAGAGAGACAGGCAACATCTACAGCAGGAAGAATAGCCCAAAGGGAGGCATCCTTTTTACAGCTTTTTTAAAACTATAGGGCAAACATGAATATGCGGCAGGAGTGGAATGCAGCTAAAAAGAAAACGGATGAGGTAGTGGAAGATCCAGGGACACAAAAACTAACTGATGAAGCATGAAGAGGACGGGGCGCTCAGGTTTGGATGAATTAGCTTTTGAAAGTGAGTTTTCCACATCTGATAAATCCTTCCCTTTCCCCTTGAAGCTGAAGGTAGAGAAAGGGAAGCCGGGGTGGACTGGGGCTGGAACACGGGAAGGTCTGAAAGCGCCTCCGCGCGTGTAGAGGGGCAGTGCCGCGGAGGAGCGCCTCAGGAAGGGCATGCCCTCGCAGCACGGGCTTTTGCTGTGTCACGTGTCAGAAAGCCACGGTGACCACCACCCCGCCAGGGAGGCCAGAAGAAGTTCTGCGGCGACAATTCTCTAAAGCAGGGCTTAAGTCCAGGCTCGGTACTGACAGCCGTGTCCCTTCTTGGGTCAACACTGGGGCTAACTCTACCATGTCTCCTCCCAGCAACCCCGAAAGTCGCATGGGGGACACGACCCTCTGTCGAGCTCCACACCGACAGTCTGACCGGGGGCGGGACCAGCGCCTGGTCTCGCGGCTTTGCTGTCGCCTCCCGCGCCCACGGGCACCTCCGCCACCGTGGCAGCCGTCACGGAGCCCTTCCGCGTCCCGAGCGCCAAGGCACCTGCGAGCAGCCGCTCCAGGGCTCGAGATTGGGTGACAAGCGGCCGCCAGGCCAGGGAAAGCAGACCCGCAGGGCCCGCGCGCCTCCAGCCACCTCCGCACCCGCACGCTCCACAGGTTTCAACCAGCAAGAGCGGCCCGCGGCGCCGGGGTGGAAGTGGGGTCAAGGGGAGGTGAGCGTGCAGGACGGGGCGGGGCGCACTGACCCCGCCCAGAGGAGCGCCATGGGTGGGGACGTTACCTCCAACATGCCTCTCCTGCTCGCCCCGGCCGTGTCGATGAGAGTGTTGTCCAAGTCAAAGAAAACCGCCCGCACGCGGCTCAGCCCCATAGCGCCGGCCGCTGGCGCGAACCGTAGCCTTGCCACCGCCGCCTGCGCATGCGCAAGGCGGACTGCCCAGAGAGACGTGGGAGGAGCCGCGAAGTCACCAGACCATCTCCCGGCGCGGGTGGAATTCCCGCGATCTGTCTCATTCCCTGCGCCGCCGAGAAAAGTGAGATCCCGCGAGACTCCCAGGGTATGGTCTCTCAAGAGCCCTGGAAACGTGTGTCGGCGCCGCCGGATGCGGCGACTTCTCAGTGGCTGTGGCTGGCGTTGGTCCGAAGCGTGGTGTTCTTCCCTGGTGTCTTTCTGCTTATCTCTTTCCTCCCTGGGCCCTCCGGCGCGAGGGACCGTCATCACCTCCCCGAGAGAGGTTGTCCGCGCTGCCAGGCGCTGGGCAGCAGGCTCTCCGGGTGGCCGGGCGGGCGGCGCGGAGACGTCGGCGGGCCTGATGTCTGCCTTGAGCGCCCGCGGTCCTAGCCTGCCTGTACGCGCAGGTCACTGTAGGTGATCTGGGGACGGGGGAAGGTGGAGCCTGCGCCTTCCCGCCTCGCGCCATTTGCGGCCTTCGCCGGGGTGGAATCCCTGTCTGCCTGGGCCCGCGCCAGCACGTTTCTGAAGGATGTGACTTGGGTCTCTTACAACCCGTTTAGTACCTGTGCCCTAAGACGGAGGGGCTGTGTAGTGGCTGCCCCATGTTTTGCCCTTCCTGATTGTTTTCCTGAAACCTTGCGTTCTCAGGTCTTTGGATGCCTTTTACTCGGTTGTTTTCAGGCATAGCAAGAGGTTGAGGGACGTCGACCGCCTTTTAAACCCGCGGAAGGGCTGTAGCAACTCTTGTCTCCTAGTGCTGGCAGAACGGGGATCGTAACACTAATCTCTAATCTTTGTCTCTCTTGGGTACCTTTACTGTAATTTGGATATGTGGTCATCATTAGTGACCAGAAATTGACTGTCAGGTACAGGCCAATTACCTGATTTTGTTTAGCCAGTGAGCTAAGTGGTTTTTTTTATTTTTTAATTTATTTTTATTTTTATTTTCGAGATGGAGTCTTGCTCTGTCACCCAGTCTGGCGTGTAGTGGCACGATCTTGGCTCACTGCAACCTCCGCCTCCCGGGTTCAAGCAATTCTCCGGCTTCAGCCTCCTGAGTAGCTGGGATTACAGGCGCATGCCACCACCCCCCGGCTAATTTTTGTATTTTTAGTAGAGACGGAGTTTCACCATGTTGGCCAGGCTGGTTCTCGAACTCCTGACTTCGTGATCCACCCGTCTTGGCCTCCCAAAGAGCTGGGATTACAGGCGTGAGCCACCGCGCCTGGCTAAGGGTGATTTTTACATTTGTAAATGGATTTAAAAAATCAAAATAACAGTGTTTTGTTACACATGAAAATCAAGAAATTTTAGTGCCCATAGTTGCATTAGAACACAGCGCACACATTCATTTCTGTATCGTCTGTGGCTGCTGTTGCCATACAGAAGCAGACAGAGTTGAGTAATTGTAAGCGAGACCACGTGGCTGGAAATCCTAAAATATTCATTATTTAGCTCTTTAGAGAAAAAAATTGCCAGTCTCTCACCTCGCTGGTGGAACTCCTTAACAGACCACTGATGTTCAGTAGGTTAGATTAATTGGTTTATCTTTATATTAATAGGAGTTTCTTCTGCAGCGTTAGACTACCTACAGTTTCTATATTTTATGGAGCACAATCACAGTTGACATCTCATTGCTATGGTGGAGAATAAACCCATAGGCATTCCTCAAAACCATGACTCCTTTCTGTGCTTACCTCATTGACGTATAGGGCTAGCCTATCAATTGTGGACATTTAGATTAGCAATCAGCCAAAATTATGGTGAATTAATTGGAGTTACTTTTAATTGCCTGAAATGTCAGAATCAATTTAGCATAAAACTATAGGCACAGGAAGCTTATAGGATTGGAGCAGCTTTTTTTTTTTTTTTCTGACTTGCATGCAGAGTTTGTTGTTTGCTGATTTAGGCAAAAATCTAAGGTTAGATGAGGCATAGCAGTCTGTATAATCCTTTTAAGGGGATGCGTTGTTTGATAGATTTCCTTTTGTGACAAGTCGTCTAATGGCATTCCATGACCTGTCCAACTTTGTGTAGAGCACCCTATTCTGTTGCTGTTCATAAAAATCTGAATCTGTTGTCCCACACATAGCACCAATTGAAAATAAAAAACAGGAGAGGGAGGATTAAAATTGGCCTATACCGCCTCCTCCAATTGCAGAAACATCGGTGCTGCCTCCTTCGGTAGTAGAAATAGAAACCCCAACACAAAGAATTTTACGCTCTGCTGTCATAGCTGGAGAGCCCTTAGGACCTTGCGCTTTTCCTGTTTCCATAAGGCCTGATCCAAATAATCCATAGTAGGTAATTCATGAACACACTCCACAGGAATTTAAGTTGTTGAAGGAATTAAAAACTAGTGTGGTCAATAATGGAGTACAAAGCCCATGGTTCCCAGAGGAAGGAATTCTAGACATAGAACTCTGGGAACAAGTGGGGAGAAACCTTAAACAACATCAGGCGCAAAGGCATCAGGTCCCAGTAAAATCTTTAATGTTATGGGCTTTAATTTGAGCAGCCCTGGCTCAGTTACACACAGAAGATCCTAAAAAGAGGAAGGAGAAGAAAACATCACCTGCCTTATCACCTCCTCTTCCCTCAGCCCCAATATCACTGGGCCAAAATAACAAAGAGGAAACAGAGGTCTTACCTAAGCCGCCTCCTCCTATAGATAGGGAAAAGGACAGAGGATATACTACAGCTATCAGTCCCTGTCCAGGTGCCACTATGTAACTAGCATGGACCTAGGGGGACTGAACAAAGAGGGGGAACACAGGAATGAAAGACGAGATAAAAATATATTTGGAAGAAGGGGTCGGGGGCACCTTGCCTCTAGTGGACAAGGGGCCTGAGCTTTACACAGCCCTCCGTATTTATTAGGCAAAAGAGATAGCGAGAAGGGGGGCGATTGTTGGGTAATAGTCGGCCATTTGGTTCACAGCAGGCTTGCGAGACTGCATCCTTTGGACAATAGGCGCTAGATTTCTCAATAGATAACTTTAAGGAGCCTGGCACCAGGGAGTGATGTCCTTCAGCAAACCTTTTGGTGGCAGGGCAATGTGAATTTGCCCACATCCTGCATTCATGATAAACAGTTTGCTGTTTGATCATATAGCCTCCGGTGGAATGCTGAGTTGGTCATGTCCCATGGGTCTTCGGCTCCTTGCAACTTTGCTACTTGAATAATGGCTAGATGCAGTAAAACCTGACAGCTTTATTATTTTATTATTAACTGTTTTTTTGAGATGGAGTTTCACTCTCGTTGCCCAGGCTGGAGTGCAATGGTGTGATCTCAGCTCACTGCAACCTCCACCTCCTGGGTTCAGGCAATTCTCCTGCCTCAACCTCCCAAGTAGCTGGGACTACAGGCATGCACCACCATGCCTGGCTAATTTTGCATTTTCAATAGAGACGGGGTTTCGCTCTGTTGGCCAGGCTGGTCTCAGACTCCTGACTTCAGGTGGTCCACCCACCTCGGCCTCCCAAAGTGCTGGGATTGCAGGCATGAGCTACCGTGCCTGGCTGACACCTTGATTGATTGATTGATTGAGACAGAGTCTCACTCTGTTGCCCAGACTGGAGTGCAGTGGCGTGATCTCAGTTTCCAGCTTCAAGCAATTCTCCTGCCCAAGTCTCCCTAGTAGCTGGGATTAAAGGTGCGTGCCACCATGCCTGGCTAATTTTTGTATTTTTAGTAGAGATGGGGTTTTGCCATGTTGGCCAGGCTGGTCTTGAAATCCTGACCTCATTTGATCTGCCTGCCTCAGCCTCCCAAAGTGCTGGGATTACAGGCATGAGCCACTGCACCCAGCCAGCTTTTTTTTTTTAATTAATATTATTCGAGACAGGGTCTTGCTCTGTTGCCCAGGCTGGAGGGCAGTGGCACAATCTCGGCTCACTGCAACTTCTGTCTCCTGGGCTCAAGTGGTCCTCCCACCACCATGTGGCAGCATGCTTGGCTAATTTTTTTTTTTTTAATTTACAAAGAAAAGAGGCTTAATTGGCTTATGGTTCTTTGGCCTATATAGACTTCTGCTTTTGGGGAGGCCTCAGGAAACTTACAATCAGGGTGGAAGGTGAAGAGAAAGCAAGCACATCTTCACATGGCTGGCAGGAGAGAGGAGGTGGGGAGGTGCTACACACTTTCAGTCAACCAGATCTTATGAGACCTCTATCTCAAGAACAGCAAGGGGGACGTCTGCCCCCATGATTCAATCATCTCCCACCAGGCCTCTCCTCCAACACTGGTGATTACAATTCGACATGAAATTTGAGTGGGGACACAGACCCAAGCCATATCAACTAATAAAGATAACACTAACTGTTGTAACAAACTGCAAATTTTAGTTGTCTGGGCAGTGAAATAGAAGTTCACTTCTCATTTATATAAAGTGTGGTGTGGATTGGTCCTGGGTTGATAGTGTCATTTCTCCATGGGGTGACGCAAGGCCCAGGGTTTTTCTTGTCATAGCTTCGCCATCCCCTAGAACCTGGGAATCTTCTATCCCCGGGCACTGGAAACCTGGAGAGATCATCGGGGAAGCACACCTGATTTTGAAAAACCCTGGCCTGGAAATGACCACTTCCCCTCTGCTTGTAGCCTATGGTTTGGCCATGACAAAGACAAAGGTGGCTGGGAGATGTCATCTGTGGCTGGGCAGCTGTTCCCAGCAGCCCCTCTATCTTCTGGAAGGTGGAGCATGAATTTTTTGTTGGTTCACTTGTGAATCTGTCACACCAACGAGTGCTGTAAAATTCGGAGTGGGATTTTACATAGAGAAAGCTAGAAAAACAACTGTGTGTTCATGAGGCCAAGGCATCAGGGTTGAGCACAAACAATTTGAGTGCAGATTTGTCTCTGCTAGTTAATCTCACTTTACAGTGCCCCCAATGTCATGGGTTATCCGGAAGGTTATTTCATGTACCGCCTTTGTGTGGAAGCACATTTCCATAGATAGTAGATAAAGATCTCTTAACCTTATATTTTCCCTCATATCATCATAAATAGCTTATGCAATGCCATTTCAGTGAGTCTGACAACTTCTCCAATGAGGTCTGGATGCAGCAGCGTATCTTTTTGTTATATATAAAAAAGAGTGACAGCATTCATCGTTTACAGTGACATCAATGAATTCTGCTTGTAGAGGTTCCCCATCCATCCGTTCATAATACCTTTTATGACTTCAGGCTTTTAAACATCGCACTCTGGTCTGTTTTTCAAATATACCACCATTATCGGCTCAGGAAGCCATTCTTCAATATTTCATTTTCCTAAGAATATCTGGAATATCTTAATTCCTATGAGGCTTCTCCATGGGGTAGGCTCTCAGGTAGGACTTTAACAGGAAAAGGGGGAAAACTGCTGCTGGAGACACGGTTCCTGAGCACAGCTGTCTGCTCTGTACTGGGAAGTTAAAAGGGTTAGAAAAAGGGGAGTTATAACACAGACTGAGTTATATCTTGGGTCATTCCTGACCTGGAAACATATTAGCTCTTCAGAGCCCTTGAGTTTGCCATCAGGAGAAGGAGAGACACCCATTCAGGTGAAGCCTGGAACCACCAAGGGTTGGGTGAGGAATGGGCAGTGAATGTCCTTCCTAAGATACCCTTCTGCTGATGAGAAGTGCATTCTTGGTTTCCCAGGAAGTGCCCATTTGGACAGAGATGGAGAATTACGAGGGGCATTGCTTCTCAATGTTTTGTCACTTTTGAGGTGCCACGGTGTCTTTCTTTGGCCACCATTTCCTGGTTTCTTCCTTGTCTGCAGATCTTACTAGAGTTAGGCAAAATCAATTTCAGGTTCAGCTCTAGTGGACTGGGAACAATCTCCAGCAGGGAACTCCCTGGACAGTCTGGGGACAGCTGGGACGATTCCTGAAGCAACTTAGATAGGAAAAATCACGATGAGCTTTGATTTAGGGAAGAACATTGTTGGGCACCCTGAGTCCACCTGCCACCAGCCGCGGAGGGCATGTTATAAACACACCAGACACGCCAAGGATGGGAACATTGGACCTAATTTAGCAACAACAAATCCTTTCCCTCATGCATACTTCTCTAATTACAAATGAGATTGTGGTAGGCTTAGCATGGGTAAATAAAATTGATTCTGTCCACAAAATTGGAGATGATAAATGTGTTCAAGAAAGGGCTTCAAATGCCTAGCTGCTGATTAGAAAAGGCAAAATAATTGTGAGATGGTGACTAATAGATGGAAGGAATTGTGGTAGAATTGGTCTCCTTGCAGAAATATCACTGGTCTGATCTTTTCAAGATAATTACCATCAAATGACTGTGTGTTTCATGCTCTACCCTTCAGTTGGCCGAGGCATTGCAGGAATCCCCACATTGACTCGGCTGTAGGTGGCTCTGGCTTTCTCTCTGTTTGAAGCCTGTAACGGAGCCCCTCTGTTTTCTTTTTTCTTTTTTTTAATTATACTTTAAGTTCTAGGGTACATGTGCACAACGTGCAGGTTTGTTACATAGGTATATATGTGTCATGTTGGTGTGCTGCACCCATTAACTCGTTATTTACAGTAGGTATTTCTCCTAATGCTATCCCTCCCCCAGGCCCCCACCCGCAACAGGCCCCAGTGTGTGATGTTCCCCGCCCTGTGTCCAGGTGTTCTCTTTGTTCAATTCCCACCTATGAGTGAGAACATGAAGTATTTGGTTTTCTGTCCTTGTGATAGTTTGCTGAGAATGATGGTTTCCAGCTTTATCCATGTCCCTGCAAAGGACATGAACTCATCCTTTTTTATGGCTGCATAGTATTCCGTGGTGTATATGTACCAATTTTCTTAATCCAGTCTATCATTGGTGAACATTTTGGTTGGTTCCAAGTCTTTGCTATTGTGAACAGTGCCACAATAAACATACATGTGCATGTGTATTTATACTAGCATGATTTATAATCCTTTGGGTATATAGCACCCAATAATGGGATCACTGGGTCAAATGGTATTTCTAGTCCTAGATCCTTGAGGAATTGCCACACTGTCTTCCACAATGGTTGAACTAATTTACACTCCCACCAACAGTGTAAAAGCGTTCCTATTTCTCCACATCCTCTCCAGCATCTGTTGTTTCCTGACTTTTTAATGATCGCCACTCTAACTGGCATAAGATGGTATCTCATTGTGGTTTTGATTTGCATTTCTCTGATGACCAGTGATGATGAGCATTTTTTCATGTGTCTATTGGCTGCATAAAAATGTCCTATTTTGAGAAGTGTCTGTTCATATCCTTTGCCCAATTTTTGATGGGGTTGTTTGATTTTTTCTTGTAAATTTGTTTAAGTTCTTTGTAGATTCTGCATATTAGCCCTTTGTCAGATGGGTAGATTGCAAAAATTTTCTCCCATTCTGTAGGTTACCTGTTTACTATGATGGTAGTTTCTTTTGCTGTGCAGAAGCTCTTTAGTTTAATTAGATCCCATTTGTCTATTTTCGCTTTTGTTGCCATTGCTTTAGGTGTTTTAGTCATGAAGTCCTTGCCCACACCTATGTCCTGAATGGTATTGCCTAAGTTTTCTTCTAGGGTGTTTATGGATTTAGTCTAACATTTGTGGATGAATGAGTCTTCGTGTAGCATTTTAAGGAGGGGAGATGTACAGACTCATTACAGATGAACCTGTTTGCTAAGCACAGTACTTAAACTGCCATTTTGATAGATTAACACTAGTAGTTAGAGGACATCTTCAAATTTGCAGGAAACAAGGTTTGAATAGAAGATTTGTAAGTCACTGTTCTCAGTGGCTCATGCCTATAACCTCAGCACTTTGGGAGGCTGAGGCAGTCAGATTGCTTTAGGCCAGGAGTTTGAGACCAGGCTGGCCAACATGGTGAGACCCCATATCTACAAAAAATTTGAAAATTAGCTGGGTGTAGTGGTGTGTGCCTGTGGTCCCATCTGCTTGGGAGGCTGAGGTGGGAGAATAGCTTGAGCTCAGGAGGTTGAGGCTACAGTGAGCTATGGTCCTGCCTCTGCACTTTAGCCTCGGCGACAATAAGACTCTGCCTCAAAAAAAAAAAAAAAAAAAAAGATTTTTGACTGTGAGACTTGATCTAGGAATGAATGGAAATGCAACTGTAGTCATGTTTCTCCTGCATTCTTCCATCTGCAGAATGGCACCATTGTTGTGCGGATGCTGATGCCCAGCGTTGAGCCTGTCGTCTCCTATATTAGGGGAAGTTCTCCTGGCCCTTCCCAACTACCTCCCCTGTGCAAGTTTATTACAACTGAACGGCCTCAAGGGCAAGTGTGCCTTCTGGTTTAAAGTTTTCTCAGATTAGGGCACTGTCAGGTTTATAGGGATGAAACAGAAGCAACCAGAAGAGAATCTTAGGCTCCCACATCTACCCAGCTACCGCCAGCCCTTTCTGTTGTTTGCTGGATCCCACCCTTACTGAGGGGCATCTTTCAGCAATTCTTTCCTCCTTGGTTTTGCATCTTCAAAGTTCTCCCACCCTTTGAATCCACTCCATTTAGCATTTCACTGACACCACTCCACCGAAACTACTCTTGTCAGGCCACCAATGACCTTCACCTTGCTCTTCAATCGCCATTTCCTGGCCTCTTCTTATTTGTCCTATCAGTAGCATTTGAACTAGCCAGTCACTGCTTTCTCCTTGATAAGCTTTTTTTTTTCTCTTTCTGTTTTTCTTTTTGAGATGGAGTCTCACTCTGTTGTCTGTTGCCCAGACTGCAGTGCAGTGGCACAATCCTGGTTCACTGCAATCTCCACCTCCTGGGTCCAAGCAATTTTCCTGCCTCACCCTCCTAAGAAGCTGGGGTTACAGGTGAGCACCACCGTGCCCAGCTAATTTTTGTATTTTTAGTAGAGATGGGGTTTCACTATGTTTCCCAGGCTGGTCTCGAACTCCTGACCTCTAGTGATCCACCCATCTTGGCCTCCCAAAGTGCTGGGATTACAGGTGTAAGCCACCGTGCCCAGCTGATAAACTTTCTTTACTTGGCTTTTGGGACACCACACTTTCTTCATTTTCTTCCCGGCTCACTGACTACTCTTCCTAGTCTCTTTTCTGGTTCCTCCCATTTCCCTGACTTTCTGGTATTAGAGTGCCCCAGGGCTGCTTAATTACACGCACTTCTTTGGTGATCTCATTCACTTTTATGACTTTAAATACCATCTGTATGTATATGCTGATGACTCAAAATTGTATCTTCCCTGGATTCTTAACACTTAGCTTGGCCAGAGGATAGAAAAGTAAATACAGCCAATTAATCCCGGAAAGGTGGTCAATCATACTCACATTTTAAGAAATGCAAATCCAAACTATAAGAAGATACCACCTACATATATGGGATAAGCAAAAGTTTAACATTTGACAGTCAGAGCTGGTGACCATGTAGGAAAACAGGCCCTTAGGTACTGGTGGAGGGAATGTAAATTGGTGCAGCCTCCTTTGAGAATAATTTGGCATAATCTGTCCCTTAAACAATCATTCCCACTGCTAGGAATTTACCCTTGGAAATACTTTCACGACTTTTACAGGATGCAGATACTAGAGCATTTCCTGCAGCACTGTATATTCAAAAGGGTGGAAACCACCCTTGGGTGCTTCAGGAACCACAAAATAAAATTTGGCATATCTGCAGGATGGAATACTATGAGACCTAAATGTAAACAGAGGAGATTCTTCTGCATGTTGGGGATCACAAGATTCACAATGATTTATAGAAGCTGCCAACCAAAGTTTTCTTGGGGCAGTTTCCCTAGAAGTAGGATGAAAAAAGACTTCCTTTCATGCCCCTCCTTTTCTGTCCCCTTATTACCGAAGAGTGAGTGCAGGAGGATAAAATGTGGAGGCCCCTGCTTCCTTAATTACTGGTCTAGTCACAGCCATTCTTGAGGCCCACTTTCTCCATGAAGTATTTTTTTACATCCCATGATCCCAGGCACTTTATTTCTTTAGTTCTCAACAGTATCCCCAAATTACCAGCCTGCATCTGTCATCCTGTATTTATTGCTGGTTTTTTTTCTTTTCTTTTAGATGAAGTCTGGCTCTGTTGCCCAAGCTGGAGTGTGTTGGCACCATCTTGGTTCACTGCAACTTCCACCTCCCAGGCTCCAGTGATTCTCCTGCCTCAGCCTCAAGGGTAGCTGAGATTACAGGTGCCTGCCACCACGCCTGGCTAATATTTGTATTTTTAGTAGAGATGGGGTTTCACCGTGTTGGCCAGGCTGGTCTCAAACTCCTGACCTCAAGTTATCTGCCTGCCTTGGCCTCCCAAAGTGCTGGGATTACAGGCATGAGCCACTGCACCTGGCCCATTTATTGCAAGTTTTTGAGAGCACTAATATATTTATTATTCTCCCACAGCATAGACCTGTGCCAAATACAGAATAAGTTTCCAAGCATTTGTTGAAGTCAGAAGTGAAAATAAGAAGACACCAAATGAATAATAACTAAACTAGAACACACTCAAATTAATACCAGCTGACCAACAAGGTTGTCAAAGTATTATCAGAATACCTGATAATTGCTACCTGGGCTTTATATACTTAGCTACAGTTTCCATTATTCAGAATTGCAGAATCCTGCTTTCCCTGTCCTCCAAAATATCTGAATAAATCATGCAGCAGACAATGACAGAAGTATAAGAAAGTATATGTCTTTCTCATACTGAAACTGCTATTTGTCATATTCTTTTTTTTTTCTCTCTCACCCAGGCTGGAGTGCAGTGGCATGATCTCACCTCACTGAGAACCTCCACCTCCAGGGTTCAAGTGATTCTGCTACCTCAACCTCCCAAATAGCTGGGACTACAGGTGTGTGCCACCTTGCCTGCTAATTTTTGTATTTTTAGTAAAGACGGGGTTTCACCATGCTAGCCAGGCTGGTCTCGAACTCCTGACCTCAGGTGATCCACCCACCTCAGCCTTCCAAAGTGCTAGGTTTACAGGCATGAGCCACCACACCTGGCCTGAGTTTCTTATATACTTTGGATGTTAACCTCTTATCAGATATGTGGTTTACAAATATTTTCTTCCATTCCTTTCGTTGTCTCTTCACTCTGTTGATTTTTTTTTTCCTGTGCAGAAGCTATTTAGTTTGATTTAATTCCATTTATATATTTTTGTAACCTGTGCTTTTGGGGTCATATCCAAAAAATCCTTGCCAATATCATGGAGCATTTCCCCTAAGTTTTCTTTTAGTAGTTTTTTAGTTTCAGGTCTTACATTTAAGTTTGTAATACATTTTAAGTTGATTTTTGAATATGGTATGAGACAAAGTTCTGATTTCATTCTACTGTATGTGGTTATTCAGTTTTCTCAGCAACATCTATTGAAGAGATCGCCCTTTCCCCTTTGGCACTTTTGTCAAAAATCAATTGACCATAAATGTATTGATTTAGTTCTGGGCTCTATTTTGTTCTACTAGTATGTCTGATTTCACGTGTCAACCTCAAAAATCTGAGACAGGTCTCAGTGAATTCAGAAAGTTTATTTTGCAAAGGTTGAAAATCTGTGCCTGTGATACAGCCTCAGGAGGTCCTGATGACATGTGCCCAAGGTGGTTGGGGCACAGCTTGTTTTTGTTTTGTTTTGTTTTGTTTTGAGACAGAGTCTTACTCTGTTGCCCAGGCTGGAGTGCAGTGGTGCAATCTTGGTTCACTGCAAACTCCGCCTCCCAGGTTCAAGCACTTCTCTGCCTCAGCCTCCTGAGTAGCTTGGATTACAGGCGCCCGCCACTCGCCCGGCTAATTTTTGTATTTTTAGTAGAGACAGGGTTTCATCATCTTTACCAGGCTGGTCTTGAACTCCTGACCTCGTGATCCACTCTCCTCGGCCTCCCAAAGTGCTGGGATTACAGGCATGAGCCACCACATCTGGCCGGTTTTATACATTTTAGGGAGACATAAGACATTAATCAATATACGTAAGATATACATTGGTTCCATCAGGAAAGGTGGGACCACTCAAGCACAGAGGATGCTTTCAGGTCACAGGTAAGTGAGAGGCAAATGGTTGCATTTTTTTTGAGTTTCTGATTAGCCTTTCCAAAGGAGGTAATCAGATAAGCATTTATCTCAGTGAGCGGATAGATGACTTCAAATCGAATGGGAGGCAGGCTTGCCCTAAGCAGTTTTCAGCTTGACTTTTTCCTTTAGTTTAGTGATTTTTGGGCTCTAAGATTTATTTTCCTTTCACATTTCCCCCCCTTTCTTTTTTTAAAATCTTTTGGAGAAAGCATTTTAGAAGAAAGCAAGTCTCTGGTCCCAGGTTTTCTCGGATCATTCATGGCTAGGGTGGTTTATCCTAGATGTGTAGGTCCTGAGTTAAGAAAGCAATTTTTAGCAGGTTAGAATTCTCATGTTCTATGAAGAGAGAATAGGGAGAAAAAGGGAGAAAAACAACAACAAACAAAAGAACAATCCTGGAAAATCAATATAGGCCACATGACTCTGAAGTCTATACATCAGTAGGCAGGAATGAAAGTGGCTTATGTAAGTAAATAGGTTGCTGTTACTTTCTTCTGATGTTTAAGTTGTCCAGATTCAGTTTGCAGGGCTTTAAGAAATCACATCTTAGTTTTCAGTGATTTCAAATTAGGAAAATAAAAAAAGGAAAAGAAAGAAGAAAAGTATTGAAAACATTTTGGAGATCAGTAACCAGGAAAAATTAGAATTCAGTTCAAACTGTTGAAAATGATAAAAATTGAAGAACAGGCAAGACTAGACTCTAAGAACAGGTGTACTATAGTTTTTGAAGCATAATTTTTCTCTCTCTAGTTTCCCATTTTTACTAAAGACAAGTCATGATAGGACCAATTTGGCTTAGTATACTTGACCAGCTTATTTGTATAAAGTGCAGCAAGAAAAATGATTTTTTCAATAGGCTTTTAAAATTGGCTTTCATGGAACTTTGTTTCATAGAAGGAATCTCAGATGAGACTTTTTAAAGCCAAGCACAGCCATGGATTTGTATCATCAAATACTCATGAATTGTCTGAATTCTCCTCTTGAGGCTTTCAGATAACTTGGGGCCCTGGGCCTGTCAGAAAATGACAGTCTCTACTTACTACAGGTCAGGAGCCCTGTTCAGGAACTGTGTAGATGAGATGTGGGCCAGTTTTCTCAAGGAGCTTTTATTGGCTCTGTAAGTCAAGTTTGATTCCTTAAAGGAAAGCACACCATTCCAGTCAAAGCCTTGGTAAAATAACCATATTCTCAAATTGTGTCCTGTTACAAATGAAAACAGATTCTTACTCTGCTTATGCAATAACTATATTGCCACAGGTTAAGAATACTCACAAATAGCTCCCAAATTATGGAGAAATCAGATAGAGAGAAACAAATATGTTCCAGATTTTGTTCATAGGAGTATACTTAATTGTTAAAAGCTGTCAGTAGCTCAAAAGAAAGGTTTGTTTGACTGAAAAAACAGAACAAAGGATCAGCAACATTTTACGTAAAAAGTCAAAAAGATTACTTCAGTCTTCTATTAGTTCAGTCCATGCAGTTAACTTTTGTTTTGCTTGATATTCATGAACATTTCGGCTCTCTTTGAGTCCTGAAAGTTTTTCCTCTATTCTGATGTTGCAGCCTCCAAAGTTATCAGAAACTTGCATTGAGGAGCACCTGTTAAGAGTTTTATAGCGATTTTAAAACCACCTTCTAAAGAGGACCAAAACAACAATTGTCCATGGATGACAAAAAATTTTAGAGCAGTGATAGTCAAAGACACAATTGAGAAGAAAACTTGTTACCTCTGTGGCACACAATAATTTAACATAATTATAATTATTACTGATAATGTACACTAAGTCATATCAGAATTGTAGTTTTTCATAATTTTGGAACACATCAATAATATATTTATACAAATACAGCCCAAAGAAAACCAAAGAGCATTTCATATTTGACAATGTTTCCTGTATAATTTTTATACCAAAAAACCCCCATATATGTCATTTTTGGACTTTAGGGAACTTTATACCTTAAAGGATTAATTATGTCAGAAAAAGACATAATTTATAATTTCACTTTGGAAAGTTTGTCAAATATCAAAGGTTTAAAACACTCAATATTGCAAAATGAGATTACAGGTCATTGTAAAATATATTATTCATTTAACTGAAGTGATAACTTAAGGATTTCAAAAAAGGTTGAAAACCTTCATTCTTTCAGAGAGGAAACTTAATTTTCCAAATGATAAGCCCTAATGAAAACAGCATGAAGCCAATTAAATTTGTTTTTCAAAATTTTATAAACAATCTATAAAATTTTAATGTTAATCATAAGTTATAACTTCCATAAACTTTTTATAGCATTTATAACCTTTATTAGGGAGTCAGTTAATGCTTTAAGAAAACCTTGTTAATCTGACACAGGGGCCCATATGCTGGTCTTGCATTTGTGTGCCTTTGACATTAAAGGTTAATTTATAGAGAAACTGAACTATTTTATCTCTCAAAATCAGCCCATACAATCTCACATGCCCACCTCTTTCTTGATAGTCCCTTGGCCTTGAGGAGTTGAATAGCTTTAATTTCTGTGTCTCAGGAATGCAGTTTATTTTGATTGGCATCTTTTACCAGGCCTGAAGATGAGGCTTTAATTGCTGTCAGTGTTTAAGATTTAGCAGGACTTGGTGTCCTTTTTAGACCCAGGAGTCAAGGCCTTATAAATCAATGTCACAAGGACTCTAAAAGCACATACAGAAAGATATATGGATATAATAACTTTAATTTAAAAAATTGTTTTAATCTCAGTTTTTTCCTAAGCAAACCAAAACTTAATAATAATGGCATAGGAATTGTTTCAATAAACCATAAAGTCTGTTAGGCCAGTTACCAAAAGGCAAAAGAAAACACCTTCTGCACTGCACAGAATATTACATTGGAAGAAAACATTTTGTTTAGACCTTTAAGAAAATACTGTTAGCATCAGACCTCAACAAACAGAACTTGAAAACTTATATGAGCTGAAAATGAATTGAAGGAGGGGGTTACTATTTCAGAAGGGAGAGAAAAAAAATGGCAAGATGCAGTAAAAGTTGAACTTTGGGTTAAAAAAATTAAAATATCTTATAATCTATTAAGAGTAAATCAATCCCTTAGGAAAATGTCATTGTTCTAGGCAATTATTTAATGTATAAGTGTTTTTTTTCACATCAAGCCCAATCTCTAGAAAGATCACTATAATTTCCTTTTAATTATAGACAACTTGATCATATAAAAGGTTTTTTTTTTTTTTTTGACAGAGTCTTGCTCTGTTGCCCAGGCTGAAGTTCAGTGATGTGATCTCAGCTCACTGCAACTGCAACATCTGCCTCTGAGGTTCAAGTGATTCTCCTGCCTCAGCCTCCCGAATAGGTGGGATTACAGGCATGCATCACCATACCTGGCTAATTTTTGTATTTTTAGTAGAGATGTGGTTTTGCCACGTTGGCCAGGCTGGTCTCCAACTCCTGACCTCAGGTGATCTGCCCACCTTGGCCTCCCAGAGTGCTGGGATTACAGGCATGAGTCACTGTGCCTGGCCTCTTTTTTGTTTTTTTCTTTTCTTTGTTTTAAAATAAATCCTCTTATTGTGACTTACACAGAGTGTTCATGACTTGGACTTTCTGGTGTGTTCTAAACATCCCTCTTTCTTTATATATATATATATATATATATATATATATATATATATATATATATATATATTTTTTTTTTTTTTTTTGAGATGGAGTCTCGCTCTGTCACCCAGGCTGGAGTGCAATGGTGTGATCTCGGCTCCCTGCAACCTCCGCTTCCCGGGTTCAAGCTATCCTCCTGCCTCAGCCTCCCGAGCAGCTGGGACTACAGGCACGTACCACCACGCCCAGCTAATTTTTGTATTTTAGTAGAGACGGGGTTTCACCATGTTGACCAGGATGGTCTCGATCTCTTGACCTCGTGATCCGCCCACCTCGGCCTCCCAAAGTGCTGGGATTAGAGGTATGAGCCACAGTGCCCGGCCTAAACATCCCTCTTTCTTAAACAACCAGTCGGTTTATTCTAGGACTAAATCTACCATACAAGATTCTTTCTCATATAAAATGATTTCTTTTTATTTATTTATTTAACCAAAAACAACCCTCTTTATTTTGATAACTTTCTTTACATCTCTCTTATTTCTTGGTCCCTTTTACCTCGTTTTGTATGTAACCTTTAAATAAGCTTTGAGTTAGACAAAAATTGTTCACCATTTTTAAAAAGGACACTTTTTTTCCTTCAATTATCTTAATTGGAAAATACTCAAATAATGAAATATCTATTATTTAATTTAATATAACTTTAGACTCTAAATTATGACAAGTTTGTCAACAAGTATTTATCCCATTACATTTACCTATTTTATTTTAATAGTTTACCTAGATTATTTATGGAAACTGTGATCATTATTGTTTAAAGTTATGAAACCGCCATTGCAAAATTATAACTGAAACAGTGAAAAAGTTCTAACCTAACTGACTCCATTTTGCTTCTTACCTCCAAGCTGTTCTTGTTCATTCCTGGGTATAGGCCAAACTATGGGAGAAACTTAGTTTATAGTTTAGCTTTGAAGCAAAGACAGTAACTGTCCTTTCCCAAACAAACCTCCTTATTGTTTGTGGACTCAATTGCCTAAAGCCACAAGATTAGAAATTATGGTAATTTTACTGAATAATTCAAGATGTAGCTATTTTGATTAAACCAATATCAATGTCTTATTTATTAAAAATTACATAAGCAAAGATTATTCTGTTTTGGGTTGGGTTTACAGTTTTGTAGCCCCTATACCAAATTTTGACAGCAAATAGTATTTGTCAGGGATAAGTATGAAATTGCTTGATTAATAAATGCAAACAAAAATGTTTGCTGGCAATTCTTAAGACATTTCTAATATTACTTTACCAACAATCTTAAAACAAACTTATTTATTAAAGATTTAAATTGTTATGTAAACTTGAAAAAGCATTTGACTGCTCTGTTCTTTTTTCCTGATAATGTATTTGATTCAAGCACTTTTATTTTCTTAAGCCAATTAATTAGAGCTCTATTATATATTGACAGTAGTGAAACATTGTATACACAACACATGAATACATAGATGTATTAGGCATGCCTATAGAAATATATCTTATAGATTCATAAAAACTGTTTTTTTCCTCTGTCTTAGACTTTCAGATTCTTGATAACCTGTTTCACAACCCTAGACAGTTGTCAGCTAAATAGCCTTAAATTTTGCTATTGAAGGAAACAACTGAGGTGAAAATCAAATAGCAAAATTTACATCATAATGTAGACAGAGAAAGTCTGGTGGTGCTAGAGGGAGATTAAAGATGCTAGAGGGAGATTAAAGATGCATAACAATCAAACAAAATTATAGAAATTTATCATAGGATTGTACAAGGAGACCAATTTTATTTAGATAGGGACTACCTATTTTTAACTGGATCTCTGAGGTCTGAGAAGAGCCCACACTAAATCCTAGGTCTCCAAAAAGGGAGAATTATGATGAGGTTAGGGCAGGTGATGCTTTTACAGTGCACTTAAAGTTTTTTTTAAACAAAGACATTTTTATGTGTCTAAACTACACTCTTCCTTAAAAACCCAAGTGTAGCCTCTGTTGCAATAACTATTTTAGTTTAAAAAAAAAAGGAAAAAAGAAACAGGTAACATAATATAAAAGTAAGCAGTTTAAGAGCTAAGATGAACTTGTCTGTTTACACTCTTGGGGTTCCATAACTAAAAACAGAGATTTCTCCCCAAAAGGGCATCGGGAGTCTGGTGCCTTCTTTTCTTTTCTTTTTTTTTTTTTTTTTTGAGACAGAGTCTCACTGTGTTGCCCAGGCTGAAGTGCAATGGTATGATCTTGGCTCACTGCAACCTCCACCTCCTGGGTTCAAGTGATTCTCCTGCCTCAGCCTCCTGAGTAGCTGGGATTATAGGCGCCCACCACCACACCCAGCTAATTTTTGTATTTTTAGTAGAGATGGGTTTCACCAGGTTGGCCAGGCTGTTCTCGAACTCCTGACCTCAGGTGATCCACCTGTCTCGGCCTCCCAAAGTGCTGGGATTACAGGCGTGAGCCACCATGCCCGGCCTGGAGTGCAGTGGTGCAATCTTGGCTCACTGCAACTTCCACCTCCCGGGTTCAAGCAATTATCCTGCCTCAGCCTCCTGAGTAGTTGGGATTACAGGCACGCACCACAATGCCTGGCTAATTTTTGTATTTTTAGTAGAGACGGGGTTTCAAGGCTGTCTTTACCAAAGACCAACCTTGTTGGCAAGGCTGGTCTTGAACTCCTGACCTCAGGTGATTCGCCCACCTTGGCCTCCCAAAGCATTGGGATTACATGCATGAGTCAGTGTGGCTGGCTCCTTCATCATTTTCTTTAAGGAACCCCTGGCTATCATAAACTGTTTTAGGTCCCTCATGCAGCAGAAGGTGCAGGAGAAAGGAGAGACAGCAGAAGTAAATGAAGAAAACAGAATTCAGTCAACTGAGAAGAAAAAAAAAATTTGCTTAAAAAAAAGACAAGGTCCTAGGAGAGAAACAAAAATATGAAGGCCTTTTAAACACACACACACACACACACACACACACGCGCGCGCGCGTGCGCGCGTACACATCTTGGATGTTAGCTTTCAACTAAGCTGACTTTTAACCATTGAGATCATTTGGAAAAAAATCTTAAAATCTCATGTCCATATTTCAGCTAGGACAAATTACTGCTATTTCAGAAGTACAGCCATTGCTGTTTCAGTTTGGCCTGGCTAGCAAAAAGGCAGCCTTGTTATGTAAATAAAGCCCCTTTAGTAGTCAAAGTCAAAAATCTTTCCTCTTTTTTTTCCTTTTGCCAGCCATTTTTCTCCCCCCACCACATCACCTTTGTGTGTGTGTGTGTGTGTGTGTGTGTGTGTGTGTGTGTGTGAATTTAGCCATTTCAGAGGCCTTGTTCTCCATAATTTGGAACTTTTCTCTGGATTTGATCAAGTCAGATAGAGTTGATCAAACCAAATGGGAAAAAGACCAACACAGCAACAAAAACAGAAAGAAATAACAACAAGAAAACTGTTAAGGAAAACAAATAATGACACAACTTCTATGATTACTGAGTGCTCCAATGGCAAGGAGAAATTAAGACCAGCTCGTTGTTAAACTTTAGCCAAGACAAACCCCAATTCAGTCACTTTCCTAGGGATGGGTCTCAGGAGAAAGAATGCTCTCTACCATCCTAGAAGCAGGAACAAACTCGAATCTGTCTTCCCTGTTGGAAGGGAGCTCAAGCTCCATAAAGGAATTACCTGCCTTCCAAGAATTTCATGGAAGCAGGAAAAACTTGCCTTGATTGTGTTGGAAGTGAGTAAAATTAAAAAAAAAAAAAAGAAGTTGTACAGCAAAATAAACTTTAAATCTTGGGAGATCAGAGATTGTCTGGGGGTGGGGGGCCTTCAGGCTTCAGCAAATTGTCCTACTGGTTTGAGCCATAAAGATAGCTCAAACTGGTATCAAGCACTGTTAAGAGATTTGTCAAAGGTCAGGGGCACCTCCACTCAGAATCCCTTTGTAGTTACCAAAATGTATACCCTGAAAATCTGAGACAGGTCTCAGTTAATTTAGAAAGTTCATTTTGCCAAGGTTGAGGATGCATGCCTGTGACACAGCCTCAGTAAAGTGGCCTCATCATCTGGGGTGACACTTGAAGTTTATTATCTCACATCCATGGAGATCAAGGATGCAGACACACAAAGAATGACTTTAAGAGCAGAAATTTAATAAGTGAAAGAGAATAGCTCTCTGCTGCAGAGAGAGGTCCTAGAAAAATGGGTTGCTGATCCATGGTGAAATGCAGGGGATTTTATAGATGAGCTAGTGGGGAGGCAGTGTCTGATCTACATAGGGTGTGAAAAACCACCAGGACCAGGTGTGCCATCTGCACAGGATGTGAGTCTCTGGCAGCCTCTGCCCCAATTTTTTATTATGCAGGTGGGTTCTGTGCCTGAACTTCTTCATGTTGCCCATTTCTTACTGTATACATGCTAACAATAAAGGGAAGGTGGAGCCCCATGGTGGGCATGCATGGCCCCCAGGTAGCCCTTTTTTATTGTTGTAGCCACAGGCCTCCCCCTGTACAAGCTTCCAGCTTCCTTTTCTGTCTTTGCAGCTCTATCTTTCAGGCTGCTCTGTATTAGAAAAGAAATTATTTCTAGGGCTGCTTTTTGTTAGAAGAGAAGTTTTGCCAAGGACTCGTTTGCCCTCACTATCTGCCCAAATAATTTCTTTTTATATCCTGTATCATCAGGAGGTCCTGACGACATGTGCCAAGGTGGTCAGGGGACAGCTTGGTTTTATGCATTTTAGGGAGACATGAGACATCAATCAATATATGTAACATGTACATTGGTTTTGTCCAGAAAGGCAAGACAACTCAAGCAGGGAGGGGGCTTCCAGGTCACAGGTAGGTGAGAGACAAATGAGAGACAAACGGTTGCATTCTTTTGAGTTTCTGATTAGCTTTTCCAAAGGAGGCAATCAGATATGCATTTATGTCAGTGAGCAGAGGGATAATTTTGAATAGAATGAAAGGCAGGTTTGCCCTAAGCAGTTCCCAGCTTGACTTTCCCCTTTAGCTTAGTGATTTTTGGGGCTCCAAGATTTATTTTCCTTTCACATATGCCAGTACCATGCTGTTTTGGTTGCTATAGCTTTGTAGTATATTTCAAAGTTAGGTAGTGTAATACCTCTTGCTTTGTTATTTTCACTTAAGATTGCTTTGACTACTTGAAGTCTTTTGTGGTTTCCTATTCATTTTAGGATTATGTGTTATTGGTTTTTTTGTTGAGTTATAGAAGTTCTTTAAATATTCTGGATATTAACCACCTATCAGATATATGATTTGAAAATCTTTTGTCCCATTCTGTAAATTTCCATTTTACTTTCTTGATAGTGTCCACAAAAGTTTTATAATTTGATGTAGTTCCATTTTGCTTTTGTCGTCTGTGCTTATGATGTCATATCCAAGAAATCATTGCCAAATATCATGTCATTATAATGTCATGAAGCTTTCCTCCCTTATTTTGTTTTTATTTTTATTTTATTTTATTTTTTTAATTTTTATTTTTAGACAGAGTTGTTTCACTCTTGTTGCCCAGGCTGGAGTGCAATGGCACGATCTTGGCTCACCGTAACCTCTGCCTCCCAGGTTCAAGCGATTCTCCTGCCTCAGCCTCCTGAGTAGCTGGGATTACAGCAATGCACCACCACGCCCGACTAATTTTCTTTGTATTTTTAGTAGAGATGGGTTTCTCCATGTTGGTCAGGCTGGTCTTGAACTCCCGACCTCAGGTGATCCACCTGCCTCAGCCTCCCAGAATGCTGGGATTACAGGCGTGAGCCACTGTGCCTGGCCTCCTCCCTTATTTTCTTCTAAGAGTTTTATAGATTTATCCCTTACATTTAGTTATTTGATACATTTTAAAATTAATTTTTAAAATATTTTTCCTTTTTTTGAAACAGGGTCTCATTCTGTCACCCAGGTTGGAGTGCAGTGGCAACATCATAGCTCACTGCAGCCTTGAACCCCTGGGCTCAAGTGATCCTCCTGCTTCAGCCTCCTGAGTAGCTGGGGCTACAGGTGAGTGCCACCACAGCCTGCTAATTTTTAAATTTTTTGTAGAGATGAGGTCTCTTTATGTTGCCCAGGCTGGTCTTGAACTCCTGGGCTCAAGTAATCCTTCTGCTTAGCCTTCCAAAGTTCTGGGACTTTGATGCATCTTGAGCAATTTTTATATATGGTGTAAGGTAAAGATATACCTTTTTTTTTTTTTTTTCGCATGAGCATATGAAGTTTTCCCAGCAGCATTTGTTGAAAAAACTGTTCTCACCAAATTGTCTTAACACCCTTGTCAATGATCATTTGACTATATATGCAAGCATTTATTTCTGGGCTTTCTATTGTACTCCATTGATCTATATGTCTGCCTCTATGCTAGTACCACACTGTTTTGATTACTATAGCTTTGTAGTAAGATTTGAAATCAGGAAGTATGAATTTTCTGAATTTGTTCTAATCTTTTCAGATTGTTTTTATTATTTGGGAGTCTCTTGAGATTTCATATGAATTTTAGGATGGCCTTTTCTATTTCTACAAAGAAGATCACTGGAATTTTGGTAGAGATTGCACTGAATCTGTAGATCCCTTTGGATAGTATTGGCATCTTAACAATATTTACTATTTCAATCCATAATCACAGTGCATCTTTCCATTTATTTGTGCCTTACTTAACTTCTTTAAGCAACATTTTGTTATTTTCAGTGTAGAAATCCTTTGCCTCCTTGGTTAAATTTATTCCTAAGTATTTTATTAATTTTGATGTTATTGCAAACATAATTGTTTTCTTAATTTCCTTTTCAGATTGTTTATTTTAGTGTATAGAAATACAATGGATTTTTGAGTATAAATTTTGTATCTTGCAACTTGAACTGAATTGAATTGAATATAATGAATTCATTTTTTTTTTTTTTTTGAGATGGAGTCTCACTCTGTCGCCCAGGCTGGAGTACAGTGGCGTGATCTCAGCTTACTGCAACCTCCACCTCCCAGGTTCAAGCAGTTCTTCTGCCTCAGCCTCCCGATTAGCTGGGATTACAGGCACCCGCCCCCATGCCCAGCTAATTTTTGTATTTTTAGTAGAGATGGGATTTCATCATTTTGGCCAGGCTGGTCTCAAACTCCTGACCTCGTGATCCACCCACCTCAGCCTCCCAAAGTGCTGGGATTACAGGTGTGAGCCACCGCACCCGGCCAAATTCATTTCTTAATTCTAACATTTTGTGTCTGTGTTTTTACATATAAGATCTCTTGTGTTTTTACATATAAGATCATGTTGTCTGCAAACAGATAATTTTACTTCTTCCTTTCTCAGTTGAAGGGGAAAGGGAGTTTTCTTTTTCTTGCTTAATTGCTCTGGTTAGAACATCCAGTACTATCCAGTACTATGTTTAATAGAAACGGTGACAGCAGGCATCATGATCACGTTCCTGACCTTAGAGAAAACTTGCAGTGTTTCATCATTGAGTATGTTGGCTGTGGGCTTTTTACATACCCTTTTTTTTTTTTTTTTAACAGAGTCTTGCTTGCCTAGGCTGAAGTGCAGTGGCATGATCTCAGCTCACTGCAACCTCCACCTCCTGGGTTTAAGTGGTTCTCCTGCCTCAGCCTCCCCAGGAGCTGGGATTACAGGCATGTGCCACCATGCCCAGCTAATTTTTGTATTTGTAGTAGAGATGGGGTTTCGTCATGTTGCCCAGGCTGGTGTCAAACTCCTGATCTCAAGTGATCTGCCTGCCTTAGCCTCCCAAAGTGCTGGGATTATAGGCGTGAGCCACCATGCCTGGCCTATTTATATGCAATTTTTATTATGTTGACATAGAGTCCTTCTACTTGTAATTTATTGGCTGTAATTATGAAAGGGCATTGAATTTTGTCAAGTTTTTTTCTGCATCAATTGAGTTGGTCATGTGTGTGTGTTCATATTTTACTATTCAATAGATTTTTAGTAAGCTTTGGTTTCATCTTCATGAATCATGGAAGACTTGAAAGGCCAAAGACACTCCAAGAAATTTACTTTAGCACCTTCTTTCTAGGCAGAAAGATAAGGCATCCCCATGAAAGATAGTGTATTGGACCCCTCTTGTACACCGTTTCAAAATTTTCTGTTTCTCCTCTTATTTCAGCCACAACTGTAGGGGACTGTTTCCCTGCATGTTTTGAGCAGCTTTGCACAGGTGCACCTGGGCAGTGACCTCACCTCATCCCTCATACTGTATCATTTGCTTCCTGCCCTATGCATCTCTGTTCTTCAGCTTAATAGTCCTAGGCATCCACTTCACACTCAAGCACAACCCAGCTGTGATGGGAAGTCAGTGCCATGGGGTCTACTCTTGACCGATGAAGATCTGGAGTCAATGGATAAATGCATCCCCATTTCATCCCCTGATGGACAGTTTTGAGATGCTTCAGAAAACCCCTACAGGTCCCAGTGGGATCAAACAGCCAATTTAATAATGCATCCTTGTGGTGGTCTTTCCCTTGCTCTGTTTCACTCCCCTTATCCTGCATTTCTGCTCCCCAGAATCACATTAGCAAACAAGCTACCTATGCACAAGCCTTTTGGGGGACCCTAGGCTAAGGCAAGTGGGTGGCAGCCTTATATTGGATTTGCAAAACCTCATATCTTGGATTTATGCTTCAAGAATACAGCACTCATGATAGGCCCCTTGGTGTGCCCCCATCACCCCTATGCAAGGACTTCTCAACTGCAGTGATGTGTCTCCTTTTTTTTTTTTTTCGAGACAGAGTTTTGCTCCTGTTGCCCAGGCTGGAATGCAATGGTGCAATCTTGGCTCAGCTCACTGCAACCTCCGCTTCCCAGGTTCAAGTGATTCTCTTGCCTCAGCTTCCCGAGTAGCTGGGATTACAGACATGCACCACCACGCCCGGCTAATTTTTGTATTTTTAGTAGAGACAGGGTTTCTCCATGTTGGTCATGCTGGTCTCGAACTCCCAACCTCAGGTGATCTGTCTGCCTTGGCCTCCCAAAGTGCTGGGATTACAGGCATGAGCCACCGTGCCTAGCCTGATGTGTCTCTTTTTTTTATGGCTGAAAGAGGAAACACGAAGGAAACAGATACTCACTGAGCACTTATGGCCCACCCTTGCTTTAGTTATTTTACTTATCTCCTTTATACAAGGAGGAAGCAGATTTAGAGAGGCCAGATAACTCATCTAATATCTCATAGTAAGAATGCAAGCCAGGATTTGAACTCAGTCCCATGAATTCAAAGCCCATAATCTTTCTATAGCATGTGAAGTCATTTCTTCTTGGGTCTCTGCACTTGGTTCTCCTTCATCACTTCAGGCAGCATAAGATGCTGAGCTTCTACCAATTGCTATTTTTTTCTTCCTTTGTCTTTATTAAGGTAAATAATATGTATATAATTTACCATCTTTACCATTTTAAGTGTCAAGTTCAATGTAATAAATACATTTATATAATTTTTTCCATTTATCTTCCTACTCACCTTTCTTCTTCCCAGCCTTTGGTAACAACCAATCTACTCTGTATCTTACTCACATGTAAGAGCTCTGAAGCTCTAAAGCTCTTCCATATGAGTGAGAACATGTGGTATTTGTCTTTCTGTGCTTGGCTTATTTTGCTTGACATAATGCCTCTAGTTCCATCCATATTACTATAAATAACAGGATTTCATTATTTTAATGGCTGAATAATTTTTTATTGTGTATATTTACCACATTTTCTTTATCTATTCATCTGTTGATGAGCACTTAAGTTGATATTGTATTAGGGCTATTGTGAATAGTGCTACAGCAAATGTGGGAGAGCAGATAGCTCTTTGGTGTATTTATTTCCTTTTTTCTTCTTTTTAAAAATATGCCCAGTAGTGGAATTGCTGGGTAGCTCTGTTTTCACTTTTTTGGGGAACTTCCATACAGTTCTTCATAGTAGCTGTACTAATTTATATTCTCACCAACAGTGTATGGGGGTTCCCTTTTCTCTACATCATTGCCAGAATTTGTTATTGCCTATCTTTTTGATGCAGACTATTTTAATTGGGGTGAGATTGATGATATTGCATTGTGGTTTTGATTTGAACTTCTTTGATTATTAATATTGAGTATAGCTTCATATACCTGTTGGCCATCTGTACATTGTCTTTTTGTATGTCTTTATGTGTCAAAATGTCATTTTGTATATCTTCTTTTGGGATGTGTCTGTTAAGATCTTTTGTCTGTTTTTAATCTTTTTACTTTTTTTTATTTTTTAGATACAGGGCCTCACTCTGTCACCCAGAGTGGACTGTAGTGGCTCAATTATAGATCACTATAAACTCAAATTCCTGGGCCCAAGTGATCCTTCTACCTCAGCCTCCTGACTAGCTAGGACTTCATTTTTGCTTTGGTTGCCTGTGTGTTTTGAGGTCATATACAAAATTCTTTGCCCAGACCAATGTCCTGGAGCATTTCCTCAGTGTTTTCTCCTGGTACTTTCATCATTCCAGGTCTTAGATTTCAGTCTTGAATCCATTTTGATTTGATTTTCATGTATGCTGAGAGATAGGGTTCTAATTTCATTCTTCTTTAAGATAGTTATCCAGTTTTCCCAGCATCATTTACTGAAAAGACTGTCTTTTTTTCATTGTATGGTCTTGACACCTTTATCAAAGATGAGTTGGTTGTAAATATGTGGGTGTACATCTGAGTGCTCTGTTTTGTTCCATTGGTCTATATGTCTGTTTTTATGTGAGTACCGTGCTGTTTTACTTACCATAGCTTTGTAGTAAGTTTTGAATTCTGGTAGTGTGATGCCTCCAGGTTTGTTCTTGTTGCCAGGATTGCTTTGGCTATTTGGGATCTTTTGTGGTTCTATATAAACTTTAGAATTTTTTTTCCTATTTCTGTGAAGAATGTCATTGGTATTTTGAGAGGGATTGCATTGAATCCGTAAATTGCTTTGGGTAGTATTGTTATTTTAACTATATTAATTCCTGCAAACCATGAGCATGGAATATCTTTTCATTTTTGTCTTCTTCTATTTCTTTCATCAGAATTTTATAGTGTTCCTTGTATGGATCTTTCTTTCTCTCTCTCTCTCTCTGTCTCTCTCTCTCTCTCTCTCTCTTTTGAGATGGAATCTCACTCTGTTGCCAGGCTGGAGTACAGTGGCGCAATCTCAGCTCACTGCAACCTCCATCTCCCGGGTTCAAGTGATTCTCCTGCCTCAGCCTCCTGAGTAGCTGGGACTACAGGCACATGCCACCATGAATGCCTGGCTGATTATTTTATTTTATTTTTTGTATTTTTAGTAGAGATGGGGTTTCACCATGTTGGCCAGGATGGTCTCGAACTCCAGATCTCGTGATCCACCCACTTCCAGCTCCCAAAGTGCTGGGATTACAGGTGTGAGCCACCACGCCCAGCCTTGTATAGATATTTCTTCTCTGGTTAAATTTATTCCTGGGTGTCTTACATATTTTGTAACTGTTGTAAATGAGATTGCTTTCTTTCTTTCATTTTTTTTTTTTTTTTTTTGAGATAGAGTTTTGCTCTTGTTGCCCAAGCTGGAGTGCAGTGGCCTGATTTCAGCTCACTACAACCTCTGCCTCCCGGGTTCAAGCGATTCTCATGCCTCAGCCTCCTGAGTAGCTGGGATTACAGGCATGTGCCAGCATGCCAGGCTAATTTTGTATTTTTAGTAGAGACAGGGTTTCTCCATGTTGGTGAGGCTGGTCTCAAACTCCTGACCTCAGGTGATTTGCCCGCTTTGACCTCCCAAAGTGTTGGGATTACAGGCATGAGCCACCATGCCCGGCCCTGCTTTCTTGCTTTCTTTTTCAGATCAGTCACTGTTGACATATATAAATGCTCCCGATTTTTATATGTTGTTTTGTTTGTACCCTGCCACTTTACTAAATTCGTTTATCAGTTCTAATAATGTTCTTGGTGGAGTCTTTAGGTTTTTGTAATTATAAGATAATGTCATCTGGAAACAAGGCTAGTTTGACTTCTTCCTTTCCAATTTGGATGCCCTTCCTTCTCTTGCCTAATTGCTCTGGCCATGACTTCTGGTATTATGCTGAATAATAGCAGTGAAAGTAGGCATCCTTGTCTTGTTATAGCCTTTAGAGGAGGGGCCTTCACTTTATCTATGTTGAGTATGCTATTAGCTATGGGTTTGTCATACATGGCCTTTATTATTTTGAGGTAGTTTCTCCTATACCCATTTTGATGAGTTTTTTTTTTTTTATCATATAGGGATGTTGAGTTTTATCAAAATTTTTTTGGCATCTATTGAAGTAATGGTTTTTGTTATTGACTTTGTTAATGCAATTGTATCATGTTTGTTGATTTGCATACGTTGAACCATCTTTGTATCCCTGGAATGAATTCCACTTGATCATGGTGAATGACTTTTTCAATGTGTTGTTGAATTTGGTTTGCTAGTATTTTGTTGAGGAGTTTTACATTATGTTTATCACTGATATTGGTATGTAGTTTTCTTTTTTTGGTTGTGTCCTCCTCTCATTTTGGTATTGGGGTAATGCTGGCCTTGTAGAATGAGTTTGGAAGTATTCCTTCCTCTTCAGTTTTTTTGAGGAGTTTGAGTAGGATTGGTATTAGTTCTTTAATGGTACAATTCAGCAGTAAATCCATCAGGTTCAGGGCTTTTCTTTAATGGGAGACTTTTTATTATGGCTTGGATCTTATTGGTTTGTTGAGGTTTTCTATTTCTTCATGGTTGAATCTTGGTAGGCTTTAGAGGTCTAGGACTTTATCCATTTCTCTTAGATTTTGAAATTTGTTGTGTAGTTGTTCATAATAGTGTTGTAGTCTCAGCAATGCATGAAGATGTAACAGTCTCTCCTTGTCTGAGATGACACCTGGAGTTCTTTGTCCTACCTCCAAGATGATTAAGGAGTACAGACACAAAGGTGAGGTTAGAGCAAAAGTTTAATAAGCGAAAGAAGAAAGCTCTCTGCCAGCAGAGTGGGGGGCTCAAATGGGGTGCCCACTATGAGGCTGGCGTCCCGGGTTTTATGGACTGGGAAGGGGAAGGAATGTGCTTAGTTCCTGGGCTGTCTTGGAGAACACATAACTCAGCTTGGCCCAGAGACCTTGGCCGCAACCAATCAGGAGCTGAAATGATGATTTATAGCTGCTGCTCAGCTTGGCCCAGGACCTATCAGAAACTGAATTGAAAGCTTGGCCCAGGACCTTAGCCTGGGACCAATCGGGCTGAAATGATAATTCATAGAAGCCGGACTTACAGTCCAAATAAAGGAAAATAGAGTGACCACTAGAACCCACCGGAGCCCACTGTGCCCATGCCCACAAAAGGAGAAGAAACTTTTCCTCAGAACCTGCTGAGTATACAAAGGACAAAGGCATTTCTATGCCAGGCCTTGTTCTCTTATCTGAGTGAGCTGGAGGTTTGCACAAGTTTGTATCCCAAAGGGCCAGAGGTTTTACTATCTGTGCCACCATGGGCATGTCTCTAGGCACAGCACCCTGTGTTAGTTCCCTTATCAGCCTAAATTTTTTCTCAGGCTGCTTTTTTTTTTTTTTTGAGGCAGAGTCTTGCTCTGTCACCAGGCTGGAGTGCAGTGGCGCCATCTCAGCTCACTGCAACCTCCGCCTCCCAGGTTCAAGCGATTCTCCTGCCTTAGCCTCCAGAGTAGCTGACACTACAGACGGCACGCCACTACGCCCAGCTAATTTTTATATTTTTAGTAGAGACAGGGTTTCACCATGTTGGCCAGGATGGTCTCGATCTCTTGACCACGTGATCCACCCACCTCCACCTCTCAAAGTGCTGGGATTACAGGCGTGAGCCACCGCCAGGGCCTCTCAGGCTGCTTTTTATGTTATGTGAGAATGAGGCACTGACCCACGGGCCAGGGGCTCTCTGGCACCCTTCCCTTGTTATCTATCTAAGGCAAGCTAAATAACTCCTTTCAATAGTATCTAATAATCCTTTCTAAGGTCTCAGTTGTTGTATCTCCTTTCTCATTTCTGATTTTATTTGGATCTTTCTCTTTTTCTCTTAGTCTAGATAAATGTTTGTTGATTTTGTTTATCTTTCCAAAAAAACAAGGTCGGGCATGGTGGCTCATGCCTGTAATCCCAGCGTTTTGGGAGGCTGAGGTGGGCAGATTACTTGAGCTCATGAGTTCAAGACCAGCCTGGGCAACATGGCGAAACCCCATCTCTATAAAAAATACAAAAATTAGGTGGGCGTGTGGGCACATGCCTGTAGTCACAGCTGTTTGGTGGGAGGATGGCTTGAGTTTGGGAGGTGGAGGTTGCAGTGAGCAGAGGTGGTGCCACTGCACTCCAGCCTGGGCAATAGAGTGAGACCCTGTCTAAAAAAAAAAACAAAAAACAAAGCCCACCAAACCACCTTTTCATTTTGTTGATTTCTTTTCATTTATTTCTGTTCTAATCTTTATTGTTTCTTTCCTTCTACTAATTTTGGGTTTGGTTTGTTCTTGCTTTTCTAGTTTCTTGAGGTGTATCGTTAGGTTGTTTATTTGAAGTCTTTCTACTTTTTTGATATAGGCGTTAGTTGCTATAAACTTCCCTGTTAGTATTGCTTTTCCTGTATCCCATAGACTTTGATATGTCATATTTCCATTTTCATTTGTTTCAAGACATTTTAAAATTTCCTTTTTCTAGGCCAGGTATGGTAACTCATGCCTGTTAATCCCAGTGCTTTGGGAGGCCACTGTAGGTGTATCTCTTGAGTCCAGGATTTTGAGACCTGCCTGGACAACATGGCAAAAACCAGTCTTTAAAAAATAAAAATAAAAAATTAGCCAACTGTGGTGGCGCATGCCTGTGGTCCTAGCTACTCAGGAGTCTGAGGCAGGAGGATCTCTTGAGCCTGAGAGTTTGAGGCTGCAGTGAGCAGTGATCACATCACTGTACTGCAGCCTGGGTAATGGAGCAGGACCCTGTCTCAAAAGAGAAAAAAAAAATTTCTTCTTTTATTTTTTTCTTAAGAGATGATCTTGCTATGTTGCCTATGCTATGTTGCCTGGGCATAGCTCATTACTGATCAGCATGCAAGTTTTGACCTGCCCTGTTTCCAACTTGGGTCACTTCCCAGTCTCCTTGGGCAACTTGATGATCACCTGCTCCCAGGAGGTCACTGTATTGATGCTGAACTTAGCATGGACACCTAATTGACATACCATACTATAGCCCAGAACTCCTAGATACAAGTGATCCTCCAGCCTCAGCCTCTTGAGTAACTTGTACAATAGGCATGTACCACTGCACCTGGCTCCTTCTTAATTTTTTCTTTGACCCATTGGTCATTCAGGAGCATGTTGTTTAATTTCCATGTGTTTGTGTATTTTTCTGAGATTCCTCTTGTTATTGATTTCTGTAGTTTTATTCCATTGTGGTCAGAAAAAATACTTGATATGATTTCTATTTTTTCAAATAGAAGTCAGACTTGTTTTTTTTGGATAGAAATCAGACTTGATACAGACTTGGTTTGTGGCTTAAGGTATGGTCTGCTCTGGAGAACGTTCCATGTACTGGTAAAACTGCTGCATTCGATAGCAGTTGGGTGAAATTTTTTTTTTTTTTTTTTTTTTTTGTCACCCAGGCTGGAGTGCAATGGCATGATCTCAGCTCACTGCAACCTCTGCCTCCTGGGTTCAAGCAATTCTCCTGCCTCAGCCTCCCGAATAGCTGGGATTACAGGCATGCGCCACTACGCCTGGCTAATTTTTTTTTTACTTCATTTTTAGTAGAGACGCGGTTTTACCATTTTGGCCAAGCTGGTCTCGAACTCCTGACATGAGGTGATCCTCCCACCTCGGCCTCCCAAAGTGCTGGGATTACAGGTGTGAGCCACTGTGCCCAGCCGAAATTTACTTTAAATGTCAGTTAGACCTATTAGATCTTGTGTAGTTTAACTCTGCCATTTCTTTGTTAATTTTCCGTGTGGATGATCTGTACTTTACTGAGAGTGAAGTGTTAAAAGCCTCTACTATTATTGTATTATAGTCTAACTCTCTCTTTAGAGCTATTATGTTTGCTTTATATACTTGGGAGCTCTGGTGTTGGGTGCACAGATTATTTATTTATTTATTTATTTATTTTTGAGACGGAGTCTTGCTCTGTTGCCCAGGCTGGAGTGCAGTGGCGCGATCTCTGCTCACTGCAAGCTCCACCTCGCAGGTTCACGCCATTCTCCTACCTCAGCCTCCCGAATAGGTGGGACTACAGGCGCTGGCTACCATGCCCGGCTAATTTTTTGTATTTTTAGTAGAGACGGGGTTTCACTGTGTTAGCCAGGATGGTGTCGATCTCCTGACCTCGTGATCCACCTGCCTCAGCCTCCCAAAGTGCTGGGATTACAGGTGTGAGCCACTGCACCCAGCCGGGTGCACAGATTATAGTCTCTTCCTGAATTGATGCCTTTATCATTATACAGTGACCCTCCTTTTCTTTTTTATAGTCTTTGATTTGTAGCATATTTTATCTTATATAAGTATAGATAGTCCTGCTTTTTAAAATTTTCCAGTTGCATGGAATATCTGTTTCCACCCCTTCACTTTCAGTCTACCTGTGTCTTTAGAGGTGAAATGGGTTTCTTGAAGGTAGCATATAGTTGGTTTTTGCTTCTTTATCCATTCAGCCACTCATGTTTTCTAGCTGGAGAAGTGAGAACATTTACATTCAGTGTTATTATTGATAAGTAAGGACTTACTACTGCTATTTTGTTGCTTGTTTTCTGGTTGTTTTGAGACTTGTCTCTTCCTTTCTTACTGTCTTCCTTATCTTGTAGTATGTTTTAATTTGTTGCTTTTTACTTGTAGTGGATCTATTATAAAAACTGCTGTGGTTACCATGAAGCTTACAAAAATGTTTTTATAGATATGAGTTATTTAAAAGAGATGACAACTTATCTTAGATCCCAAATAATAGAAACAAACAAAGCCAAAAAAACCCCCACAAGTTTTACAGTTTAATTCCTACCCCCACGTTTTAACTTTTAGTTGTCTCAATTTATACTTTTTTTTTTTTTGCGATGGAGTTTCACTCCATTTTGAGATGGAGTGCCGTGGTGCAATCGCAGCTTACTGCAACCTCTGCCTCCCGGGTTAAAGCAATTCTTCTGCATCAGCCTCCTGAGTAGCTGGGATTACAGTTGCCTGCAACCACATGCATCTAATTTTTGTACTTTTAGTAGAGATGGGGTTTTGCCATGTTGGCCGGGCTGGTCTCAAACTTGTGACTTCAGGTGATCCACAAGCCTCAACCTCCCAAGCTGCTTGGATTACAGGCATGAACCAATGCTCCAGCCAATTTATACATTTTTATGTAAAATAATAAGTTTTCTTTTGCACATTAGTGTTTTCTTCTTTCAGGTTGAAGAACTGTCTTTAGCATTTCTTGCAAGAAGGGTCTGGTGGTGGTGAATTCTATCTGGGAAATACTTTATCTCCCCTTAATATTTTAATGACAGTTCATTTGGATACAATATCCTTGGATGGCAGTTTTTATTTCTTTGAGTACTGAGCATGTCATTCCACTCCCTCCTGTCCTGTATGATTTCCATTGAGAAGTCTGTTGCCAGACACATTGGAGGTCTTTTGTATGTTATTTGCTTCTTATTTCTCAGTGGTTTTAGGATCTTCTCTTTGTCCTTGACCCTTGAGAGTTTGATTATTATATGCCTTGGGATAGTCTTATTGGGTTGAATCTGTTTGATGTACTAACACCTTCCTGCACCTGGATATTTATCTCTTTCTCCTGTTTTTGGCATTTTCTGTTATCATTTCTTTGAAGAAGATTTCTACCCTTTGCTCTTGGTCAGCTTCCTCTTGAACATCATTCTTAGATTTGGTCTTTGGAGGTAATTTTCTCTATCTTCTTTCTTTCTTTTATCGAGGCAGAGTTTTGCTCTGTTGTCCAGGCTGGAGTGCGGTGGCACGATCATGGTTCACTGCAGCCTCAACCTCCTGGGGTCAAGCGATCCCTCCCACCTACAGGCCCCAGCCACCACCCCAGCTGAATTATTGTATTTTTCGTAGAGATGGGTTTTCGCCATGTTGGCCAGGCTAGTCTTGAACTCCTGACCTCAAGTGATCTGCCTGCCTCGGCCTCCCAAAGCGCTGGAATTACAGGCACGAGTCACCACTTGCCCAGCCAAAACTGCTATTTTGAATTCCTGGTCAGAGAGCTCACAAGTTGCCATCTAGATAGGGTCACTCTCTGGATTTTTGGTTTGTCTTTTTGGGGAGGTCATATTCGTCTGTTTACTGTTGTTTCTTGTGGGTATATATATATGTTTTTGCAATGGAAGATTAGTTATTTATTCTAGTTTTCTCTGGCTTATTTTGCTTTTTATTGAACATATTTGCTTGGTGAATCTTTGCTACTAAGTCGCTGCCTTCTCTGTGGCTGTAGGTGGCACGTTAAGCCCAGGTTTGCCTCTTCTCTTCTAAGTGGTCAGAGCGCTGCCTGTCCTAAATGGAGGAGGTCCTAAAGATATTATCCCAGCAGTGAGGGAAGATTGTCTAGGAGTTCATGCCCAGGGGACCTGGGGAACTCCCTCCTACAGCATGGTGCTGGTGAACAGACACTCTGATTTAGCATCTCCTTTGGCTGAGTTACAAAGCGGTTTCTGAGGCTGGGGGTGGTAGTCCTGCCTACCCTGCTTGTTTCTGCCTGTCCTTAGGGTTAATTCTCCCTTCAGGCAGTCACGATGCTACCCATGGGTTAAAGCATGGAGAGGTCTCCTGCCTGGGAATCCAAGAAGTTGGAGAAGTGGCTGACAACCTCAATTTCACTTTTTCCATTGTAGAAACCATGAGCTGCAGGGAGACTGGTGCCAGGCATAATAGGGGGAGGGGCATCATGGATATGGAAGTCCAATTCTCCTGTCCTTTGCTTGAAGTTTTTCCTCTTCTCTGTGGCCCTGGGAATGGTCTCACCCTTGTACTTGAGCTCCGGGTTGTTGCTGGTGAGGAGTTTGGAGGTGCATATTTGGTTTTGGTTTTCTGTGGTGGGGATTGAAGCCATCTTGGAACTTCTTGTCATGTGTTTTTAAACACATCTATTTATAAGTGTAATATAAATAGTAAAAAAAAGTGTATTTTGTATGTTTTCTTTACATATATAATTTAGTAGATGTTTTAAAATAAAAATGAGACAATATTAAAGAGTATGAAACAATAGAAAAAATGAGATGAAATATGAACAGTTGATTTCTGTGTATGTGTATATACACACCTACACTTTCCTTTTAGATACTACAGTTTACTCTAAAACATGAAAATTCAGAAGTCCTTATCAGGTACTTGGTTTCAAAAATAAACTATAAATTTGAAAAGGCAGAAGTAATGCGAGAGACATTGACCACAATGCAGAAATTTAAAAATGAAAGGTAACAAAAAATGTATCCATTTGGACATTGAAAACATACATTGGAGTCTTAGCTTACAGAAGAAGTAAAAGTAAAAATTGCAGCATAAAGAAAGGAAATGACATTCAGCATACATTTCGGAAACTGAAAGATATTTTGATAAAAACAAGAAGAAGCAAATAAATGAGTTTAATACCAATGTAAGAAGCTGGAAAAGGACCAAATGGCCAGGCATGGTGGTTCATACCTGAAATCCCAGCATTATGGGAGCCTGAAGTGGGAAGATACGTGGGACCAGGAGTTCAAGACCAGCCTGGGCAAGAGAGTGAGACACTGTCTCTAGTACAAAAATTAGCCAAGTGTGGTGGTGCTTGCTTGTAGTCCCAGCTACTTGGGAGGCTGAGGCAGGAGAATCACTTGGAATAGCCTGGGTAACAGAGCAAGGCCCCATCTCTTAAAAAAAAAAGAAAAAGAAAAAGAAAACCAAAAGTAAGACATAACCACAGGTGTGGAGGAGAGTATGTAATTGTAAAGAAATACGATATAATCTTTGGCAAGAATAAAATTAGGAGAAAGGTATGTGCTTCTCTAGGAAGGACATGCCTGTTATTAAAAAGTGTTTAAAGAATAAGGAAAACCTTTGATTCACTAAACTGCAGGTCACTTCTCAGTAGTTTCAACCAGCACTTATTTTTTTGTGTCTGTATTGTTTATTTGGAATTTTCCTCTATGGTTTGTTTAAATATCAGTAAAGATCTGAATGGCACTGTGTTTTTACTTCATCATTTGTACATAGGATGTTCACCCATTGTTGAAGAAAGCGTTTTGTTTAGGAGAGAGTGTCTGTGTACTGTGGTGTGCGATGGTAGATGTGATTATCACTGAAGGTCACCGAAATGTGAAAATCCCTGGTACTGGCTTGACAGCTGTGTGGAAATAAAGACAACTCAAACGGGAACAATCAGGGCCCACTTAGAAAGTGCTTGCTAAAGCAAGAGAGTCAGCCACTTTTGACAAAGTGGGAAAGCTTTGTAGTGAACAAAAGGGAAGGCATCAGATGTGCTGTTGACTGGAGGCTACTGACATGGGACACTGGAAGTGTCTAATAAGCATTCAGGCATCTCATATGACTGGTTATGGGAGTACATTTGGCTTTCTCTGCTTGGTTCTGAGTTGGAAGCCAGGGCACAAATTAGAGAAGCTGCATCACTGCCATGTCCTGACTGGTGTGGGTTTGTTGCTACAGCAGTTCCTGGTTTGCCTTTCTGAGCTGGTTGCTGCAAAGGGTGTGGGTCACACCCTGCTAAGATTCACACTGACAAATGTATGCAGGCTTGGGAGTGAATGGAGAGGAAGCCATTTAATCATGGGGCCAATGAGTCTCTGCCTTAATCATGGGATTTGAGGTGACATTCAGTGTTTTATACATTGATTGATTTCTTTATTGAAGTGAGTTTTATATAATATAAAACTAACCATTGTAAAGAGAACGACTCAGTGGCAGTTGGTAGATTCACAGTGTTGCTCAACCATTGCTTCCATCTAGTTCCAAACAATTCCATGTCAAAATATAGCTCTGTACCTACCTGTTAAGCACCTCCTTCTTATTTCTCCCTCCTCCTAGCCCCGGACAACTGCCAGTGCTCTTTTCATCCATATGGATTTACTTACTCTGAATGTTTTAAATAGAATCATACAATATGTGACCTTTTGTGTTTGTCTGTTTTTCCTAAGCATGTCTTCAAGGTTCATCCACGTTGTAACAGATGTTATAATTACTTTCTTGTAATTTTCTTTCTCTTTTCATTCCTTTTTTTTTTTTGACACAGGGTCTCACTCTGTTACCCAAGCTGGAGTGCGGTGGTTCAATCTCGGCTCACTGCAGCCTTGACCTCCCAGGCTCAATTTTTCCATGGACAGGGTCAGGGGGATGGTTTTCGGATGAAACTGTTCCACCTTAGATCATCAGGAATTAGTTTGATTCTCATAAGGAGTGTGCAGCCTAGATCCTTTGCATGTGCAGTTCAGAATAGGGTTCATGTTCCTATGAGAATCTAATGCCACCGCTGATGTGACTGGAGGTGGGGCTCAGGCGGTAATACTTGCTGGCTCCTTTGTTCACCTCCTGCTCTGTGGCCCGGTTCCTAACAGGCCATGAACTGGTACCCATCCACGGCCTGGGGCTTGGGACCACTGCTTTAAATCCTAGATTACTTTAATACCTAGATTCCTAGGTTACTTATAATACCTAGTACAGTGCCTACATATAACTTTATTGGTGTGGATTTGACTTAGTATTTGGCTCAGGGAAAATTCAATTTTTGCTTTTTGGAACTTTGTGAAATTTAACATATTTTTGAATATTTTAAATCTGAGTTTGGTTAAATCCAGAGACACAGAACCCATGGATACGGAAGGCCCATAATATATACACAATGGAATATTACACAGACTTAAAAAGGAAGGTAATCCTGTCTCATGCTCCAACATGGATGAATCTTGAGTGCTAAGTGAAAGAATCCAGTCACAAAATGACTGTGTGATTTCACTTACATGAGTAATCTAAAGTAGAAAAATTCATAGAAACACAAAGTAGAATGGTATTTACTAGGGTGTGGAGGGAAGGGGAAAAATGGGGAGTTGTTTAATGACTATAGAGATTCCATTTTGCGTGATGCAGAAGTTCTGGGGACCTGGT
Organism: Homo sapiens; assembly: GCF_000001405.40. NCBI lineage: Eukaryota > Metazoa > Chordata > Mammalia > Primates > Hominidae > Homo > Homo sapiens. The sequence continues at coordinate 25,661,680 of NC_000020.11, forward strand.
CCACAACATTGTGAATATATTTAATGATACTAAAATATATGCTTAAAAATGACCAAGTTGGTAAATTTTGTTGTGTGTTTTAATATAATTTTTTTTTTTGAAACAGGGTCTCACTCTGTTGCTTAGGCTGGAGGACAGTGGCACCATCTTGGCTGACTGCAACCTCAACCTCTTGGGCTCAAGCGATCCTCTCACTTCAGCCTCCCAAGTAGCTGGGACTACAGGCATGCACCACCACGCCCAGCTAATTTTTATATATGTTTTTTTGTAGAGATGAGGTTTTGCTATGTTGCCCAGGCTGGTCTTGAATTCCTAGGCTCAAGCAATCCTCCTGCCTCAGCTGGGATTACAGGCATGAGCTATTGCATCCAGCCTGCAATTTTTAAAACATCAAAATAAATGTAAAGGCTATGTCTTAGATATATTTTTTTAACCAATTAAAAATAGTAAAATTTTCTCTTATAGCACGGTGGTCATGCCTGTAATCCTAACACTTTGGGAGGCTGAGGTGGGAGGATCACTTGAGCCCAGGAGTTTGAGACCAGCCTGGGCAACATAGGGAGACCCTAGTCTCTACAAAAAATGCAAAAATTAGCCAGGCATGGTGGCATGTGCCTGTAGTCCCAGCTACTTGGGAGGCTGAGGAGGGAGGATCACCTGAGTTTAGGAGGTCAAGGCTGCATGAGCCATGACTGCAGCACTGCACTCCAGCCTGGGTGACAGAGCAAGACCCTGTCTCAAAAAAATAAAAAAGTTTAAAAAGTGTAAGCCAAATTGTGAGTGAATGAGAGAGAGAGAAGTAGGGTGGGGTGGGAGGTGTGTGTGAGTGTCTAGATAAATATTTGATCAGTTTGCAGAAGCAAATGAATTTCATCATCAGGGCAAATTTATTGGAGAAAGTTTTGCCATGGTGAAGGTATTTCCTTGGGATAGGAATGAAGCAGGGAAATACTAATTTGTGCCTCTGGATATTTAAATTATTCAATGACAATCTGTTTAGATGTCTTTGCATAGATAATGCAAATTAGATTGGGAATTGCCAAAATTTGGTGCCTGAACAATGTAATTTTAAAATTTTTTAGATGAGAACATAATTTCTATTTCCAGCTCTATTCAGACACTGAAGAAGACTTAGGTTGGCCAATTCAAGGTCACCTCTTTTTTTCTTTGAGACGGAGTCTCACTCCGTCGCCCCGCTCTGTCTCCCAGGCTGGAGTGCAGTGGTGCAATCTCGGCTCACTGCAAGCTCCGCCTCCTGGGTTCACGCCATTCTCCTGGCTCAGCCTCCCCAGTAGCTGGGACTACAGGCGCCCGCCAACACGCCTGGCTAATTTTTTGTATTTTTAGTAGAGAGGGGGTTTCACCGTGTTAGCCAGGATGGTCTCAATCTCCTGACCTCGTGATCCGCCCACTTCGGCGTCCCGAAGTGCTGGGATTACAGGCGTGAGCCACCGCGCCTGGCCACTTTTTTTTTTGTATTTGTATTTTGCAACTTTGTTGAATTTATTTATTAGTTCTAACAGTTTTTTGTGTGGAATCTTCTACACGTAAGATAATAATTACAAACAGATGATTTTTCTTCCTTTCAAAATTGGATACCTTTTCTTTTTCTTGCCTAATTGCTCTGGCTAGAAATTCCAGTGCTATGTTGAATAGAAGTGATAAAAGTGGACATCCCTGCCTTGTTCCTGCTGTTAGAGGAAAAACTTTTGTCTTTCACCATTAAGAATGATGTTAGCTGTGGGTTTTTATATATGGCCTTTATTATGTTTCCTTTACAGAAACTGCCTTCCCATGACATTTTATTCCTTTTATTCCTAGTTTGTTGAATTTTGTTTTAATCATAAAGAGGTGTTGAATTTTGTCAAATAATTTTCTTGCATCAATGGAGATGTTCATGTGGTTTTCTCCCTTCAATTTGTTAATGCAGTGTATTACATTGATTGATTTTTATATACTCAATTATCCTTGCATTCCAGGAATAAGTCCCACTTGGTCATGGAGTATAATCCTTTTAAATTAAATTAAATTTAATTAATTAATTAATTAATTAATTACTTTGAGACAGGGTCTCGCTTTGTCATCCAGGCTGGAGTGCAGTGGCACCATCTTGGCTCACTGCAACCTCCGCCTTCCAGGTTCAAGTGATTCTCATACCTCAGCCTCCCAAGTAGCTAGAACTATAGGCGCACGCCACCATGCCCAGCTAATTTTTGTATTTTTAGTAGAGATAGGGTTTCGCCATGTTGGCCAGGCTAGTCTCGAACTCCTGAGGTCAAGTGATCTGCCCGCATTGGCCTCCCAAAGTCCTGGGATTACAGGCATGAGCCACTGTGCCCGGTGTAATCCTTTTTAAAAAAGAACATTTTATTGAGGTATAATTTACATACTTTGAAATTTAACCATGGAAAGTATTCAGTTTGATGAGTTTTAGTTTATACAGTTGTGTGATAATCACCATAATTTAGTTTAGAGCACTTCCTTCACTCCCAAAAGTTCACTTTGTAGTCATCTAACCTTCCCACCCCTAGGCAACAACTAATATACTTTCTATTTTTAAGATTTGCCTTTCTGGAAATTTAATAAGTAAACTCATACAATTTGAGGTATTTTATGTCTGGTTTCTTTGCTTAGCATAATAGTTTCCTTTAAAAGTTTTATTGATACATAATAACGACACATATTTATGAAGTACATGTGATATTTGAATGTATACATACGATATGAAATGATTAAATCAGAGTACTTAGTCTATCCATCACCTCAAACGTTTACTGTTTTTGTGTTGGGAACATTTCAAATCTTCTCTTTTAGCTATTATGACATATACAATATATTGGTGTTAACTATAGCCATCCTACTGTGCTATCAAACACTAGAACATATTCCTTCCATCTAACTCTATGTTCCTACCCATTAACCAATGCCTTTTCATTCCCCTAGGCCTGTCCTGTTCCCAATCTGTGGTAACCATTGTTTTACTTTCTACCTCTATGAGATCAACTTTCTTGTCTCCCACATATGAATATGTGATGTTTGTGTTTCTGTGCTTGGCTTATTTCACTTAACGTAATGACCTCCAGTTCCATCCATTTTGGTGTAGAATAACAGGATTTAATTATGTTTTTATGGCTGAATAATATTCCACTGTGTATATATAGGACATTTTATTTATCATTCATCCACTGATGGATACTTAGGTTGATTCCATGTTTTGGCTATTGTGAACAGTGCTACTACAATAAACATCAGGGTGCATGTATTCCTTTGGTATACTGATTTCCTTTTTTTTTTTTTTTTTTGAGGAGTCTCGTTCTGTCACTCAGGCTGGAGTGCAGTGGCGTGGTCTTGGCTCACTGCAACCTCTGCCTCCCAGGTTCAAATGATTTTCCTGCCTCAGTCTCCCAAGTAGCTGGGATTACAGGTGTGCACCACCACATCTGGCTAATTTTTATATTTTTAGTAGAGACAGGGTTTCACCATGTTGGCCAGGCTGGTCTCGAACTCTTGACCTCAAGTGTTCCACCAGCCTCAGCCTCCCAAAGTGCTGGGATTATAGGCATGAGCCACCACACCCTGCCTGATTTCCTTTCCTTTGGATAAATACCAAGTTTTAAGATTGCTTCATTGTATGGCAGTTCAATTTGTAGTTTTAAAAAGAACCTCCATATCATTTTCCATAATGGCTGTACTAATTTACATTCCCAGCAGCAGTGTATAAGAATTGCCTTTTCTCCACATCTTGCCATTATTTTTTTTTGTCTTTTTTGATAATACCCATCCTAACTGGGGTAAGGGGATCTCTCATTGTAACTTGCATTTCCCTGATGATTAGTGAGGTTGAGCATTTTTCCATATACTTGTTGCCTATTTGTATGTCTGTCTTCTTTTGAGACATGCCTATTCAGATCCCTTGCCACTTTTTAATTAGATTATTTGGGTTTTGTGTCGAGTTGTTTGAGTTCCTTGTATATTCTGTATATTAGTCCCTTACAAGATGAATAGTTTGCAAATATTTTCTTCTATTCTATATGTTGTCTCTTCACTCTGTTGTTTTACTTGCTATGCAGAAGCTTTCTAGTTTCATATAATCCCATTTGTCAATTTTTGGTTTTGTTGGCTGTGATTTTGAGGTCTCCGTCACAAAATCTTAGCCTAGACCAATTCCTGAAGCATTTTCCCTATGTTTGCTTCTAGCAGTTTTATGATTTCAGGTCCTACACTAAGTCTTTAATCTGTTTTTAGCAGATTTTTTTGCATATGGTAAAAGATAGGGGTATAGTTTTATTCTTCTGCATATGGCTGTCCAGTTTTCCTAGTACCATTTATTAGACAGTGTCCTTTACCCAATGTATATTCCTGGTGACTGTTAAAAATCAGTTGGCTGTAAATACATGAATGTTTTTCTGTGCTATTTATTCTCTTCATTGGTTTAGTATATATAGAAAGGATGCCTCCCACTTTGTTCTTTATGCTTACATTGCTTTGGCTATTTTGAGATTTTTTGTGGTTCCTTACAAACTTTAGGAGTATTTTTTCTATTTTTGTGAAGAATGTCATTGGTAGTTTGATAAGGATTGCATTAAATTTGTAGATTGCTCTGGGTAGTATGGTCATCTTAACAACATTAATTCTTTTGCTCCTTAAGCGTGGCATGTCTTTCTGTTTGTGTCCTCATCAATTTTTTTCATCAGTATTTTTTGGTTTTCATTGCCTAGGCCTTTTATCTCTTTGTTAAATTTTTTCCTAGGTATTTAATTTTTTTGTAGCTACTATAGTTGGGATTGCTTTTTTGATTTTTCAACTAGTTCATTATTAGTGTATAGAAATGCTACTGATTTTAGTATGTTGATTTTTGTCTCCTGCAACTTTACTGAATTTGTTTGTTCTAAGTTTTTTGGTGAAGTCTTTAGGATTTTCTATATTTAAGATCATCTTGTCTGTAAAGAGGGATAATTTGCCTTTCTGTTTTCCAATTTGGATGCCTATTTCTTTATCTTGCCTGATTCTAAGACTTCCACTACTATGTTAATAAGAGAGGTGGAAGTAGGCATTTGATTCATGTTTCAGTTCTTGGAGGAAAGGCTTTCAGCTTTCCCCTATTCATTATGATGTTAGCTGTGGGTTTGTAATATGTGGCTTATATTATGTTGAGGTATGTTTTTTCTATGCCTAATTTGTTGACAGTTTTTATCAGGATGGGATGTTAACTTATATAAAATGCTTTTCCTGCATCTATTGAGAGGATCATAGTTTTTGTCTTTCAATCTGTTGATGTGATATATCACATTTATTGATTTGCATATGTTCAACCTCCTTTGCATACCTGAGGTAGATTCCATTGATCATGGTATATTATCTTTTTGATGTGTTGCTAGGTTCAGTTTGCTAGTACTCTTGAAGATTTTTACTGTATGTTCATTAGGGACTTTTTTTGGCTGTTGTTTCCTTAGTATCAGAGTAATGCTGGTCTCAGAGGTCAAGTTTGAAAGAATTCGTGCCTCTTCATGTTTTTGGAATAATTTGAGAATTAATGTTAGTTGTTCTTTATAAGTTGAATGTAGCAGCAATGCCATCTGGTCCTAGATTTTTCACTGTTGGGAGACTTTTTATTATGGATTCAACCTCATTACTTATTATTAGTCTGTTCAGGTTTTGTATTCCTTTTTTTTTTCAAGATTGAAAAATTGCTATTTATTTAAAAAAACTTCTGAATTAAATAGGCAAATGGCAATAACTGGTATATACATTAATTCAAAGTATTTTCACTGAGCACTAAATAGAATAGTTTCCAATCTTTTCACTAAGAACCCCTTTTAAAGAATGCCCAAAACTGGCCAGTTGCGGTGGCTCAGGCCTGTAATCCCAACACTTTGAGAGGCCGAGGTGGTCGGATTACAAGGTCAGGAGTTCGAGACCAGCCTGGCCAACACAGTGAAACCCCATCTCTACTAAAAAATACAGAAAAAATTAGCTGGGCATGGTGGTGGGAGCCTGTAATCCCAGTTACTCGGGAGGCTGAGGCAGAATTGCTTAAACCTGGGAGGCAGAGATTGCAGTGAGCCGAGATGGTGCCATTGCGCTCCAGCCTGGGCAACAGTGCGAGACTCTGTCTCAAAAAAAAAAAAAAAAAAAAGAAAAGCCGGGCACGGTGGCTCACACCTGTAATCCCAGCACTTTGGGAGGCCGAGGCAGGTGGATCACGAGGTCAGGAGTTCAAGTCCAGCCTGGCCACAATGGTGAAACCCCATCTCTACTAAAAATACAAAAAATTAGCTGGGCGTGGTGGCACATGCCTGTAATCCCAACTACTCTGGAGGCTGAGGCAAAGAATTGCTCAAACCTGGAGGGGTGGAGGTTGCAGTGAGCCGAGATCACACCACTGCACTCCAGCCTGGGCGACAGAGTGAGACTCTGTCTCAAAAAAAAAAAAAAAAAGCCTAAAACTTAGTTTATTTAAGTCTTTAATCAAGAAATCTAAAGCTGCTAATCAGAGTTTTGAATCACCATTAGATGACTAGGCTAACAACCTTGAGGTCATATAATGTGGGTTTTAAAAGCTTTGTTTAAACTATACTTTCTAACAGAGGGGATTCATTGGTCTCAGGTGATTAATCACAGGTTCAAGTGCGAGATACTGTATATACATAAATAAAATAAAGTAATAGGTATCATTTATAAGGATAAATAACATATGGCCCTGGTATATTCAAGGGGAATAATGTCTTAATTTTTATGGTTGTACAATTAGTGATGGGCAGGGAGACAGATACAAATGACTGACCCACAAGGGAGAACCTAACAAGGGCAATAGAAGAGATAAAAGTCCGGTGCCCTAGGGATGCAGCAGAAAGGGTGCTGGGAGGCTTTAGGGACCAGGTGGCATCTAGGTCAGATCAAGATATGAATGGATGTCAATGTGTGTGTGTGTGTGGGAGGGACCTTCAAGGCTGGAGAAAACAAAGTGAGCCAAAACACTGAGCCACAGGAGTACTCCCTGCTCAGATGACAGTGAAGCATTTGTTCTGAGTAAAAATATGTAATCTAATAAAAGACTGCATAAAACACTGGAAAACCTCACGCAACAAGAGCAGGAAACAATGCTTGTGAGTATTTCTTAACAGCAATTCAAAAGAGTATCTGAGGTGGCCTGTGGAACGAACGAGAGAACAAAATATCTTCCTAAAGGCAGAGGCACCACATGTTCTTGGTGGAGGTTAAGTAGCCAAGGATCATACCGCAAGCCCACCTCCACTCTGAGACCCCAGTCCCTTGGAATCAAATCCACAGCAAAAATCTTACTTAATGGAAAATCTCTCCCTTCCCAAAATGTAAAACAAAAACAATATAGGCAAACAAAACTGAAAACAAAAAGAGATAATCAGAGCAAGCTTTAGCCTCTCATACTTCACCTATGCCCCAACTGCCATGTTACTGAGAAAAGGGTCTGCCCCATTACTTAAATGGATTCATTACTGCAGAACATGACAAAATTTAGCATATCACTGATCCTACTATGTCCCTCCCTATAAAAAAAAAACAAACCACACAAAATATAACCTTACCCTGAATAAAAGTCAGCATTGACCTAAGGATCCTACTGTAATGTGACTACCCTAACCCAGGAAACCTTAATCCTGTTCTGACCTATTCACACAAAAAATCCCCATTCTTAGAGCTTTGGAAGCATTACAAACATTGTTGCATTAGATTCCTCTTTTGAGGTATTCTGAAGCCTTGAAACACAGCAAATTTACATATTTTTCTATACTACCACTGAAGGGTAATTATCATAAAAGGCCTACAACCAAAATCCTCATCCCCTGATTCTTAGGCTATTTTTTTTCCCTCAGATGAAATAATAGGAAACACACACAAAAAGATGAAAGTCATACAAAAATAAAAACATAGAATCTGTAAGTGTCATCACACTAACAGTCTTAACTGTGCTAAAGAGAAAAAGAATTTATTTGGTTTACTCAAGCTCTGGGCATTTTATAAAGTACTCAAGACATTAACAGCTTATAAAAGTAGTGGAAAAAATTTAGGTGGGAGCATAAAACTAACTCCTTCGTTCAAAATGCCAAGTTCATAAGAAGGGATTTGTGGCAAACTGTCTGCACAGGGCTGCCTCAGACACCAGCCCAATCTTGGGCTGACGGCCTTGGCCTTTGTGCTCAGGTCAGTTTCTGAGGTGCAGGGATGTTGGCAGATGCCTGCTTGAGGTACGTGGAGGAGCCCTGAGGGCTGCTGCCTGGTGTTCTGTGCTGCACATTTGATGCCCTTCAGCACCTGTTGCCAGTGCCTCAGCTTTGTCAAGTGCTTCTGGACCAGTGTGTATTTCTGTTGTAATTCATTCCTTAGTTCTGAGACATCCTCTTTGGTAACTTGCTCTGGTGTCTGGACAAGTAATTGCAATCGTTTTTTGTAGGAAAACATTCTGCCTGTGTTGCAATATCCAGAAACTCCTAGATATACTGATCAACAGCAGTTTGAATGTTTTCCTGATCAGTGCCATTGACATAGTCCTGACTCACCAGAGAAGCAAAGCAAGCCTCGAAAGATGGCTCCAATTCATTCACCAGGTACTGTGAGAAGGTCTCAGAGTATCTGGTGCTGCCTGAAGAAGTGAAGCCTGGCCCCGGAGCTCCAATGTGGGTAGTGGGGGCCCTGGTGGCTGCCAAGAGAACATACCACCTAGTGGAGCCACCGTGTCTCGAATAGCCTGTATTTCTTTATGATTCAATCTTGTTATATAAAATGCATCTAGGAATTTATTCATTTCCTCTAGGTTTTCCACTTTGTTGGTGTATAATTGTTCATAAGTCTCTAATGAACCTTTGCATTCCTCGTTATTGATTTCTAGTTTTATTCCATTGTTGTCTGAGAAGATGCTAGATATGATTTCAATTTTTTTTTTTTTTTGAGACGGAGTCTCGCTTTATCGCCCAGGCTGGAGTGCAGTGGCGTGAACTCGGCTAACTGCAAGCTCCACCTCCTGGGTTCACGCCATTCTCCTGCCTCAGCCTCCTGAGTAGCTGGGACTACAGGCGCCCACCACCACGCCCAGCTAATTTTTTGTATTTTTAGTAGAGACAGGGTTTCACTGTGTTAGCCTGGTCTCGAACTCCTGACCTTGTGATCCGCCTGCCTTGGTGTCCCAAAGTGCTGGGATTACAGGCATGAGCCACCGCACCCAGCCTTAATTTTTAAAAATTTGTTGAGGCCAGGCTTGGTGGCTCACGCCTGTAATCCTAGTATTTTGGAATCTGAGGATCCTCAAGTGGGAGGATTGTTTGAGGCCAGGAATTTGAGGCCAGACTGGGCAACATAGTGAGGCATTGTCTCTACAAAAAGTTGAAAATTAGCTAGGCATTGTGGTGTGCACCTATAGTCCTTGTTACTTGGGAGGCTGAAGAGGGGATAATTTGAGCTCAGGAGTTCAAGGCTGCAGTGAGCTGTAGGACTGCATTCCTGCCTGGATGACAGGGCGAGACCGTGTCTAAAAAAAAAAAATGTTGAGACTTATTTTGTGGCCTAATGTATGGTTTACCCTTTAGAATGTTCCATGTGCTGATGAGAAGAATGTGTGTTCTACAGCTGTTGGATAAAAGATTCTGAAAATGTCTGTTAGGTCCATTTGGTCTAAAGTGCAGTTTAAATCCAGTGTTTGTTGATTTTCTGTTTAGACGATCAAATGCTGACAGTGGAGTGAAGTTCTCAATAGTTATTGTCTTGGAATCTTTATTTTTACAGTGAATAATATTTGCTTTATGTATCTGAGTGCTCTGTTGTTGGGTATATATATATATTTAGAGTTGTTATCTACTGTTACACTCCAGTAGCATTTTTGCTATGAAGTGAATCTCCTGGGTTGGATGCTATATTACTTGGTATTTCATGTCTTTGGATCAGGCGTGAATAATAGTGCTGGCTGAGCCTTACAGGACTAGAAAGGCAAATCCATGTTTGGAATAAATCCAGGTATTTATCCCTGTGAGGTTGAACCACTGTACTTTAGAGGCTGGCAGGTGGCTGAAGTAGTCAATTTGTCCCCCAGTAAGTAGTTTATTTTCTTGAGGAATAGTGTCACATTAGGGACTCAACTTTCTGCTGATACATGCTGGGTAGTTCTTGGCAATTCTTTAGGTATCTATGTACCATTTTCCTCCTTTATCAAGACCAACACTTGTGCACTGGGTTATCCTTAGACATAATCATAATTACTGGCCTGGTGGCTGGGAGAGGAGGTTGGACCAGCTCCTGGGAGAGCAGCACCTATTCCCTTGTGAACATAATTTGCAGGTACAGTACAAAATGAAAATGGGGACCTTTGTTCAAAAGGTAGAGGAAAACATGCCATAAAAACAAAGTTTCTTTTTTTCTGTGGAATAATATATATAAGGTCGCACACGGTGGCTCATGCCTGTAATCCCAGCACTTTGGGAGGCTGAGGTGGGTGGATCACGAGGTCAGGAGTTTGAGATCAGTCCAGCCAATATGGTGAAACCCTGTTTCTACTAAAAATACAAAAATTAGCCAGGCATGGTGGCACACGCCTGTCATCCCAGCTACTTGGGAGGCTGAGGCAGGAGAATTGCTTGAATCCAGGAGGCAGAGGTTGCAGTGACCTGAGATCGTGCCACTGCACTCCAGCCTGGGCAACAGAGCATGACTCCATCTCAAAAAAAAAAAAAAAAAAATATATATATATATATATACACACACATATAAATAAAATTATGTATATATTATATATATATGTGTGTGTGGTTGTGTATATATGTCAACCTTTCCTGTTCATCATTATATTGTGCATTGCCCATTTAAATCAGCACAATCAGTGAAATGACACAATTTCTACTTTGTTGCTCCTATTAGGATTTTTTTTTTAGAACATTAGAAATGTTGCAGAAACTAATTCAGCCTTGTTTTTGTTTTTGTTTTTTTTAGACAAGGTCTTGCTCTATTGCCCAGGCTTGAGTGCAGTGGCGCAATCACAGCTCACTGCAGCCTCAACTTCTCAGGCTCAGGTGATCCTTCCACCTCAGCCTCCCAAGTAGCTTGGACTATAGGCATGTGCCACCACACCTGGCTAGTTTTTTTAGAGATGGGATTTTGCCACTTTGGCCAGGCTGGTCTTGAATTCCTACACTCAAGCAATCCACCCAACTTGGCATCAGAAAGTGTTGGGATTATAGACGTGAACCACTGTGTCTAATGTCTAATTCAACTGTTTTACTTCACTTCTCCATATGCACATTCTACCAGTGCACTCTAACTTCAAGTTGAGTAAGAAACAGAGAAAGTAGCTATGAGTTGCCTTATGTTTCCAATCCCTTGTGTGTGATCATTTTCAACACAAGTGGTTGGCTAATAAGAGGAACTTGAGCAGGAAATGCGTTGACCGGGTTCCTTGGCTGTTTATGCTAAGACATTGTCTTCTGAGTTCAAATCAAATTCTGGGTCCAAATGGACAGTGGTGTCTCTTGGGGCTGTCAGTGTCCCAGATCACTCAGATGTAAATGTGTTTAATATGGAAGAGGAGCACAGAATTCTGGTGAACCCACAATGTGCAGTGAAACTCAAAATGAGTATGAGGAAAGTTATGGAAGTTGAAGGGCAAGCATCACAAATACCATTTACAAAAGGATAGGCATATTGCATGTATCTTCCCTGTGCTGGACAAGGGTTGTGTGCAGCTATGTAGGGCACATGCTCATTAAGCTGGCCTTAATTGTGAAGGTTCTGTGGTAATGAATGGTGGAAATGCTATTCCTAAGGAAGGATGGGCCATCTCTACACACCCAGATGGTCTGTGGCTGGGAGCATGGCAGAGGCAATCTTGGGCATCCATGGAGATGTTCCGGTGTCATTTTTCAGGATCCCAGATTTTCCTTACGAAGGGTCTGACCTCTACAAAATAGACATGCATTGGCTGAGCATTCCAACATCTGTAGAGCTCTGCTACAGGCCTTCAGCCCACATATTTGGGCAATAATTCTGCCTTCTATCCAAGAAGATAAAGGCCTTGTAAGCACTCACCAGGGAGTCCTGGTTTACTTAACCATTAACTGTTTGCTAATGGCTGAATGAAGTCTTCAATTTCTCAAGGTCCTTCTGCAGGTGGTAATGCAGATCGGCGATAATCAGTCTACTCTGCTCTTTGTAGGCACTTTCCCTACATTTTCAAAGGCCTGCATCATCACATCTGCCACAGCATTCTCTATCATTGAGGCATTTTCTCAGGAAATCACCTGTGAAATATTTTGCAGCTAACCACCTACCTGTGCCCCACCAGCCAACATGCTTTACTCCTGCCAGGCAGGTGAGTGGTCCCCAGATCCCTATTTTACCACTTGTTTTGTCAGACTGTTCTTGGTATCAGCTGTGTTGGAGGGAGTTCTCTGCAAAGACCAATATGGGACTGCATATACAGAGATTTTATTTCCAGATATGACTGTGAGAGAATGATGAGGGGAGCAGTTACTTAGTCTATTTGAGCTGTTATAATAAAATACCACTGACTAGGAAATGTATAAAGAGGACTTTATTTTCCCAGAGTTCTGGAGGCTGGGAAGTTCAACATCAAAACATCAGTAGGTGCAGTTGTCTGTTGAGGGCTCATGTCTGTTTCCAAGATGATGCCTTCATGCTGCATCTTTTGGAAGGGAGGAGCATTGTGTCCTCACAGAGCAGAAAATAGAAGGGCCACAGGACAAACTCCCTCTATCAAGCCTTTTCATAAGGGCACCTGATCCCATTCGCAAAGCTCTATCTTCGTGACTTGACTTAATCACTTCCCAAAGGTCCCACCTCCTAATACTTACACTGTTTCAACAGTAAACAGTTTATGTAGAGTTTCAACATAAATTAAGGAGGGGACAAAACATCCAAACCAAGGAAGGCTGGGAGGGAAGCCAGAGGGAAAGTGCAAGAGGAGGTTTGGTGGAGGTGTCCTAGATTGTTTGCAGTCCAAGGAGGTTGGGGAGAGTGTAACAGGCCTGCCTTGGTATCCCTGCTCTGCAGTCACTGGCTAAGAGCAGTCCTTAGAAAGCACAGCCTGGCACAAATACAACAAGAATATGTGCTCAGTAGGAAAGAGACCACATTTCCCCAATAGCCCAGGTAATGCCCTCCCCTCAACTGGCATCTCTGTTCCCTAAACATTGACCTCTTTTCTCTGAATCTCTTGGGGACACATGGGTTGAATTCAGGTTCTCTGTAGCCCTCTGGATTCTGTCTGCCTCTGTTATATCTTCACGAACAAGTTATGCAGCCTCAACTAAAGCTTGTAACAAAGCAAAGTTACTCTCCTGAGTGTGTCCTCTGATGGATGGTGAGATATAACTTCAAGATGAAGCCTCACCCACACTCCCTGTACAAAAACGCTTCTCACGTAAGTGTCTCTTTAAGTGCTTACTGTAGTATGACTTATTGCTAAACTTTCGTCCACACTCTTGGCATTCATAAGGCCTCTCTCCTGTGTGTATTCTTTCATGCACAGTGAGGTCTGACTTACTGGTATAGCCTCGCTTACACTCCTGGCAAACAAAAGGCTTCTCCTTTGAGTGTATCCGCCAGTGGTGTCTGGTGAGACTTCTCTTCCAGCTGAAGCCTTGCCCACACACATTACACACGAAGGGCTTCTCCCCTGAGTGTGTCCTCTGGTGTGTGAGGAGATTTCCCTTCCAGTTGAAGCCTCGCCCACACTCCTTGCATACAAAAGGCTGCTTGCCAGAATGTGCAAGCTGGTGTTTCACAAGATTTGACTTCCAGATAAATCCTTGCCCACATTCACTACAGATGAAAGGCTTCTCCCCTGAGTGTGTCTTCTGGTGGAAGAGGAGAGTTGATTTTAGGATGAAGCCTCGCCCGCAATCCTTGCAATTAAATGGCCTTTCCCCCGAGTGTGTCCACTGATGTCTAAGAAGATTTGCCTTCAAACTAAAACTTTTCTCACACTGCTTGCACATGAAGGGCTTCTCTCCTGAGTGTGTCCTCTGATGTATGGTGAGATTTGGCTTCAAGGTAAAGCCTCGCCCACAATCCCTGCAGAAAAAACGTTTCTCACCCAAGTGTGCCCTCAGGTGCTTGTTATAGGAGGACTTATCCCGAAACCTTCGCCCACACTCCCGACATCCATAAGGCTTCTCCTCTGAGTGTGTCCTCTGGTGTAAAGTGAAGGTTGACTTTTGGATAAAGCCTCGTCCACAGTCCTTGCACACAAAAGGCTTCTCCTCTGAGTGTGTGATCTGATGTTTCACAAGGGTTGACTTCTGAATAAATCCTTGCCCACATTCTCTACAAACAAAAGGTTTCTCCCCTGAGTGTGTTCTCTGGTGGTAGACAAGAGTTGACTTTTGGCTAAAGCTTCGCTCACAATCCTTGCACACAAAAGGCTTCTCCCCTGAGTGTGTTCTCTGGTGTCTGAGGAGACTTCCTTTCACGCTAAAACTTTGCTTACACTGCCTGCACGCAAAGGGCTTCTCCCCTGAGTGTGTCCTCTGGTGTGTGATAAGGTGTGACTTATTGCTAAAGCCTCGGCCACACTCCTGGCATCTGTAAGGCTTCTCTCCTGAGTGTATTCTCTTGTGCACAACGAAGTATGACTTATTAGTATAGCCTCGCCCACACTCCTTGCACACAAAAGGCTTCTCCCCTGAATGCGCCTTCAAGTGCTTGTTGTATGAGGACTTATCGTTAAACCTTCGCCCACACTCCTGGCATTCATAAGGCTTCTCTCCTGTGTGTGTTCTCTCATGCACAGTGAGGTATGACTTACTGGTATAGCCTCGTCCACACACCTTGCACAGAAAAGGCTTCTCTCCTGAGTGTGTCCTCTGGTGTCTGAGGAGGTTGGCCTTGAGGCTGAAGCCTCGCCCACACACACTGCACACATAGGACTTCTCTCCTGTGTGTGTGTTCTGGTGCAAGAGCAATGCTGACTCATCTCTAAAGCCCTGGTGACACTCCCTGCATGTAAAAAGTTTCTGCCTGGAATGTGCTTTTTTGTGTATGATTACCATCATCTTCCGGCTGAAGTCTTGCCCACGCTCTGCACACTTGAATGCTCCCCATCTTGAATTTTCTATTCCTTTCAATACTTTGTCTATTTCTGTAGGATTTTCCCTCTGGCCTTGACTAGACTCTATTTCCACTACACTGTTCCTCCTCCTTGAGCTTACTGCATGTCTTAGGGGTGGGCTGGAAAATGCCATGGGCTTAGTGCTTTTTTCTTTCTCTTGACCTTCAGCTGTGTCACTCTGGAAGCTTTGATCAGAAAATTGTAGTTGCTGTTGCCTCTGATGTGCAAGTCCAAGATTCTTGGGCCGCAGGACATGTTCTGCATATATTCCTGGAGAATAGACCAACAATGAGACTGAATCAGTAACGAAAAGTCTTCTATGAAAGAAAAACCCAGAACCATATTGCTTTACTGCTTAATTCTAATAAACTCATAAAGAACAACAAACACCAATTCTTCTCAAACTATTCCAAAAAATTGAAGCAGGGCAGGGAGGAATTCTTCCTAACTCATTCTAAAAGGCCAGCATTATCCTGATACCAAAACCAGACAAGGACACAGCAAAAACAGAGAACTACAGGCCAATATCCCTGATGATGCTAAATGGAAAAATCCTCAACAAAATACTAGCAAAACCAATGCAACAACACAGAAAAGATAATACACCATGATCAAATGAGATTTATCCCAAGTATGCAATCATGATTCAACATACACAAATCAATACTTGTGATACATCACATCAACAGAGTGAAGGACCAAAAGACATATGATCATCTCAACAGATACAGAAAAAGATTTGATATGATTCAAAATCCCATTATGATAAAAACTTTTTTTTTTTGAGACAGGGTCTCACTCTGTCACCCAGGCTGGAGTGCAGTGGCATGATCATGGCTCACTGCAGCCTCGACCTCCCAGGCTTACACGATCCTCCCACCTCAACTTTCCAAATAGCTAGACTACAGGTGCCTGCCTGTAGTCAAGCCATAGGTGCCATTGCCTGGCTAATTTTTATATTTTTTGTAGAGATGGGATTTCGCCATGTTGTCCAGGCTGGTCTCAAATTCTTGAGCTCAAGCAATCTGCCCATCTTGCCCTCCCAAAGTGATGAGATTAAAGGCATAAGCCACCGCACCCAGCCTATGATAAAAACTTAAATCAGGTGTACAGGAAACATATCTCAACATAATATAGACAATATGTTCCAAACCCACAGCAAACATCTTAGTGAATGGGGAAAAGATAAAAGTCTTTCCTCTAAGAACTGGAAGAAGATTCGAATGTCTACTTTCACCACTCTTATTACCATAGTTCAGGGAGTCCTAGTCAGAACTATGGTAAGAGAAAAAAATAAGGCAAGAAAAGGAAATAAAAGGCATCCAAGCTGGAAAACTGAAGTCAAATTGTCTCTTTTTGCAGATGACATGATCGTACCTATAGAAAACCTAAACACTCTTCGAACTGATGAATGATGTCAATAAAGTTGCACAATATGAAATCAGAAAAAAAAATCAGTAGTGTTTCTATATGCCAATAATAACTAGGTGAAAAAGAAATCAAGAAAGCAATCCCATTTATAATTGGTACAAAAAAGTATATGAATAAACAACCCCAAATTAAATGTTCTCTATGATAAAAACAATGAAATAAATAGACGAGGACACAAACAAATGAAAAGACATCTTATGTTCATGGAGCAAAATAATACTGTTGAGATGACCATACTGCCCAAAGCAATCTACAGATTCACTGCAATACCTATTAAAATACCAGTGATATTCTTTATAAAAATAGACAAAATACTCCTAGAATTCATAAGGAACCAAAAAGACCTCCAATAGGCAATAGTGAGCATAAAGTACAAAGTGGGAGGCATCATACTACCTCACTTCAAAATATAATACAAAGCTAGTGTCATCAAAGCAGCATGGTATTGGTCTAAAAATAGACACTGGCCAGGCACAGTGGCTCACACCTGTAATCCCAGTGCTCTGAGAGACTGTGGCAGGCGGATTGCTTGAGGCTAGGAGTTCGAGTCCAGCCTGGGCAACACGATGAGACCCCATCATTACAAAAGGTTAAAAAAAAAATTAGCTGGGCATGGTGGCACATGCCTATAGTCCTAGCTACTTGAGACACGAGGATCACTTAAGCCCAGGAGTTAGAGGCTGCAGTGAGCTGTGATGGCACCACTGCACTCCTGCCTGGGTGGACAGAGCAAGACCCTGTCCATAGAAACAAAAACAAAAATGAAATACACATAGACCAATAAAAGAGAATAGATAATCTACAAATAAATCCATATATTTATAGCCAACTGATTTTTGACAAAGGCACTAAAAACATACCTTAGGGTAAGGACAGAATCTTCAATAAATGGTATTAGAAAAAGTGAATTCCAAAATGAGTAAGAATGAAGTTAGATGTTTGTTTCTCATACTATACAAAAATAAACTCAAAATAGATTAAAGACTTAAACATGAGTTCCACAATTATAAAACAACTTGAAGAAACACAGGAGAAATGCTTTAGGACACTGGCCTAAACTAGCCATATTTTATGGCTAAGACTTCAAAATCACAAGCAACAAAAGCAAAAATACACACATGAGACTACATTAAACTAAAAACTAAAAAGCTTCTGTACAGCAAAGGAAAGTATCAACAGTGAAGATACAAAATGTAGAATGGGAGGAAATATCTGCAAAGTATTCATCTTACAAGGGACTAATATACAGAATATACAAGAAGTCAAAAAACAACAACAAAAAATCCAACTAAAAAGTGGGAAAAGGATCTGAATAGACATTTCTCAAAATAAGACATACAAATGGGCAACAGGTATACGAAAAAATGCTCATCATCACCAATCATCAGGGAAATGCAAATCACACTGAGAGATCCTCTTACCACAATTAGGATGGCTATTATCAAAAAGAGAAAAAATAACAAATAATGGCAAAGATGCAGAAAAAAGGCAATAATTATACACTCTTGGTGTATAATTAGTACAGCCATTATGGAAAATGGTATGGAGGTTCCTTAAAAAACTACAAATAGAACTACGATACAATCCAGCAATCCCACTACTTCATATTTATCCAAAGAAAAGGAAATCAGTATGGCAAAAGGATACCTGTACCCCCATGTTAACATTATTCACAATAGTCTAGATATGGAATTAACCTAAATGTCCATCAATGGTTGAATGGATAAAGAAAATGTAGTACATATATATAATGGAATGTTAGTCAACCATAAAGAAGAATAAGAATACTGCTGTCATTTACAGCAGTATCATTAGAATCATTATCATTAACTAATGATATAATCAGTATCATTAGTTCATTATGTTAGGTGAAATAAGCCAGGCACAGAAAGCCAAATATTGCATATTGTCACTCATATGTGGGAGCAGAGGCTAGGAAAGGGAGAGGGAAGGGAGAACGAAGAGCAGTTGATTATGGGTACAAAAATATAGTTAGAAGAAATAAGTGTTTGATAGCACAGTAGCGTGACTATAGTTTAACTGTAATTTATATTTCAAAATAGAAAAAAATGGAGTATACAGAGAAATGATAAATATTTGAGGTTATGGATCCTGATTTGATCATTACATATGGTATGCATATATCAAAATACCACATCTACTCCATAAATAATGTACAATTATTATGTATCAACAAATAAGAAAATAATCCCCCCAAAACTAATACAAAATAGTAGGCATCTACAAAGGGGAGATATTTATATATAAATGGAGAATAATAAAGAATTATCTTTTTTAATACATTAAAATGAATATTCATATTAAGAAAGGAAAAACTAAAGTGAAAAGAGAAATAGCAAACTGATAGAAAGTACTGCTGGTACTATGACAGTCAATGTGCTTATTATTCAGGAAAAATACTCCAAAACTTGTCAGATATATGATTATATGACCTTTCCTACATCATCTGTATAATTTTTAATTTTTCTGATCACTCGGATAATGACAGTTAAGTTTGCTGATTCTGTAAAGTTACAGGGTAACTTACAATGGTGTTATTTTGGCACTATCCACATACATCCCACCTTCTCATACCTGCACTGAACCAGCTTTGTCATCCTGCCAGTAACCTCACTTATGAGTTAAATAAAATCCTAACATATGCTCCCATTACATTAAACATTCACACTTTCAGAAGTCAGTGGTAGACAAGAAGCCTTTTATTTTAATTCACTGACAGACAAATCAGCAAGCAATTGATATGGGGGCGAGAGAAGGGAGTTGATAATGGGCTGAACATTAGCATCCCCCCCAAATTCATATGTTGATGCCTTAACCCCCAATGTGATGGTATTTGGAGGTGGAGTTGTTGGGAGATAAACAGGTTTAGTTGAGATCGTGGGGTGAGCCCATGAGAGGACACAGTAAGGAGGCGGCAGCCTGTGAGCCAGGATGGGGACCCTCACAATGAAGCAAAGGTGCCAGCACCTTCATCTTGGAATTCCCAGATTCTAGAACTGTACGAAATAAATGTCTGTTGTTTAAGCCTCCCAGTCTATGATATTTCGTCATTTCTACGATACTCAAGATGACAGAGGAGTCCCTTCCCACCTATGTAAACTGAGGGAGTGGCCCCGATCCAAAAGCAGAGACCTTATGCACGTGAAAACTCAGGCCAGCTCCAAATTTCTCAGTGGATGCCCCCACATTTTTTATGGGGTGGTGGGAAGCAAGGAATGGGAAAGAACTCCACAGTCTGTATGAACCTGCTTTTTTTGCAGACAATAGGACAAAGTCAACAACAATAACCATAAAAAAAAATCAACCTGCTAATTTTCTGATAGAGAGTATACTGTGTAATTCCACTTACATGAAGTTCTAAGATGGGTGAAATTAAGGCATATTGAACAAAATCCGAATAGTGATTTTCTCTGGTGGACGTGGGGGCAGGAAATGACTGGAAAAAGGCACAAAAGCACTTCTGGGGTGAGAGTAATTCTTTTGTGTTGTCATAGGGGTCCAGATTACACAAAGTTATGCATATGTCAAAGCTCACTGAATGTTACACTTAAGATTTATGCATCTTATATAAATCCTAAAAAGAACCACAAAGAAACATTATAATACTACTTATTGATATGCATGCTGAAGTGTTTATGCGTAAAGGATAATGATGTCCACAATATTAAAGAGCATCAAAAGGAAGATGGACTTATGGATGGAGAGAGCAATGCACAGCTGGGTAAGTAAGCGATAAAGAATACGGAGCACAAAGCTAAATGCTGACTGTAGGTGGCAGATCGACAGGTGTTCATTCTATAAGCCTTTCAACTTTTTAGTATCCACCAAAATATAATTGTTCAACATTTGCTTCACAAAAAAATGCTGGAGGAAAGGAAGTATTATAGGATGTAAACTCAAAATATATATGCCATGAAATAAGGAAAGTTAAATGAGGGTTACAGTCACCAAAAAAAATCTTAGGAACTAATATTAATATTAAACGAAATAGATTATAATACAGTAACTATTATTAGGTTTTACAGATGAAATATGATGACCAGGATTTGCTTCAAAATAATCCAGGAATGGGAGATGAGGGTGAAAGTACAGAGGACACAAGATTCCCTGTGAGCCAATAAAATTATAATAATTCTAACCCTGCATGTATTTAATAGTAGGCTAAAATATATAAAGTCCTACAAAACTTAGTAGATATGGAACAATCCACTATGAATATAGAAGATGTAAAAATCATCTTTTCAAGTATTGGATAGTTCAAACTGCCCTCCCAAAAAAAACTATAAAGCCACAGAAGAGTTAAATAACAACAACAAAAATCTTTATATATTGGCCAAGCATGGTGGCTTATGTCTGTAATCCCAGCACTTTGGGAGGCTGAGGCAGGAGGATCACCTGAGGTCAGGAGTTCAAAACCAGCCTGGCCAACATGGTGAAACCTCTCTCTACTAAAAATACAAAAAAAATTAGCCAGGCATGGTGGTGAGGACATGTAGTCCCAGCTACTCAAGAGGCTAAGACAGGAGAATTGCTTGAACCTGGGAGGTGGAGGTTCCAAGGAGCCAAGATCGCGCCATTGCACTCCAGCCTGGGCTACAAGAGTGAAACTCCGACTCAAAAAAAAAAAAACTTTATATCTTTAAATCTTTGTATCTTTATAAACTTGATCTAGGAAGGGTTTCTTAAACAAGACATAAAAGAGACTTCCAAGTACTCGAGGAGAACTGCAGCTGTGTAAGGCTAAATCTGTCCACACATTCTCCAAATAGGATATAAAGGTCAATAGAAACAGATGACCCCTGAAACTGACACATAACAAGATAGAGAAAACTAAATTTATCATTGTCATAAGCAGAAAACTTAACACCACTTTTCAGCAGTCTCCTGTGGTCCCACTGTGAGGAGTGAGGAAAGCCAGTAAAACAGCATGAAAAGAGAAGAGAGGAACACAGGGCCTAACTGTGAACTAAAACTGCTCCAAGAGAGAACAAGTCCACCCTAGAGGTAAGAATCATCATCATCATCATCATCATCATCATCATCATCATCATGAGTCCTGATGAACCACTGCGGTGACTACAGGGACTTAAGAGGGTGCACAATTCTAGACCACAGCCCCACTCAGGCAGTACATCTGGGGGAAATGGGGGAAGGAGGAAGGTGAAGTGACCTCTGGCAACAGTAGTACTGCTTAAAACATTAAACGACAAGGAAAAAAAGCTATGGGAATTGAAGAAGGAGAATAACGGACAGAGGTTTTAAGAAGCTAAAATAGAACTTAAACAAATTTACAAGAAAAAAAAAAACCCCATCAAAAAATGGGCAAAGGATATGAACAGACACTCCTCAAAAGAAGACATTTATGCAGCCAACAAACTTAGAAAAAATGCTCATCATCACTGGCCATCAGAGAAATGCAAATCAAAACCACAATGAGATACCATCTCATACCAGTTAGAATGGCAATCATTAAAAAGGAAACAACAGGTGCTGGAGAGGATGTGGAGAAATAGGAACACTTTTACACTGTTGGTGGGACTGTAAACTAGTTCAACCATTGTGGAAGTCAGTGTGGCGATTCCTCAGGGATCTAGAACTAGAAATACCATTTGACTCAGCCATCCCATTACCAGGTATATACCCAAAGGAATATAAATCATGCTGCTATAAAGACACATGCACACGTATGTTTATTGCAGCACTATACACAATAGCAAAGACTTGGAACCAACCCAAATGTCCAACAATGATAGACTGGATTAAGAAAATGTGGCACATATACACCATGGAATACTATGCAGCCGTAAAAAATGATGGGTTCATGTCCTTTACAGGGACATGGATGAAGTTGGAAACCATCATTCTCAGCAAACTATCTCAAGGACAAATAACCAAACACCGCATGTTCTCACTCATAGATGGGAATTGAACAATGAGAACACATGGACACAGGAAGGGGAACATCACACTCTGGGGACTGTTGTGGGGTGGGGGGAGGGGGGAGGGATAGCACTAGGAGATATACCTAATGCTAAATGACGAGTTAATGGGTGCAGCACACCAGCATGGCACATGTATACATATGTAACTAACCTGCACATTGTGCACATGTACCCTAAAACTTAAAGTATAATAATAATACAAATAAATAAAAAATATTAAAAAAAATTAAAAAAAGAGAAATGCAAATCAAAACCACAATGAGATACCATCTCACGCCAGTTAGAATGGCGATCATTAAAAAGTCAGGAAACAACAGATGCTTGAGAGGATGTGGAGAAATAGGAATGCTTTTCCTCTGTTGGTGGGAGTGTAAATTAGTTCAACCATTGTGGAAGACAGTGTGGCGATTCCTCAAGGATCTAGAACTAGAAATACCATTTGACCCGGCAATGCCATTACTGGGTATATACCCGAAGGATTATAAATCATTCTACTATAAAGACACATGCAGAGGTATGTTTACTGCAGCACTTTTCACAATAGCAAAGTCTTGGAACCAACCCAAATGCCCATCAATGATAGACTGGATAAAGAAAATGTGGCACATATATACCATAGAATACTATGTGGCCATAAAAAAGGATGAGTTCATGTCCTTTGCAGGATCATGGATGAAACTGGAAACCATCATTCTCAGCAGAGTAACACAAGAAGAGAAAAATCAAACACTATATGTTCTCACTCATAAGTGGGAGTTGAACCATGAAAACACATGGACACAGGGAGGGGAACATCACACACTGGGGCATGTTGGGGGGTAGGGGGCAGGGGAGAGGATAGCATTAGGAGAAACACCTAATGTAAATGACGAGTTGATGGATGTAGCAAACCAACATGGCACATGTATACCTATGTAACAAACCTGCATGTTGTGCACATATACCCCAGAACTTAAATTAAAAAAAAAAAAGAAAATCAGTATATAGAAGAATGAGATGCAAATTGTATCAAAAAATTTATATTTACTTACACAGAAAAATAATTAAAAAACAAAACAAAACAAAACAAAAAGAAGCTAAAATAGGAATACCTGGACAGTATCAGGAAGGGGCAATAGACTTAGGCTTGCAGTCGGGCAGTCACGAGGAAAGTCACAAATGAGGAGATTGAGTGGGAGAAAGAAGTCTAGCAAGTAGGGGGAAAGGAGGCTTCCTGGGAGAAGGAGTCCAGGGACCTCAGGAGAACCTCTCACTCAGCAAGGACTGGAAGGAAGGCAGGGCCAGGTGGTCTGAAGAGCAGCCAAGGAGGCCAGAACAGCTTCCAGGTCCCCTGGCCTCAGAGAAGCCTCCTCCCTCCTGAAAGGCGGAGTGCCTTGTGCTCTGTCTGCCCTGTCTATCCCCTCACCTGCACAGGGGCCTGGCCGGCGTCTTCTCTCTTCTCCCCAGGGCACTTCCCCTTGCTCTAGCCGCCTGATGAGTTCTGGTTTAGAATGGAGAATTCCTGCTCACAGGGAAAAAAACCATGAGGTGACTCCTGGTTGTAGGCTCCACGGGCCATTTGCTGGAGCCACCCAGGGCAGGAAGGGAGGGAGAATCAGAGGGGGAAGGCTCAGGAGGACCCTGTCTACCATGCTCAGAGTACAAACCCCCAGGGGGAGCCCCAGTGTGGGGAAAGGCCTGCAGGTGCCCAGTGGCAGTCAGTATGAAACTTTACCAAAGCCAGACCTTCCTCAGGGGAATAGAGAAAACAACATTCTTGTCTCTGAACCTAACCCTATGGCAACATCAGAGGCACCACAGGCCAAATGTTAGGCTCGAGGGAAGCCACGCTTACCTAGTGAGACCAGGTGGCTGTAGTTCTCCAGTGTCACCTCCCTGTACAGGGCCCTCTGAGCAGGGCTCAGCAGCCTCCATTCCTTCTGGGTGAAATCCACAGTGACATCCCCAAATGCCAAGAAAGCCTGTAACACAAAACCCAGGCATGCTCACCAGGGACAGTGTTGCACTCACGCAGTTGGAGGATTCCAGGTTCTGCCATCTGTACACAGATCACTACTTGATGAGTGACACCCACAGGCCAGTCACCTGCTGGAGGACGCCAGGAAAGACAGATCACTCCCCAGGAGCGGTGCTGGCCTTGGTCCTGTGCTAATAATGTAACTGCTAGGGCCAGTGAAGGAAATGGGCCCATCCTGTGACAGCAAGAACGACAGTTCTGGGAAGTCTCACCTGTCTCCTGGCTCCCTGAGGTCCCATGACTGTCTTCCTGCTCTCCACGGAGAAGGGAAGCTTGCAGATGGCCAATCTGTGGGAGGAGAGAAGTCAGAGGGTGGCTGGGTGCAGCTGCCCTCCCCATGTGTGACAGTTGGTGTGATTCCAATACCAACTGGGGATCTGGGGAGGGCGCACCTGCACAATTCCCCTGTGGGGATCTGGCCAAAAGGTCTAGGGAGCCAGGCTCCCTGCAAATCCAGGACAAGCTCATCTGGGAGTGAAGTGTGCCCCAGGAGCTGGGTGACGTTTGTTGCTTACATCACTGAGGGGCTAAAAGGATGAGGAACACCTGCAGATGAGGTCTTGCATTTAAGGTTAGGGCTCAGAGTTCCAGGTGTTCTTTGCACTGGACAGAATACACAAGAGCTGTCTGCCTCTTCTAGCCTCTGTCTCCCCGGGTTTGAAGTCAGGATAACCACAGGTGCAGACAAACTTGAGAAGGCCACAGGCAGATGGCATTGGCAGTTATTCAGTACTGTACAACACCAAAGCCTTTAACAAATTAATAGCATGGGGAGTGTGAGCTGTCAGGAATAAAAGTCCTCAGACACATGGTTAATCTAAGGCAATGAGTGATCCAATGCAATTTGGATCCTGATTGCAACAAAGAATATGTGAGGAGTATTAACAGCCAGTGAAATCTGAACACTAATTGGATATTAGATTATCAAACATTAATTTTGTTGTTATAAAAGTATTTTGGGTTTTAAAAACATGAGCCCTTCCTTGTATACAAACTTTTGGAACATTCATGAGTGAAAATGATGTCTGGATGTGCTTAAACACCCCTTCTCACCCTCAAAAGTCAATTGAGCATTACTGGCCACACTTCATAATTTTTAGAACTGAATAATGTGTACTGGGTTCATTATATTATTTTCTCCGAATTTTTTGAAAAAAATTCCAGTAGAAATACAGGAAAAGAACTGTAAATTAAAGTGGTGGGTGTAATGATTTCATTAGAGTATTCACTATACTTTTAAGTGAATGTTTTGACTAAAAAAATAAAATTAAAAACACAGACATATAGGGGTGAAAAGAAGGAAATGTGAAGGAACAAAGATGCTATCATGTGGTGATTATGATGAACACAGCATACATCCACTAGCCAGTAACTTTGAGACAGAAGTGAACAAATACTATGGTGTTATGAAAAGAAAATAAAACTAGGGACCCCAGTCCACTCTGCCAAAAGGAAAAACATTAAGCTGAAAGCTAAGTCATGCAAGAAGCTGCCTTTCCTTTTGTTCTTAAGGAGATAGCTACAGATAAAACGTTAAATATCTCCATAGTAGCTACTCTATGCACACCGTATCTTATGTAAAGTGCTGATTTACTGAGTGTGAGATGAATGCATAACTATTTTCCTACCTGCTCCTTTTCTCTTGTCACAGGTGGATTACCACACCTTTCCTCTTTCCCCTCCAGCCTACTTTTCCTTTTTAAACAATGAGGCTCTCAAACTCATCTTTGGGGAAAGCCACTGGCCTCTTTCTGTGGCATGTCCTCAACTGTGGCAAAATAAACATCTAAATTGGTACTTGACTCTGATACTTTTTGGTTTACATGTAGTTGGAGAAGAAAAACAGTGAAATTTCTTCCTCTGACGGCAGTTGAAAGGTGATTTAAAACATTTTTGTTATTTCTTTCTATATACTTACATAAATAGTTTACCTTTCATGTCCCATCTGTGCTATCTTTACCTATTCCAAAGTCACAAAGATATTCCCCTACATTTACTCTTAGAAGTTTAAATATGTTGTTTTTGATGGTAGTATAAATATGTATTTCATTTTTTAACTGTTTGCTGCTAGGTTACAGAAATACAAGTGCTTTTTAAAAATACTGACCTTATTTTCTGAAGTTCCTAAACTGTGTGTTACTAGTATCTAGTTGTTTAACTATTCTTCCATGTACATACTCACATCTTCTGTGAATAAAAAATTTTTTTTTCTGTTTCAACGTTTATGCCTTTTATTCCTTTTTAATACCTTAACAGGTTAGCTAGTTATTCTAGGATAATGCTAAATAAGAGTGATAAGAATCAACATTAATGCTTGTTCCTGATCTTAGTGTGAACACACTTCACCATTAAATATGATGATTGCAGCCAGGCTGTCACACATAACCTTTGTTTCATTAAGGGAAATTCTTTCTATTCCTCATTTACTGAGAATTTTTACCCTGAATAGGTGTGAAATGTTATCAAGTATTTTTCTGCATTAAGATAGTAATGTAGGTTTTTCTCTTTTGCTCCCTGAAAGCAGTGAAAGGAAAATAAAAACGTTGGAACCCAAACCACTCTGCCAAAAGAAAAATATTAAGCTGAAAGCTGATTCATCCAAGAAGCTACCTTTCCTTTTGTTCCTAAGCGGAGAACTACAGATAGGTTAAGTAAGGGTAAGTATCTCTGCCGGGCGCGGTGGCTCACGCCTGTAATCCTAGCACTTTGGGAGGCTGAGGCGGGCCTCCTCCTCGTGGTCAGGAGATTGAGACCGTCCTGGCTAACACCGTGAAACCCGTCTCTACTGAAAATACAAAAAAATACAAAAAATAGCCGGGAGTGGTGGCGGCGCCTGTAGTCCCAGCTACTCGGGAGGCTGAGGCAGGAGAATGGCGTGAACCCGGGAGGCAGAGCTTGCAGTGAGCCGAGATCGCGCCACTGCGCTCCAGCCTGAGCAAGAGTGAGACTCCGTCACAAAAAAAAAAAAAAAAAAAATTAGTCGGGTGTGGTGGCGAGCGCCTGTAGTCCCAGCTACTCAGGAGTCTGAGGCAGGAGAATGGTGTGAACGTGGGAGGCAGAGCTTGCAGTGAGCGGAGACCGTGCCACTGCACTCCAGCCTGGGCAACAGAGCAAGACTCCGCATCAAGAAAAAAAAAAAGTTAAATATCTCCACAGGTTGCTTACTCTATGTTCACTCTATCCTCGGTTTTTTGGGAACAAACTCTATTTGGCTAGAATATATCATCCTTTTCATGTATTGCTGGATACTACTTGTCCATATTTTGGTGAGAATTCTTGACTATTTTCCTCTGGAATGATTACATGTAAGGGCACATGAGAACTCTTGTTGAAATGTTCTGTATCTTGATTGAGGTGATAAGTGACCTGTGTATACTTTAAAGAGTCAAAACTCATTATACAGTTAAAAGCAGTGCTTCTTACGGTATGCAAGTTACACCTCAACACTGATTAAAAATCCTCTCAGAGATCAAGTATATATGGGTAAAATAACAAGACATCTGGATTTGTTTGAAATACTTTGGCACATAAACAGGGGGAAGGGATAAATCTAACAGAACTACCCATGGTTTTAAAATGATCAAATCTGGATGAAGGCAACATGGGGATTCCTATTACCATCTCCCAATTTTGCTACCCATTTGAGATTTTTCATAACACTAGTTTACAGAAAAAGCATTAATCATATTGCTAATTCTATGCTTACCAAAAAATTGGCTAAAATAATCTTATAGGAGCTAACTTCATTTGAAAATACTCAAAAGTCCCCAGCATTCAAGAAACTGCCCAATCAAGAAAAAGCCACATTAAAAACAGAAGGCAGCTGGCTGGGCACAGTGGCTTATTCCTGTAATCCCAGCACTTTGGGAGGCTGATGCATGTGGATCGCTTGATCCCAGGAGTTCGGGACCAGTTTGGGCAACATGGCAAAGGCTCATCTCTACAAAAAATATAAACATTAGCTGGATGTGGTGGCACGTGCCTGTAGTCCTAGCTACTCCTGGCTTGAGCCCAAGAGGTTGAGGCAGCAATGAGCCTTGAATATGCCACTCCACTCCAGCTTGGGCAACAGAGCAAGACATAGTCTCAAGAAAACAAAACAACAACAACAACAAAAACAAAACAGGAGACAGTCATATTTGCAGCCCAATACACCTTATTCCCAATGTTCTATCCTGTCCAAGTGTTGTCTAATGGAAAAATCTCATGGTGAACTTGCCTATAGATCCCTGGGGCAAAAAATTACAGGTGCAGAATACAACAGAGCTTCTAAAGCAGCATCTCAGTTTCCACTTCCTTCCCTCAAACCTGAGAAAGCACAGTAGACCTTTCTTACAAGGTTCTAAGCTGTTGGAGGCTGCCTGAGGGACTGCTCTGTTTTGAGGATCTCACACCTTAGGGAAGAAAAGCACTGGATCATGCTTGGCAAAGATGCAGACAGATTGAAGAGCAGATGCCTGGGGCAAGATATTATGGGTGGAGACATACAACAGACCATCAAAGGCCCAGAGGAGAGACTCTTGGGACAAATAAATATTTAAAAGCAGTTGCCTATGAGAAAATGGAAAAAGCCACAAGCAAAGGTAAGATCCATGCTCCAAAAAGGCCTGAGAAAATCTTAAACCTTCTCCTCAGATTGATCCCAAAGCTTAGAACGAATACCAAGATAATAGCAAAAATCCTCCCTGGAAAAGAGTCAGTCTGCAAAAACCGGAAAAGGAGGTTGTTTTTTCCACAATGCCTAATTTCTAACAACAACAACAAAAACTCAGAAAACATGGCCCAATAAGTGGAAGAAAATAAAGTGACGGAAACCTTCCCCGGAGAAACATAAGCTTCAGGCAAACTAGACAGATTTTAGACTGTCTAAAATATTCTCAAAAACTCATGAAACACGGGTAGAGAAAAGGAAATCAGGAAAATATATATGAACAAAATACCAACAGAGATTACAAAAAGGAAGCAAACAAAAATTCTGGACCCGAAAACACAGTAATTGAAAAATTCAGTAGAGGGATTTAACGGCAGATGAGCAGGCAGAAGAAATAATCAGTAAACATAAAGAGAAGAATTTGAAATTTCAGAGACAGAGAAGCAGAAGAGAAAAGAATGAAATAAACAGAGCCAAAAGAGTTATAAGGTGCCATTAACTGGACATATATATGGGTGTCTAGAAGATGCTGATAGATTACTGAAGAAATAATGGCCAAAACTTCAAAATTTGAAGACAGACATGAATCTACAAGGCCAGCACACTCAACAAACTCCAAGAATAAATTCAAGGAGGTCCACACCCAAACACACTTCTCAACTATACTTACATGAAACCAGCTTCAGGAACACAGGACTGGCAGGGGGAGAGAAGTTAAGAATAGTGGCATCGTGCCTCTCTCAGGGAAAAGCTGTCACCATAGACTGAGAACTGGAGAGGGACAGGGTTCCATCTTGTGATTTTCACAGCCCACAGTGGAGTTTCTCTCAGAGTGGACCAAAATGGGGGTGGGGAGGGTAGCAGTTTGTGTGTCAAATGTTACAGACTCTCACTGTTCTCAGAAAGGCTCAGTTGATTTTTCTGAATAAATGTTTCTCTAAATTCCTGAGTGGTCTTAAGACAAATTCCGTGTAGTTTAAATGGTTGTTTTTGGTTTTCTAAATTACCAGTTATGGTGTTTTACTGGAGATACAGTCCACGTCGCTCCTCACTGCCATTCCAGAATCCACATTTCTGATTATAGTTGGGACCAGAACTAGGGCCAGGCAATTAGGTAAGTGGTGTGATCATTATTTGTCCTTATGGGTAGAAGTAGAATTAGGAGATGAGCCTGGCAGGCAGAAGGAAGGAAGGGAAGGAAAAAGCTATGGCAAGGAAAGAATGAACAAGCCTCAGCACCTAAGCAAGCAAATGGGAAGTTTGCCAAGGTAGGGAAACTTCCTTTACCTAGATCACAACGAGAGAAGTAAAACAGACAAGGGGCACTACTGAGCTGGTTTCTAGATATTTCTTCTCTCATGCTTCCCATCTTAATGAACCTGAGTGTGAAATCTGAATTGTAAGGAGAAATTTTTGAGACCTGGAAAATTTCTGCATAAACTGGGTAATGAGTGAAATTAATACATTGCTAATTTTGTTGAGTATGATTCTGGTACTCTAGTTACGTTAAAAGGCAAGACAGTAACAACAAAAATAGTCCTCAGAGAAGTAGCTGCAGTAAATTTACAGATAAAATGGTGTCTTGGATTGGCTTCAAGATGCTCTAGCCTGAAAACAGAAAGCATGGGGTGGGGAGGGGGTTGGATGAAATAAGAAGAGCAAAGTGTTAAGGTGCAACAAGGGAACAGAGAGATCTGTTATATATTCTCTCTACTTTAGTTCCTACTTCAATATTTTTCATAGTAAATTTGAAAAAAATTGAATATCCCTTCCAAGATAATTTGGAGAGGAAAAATAGAGAAAACTTTCATTTCCAGGGTGTGAATGGAGAACACTGCAAACTGTTTGGTCTCACTCCTGCCATCTGTTGCCATCTGTGGGAGTTAATATCCTGTAGGAACAGAAACTGAGAGCCGTAAGAAAGTGGTTTAAATTAGTTACCAATAAATTAGATATGAATATGAGGCAAACTTGAAACATTTAGCTCCTCCACGTATATTTCATTAAAATTCTCCTAAGATAAAAAAACAGCTCCTACATTTTTGGGAGATGAAAAATGTTCATATGTTGATTTGATGATCAAGACTTCACTATATACATTTCTCAAAACTCATCAACTAGAACTTAAAATGGGAGATAATTTTATTGTCTCAATTATACCTCAATGAAGCTAATTCTTAACAGAAACCCCCAAAATCCCAGCTTGCTCCACAACCCAGTCCACTTGATCCCAGATATGTTACATAAAGTAAAAATTATTATTTTTTGAGACAGAGTCTCACTGTCCCCCAGGCTGTAGTGCAGTGGCATGTTCTCTGCTCACTGCAACCTCCATCTCCTGGATTCAAGCGATTATCTTGCTTCAGGCTCCAGAGTAGTTGGGATTACAGGCGTGAGCCACCATGCCTGGCTAATTTCTGTATTTTTAGTAGAGATGAGGTTTCACCATGTTGGCCAGGCTGGTCTCGAACTCCTGGCCTCAGGTAATCTGCCCGCCTTGGCCTCCCAAAGTGCTGGGATTACAGGTATGGGCCACCACGCCAAGCCGTAAAAATTATTTCAACTGATTAACACGCCACTTCTTAGTCTGTGAAATGGGGATTCCAATTCCTAACTTCCACATTGGTTGAAGAGATGAATAGGGCAATGACTATAAAGCCCTGTCCCTGGGACAGGACAATGGCTCAGCACATGCTGACTGAATAATTTTTTACAAGACCTGGTCTGCACCACGAATGCAGCAGCCTGAATAAAGCACTGAGAGAAGAAATGTAGGGACAATGATGGAAGTGTCCTGAATGAGGGCATCAGATCTGGGGAACGTTCCCCATGAGAACCGGCTGAGAGGTTCTGAGCCTCAGATGGGACAGTGTAGGGCACAAGATGTCAGACATTAGCAAAGGAAACCCACCATGGTTTAGGGCAGAGAAGGCACTGCAGGAAGGCAATACATAAGAAGTCCCCACCTGGGGTTGGGCTGTCCTCCCTTACCCTGCAGACAGTCCTCTCACGGGTAACGTGGGAGTGGAGGAAGAGGAGCTGGGGACTAAAATGGCTCTAAAATGAGCTCTGCGATCCTCAAAGGTGGCCTTGGAAATTCCCAGTCCCAGGGTAGAGCCTCTTCTTGTTAAAAAAAAAGGACCCAAAGTCTTCCAGAGAAGAAAACTTTACGCAGGTTCCTGGGAACAGATCCTGAGTGTGGGCATCGCAACAGACCCTGTCCTGACATGATGCTAACACTAAACACAGCATATCCTGTCGGTGCTTCCAGAATAAGGAAGTGTTGATATTCATTATAATATTTAACACTTTTTTAGAATTTAATATATGCCAGGGACGGTTCCAGGCGTGGCACAAATTTTTCTGCATTCAATCTTCACAACTGTCCTATGAAGTGACTATTACCCACCAATTTCAGATGAGGAAACAGGCACAAAACATTTAAATGCCTTTCTCAAAGCAACACAGCCAAGAAAGTGATAGAGCTTGGGTTTCAACTCTCACTGTAAAGGACTATGTCTTAACCAGTAGGCATGGCTATGACATTCCTCAATGAATCTGCACAGATTAGGAGGGGATCTGGGTCAAGCTAGATTAGCTTGCAAGGTCATGAGGTATATCTTGACTGATGGGTCTCTCTACTTGGGGGTTCTGCTGACAATTTTTCCATAATGAAATGATTAAAATCAGTTATTTGGATGGTCAGTCCACAGCCCCAGAGACATTTAAAAAAACTGCTGGGCCCAATGGTTGCTGTTACTCCCACTCCAATAACCGAGGAAGCCCTACCAACCTGGTGAGGACTAAATTCACCTTTTTTCCCTTGCCCAAATGCCTATGTATGAGGCTTGGGGAATCCTGCCCGAGAAACCATAAAATCTCATCAGATGAGTTTTATTACTCTTATATAATGAGGCTCACTTTCCAACCTGACTCTGGTACAGCATCACATGACAGCAGATGCTGAAGGAAATTATTTTACCCCAAAATATACTTCTTTGACATGTTTTGAAGTGGCTGCCACAGGGGCAACAGATTGAAATGGATAGCCCCGCAAAGCTATCTTTAGTGGGAAAATTTGCATCTGCAGCGAATCTCCATTAATGTAGCCAGACCTCCTTTGTTCTAAGCCTTTCTTAGGTCTGGAAGAGACAGCCAGCCTGACGCGCGGTGGCTCACGCCTGTAATCCCAGCACTTTGGGAGGTAGAGGTGGGTGGATCACCTGAGGTCAGGAAGTCAAGACCAGCCTCAGCAACATGGTGAAACCCCATCTCTACTAAAAATACAAAAATTAGCCAGGCGTGGTGGCGGGCGCCTGTAGTCCCAGCTACTCAGGAGGCTGAGGCAGGAGAACTGCTCAAACCTGGGAGGTGGAGGTTGCAGTGAGCTGAGATCACGCCACTGCACTCTAGCCTGGGCGACAGAGCAAGACTCTCTCTAAAAACAAAAACAAAAACACAAAAACCCAAAAAACTGAAAACAGACATTTACCATCTATTCTGAGAGTTGCCAACTAAGAGGCTTCATCTACATAATAAGAACTTTGATCTACGCAATCCCCTTAACTCTGGCATGCTTCTGATTCCAGTCTTCAGGCAGTAGCTTAAGTCTCTCAACCAACTGTCCACTAAAGAATCCCTAAGTGCCCCCATGAGGTGTAAACCCTTTGGAGATATACCAGCTTTTTGGGAGGAACCCGTGTATATCTTTCTCTTATTGATTTATGATTTTCTTTTTGGAGGCAGGATCTCGCTGTGTTACCCAGGCTAGCGTGCAGTGCAGCCAACATAGCTGGTTACAGCCTCCACCTCCTGGACTCAACTGACTGGGCCTCCCAAGTAGCTGAGGCCACAGGCATGGGACACCACGCCCCGCTAATTTTTTTATTTTTCTAATTTCATGTAGAGACAGGGTCTTGCTGTGCTGCCCAGGCTGCTCTGGAACTCCTGGCCTCCCAAAGTGCTGGGACTACAGGCATGAGCCACACTGCTCAGCCTGATTTATGACTTTACCTGAAATTCCTGTCTCCCTGAATTGTATAAAATTAACCTGCAAGCCTGACCATCTCGGGCACTTTCACAGGACCTCTTGAGGCTGAATAACCTGGGCCACAGTCACTCATACTGACTAGGAATAAACCTTTTTAAATATATTTTGGCAGAACCCGGATTTTGCCGTCATTAGCAAGGCCCCAGGGAAGAGGCCACCTGGGTCCCCACAGCCACCTCACCTCCCGCGGACGCTGCCCCACGCAGATCCCCCCCCCCCCCCACCAAAACACGTCTAGACGTGCCCGTGCGAGGACATTTGGTCCCGGCCTACACTCCTATCCGCGGAAGATCGTCCCAAGGCGGGGTGCTCCCAACCCAAAGCAGCGGCCCTTCCCCAAAACACGCGGGCGAAGTCCTCCCCTGTCCCGCCTCCCACAATAAAGTCTGGAGCATCAGAGTCGGAGGGAACCCGAGTCGGACCTAGCCCATCCGTCTCATGGCTGTAACCCCCACCCCACCAGTGGACCCTGGCTGTGGCCGAGTCCCCCTCCACCTCCGGCCAAAAGACCCCCGTGGCAGCTCGCTAGGCCGCTGGCCCGTCCCCACCCGAGGAGCGGCGACCCTGGCACAAGAGGACCTGGGTTGCTCGGCGCCCCTGTGAAATCCGGGCTGTTCACCGCCCGAGCCGCCACTACACGCAACCGGGAACGGAGACTGAGTGGCGGCCCAGACCCGGGGCGCTCGGCAAGCCGCAGCCCCACCGCCCACTTCAAGGCGCGGCCTGGGTCTCCGCCCCTCCCCAGAAC
Organism: Homo sapiens; assembly: GCF_000001405.40. Classification (NCBI taxonomy): domain Eukaryota; kingdom Metazoa; phylum Chordata; class Mammalia; order Primates; family Hominidae; genus Homo; species Homo sapiens. Next base: position 25,696,628 of record NC_000020.11, read on the forward strand.
GCGGAGACGCCGGGCCTGGAGGAGCGCGCGCTACGGCCCCAGCAGCGCCCTCACGTCCCAGGCCTTCCCGGCCCTTCTTCCTGCGCCGGAAGGGCGCGCTGCAGAGAGGGACCCGCAGGAGCGCAGCTCACCGGGGCGGCTGAGGGCGAACCGAGGCGGTGAGGTCACCGATGGTGGACCACGCATCTCACGGCTCGCTGACGCCCAGGGATCTGGAACGCTCTGCGCCGCCCGGGACTACACTACCCAGAATCCTCAGCGCGGCCGGGACTACGCTACCCAGCATCCTCGGCGCGGCCCGGAGGCTATGCGACCCTGCGCGTCGCATCCCCTCGGTGGACTACACTCCCCAGAGTCCTCGGGAGTCGTCCAGGTACACGCCCCAGAATATTGGTCATAGCGGTCCACCCGGGACTGCGCGACCCGGAATCCTTGGAAGGACTTCTCGGAAGGACTCCTCTCTGACAGGTGGGGCGAGCCTATGGTCGTTTGGACGTGGAGGGATCCTTTCAGAACCGGCGATTTCTTTTATTTAGGTAGCCCTATACATACATTAAGCATATTTTCCCATTTCTATGATATAGGTAAATAATTTTCCCACTGTCTTTTGATTATGGGTATGTCTTTTTTTTTTCTTTTGTTTCTTTTTTTTGCTATGTAGTACTTTTGATCTCTGATTTTCCTACGGATTTTGTGGTTTTATCATTCACATTTAGATCTCTCAATGGTTTAATTTTTCTCCAGGTACACACTGTAAATATACAATTATTTTTAAAATTTTCTAATATTTTATTAATTTCCCATTAAATTTATTAAAAATATAGTCTTTTACCAAATAATTTAAGGTTTCAGCTACATAATTCAGTATACTCAATTTACATTTGCATTTCAATTTCTAATTGTTCCCCCATTTATCTAATTATGCATCAATGCCAGAATTCTTTCATTATGTAGGGTGTATAATATGCTGATATCTTTTGTGGCTTGCCAAACCACGTAGACTTTATATTTCAGGCCTTTACTAGGTATACTTGCTGTTTGCTTTTTCTCTTTTGGTTTTTAAATTTTTAATTATTCTGGATAAATATTAGTTGTACATATTTATAGGGTACATGTTATGTTTTGATACAGGCATACAGTGTTTAATGGTCAAATGAGGGTGATTGGGGTATCCATCCCCTCAAGCATTTAGCATTTCTTTGTTTTAGGAAGTTTCCAATTCTCTCTTATTTTTAAATATATAGTAAAATTGTTCTTAACTATAGTCACTGTATAGTGCTACCAACTACTAGATCTTATTCATTCTAACTGTATTTTTGTATCGATTAACAAGTCCCTCTTTATCTCCTCTACCCACCATCCTTCCCAGCCTCTGTTAACTATCTCATTCTACTCTCCATCTCCATGAGTTCACGTTTTTAGCCCCACAAATGAGTGAGCACATGTGATATTTGTCATGCTGTGCCTCATTTCGCTTAACATAATGTCCTCCATTTTCATACATGCTATTGAAAATGACAGAATTTCATTCTTTTAATGACTGGCTAATATCCCATTGTGTTAATGTACCACACTTTCCTTATCCATTCATCTGTTGATAGACACTTTGATTCTATATCTTTACTATTTTGGATAGTGCTGTAGTAAACATGAGAGTGCAGATATATCCTTGAAATACTGATTTCCTTTCTTTTGGATATATACTCAGCAGTGGGATTGCGGGATCATGTATATATTTATTAATTCTTTTGAGGAACCTCCATACTGCTCTCCATAGTGGTTGTACTAATTTACATTCCTAACAACAGTGTATGAGGGTGTATCCACACCCTCACCAGTATTCACTATTGCCTGTCTCTTGAATAAAAGCTATCTTGACTGGGGTGACATTATATCTCATTGCGGTTTTGATTTACATTTCTCTGATGATTAGTGGCATTGAGCATTTTTTTTCATACACTTGTTGGCCGTTCATATATCTTATTTTGAGAGATGCCTATTCAGATCTTTTCTCCATTTAAAATATCAGATTGTCTTTTTCCTATTGAGTTGTTTTAGCTCCTTATATATATTCTGGCAATTACTTTCTTTTCAGATGGATAGTTTGCAAATTTTTTCTCCCATTCTGTGGATTGTCACTTCACTTTGTTGATTGTTTCCTTTGCTTGCAGAAGATTTTTATGTGATGTGGTCTCATTTGTCCACTTTTGCTTTAGGTGCTTGTGCTTTTGCAGTCTTACTCAAGAAATCTTTGTCCACACCAATGTCCTGGAGTGTTTCCCCAATGTTTTTTTCTAGTAGTTTTATAGTTTCAGGTCTTAGATTTACCTTTAATCCATTTTGATTTGATTTTTATATGTGGTGAGGGGATTGCTTTAGATTTCATTCTTCTGCAAATGGATATCCAGTTTTTGCAGTGCCATTTATTGAAATGACTGTCTTTCCCCAATGTAAGTTCTTTGCACCTTTGTGGGATATAAGTTGAACTATAAATGTGTGGATTTATTTCTGGGCTCTCCACTCTGTTCCATTGGTCTGTGTGCCTGTTTTTATGCCAGCATTTTGCTGTGTGGATTACTATAGTTTGCATAATTTGAAGTCAGGTAATGTGATTCCTCCAGCTTTATTACTTTTGTTCAGGATGGCTTTGGCTATTTTGGATCTTTCATGGTCCCATATAAATTTTAGGATTAATTTATCTATTTCTGTGAAGAATGTCATTGATATTTTGATTGGGATTGCATTGAATCTGTAGACAAGGTGGAATGGACATTTTAATAAGATTAATTCTTCTAGTCCAAAAACACGGACTATCTTTCCATTTTTTGTATCCTTTTCAATTTCTCTCATCAATGTTTTATAGTTTTTGTTGTAGAGATCGTTCACATCTTTGGTTGATTTTATTCCTAGCTATTTTATTTTATTTGTAACTTTTATAAACAGGTTACTTTCTTGATTTCTTTTTCAGATTGTTTGTTGTTGGCATATAGAAATGCCACCCATTTTTGTATGTTGATTTTGTATCCTGAAACTTTACTGAATTTCTTAATCAATTCTAATGTTTTTTGGCTGAAGTCTTTAGGTTTAACTAAATATAGGATCATATCATCTGCAAACAAGGATAACTTCACTTCTTCCTTTCTAATTTGAATACCTTTTATTTCTTTGTCTTCAGTAATTGCTCTAGCTAAGATTTCCTAGTACTACGTTGAATAAAAGTGTGGAATGTGGGAATCTTTGTCTTCTTCCAGATCTTACAGGAAAGGCTTTCAATTTTTCAGTATGATACTAGCTGTGGGTTTGTCACATATGGTTTTTATAATATTGAGGTATATTCCTTTTACACCGAGTTTTTTTTTTTTTTGAGTGTTTATTATGAAGGGATGTTGAATTTTACAAATGCTTTTTTGGTATCCATTGAGATGATCATATGGTTTTTGTCTTTTGTTTTTTTGATATGATATATCACATTTATTGAATTACATATATTGAGCCATCCTTGCATTCCTGGGATGAATTCCACTTGGTCATGATGAGTAATCACTTTAATGTGTTGTTGAATTTGGTTTGCAAGCATTTTGTTAAGGATTTTTGTGTCTCTGTTTATTGGAGATATTGCCTTATAGTTTTCTTTTTTTGTACATCTTTGTATGGTTTTGGTGTTAGGATAATACTGACCTTATAGGATGAGTTTGGAAGTGATCCTTCTTTCTTTCTTTTTTTTAAATAGTTTGCATAGATTGATACTAGTTCTTTATAAAATGTTTGGTAGAATTCAGCAATGAAACCGTCAGGTCCTGGGCTTTTCTTTGATGGGATACTTTTTAATACTGCTTCTATCTCATTTGTTATTAGTCTACTCATGTTTTGGATATTTTCATGGTTCAATCTTAGGTTTTATGTATCTAGGAATGTATCAGTTTCTCCTAGATTTTCCAAATTAATAGCATATAGTAGCTCATAATCATTTCTAATGATCCTTTAAATTTCTATGGTATCAATTGTAATGTCTCCTTTTTCATTTCTGATTTTATTTGTTTTGGTCTTCTGTTTTTTCTTAGTCTGGCTAAAGGTTTGTGAATTTTACCTTTTTTAAAATTATACTTTAAGTTCTGGGGTACATGTGCAGAACGTTCAGGTTTGTTACATAAGTATACACATGCCATGCTGGTTTGCTGCAGCCATAAACCCAGCATCTACATTAGGTATTTCTCCTAATGCTATCTCTCCCCCAGACCCCCACGGTCCGACAGGCCCCAGTGTGTGATGTTCCTCTCCCTGTGTCCATGTGTTCTCATTGCTCAACTCCCACTTATGAGTGAGAACATGTGGTGTTTGGTTTTCTGTCCTTGTGTTAGTTTGCTGAGAATGATGGTTTCCAGCTTCATCCATGTCCCTGCAAAGGACATGAGCTCATCCTTTTTTATTGCTGCATAGTATTCCATGGTATATATATGCCACATTTTCTTTATCCAGTCTAACATTGATGGGCATTTGGTTTGGTTCCAAGTCTTTGCTATTGTGAACATTGCTGCAGTAAACATACAAGTGCATGTGTCTTTATAGTAGAATGATTTATAATCCTTTGGGTATATACCCAGTAATGGGATTGCTGGATCAAATGGTATTTCTAGTTCTAGATCCTTGAGGAATTGCCACAATGTCTTCCACAATGGTTGAACTAATTTACACTCCCACCATCAGTGTAAAAGTGTTCCTATTTCTCCACGTCCTCTCCAGTATCTGTTGTTTCCTGACTTTTTAATGATCACCATTCTAAATGGCATGAGATGGTATCTCATTGTGGTTTTGATTTTCATTTCTCTAATAACCAGTGATGATGAGCATTTTTTCATGTGTCTGTTGGCTGCATAAATGTCTTCTTTTGAGAAGTTTCTGTTCATATCCTTCACCCAATTTTTTTTATTTTTATTTTTTGTAAATTTGTTTACCTTCTTTGTAGATTCTGCATATTAGCCCTTTGTCATATGGATAGATTGCAAAAATTTTCTCCCATTCTGTAGGTTGCCTGTTCACTCTAATGATAGTTTATTTTGCTGTGCAGAAGCTCTTTAGTTTAATTAGATCCTATTTGTCAATTTTGGCTTTTGTTGCCATTGCTTTTGGTGTTTTAGTCATGAAGTCTTTGCCCATGCCTATGTCCCGAATGGTATTACCTAGGTTTCCTTCTAGGGTTTTTATGGTTTTATGTCTTACGTTTAAGTCTTTAATTCAACCTGAGTTAATTTTTGTATAAGGTGTAAGGAAGGGATTCAGTTTTAGCTTTCTGCATATGGATAGCCAGTTTTCCCAACACCATTTATTAAATATGGAATTCTTTCTACATTGCTTGTTTTTGTCAGGATTATCAAAGATCAGATGGTTGTAGATGTGTGGTGTTATTTCTGAGGCCTCTGTTCTGTTCCATTGGTCTATCTCTCTGTTTTGGTATCAGTACCATGCTGTTTTTGTTACCGCAGCATTGTAGTATACTTTGAAGTCAGATAGGGTGATGCCTTTGTCCTTTTTTCTTAGGATTGTCTTGGCTATACGGGCTCTTTTTTGGTTCCATATGAAATTTAAAGTAGTTTTTTTCCAATTCTGTGAAGAAATCAGTGGTAGCTTGATGTGGATAGCATTGAATCTATAAATTACTTTGGGCAGTGTGGCCATTTTCATGATACTGATCCTTCCTATCCATAAGCATGGAATGTTTTTCTGTTTGCTTTTGTCCTCTCTTATTTCCTTGAGCAGTGGTTTGTAGTTCTCCTTTAAGAGGTCCTTTACATCCCTTGTAAGTTGTATTCCTAGGTATTTAATTCTCTTTGTAGCAACTGAGAATGGTAGTTCACTCATGATTTGGCTATCTGTTACTGGCGTAAAGGAATGCTTGTGATTTTTGCACACTGATTTTGTATCTTGAGACTTTGCTGAAGTTGCTTATCAGCTTAAGGAGATTTTGGGCTGAGATGATGGGGTTTTCTAAATATGCAATCATGTCATCTGCAAACAGAGACAATTTTACTTCCTTTTTTCCTAACTGAATACCCTTTATTTCTTTCTCCTGCCTGATTGCCCTGGCCAGAAATTCAAATACTGTGTTTAATAGGAGTGGTAAGAGAGGGCATCCTTGTCTTGTGCCAGTTTTCAAAGGGAAGGCTTCCAGCTTTTGCCCATTCAGTATGATATTGGCTGTGGGTTTGTGATAAATAGTTCTTATTATTTTGAGATACATTCAGTCAATACCTAGTTTACTGAGAGTTTTTAGCATGAAGGACTGTTGAATTTTGTTGAAAGTCTTTTCTGCATCTATTGAGATAATCGTGTGGTTTTTGTCATTGGTTCTGTTTATGTGATGGATTACGTTTATTGATTTGCATATGTTGAACCAGCCTTGTATGCCAGGGATGAAGCTGACTTGATCGTGGTGGATAAGTTTTTTAATGTCCTGCTGGATTTGGTTTGCCCGTATTTTATTGGGGATTTTCACACTGATGTTAATCAGGGATATTGGCCTGAAATTTTCTTTTTTTGTTGTGCCTCTGCCAGGTTTTGGTGTGAGGATGATGCTGGCCTCATAAAATGAGTTAGGGAGGATTCCCTCTTTTTCTATTGTTTGCAATAGTTTCAGAAGGAATGGTACCAGGTCCTCTTTGTACCTCTCATAGAATTTGGGTGTGAATCCATCTGGTCCTGGACTTTTTTAGGTTTGTAGGCTATTAGTTACTGCCTCAATTTCAGAAGTTGTTATTGGTTTATTCAGGGATTTGACTTCTTCCTGGTTTAGTCTTGGGAGAGTGTATATGTCCAGGAATTTATCCATTTTTTCTAGATTTTCTAGTTTATTTGCATAGAGGTGTTTATAGTATTCTCTGATGATAGTTTGTATTTCTGTGGGATCAGTAGTGATATCCTCTTTATCATTTTTTATTGCATCTATTTGATTCTTCTCTCTTTTCTTCTTTATTAGTCTGGCTAGCGGTCTATCTTCTTGAACTTTTCAAAAAGCCAGGTCCTGGATTCATTGATTTTTTGGAAGGTTTTTTTTGTGTTTCTATTTCCTTCCGTTCTGCTCTGATCTTAGTTATTTTTTGCCTTCTGCTAGCTTTTGAATTTGTTTGCTCTTGCTGTTCTAGTTCTTTTAGTTGTGATGCTAGGGTGTCAATTTTAGATCTTTCTTGCTTTCTCTCGTGGGCATTCAGTGCTATAAATTTCCCTGTATACCCTGCTTTAAATGTGTCCCAGGGCTTCTGGTACGTTGTGTCTTTGTTCTTATTGGTTTCAAAGAACATCTTTATTCCTGCCTTAATTTCGTTATTTACCCAGTAGTCATTCAGGAGCCAGTTGTTCAGTTTCCATGTAGTTGTGTAGTTTTGAGGGAGTTTCTTATTCCTGAGTTCTAATTTGATTGCACTGTGATCTGAGAGACAGTTTGTTGTGATTTCCATTCTTTTGCATTTGCTGAGTAGTGTTTTACTTCCAATTATGTGGTCAATCTTAGAGTACGTGCGACGTGGTGCTGAGAAGAATGTATATTCTGCCGATTTGGGGTGGAGAGTTCTGTAGATGTCTATTAGTTCTACTTGGTCCAGGGCTGAGTTCAAGTCCTGGATATCCTTGTTAATTTTCTGTCTTGTTGATCTGTCTAATATTGATGGTGGTGTGTTAAAGTCTCCCAGTATTATTGTGTGGGAGTCTAAGTTTCTTTGTAGGTCTCTAAGAACTTGCTTTATGAATCTAGGTGCTCCTTGTATTGGGTGCATATATATTTAGGATAGTTAGCTCTTCTTGATGCATTGATCCCTTTACCATTACGTAATGGCCTTGTCTCTTTTGATCTTTGTTGGTTTAAACTCTGTTTTGTCAGAGACTAGGATTGCAACCCCTGCTTTTTTTTTCCTTTCCATTTGCTTGGTAAATATTCCTCCATCCCTTTATTTTGAGCATATGTGAGTCTTTGCACATGAGATGCGTCTCCTGAATACAGCACACTGATGGGTCTTGACTATTCAGTTTGCCAGTCTGTGTCTTTTAATTGGGGGCATTTAGTCCATTTATATTTAAGGATAATATTGTTTTGTGTGAATTTGATCCTGTCATTATGATGCTAGCTGTTATTTTGTCAGTTAGTTGATGCAGTTTCTTCCTAGCATGGAAAGTCTTTACAATATGGTATGTTTTTGCAGTGGCTGGTACTGGTTGTTCCTTTCCATTTTAGTGCTTCCTTCAGGAGCTCTTGTAAGGCAGGCCTGGTGGTGACAAAATCTCTCAGCATTTGCTTGTCTGTAAAGGATTTTATTTCTCCTTCGCTCTCCTTTGCTTATGAAGCTTAGTTTGGCTCAATATGAAATTCTGGGTAGAAAATTCTTTTCTATAAGAATGTTAAATATTGGCCCACACTCTATTCTGGCTTGTAGGGTTTCTGCTGGAAGATCTGTTTTTAGTCTGATGGGCTTCCCTTTGTGGGTAACCCGACCTTTCTCTCTGGCTGCCCTTAACATTTTTTCCTTCATTTCAACCTTGGTGAATCTGAAGATTTTGTGTCTTGGGATTGTTCTTCTCGAGGAGTATCTTTGTGGTTTGTCTATATTTCCTGAATTTGAGTGTTGGCCTGCCTTGTTAGGTTGGGGAAAGTTCTCCTGGATAATATCCTGAAGAGTATTTTCCTACTTGATTCCATTTTCCCCATCACTTTCAGGCACACCAATCAAATGTAGATTTGTTTGGTCTTTTCACATAGTCCCATATTTCTTTGAGGCTTTATTCATTTCTTTTAACTCTTTTTTTGCTCTAATCTTGTCTTCTCGCTTTATTTCATTGAGTTGATCTTCCATCTCTGATATCCTTTCTTCCACTTGATCAATTCAGCTATTGATACTTGTGTATGCTTCATGAAGTTCTCATGCTGTTTTTCAGCTCCATCAGGTCATTTATGTTCTTCTCTAAACTGGTTATTCTAGTTAGTAACTCGTCTAAGCTTTTTTCAAGGTTCTTAGCTCCGTTGCATTGGGTTAGAAATGCTCCTTTAGCTCAGAGGCATTTGTTATTACCCACCTTCTGAAGTCTCTTTTTGTCAATTGGTCAAACTCATTCTCCATCCAGTTTTGTTCCCTTGCTGGTGAGGAGTTGTGATGCTTTGGAGGAAAAGAGGCATTCTGTTTTTTGGAATTTTCAGCCTGTTTGGACTGGTTTCTCCCCATCTTCATGGATTTATCTACCTTTGGTGTTTGCTGTTGGTGACCTTTGGATGGAGTTTTTGCATGGTTTTCCTTTTTGTTGATGTTGATGCTATTGCTTTCTGTTTGTTAATTTTTCTTCTAACAGTCAGGCTCCTCTGCTGCAGGTTCCCTGGAGTTTGCTGGAGGTTCACTCTAGACCCTGTTTGTCTGGGTATCAGCAGTGGAGTCTGCAGAACAGCAAAGATTGCTGCCTGTTTATTCCTCTGGAAGGTTTGCCCCAGAGGGCACCTACCAGATGCCAGCCAGAGGTCTCCTGTATGGGGTGTCTGTTGGTCCCTACTGGGAGATGTCTCCCAGTCAGGATACACAGGGGTCAGGTACCTACTTGAGGAGGCAGTCTGTCCCTTATCAGAGCTTGAACACTGTGCTGGGAGATCTGCTGCTCTCTTCTGAGCTGTCAGGCAGGGACATTTAAGTCTGCTAGAGCTGTGCCCATAGTCACCCTTCCCCCAAGTGCTGTGTCCCAGGGAGATGGGAGTTTTATCTTTAAGTCCCTGACTGGGGCTGCTGCCTTTTTGTCCAGAGATGCCCTGACAAGAGAGGAGGAATCTAGAGAGGCAGTCTGGCCACAGGGACCTTGCTGAGTTGTGGTGGGCTCCCCACAATTCGAACTTCACATGGCTTTGTTTACACTCTGAGGGTAAAGCCACCTACTCAAGCCTCAGCAATGGCGGATGCCCCAATCCCCACCAAGTTCAAGTGTCCCAGGTCGACCTCAGACTGCTGTGCTGGCAGTGAGAATTTCAAGCCAGTGGATCTTAGCTTGCTGGGCTCCATGGGTGTGGGACCGCCAAGCCAGACCACTTGGCTCCCTGGCTTCAGCCCCCTTTCCAGGGGAATGAACGGTTCTGTCTCGCTGGCATTCCAGATGCCACGGGGGTATGAAAAAAAAAAGCTCCTGCAGCTAGCTCAGTGTCTGTCCAAACGGCCGCCCAGTTTTATGCTTGAAACCCAGGGTCCTGGTGGTGTAGCCACTAGAGGGAATCTCCTGGTCTTCTGGCTGTGAAGACCATGGAAAAATCACAGTATCTGGGCCAACCAGGAGGCACTATTCCTCCTGGTATAGTCTCTCATGGCTTCCTTTGGCTAGGGGAGGGAAATCCCCTGAATGCTTGCACTTCCTGGGTGAGGTGATGCCCCACCCTGCTTTGCCTCACCGTCCGTGGCCTGCACCCACTGTTCAAGCAGTCCCAATGAGATGAACTGGGTACCTCAGTTGGAGATGGAGAAGTCACCCTGCCTTGTGTGTCGATCTCGCTCGGAGCTGTTCCTATTTGGCCATCTTGCCAGCAACCTGTTTATCTTTTCAAAAAACCATTTTTGTTGTTTCACTGGTCTTTTTTTTTTTTGTCTCAATCACTGATTTCTGCTCTTATCTATATTGTTTCTTTTCTTCTAATTTTAGACTTCGTCTGCGTTTGCTTTTCTAGGTCTTTTTAAGGTGCATCATTAGGTTGTTTAAAGTTTTTAAGAGCTTTTTTGATGGAGGCATCTATTGCGATAAACTTCTTTCTTAGTACTACTATTTTTGCTTTCTTAGTACTACTATTTAGGTTTTGGGATGTTGTGTTTCCATTTTCATTATTTCAAAATTTTAAAATTTTCTTATTTTTTAATTGACCAAGTCATTTTATAGGTGCATGTGATGTATTTTCCACAAGTTTGTGTAGTTTCCAAAGTTTCTCTTGTTATTGATTTTCAGTTTTCCATTTTGGTCAGAAAAGATACTTCATACCATTCAATTTTTTACTTTTTTGAGGCATGTTTTGTGGCCTAACACATGGTCTTTCCTGGAGAATATTCCATGTACTGAGAAGAATGTGTGTTCTGCAGCTGTTTGATGGCATATTCTTAAAAAAAATGTTTGTTTTTACCTTTCAGGTCTGTTGGGCTTAAAGATGAGATGTTCTTTAAATGTCTATTAGATTAATTTGTTCTATAGTGTAGATCAAGTCTGATGTTCTCTGTTGATTTTCTGTCAAATAGTCTGTCCAATAATGAAAGTGGGGTGTTAAAGTCCCCAGCTGTTATTATTAGGGTTTCACTCTCTTTTTAGCTCTAATAACATTTGCTTTATAGATCTTGGTCCACTGGTGTGGGTTGTACATATATTTACAATTTTTTATATCCTTTTGCTGAATTGACCTCTTTATCATTATATAACACATTATTTGCCTCTTTTTTGCCATTTATGTCTTGAAATTTATTTCTCTGATACAAATATAGCTACTCCTGTTCTTTTTTTGCTTGCATTTGCATGGAATATCTTTTTCCATCCCTTTATTTCCAGTCTTTGCATGCCTTTATAGATAAAGTGAGTTTCTTGTAGGAGCATATATTTGGTTGTTGTTTTATTACCACTCAAGGACTCTATGTCTTTTGATTGCAGAAGTTAGGCCATTTACATTCAATATTGGCATTTATAGGTAAGAACTCAATACTGCCATTTTGTTATTTGTTTACTAGTTGCTTTATCAATCCTCTCTTCTTTTCTTCCTTACTTCCTGTCTTCCTTTGTGTAAAAGTGGTTTTCTCTGGTGGTATGGTTTAATTTCCTTGTGATTTATTTATTTCTCAGTTTTTAAGTTTTGGGTTTTTTATTGGCTTAATTTTTTTCAATTTCTTATTTATTTATTTATTTTTATTTTACTTTAAGTTCTGGGATACATGTGCAGAACGTACAGGTTTGTTACATAGGTATGCATGTGCCATGGTGGTTTGCTGCACCCATCAACCCATCATCGACATTAGGTATTTCTCCTAATGACATCCCTCCCCTTGCTCCCCAGCCTCTGACAGGCCTCAGTGTGTGATGTTCCTCTCCCTGTGCCCATATGTTCTCATTGTTCAACTCCACCTTCTAAGTGAGAACATGTGGTGTTTGGTTTTCTGTTCCTGTGTTAGTTTGCTGAGAATGATGGTTTCCAGCTTCATCCATGTTCCTGCAAAGGACGTGAACTCATCCTTTTTTATTGCTGCATAGTATTCCATGGTGTATATGTGTCACATTTTCTTTATCCAGTCTAACGTTGATGGGCATTTGGGTTGGTTCTAAGTCTTTGCTATTGTGAATAGTGCTGCAATAAACATAGGTGTGCATGTGTCTTTATAGAAGAATGATTTATAATCCTTTGAGTATATACTCAGTAATAGGATTGCTGGGTCAAATGGTATTTCTAGTTCTAGATCCTTGAGGAATTGCCACACTGTCTTCCACAATGGTTGAACTAATTTACACTCCTACCAACAGTGTAAAAGCGTTTCTATTTCTCCACATCCTCTGCAGCATCTGTTGTTTCCTGACTTTTTATTGATCGCCATTCTAACTGGTGTGAGATGGTATCTCATTGTGGTTTTGATTTGCATTTCTGTAATGACCAGTGATGATGAGCATTTTTTCATGTGTCTGTTGACTGCATAAATGTCTTCTTTTGAGAAGTGTCTGTTCGTATCCTTTGCCCACTTTTTGATGGGGTTGGTTTTTTCTTGTAAATTTGTTTAAGTTATTTGTAGATTCTGGATATTAGCCCTTTGTCAGATGGCTATATTGCAAAATTTTTCTCCAATTCTGTAGGCTGCCTGTTCACTCTGATGGTAGTTTCTTTTGCTGTGCAGAAGCTCTTAAGTTTCATTAGATCCCATTTGTCAATTTTGGCTTTTATTGCCATTGCTTTTGGTGTTTTAGTCATGAAGTCCTTGCCCATGCCTGTGTCCTGAATGGTATTGCCTAGGTTTTCTTCTAGGGTTTTTATGGTTTTAGGTCTTACATTTACATCTTTAGTGCATCTTGAATTAATTTTTGTATACGGTGTAAGGAAGGGATCCAGTTTCAGCTTTCTACATATGGCTAGCCAGCTTTCCCAGCAGCATTTATTAAATAGGGAATTCTTTCCCCATTTCTTGTTTTTGTCAGGATTATCAAAGATCAGATGGTTGTAGATGTGTGGTGTTATTTCTGAGGCCTCCGTTCTGCTCCATTGGTCTATCTCTCTGTTTTGGTACCAGTAACATGCTGTTTTGGTTACTGTAGCCTTGTAGTATAGTTTGAAGTCAGGTAGCATGATGCCTCCAGCTTTGTTCTTTTTGCTTAGGATTGTCTTGGCAATTTGGGCTCTTTTTTGGTTCCATATGAACTTTAAAGTAGGTTTTTTCAATTCTATGAAGGAAGTCATTGGTAGCTTGATGGGGATGGCATTGAATCTATAAATTACCTTGGGCAGTATGGTTATTTTCACAATACTGTTCCTCCTATCCATGAGCATGGAATGTTTTTCCATTTGTTTGTGTCCTCTCTTATTTCCTTGAGCAGTGGTTTGTAGTTCTCCTTGAAGAGTTCCTTCACATTCCTTGTTAGTTGGATTCCTAGGTATTTTATTCTCTTTGTAGCAACTGTGAATGGGAGTTCACTCATGATTTGGCTCTCTGTCTGCTATTGGTGTGTAGAAATGCTTGTGATTTTTGCACATTGATTTTGTATCCTGAGATTTTGCTGAAGTTGCTTATCAGCTTAAGGAGATTTTGGGCTGAGACAATGGGGTTCTCTAAATATACAATCATGTCATCTGCAAACAGGGACAATTTGATTTCCTCTTTTCCTAACTGAATACCCTTTATTTCTTTCTCCTGCCTGATTGCCCTGGCTAGAACTTCCAACACCATGTTGAATAGGAGTGGTGAGAGAGGGCATCCCTGTCTTGTGCCAGTTTTCAAAGGGAATGCTTCCGGTTTTTGTCCATTCAGTATGATATTGCCTGTGGGTTTGTGATAAATAGTTCTTATTATTTTGAGATACGTTCCATCAATACCTAGTTTATTGAGAGTTTTTAGCATGAAGGGCTGCTGAATTTTGTCGAAGGCCTTTTCTGCATCTATTGAGATAATCGTGTGGTTTTTGTCATTGATTCTGTTTATGTGATGGATTATGTTTATTGATTTACATATGTTGAGCCAGCCTCGCATCCTGGGGATGAAGCCGACCTGATTGTGGTGGATAAGCTTTTTGATGTGCTGCTGGATTCAGTTTGCCAGTATTTTATTGAGAATTTTCACATTGGTGTTCATCAGGGATATTGGTCTAAAATTCTCTTTTTTTTTGTCGTGTCTTTGCCAGGCTTTGGTATCAGGATGATGCTGGCCTCATATAATGAGTTAAGGAGGATTCTCTCTTTTTTTGTTTGGAATAGTTTCAGAAGGAATGGTACCAGCTCCTTTTTGTACCTGTGGTAGAATTCGGCTGTGAATCCCTCTGGTCCTGGACTTGTTTTGGTTGGTAGGATATTAATTATTGCCTCAATTTTAGAGCCTGTTAATTGGTCTATTCAGAGATTCAACTTCTTCCTGGTTTAGTCGTGGGAGGATGTATGTGTTCAGAAATTTATCCATTTCTTCTACATTTTCTAGTTTATTTGCATAGAGGTGTTTATAGTTTTCTCTGATGGTAGTTTGTATTTCTGTGGTATTGGTGGTGATATCCCCTTTATCATTTTTTATTGCATCTATTTGATTCTTCTCTCTTTTCTTCTTTATTAGTCTTGCTAGCAGTCTACCAGTTTTGTTGATCTTTTCAAAAACCAGCTCCTGGATTCATTGACTTTTTGAAGGGTTTTTTTTTTGTTTTTTTTTGTTTTTTTGGTCTCTCTTTCAGTTCTGCTCTGATATTAGTTATTTCTTTTCTGCTAGCTTTTGAATTTGTTTGCTCTTTCTTCTCTAGTTCTTTTAATACTGACATTAGGGTGTGGATTTTAGATCTTTCCTGCTTTCTCTTCTGGACATTTAGTGCTATAAATTTCCCTCTACACACTGCTTTGAATGTGTCCCATAGATTCTGATACATTGTGTCCTTGTTCTCATTGGTTTCAAAGAACATCTTTATTTCTGCCTTCATTTTGCTATTTACCCAGTAGTCATTCAGGAGCAGGTTGTTCAGTTTGCATGTAGTTGTGCAGTTTTGAGTGAGTTTCTTAATGCTGAGCTCTAATTTGATTGCACTGTGGTCTTAGAGACAGTTTGTTCTGATTTCTTTTCTTTTACATTTGCTGAGAAGTGCTTTACTTTCAACTATGTGGTCAATTTTGGAATAAGTGCAATGTGGTGCTGAGAAGAATGTATATTCTGTTTATTTGGGGTGGAGAGTTCTGTAGATGTCTATTAGGTCCGCTTGGTGCAGAGCTGAGTTCAAGTCCTGGATATCCTTCTTAACCTTCTGTCTCATTGATCTAATACTGATGGTGGTGTGTTAAAGTCTCCCATTATTATTGTGTGGGAGTCTAAGTCTCTTTTTAGGTCTCTAAGGACTTGCTTTATGAATCTGATTGCTCCTGTATTGAGTGCATATATATTTAGGATAGTTAGCTCTTTTTGATGCATTGATCCTTTTATCATTATGTAATGGCCTTCTTTGTCAATGGCCTTCTGTGTCTCTTCTGATCTTTGTTGGTTTAACGTCTGTTTTATCAGAGAGTAGGATTCCAACCCCTGGTTTTTTTGCTTTCCATTTGCTTGGTAGGTCTTCCTCCTTCTCTTTATTTTGAGCCTATATGTGTCTCTGCACAAGAGATGGGTCTCCTGAATACAGCACACTGATGGTTCTTGACTCTACCCAATTTGCCAGTCTGTGTCTTTTAATTGGAGTATTTAGTCCATTTACATTTAAGGTTAATATTGTTATGTGTGAATTTGATCATGTCATTATGATGTTAGCTGGTTATTTTGCTCATTAGTTGATGCAGTTTCTTCCTAGTATCAATGGTCTTTACAATTTGGCATGTTTTTGCAGTGGTTGGTACTGTTTGTTCCTTTCCATGTTTCGTGCTTCCTTCAGGAGCCCTTGTAAGGCAGGCCTGGTGGTGACAAAATCTCTCAGCATTTGCTTGGCTGTAAAGGATTTTATTTCTCCTTCACTTATGAAGCTTAGTTTGGCTGGATATGAAATTCTGGGTTGAAAATTCTTTTCTTTAAGAATGTTGAATATTGGCCCCACTCTCTTCTGGCTTGTAGAGTTTCTGTGGAGAGATCCACTGTTAGTCTGATGGGCTTCCTTTTGTGGGTAACCCTACATTTTTCTGTGGCTGCCCCAACATTTTTTCCTTCATTTCAACCTTGGTGAATCTGATAATTATACATCTTGGGGTTGCTGTTCTCAAAGAGTATCTGTCGTGTTCTCTGTATTTCCTGAATTTGAATGTCGGCCTGCCTTGCTAGATTGGGGAAGTTCTCCTGGATAATATCGTGCAGAGTGTTTTCCAGCTTGGTTCCATTATCCCTGTCACTTTCAGATACACCAATCTAACGTAGATTTGGTCTTTTCACATAGTCCCATATTTCTTGGAGGCTTTGTTCGTTTCTTTTTACTTTTTTCTCTAAACTTCTCCTCTTGCTTTATTTCATTAATTTGATCTTCAATCACTGATACCCTTTCTTCCACTTGATTGAGTTGGCTATTGAAGCTTGTGCATGCATCACGTAGTTCTTGTGCCATGGTGTTCAGCTCTATCAGGTCATTTAATGTCTTCTCTACACTGTTTAATCTAGTTAGCCATTCATCTAATCTTTTTTTCAATGTTTTTAGCTTCCTTGCAATGGGTTCCAACATCCTCCTTTAGCTTGGAGAAGTTTGTTATTACCGACCTTCTGAAGTCTACTTCTGCCAGCTTGTCAAATTCATTCTCCATCCAGTTTTGTTCCGTTGCTGGTAAGGATCTGCGATCCTTTGGAGGAGAAGAGGTGGTCTGGTTTTTAGAATTTTCAGCTTTTCTGCCATGGTTTCTCCCCATCTTTCTGGTTTTTTAAAATTATTATTATTATACCTTAAGTTTTAGGGTACATGTGCACAATGTGCAGGTTAGTTAACATATGTATACATGTGCCATGCTGGTGTGCTGCACCCATTAACTCATCATTTAGCATTAGGTATATCTCCTAATGCTATCCCTTCCCCCTCCCCCCACACCACAACAGTCCCCAGAGTGTGATGTTCCCCTTCCTGTGTCCATGTGTTCTCATTGTTCAATTCCCACCTATGAGTGAGAATATGCTGTGTTTGGTTTTTTGTTCTTGCGATAGTTTACTGAGAATGATGATTTCCAATTTCATCCATGTCCCTACAAAGGACATGAACTCATCATTTTTTATGTCTGCATAGTATTCCATGGTGTATATGTGCCACATTTTCTTAATCCAGTCTATCATTGTTGGACATTTGGGTTGGTTCCAAGTCTTTGCTATTGTGAATAGTGCCACAATAAACATACGTATGCATGTGTCTTTATAGCAGCATGATTTATAGTCCTTTGGGTATATACCCAGTAATGGGACAGCTGGGTCAAATGGTATTTCTAGTTCTAAATCTCTGAGGAATTGCCACATTGACTTCCACAATGGTTGAACTAGTTTACAGTCCCAACAACAGTGTAAAAGTGTTCTTATTTCTCCACATCCTCTCCAGCACCTGTTGTTTCCTGACTTTTTAATGATTGCCATTGTAACTGGTGTGAGATGGTATCTCATTGTGGTTTTGATTTGCATTTCTCTGATGGCCAGTGATGGTGAGCATTTTTTCATGTGTTTTTTGGCTGCATAAATGTCTTCTTTTGAGAAGTGTCTGTTCATGTCCTTCGCCCACTTTTTGATGGGGTTGTTTGTTTTTTTCTTGTAAATTTGATTGAGTTCATTGTAGATTCTGGATATTAGCCCTTTGTCAGATGAGTAGGCTGCAAAAATTTTCTCCCATTTTGTAGGTTGCCTGTTCACTCTGATGGTAGTTTCTGTTGCTGTGCAGAAGCTCTTTAGTTTAATTATATCCCATTTGTCAATTTTGTCTTTTGTTGCCATTGCTTTTGGTGTTTTAGACATGAAGTCCTTTCCCAAGCCTATGTCCTGAATGGTAATGCCTAGGTTTTCTTCTAGGGTTTTTATGGTTTTAAGTCTAACATTTAAGTCTTTAATCCATCTTGAATTAATTTTTGTATAAGGTGTAAGGAAGGGATCCAATTTCGGCTTTCTACATATGGCTAGCCAGTTTCCCCAGCACCATTTATTAAATAGGGAATCCTTTCCCCATGGCTTGTTTTTCTCAGGTTTGTCAAAGATCAGATAGTTGTAGATATGCGGCGTCATTTCTGAGGGCTCTGTTCTGTTCCATTGATCTATATCTCTGTTTTGATACCCCAGTACCATGTTGTTTTGGTTACTGTAGCCTTGTAGTATAGTGTGAAGTCAGGTAGTGTGATGCCTCCAGCTTTGTTCTTTTGGCTTAGGACTGACTTGGCGTTGCGGGCTCTTTTTTGGTTCCATATGAACTTTAAAGTAGTTTTTTCCAATTCTGTGAAGAAAGTCATTGGTAGCTTGATGGGGATGGCATTGAATCTATAAATTACCTTGGGCAGTATGGCCATTTTCACGATATTGATTCTTCCTACCCGTGAGCATGGAATGTTCTTCCATTTGTTTGTATCCTCGTTTATTTCATTGAGCAGTGGTTTGTAGTTCTCCTTGAAGAGGTCCTTCACGTCCCTTGTAAGTTGGATTCCTAGGTATTTTATTCTCTTTGAAGCAATTGTGAATGGGAGTTCACTCATGATTTGGCTGTTTGTCTGTTATTGGTGTATAAGAATGCTTGTGATTTTTGTACATTGATTTTGTATCCTGAGACCTTGCTGAAGTTGCCTGTCAGCTTGAGGAGATTTTGGGCTGAGACAATGGGGTTTTCTAGATATACAATCATGTCATCTGCAAACAGGGACAATTTGGCTTCCTCTTTTCCTAATTGAATACCCTTTATTTCCTTCTCCTGCCTAATTGCCCTGGCCAGAACTTCCAACACTATGTTGAATAGGAGTGGTGAGAGAGGGCATCCCTGTCTTGTGCCAGTTTTCAAAGTGAATGCTTCCAGTTTTTGCCCATTGAGTATGATATTGGCTGTGGGTTTGTCATAGGTAGCTCTTATTATTTTGAGATACGTCCCATCAATACCTAATTTATTGAGAGTTTTTAGCAAGAAGGGTTGTTGAATTTTGTCAAAGGCCTTTACTGCATCTATTGAGATAATCATGTGGTTTTTGTCTTTGGTTCTGTTTATATGCTGGATTACATTTATTGATTTGCGTATATTGAACCAACCTTGCATCCCAGGGATGAAGCCCACTTGATCATGGTGGATAAGCTTTTTAATGTGCTGCTGGGTTCGGTTTGCCAGTATTTTATTGAGGATTTTTGCATCAATGTTCATCAAGGATATTGGTCTAAAATTCTCTTTTTTGGTTGTGTCTCTGCCCGGCTTTGGTATCAGGATGATCCTGGCCTCATAAAATGAGTTAGGGAGGATTCCCTCTTTTTCTATTGATTGGAATAGTTTCAGAAGGAATGGTACCAGTTCCTCCTTGTACCTCTGGTAGAATTCAGCTGTGAATCCATCTGGTCCTGGACTCTGTTAGGTTGGTAAGCTATTGATTGTTGCCACAATTTCAGCTCCTGTTATTGGTCTATTCAGAGATTGAATTTCTTCCTGGTTTAGTCTTCGGAGGGTGTATGTGTCGAGGAATATATCCATTTCTTCTAGATTTTCTAGTTTATTTTCATAGAGGTGTTTGTAATGTTCTCTGATGGTAGTTTGTATTTCTGTGGGATCAGTGGTGATATCCCCTTTATCGTTTTTTATTGCGTCTATTTGATTCTTCTCTCTTTTCTTCTTTATTAGTCTTGCTAGTGGTCTATCAATTTTGTTGATCCTTTCGAAAAACCAGCTCCTGGATTCATTAATTTTTTGAAGGGTTGTTTGTGTCTCTATTTCCTGCAGTTCTGCTCTGATTTTAGTTATTTCTTGCCTTCTGCTAGCTTTTGAATGTGTTTGCTCTTGCTTTTCTAGTTCTTTTAATTGTGATGTTAGGGTGTCAATTTTGGATCTTTCCTGCTTTCTCTTGTGGGTATTTAGTGCTATAAATTTCCCTCTACACACTGCTTTGAATGTGTCCCAGAGATTCTGGTATGTTGTGTCTTTGTTCTCGTTGGTTTCAAAGAACATCTTTATTTCTGCCTTCATTTTGTTATGTACCCAGTAGTAATTCAGGAGCAGGTTGTTCAGTTTCCATGTAGTTGAGTGGTTTTGAGTGGGTTTCTTAATCGTGAGTTCTAGTTTGATTGCACTGTGGTCTGAGAGACAGTTTGTTATAATTTCTGTTCTTTTACATTTGCTGAGGAGAGCTTTACTTCCCAGTATGTGGTCAATTTTGGAATAGGTGTGGTGTGGTGCTGAAAGAAATGTGTATTTTGTTGATTTGGGGTGGAGAGTTCTGTAGATGTCCATTAGGTCTGCTTGGTGCAGAGCTGAGTTCAATTCCTGGGTATCCTTCTTAACTTTCTGTCTCGTTGATCTGTCTAATGTTGACAGTGGGGTGTTAAAGTCTCCCATTATTATTGTGTGGGAGTCTAAGTCTCTTTGTAGGTCACTCAGGACTTGCTTTATGAATCTGGGTGCTCCTGTATTGGGTGCATATATATTTAGGATAGTTAGCTCTTCTTGTTGATTTGATCCCTTTACCACTATGCAATGGCCTTCTTTGTCTCTTTTGTTCTTTGTTGGTTTAAAGTCTGTTTTATCAGAGACTAGGATTGCAACCCTGCCTTTTTTTGTTTTCCATTTGCTTGGTAGATCTTCCTCCATCCTTTTGTTTTGAGCCTATCTGTGTCTCTGCACGTGAGATGGGTTTCATGAATACAGCACACTGATGGGTCTTGACTCTTTATCCAATTTGCCAGTCTGTGTCTTTTATTTGGAGCATTTATTCCATTTACATTTAAAGTTAATATTGCTTTGTGTGAATTTGATCCTGTCATTATGATGTTAGCTGGTTATTTTGCTCGTTAGTTAATGCAGTTTCTTCCTAGCCTTGATGGTCTTTACAATTTGGCATGATTTTGCAGTGGCTGTTACCGGTTGTTCCTTTCCATGTTTAGTGCTTCCTTCAGGAGCTCTTTTAGGGCAGGCCTGGTGGTGACAAAATCTCTCAACATTTGCTTTTCTGTAAAGTATTTTATTTCTCCTTCACTTATGAAGCTTAGTTTGGCTGGATATGAAATTCTGGGTTGAAAATTCTTTTCTTTAAGAATGTTGAATGTTGGCCCTCACTGTCTTCTGGCTTGTTGAGTTTCTGTGAAGGGATCAGCAGTTAGTCTCATGGGCTTCCCTTTGTGGGTATCCCGACCTTTCTCTCTGGCTTCCCTTAACATTTTTTCCTTCATTTCAACTTTGGTGAACCTGACAATTATGTGTCTTGGAGTTGCTCTTCTCGAGGAGTATCTTTGTGGTATTCTCTGTATTTCCTGAATCTGAATGCTGGCTTGCCTTGCTAGATTGGGTAAGTTCTCCTGGATAATATCCTGCAGAGCGTTTTCCAACTTGGTTCCATTCTCCCCATCACTTTCAGGTACACCAGTCAGATGTAGATTTGGTCTTTTCACATAGTCCCATATTTCTTGGAGGCTTTATTCATTTCTTTTTATTGTTTTTTCTCTAAACTTCCCTTCTCGCTTCATTTCATTCATTTCATCTTCCATCACTGATACCCTTTCTTCCATTTGATTGCATCGGCTCCTGAGGCTTCTGCATTCTTCACGTAGTTCTTGAGCCTTGGCTTTCAGCATCTTCAGCTCCTTTAAGCACTTCTCTGTATTGGTTATTCTAGTTATACATTCGTCTTAATTTTTTTCAAAGTTTTTAACTTCTTTGCCTTTGGTTTGAATTTCCTCCTGTAGCTCAGAGTAGTTTTGTCATCTGAAGCTTTCTTCTCTCAACTCATCAAAGTCATTCTCCGTCCAGCTTTGTTTCATTGCTGGTGAGGAACTGCATTCCTTTGGAGGAGGAGAGGTGCTCTGCTTTTTAGAGTTTCCAGTTTTTCCAATTTTTCTGCTCTGTTTTTTCCCCATCTTTGTGGTTTTATCTGCTTTTGGTCTTTGATGATGGTGATGTACAGATGGGTTTTTGATGTGGATGTCCTTTCTGTTTGTTAGTTTTCCTTCTGACAGACAGGACCCTCAGCTGCAGGTCTGTTGGAGTTTGCTAGAAGTCCACTCCAGACCTTGTTTGCCTGGGTACCAGCAGCGGTGGCTGCAGAATAGCAGATTTTCGTGAACCGTGAATGCTGCTGTCTGATCTTTCCTCTGGAAGTTTTGTCTCAGAGGAGTACCCGGCCGTGTGAGGTGTCAGTCTGCCCCTACTGGGGGTGTCTCCCAGTTAGGCTGCTCGGGGGTCAGGGTTCAGGGACCCACTTGAGGAGTCAGTCTGCCCGTTCTCAGATCTCCAGCTGTGTGCTGGGAGAACCACTGCTCTCTTCAAAGCTGTCAGACAGGGACATTTAAGTCTGCAGAGGTTCCTGCTGTCTTTTTGTTTGTCTGTGCCCTGCCCCCAGAGGTGGAGCCTACAGAGGCAGGCAGGCCTCCTTGAGCTGTGGTGGGCTCCACCCAGTTCGAGTTTCCTGGCTGCTTTGTTTGCCTAAGCAAGCCTGGGCAATGGCAGGCGCTCCTCCCCCAGCCTCACTGTCGCCTTGCAGTTTGATCTCAGACTGCTGTGCTAGCAATCAGCGAGACTCCATGGGCATAGGACCCTCCAAGCCAGGTGTGGGATATAATCTTCTGTTGTGCCGTTTTTTAAGCCTGTCCGAAAAGTGCAGCATTAGGGTGGGAGTGACCCAATTTTCCAGATGCCATCTGTCACCCCTTTCTTTGACTAGGAAAGGGAACTCCTTGACCCTTTGCGCTTCCCAAGTGAGGCAATGCCTCGCCCTGCTTCAGCTCGTGCACGGTGCACTGCACCCATTGTCCTGTGCCCACTCTCTGGCACTCCCTAGTGAGATGAACCCGGTACCTCAGATGGAAATGCAGAAATCACCCATCTTCTGCATCGCTCACGTTGGGAGCTGTAGACCAGAGCTGTTCCTGTTCAGTCATCTTGGCTCCATCCATCCCAAAGACCCATTTTTCTTGTTTTATCTACCTTTGGTCTTTGATGCTGGTGACCAACAGATGGGGTTTTGCTGTGGATGTCCCTTTTGTTGATGTTGATGCTATTCCTTTCTGTTTGTCAGTTTTCCTTCTAAGAGTCAGGTCCCTCAGCTGCAGGTCTGTTGGAGTTTGCTGGAGGTCCACTCCAGACCCTCTTTGCCTGGATATCACTAGGAGAGGCTGCAGCACAGCAAATATTGCAGAACAGCAAATGTTGCTGCCTGATCCTTCCTCTGGAAGCTTCATCCCAGAGGGGCACCCTCCTGTATGATGTGTCAGTTGGCCCCTACTGGGAGGTGTCTCC